>NC_000007.14:110631779-111256779 GCF_000001405.40 Homo sapiens | reverse complement strand
TAATTTAATGTGTCAGTTCAGGGCAGAGAGTTAAATTATTGAAGAGCCACCTTGATTCCCTTTGGGGTACTCAATCTTATGATTATCCTGTGGTACAGAAAAACCCTTTTACTCGATTTAAAAGAACTTTTCTCTCTAGGCAGCATGGTCCTCTATGAACAATGGACATATAGTGAAAATCTGTGGTGAGAATGAGAAGCTGCAAGCATCTTTTAACAATGAAACTGCTTATTTGTAAATGTGGAGTACAGTTTACTGTGTTAATCCTTCTTCAATGAGATATTTCACTGACATATTCTATTCATTTGGAGTTGGTTTCCAAATTGAATTAGAAGAAGAAAATGACATGTATTATCTTACACAGTGAACCACAGTTATCAGTGTTATATGTAGAAAATAATGTTAGATTTAAACATTATTTTTCAAATAAAAAATTGTTATAGTTCATATGTACATCATTTGCAGATCTAGAACTTGAAATCTGTTTGGTTTAAAAGCAAAACAAAGTTTAACCTTTATGTATGCCATTTTGTAACTGTGTAACTTTGGTAAATAAATGTTTTTGTATGAATAAACCTAATTAGCATAGCACTTTAAAACAAGGAAAAAGAACATTTTTTTAAAATGGGCTTGCTAGAATACTATCTAAATCAAACAACTAATCTTTTGTTTTAAATAAAAATACTTCCCAAAGAAATAATATACAATGTATAGTATAAATCTCTATGCTTCATTTTAATTTTTTGAGAGATAATTATGATTTATTGTTTGGAATAAACTGCTCATTAAATATCTTTGAAAAGTTTTTTAAAAAGCATTTGTTGTTTCCAGAAACATTCCTTGGTAATTACAGCTTTGAACAATAGAATACAGACAAAACTACTATGTGGGAGTTATTATCTGGTTAGAAGCATTGTATAGATAGATAACCTTTTCTTGGAAAGAATTATAAAGCTTTTGGTTTGGACAATAGTTATTAAAGGACACTGTACTCTGAGTGTTCCAAGAAAGCTTGTGTTAACTAAAGCATGAGATTTGGAAAGAGTAGACCTCAGTTCAAGTCCTGACTCATCTATCCCTAGCTCTTTTATCTTTCAGATCCTGGATGGCCCAGTCACCTTTCCTGAACTTCATTTTCCTCTTCTGTAAACTTGTGACATAATGTGTAACTTACAGGATTTTATTAGGGTAAAATGATACATGCATATGAAAGTTTAAAATTTTAAACTATAATAATTATAGTCTAATTCATTCTCTTATTATAGTGTATAATTAACAAAAACTTCCACTTGTTACTAGGTGGAGCTTCTCTGTAAAAAAAAATACTATAATGAATCATTTTAAGTGGAGCATGTTTTTGTAAAATGGATGATCATCACCCTCCTTTCTCTCACTACCTCTCCCACCATTCTTTTGTTTCACATATTTTATACTGTGAAATTTTCAAATTGCAGCTGTCAATGTTGTGCTTGTGATGTATTTGAGAATGCATTCTATCCTCATGGAAAAGAACACATTCAATTTGAACTTCAAGTTTGTTAGTTTTCTTTAATTATGATATTTGCAGTCATTCTTAGAAGAGATATTTGTCTCCAAGGATTGGTGCACAGTTTGATTTCTGTGGGAAGATATGCTTTAAAATATGTATCGGTGGGGGTTGTTAAAATAGTGGGATTGGGGTGGAGGTGGAATTGCTATTTAACTGGCAGTTTCATCAGTATAGAAAACCTTGATGTATTCATGTAGATTATAGATTAAAAATTTAAAGTAGTTATATTTGGTTATAGGATCGTGGATAATTAAACATTTTTCTGCATTATGTTAATTACATTTGAGAGTTACATATATGTTTGCTATGCAAAAGTTAATGTTGATAAAGAGCTGAAGATTTTTCCCAGAAACAATATACAGTTGACCTTTGAACAACACAGGTTGGAACTGCACAGTTATATGTGGCTTTGTTTTCAACTAGACATGGATTTGAGGGATACAAAACTTGTGTTACAGAGGGCTGACTTTTTTTATATGAGGGTTCTGCAGGACGACTCTGGGACTTATGTTGTGCAGATTTAGTTATATGTGGGTGGTCCTGGAACCAATCTCTCATGTATACAGAGGGACAACTATACATGCTAAATAAGCACATATATGTGACTTGATTTTTTTCTTTTTACTTATAAAATGTTAATACATTGGGTTCATCAATTACCCAATAAACTAGGTATCAGATATTCTGACAGTCTGCCCCAGATTTAAAACAGCACTTTGAGTACAATATTAGGTAGCGAAATATCCTATTTCAGAGAGTTTTCATCCATGAAATAGCATTTTTGTGTTCATTTCTGTTTAACAGATGAGAGATTGATAGGTGAAAACAAAAATGTTCCATATTTGTTATTGCTCATATTTGTAAACTTTCCCCTTTGCAGATTTGCATATATTCAAAGACTTTTAGGATCATTCCAGAGTTTTTAGGATCATTCCAGAGTGCTTAGGATCATTCATTTTACTTTGAAATCAGTAAGAACAAAACAAAACAAAACAAAACAAAAGACAAGAAACAGACAAGCAACTTTACATTTTAAGTCTTTTCTCTATCATTCATAGCCACCAAAGCAGAGTTTTTAAAGCCTTTATCACTCAGAAATCTCATTCAGCGAGGGTGTTTTGGGGAAAAAAATGCTTAGCTCAAATAAGAGGTAACTTGATGCACAAATTTTATTTCTTAGTGAATTGGTTTTAAATGGCCTTGCACTATGTGGAGTTAGATAATTTCCATAAATATTATGTTTGGCACTTCAGTGCTTTGAAAAAGCACATTTATATAGTTGTCGTTATTGAACAATCAGTATGTTTCACCTAAGAATTCTGATATCTGGATTTGTTTAAATGTTAGATCATGCCACGCTGGCCTCACACCTCTTCCTGGCCATGGTTTTCTGGGGCTCTTCAGTTACTTTCATTACTTGCCTGGCTTTTTGTAGGCGTTTGACTTTGGCCTAAATAATTCTCTGACTTTAGATCAAGTTCTATGTGGCAGTCTTTGAGAGCCTTAACACATATTGATACATATTTTGTGATTTGGTAGCAAATCTTGACCTCAATTAGTTTGCATGTTCTTTCTGCAACACACACCTTATACTCTCCTGATTAAAACACTTAGAGGAATTTCCTCCTCAGACCATTGGTGTTACTTTTCATGAGCTCAGCCTTGCCTCCCTCTCAAGACTTTTATTTTCTGGCAGTCTTCACAGCCAAATAGAATCATATGCAGCCTCCTTTCACCTCTGAGCCTTGTATGTCATGTTACCTGAAATTCCTTCCCACCCTGGTTTGTCTGGTTTACAGATCCTCTACCTCTTCCCTGACAGCCCTCCCTAATGCTCACTCTTCTGAGGCATGCACATCCCTCCCAAATGTCAGCTCCTTGAGTCCTGGCAGCTACTGTCTTTTGCTCTGCTGTACACTTAACACTGCACCTGTGAGTATTCACCCAGTAAATAGCCATTATGGACATTTTTTGTGTTCATCATTGATATAATTCTCTGATAACACTGAAGTTTTAGTAGTTTGTGTTTGGAGAAATATTTAATTTTAATGGAGGAATAACAGATGTTCTCCCCCTTAAATACTCCAGGTGAGACCTTTATCATGTTAAATTTTATTGGCTTACAATAAGTCTTTTCCATATTTCATTTCTCACCATATTTTATATTTATGATAAAGTTGGAAACACTTGTAGAAATTAGAAGAAGCGTAGGCAATATTGGTAAAATCTATGAACATTTTATAACTCTAATGCCATTTTTACTTTTAAACAAATAATTTGATATAGATACAAACAGAGTCATAGTTCTTATAAATTACATTACTCTTATAAATGACATTGTCAGTTTTGGAACCATGTAACTTTTAAATGTAATGTTGAGTAAAACTCTAAGGTTTTAGAATATGCAATAGAAAATGTCATTTTCTAATGTTTGGGTCTTGAAAATCAAGTTCATGCCTCTGAAACAATATCAAAAGATATGTTTGCATAATTATTTGCATATTATGCCAGTGTTACTAACCTTAAGTAGATTCTTCACAAGTTCTCAAAAATAGAATTTTAATTTAAATGCTCAAGGACCCCGATTTAGTGTTGGCTTCAAACCTAATGCAGTCTTGGAGCCACGTATTATTCATCAGAGGCTGGTATTCTTTTTCTCCTCTGCTTCCCATTCCAAATTATTCCTTGTCACATTTCCTTTTTCCAATCACATTGTCCAGTAGACTTTCTCTTCTCCAATCATATGACAGCTATTTAAATTATACTTATGACAATATTTAGGGTACTTGTTTATCTGCCATAATAATTTGTATCTGTTGAATCCATTTTCCAGGTCTCGTTTTATACTGCCTAATTCAGAACTTTTTCCATTGGCATATTTCTAATAGATTACTCCAATACACACTTAAACATTTGTGTGGGTGCTTGCATGTGCATGCTACGTACATACACTTTGAGTTTGTTTCCGCTTGTTGGTTGATGATGCCTACATTTCATACATACCATCAGCTGAATACTCCATGCATCATTTGAAATCACTCAAAAGGGAAGGTATCCTGCATGTGAACTTTGAAAAGAAGGGGACTTTTTTTTTTTTATGCTCCCAAATGACCTATTTTGAGAAGTGATGATTTGGTAATATTCAGAGAAATGCTTTCTTTTTACTTGGTTAAAGCAAAATCTGTTTCTTTTTTTCTGTTCATGTCAATTTTCAGTGACATGAGAATTTTTTTTCAGGAGAGAGTTTATTAGGTAAACCTTTAGACAAGTTTAATATTAGGGAATAAAACTCGTGAAGATAGAGGTGACACAATGACATTATGTTTTTTTCCCCCTCAACTTTTATTTTTAGTTCTGGGGGGTGTGCAGTTTGTTACATAGATAAATGTGTGCCATGATGGTTTGCTGCACAGATAAACCCATCACCCAGGTATTAGGCCCAGCATCCATTAGCTATTCTTCTGATACTCTCCCTCCCCCATCCTCATCAATGGGCCCCAGTTCGTGGTATTCCCCTCCCTGTGTTCATGTGTTCTCATCATTCAGCTCCCATTTATAAATAAGAACACGTGGTGTTTGGTTTTCTGTTCCTGTGTTAGTTTGCTAAGGATAACTGCTTCCAGCTCCATCCATGTCCCTGCAAAGGAAATTATGTTTTTCCTTTTTATGGCTGCATAGTATTCCATGTACCACATTTTCTTTATCCAGTCTGTCATTGATGGGCATTTGGGCTGATGCCATGTTTTTGCTGTTGTGAATAGTGCTGCATGGAACATATGTGCGCAAGTATCTTTATAATAGAATGATTTATAATCCTTTGGGTATATACCCAGTAATGGGATTGCTGGGTCAAATGGTACAAATGGTATTTCTGCCTCTAGGTCTTTGAGGAATTGCCACACTATTTTTCACAATGGTTGAAATAATTTACACCCCCATAAACAGTGTAAAAGTGTTTTCTCTGCAATCTGGCCATCATTTGTTGTTTCTTGACTTTTTAATAATCACCATTCTGACTGGAGTAAGATGGTATCTCATTGTGATTTTGATTTTTATTTCTCTAATGATGAGTGATGTTGAGCTTTTTTCATATGTTTACTGGCTCTATGAATGTCTTCTTTTGAGAAGTGTCTGTTCATGTCCTTTGCCAACTTTTAAATGGGGTTGTTTGTTTCCTGTAAATTTGTTTGTTTCTTGTAGACTCTGAATATTAGACCTTTGTCGGATGGATAGATTGCAGAAATTTTCTCTCATTCTATAGGTTGTCTGTTCAGTCTGATAATAGTTTCTTTTGCTATGCAGAAGTTCTGTAGATGATTAGATCCCATTTGTCAATTTATGCTTTTGTTGCTGTGGCTTTTGGTGTTTTTGTCATAAACTCTTTGCCTTTGCCTATGTCCTGAATGATAATAGCCTAGATTTTCTTCTAGGGTTTTTATAATTTTGGGTTTTACATTTAAGTCTTTAATCCATCTTGAGTTACCTTTTGTATAAGGTATAAGGAAGGGGTCCAGTTTTAATTTTCTGCATATGGCTAGCCAGTTTTCCCAGCACCATTTATTAAATAGGGAATCCTTTCCCCATTGCTTGTTTTTGTCAGGTTTGTAAAAAATCAGATGGTTGTAGACGTGCAGTCTTATTTGTGAGTTCCCTATTCTGTTCCATTGGTCTATGTCTCTGTTTTTGTACCAGTATCATGCCGTTTTGGTTACTGTGTAGCCTTGTATAGTTTGAAGTCAGGTAGTGTGATACCTCCAGCTTTGTTCTTTTTGCTTAGGATTGTTGTGGCTATTCAGGCTCCTTTTGGGTTTCATATGAATTTTAAAATAGTTTCTTCTAATTCTGTGAAAAACGTCAATGGTCGTTTAGTGGGAACAACATTGAATCTATAAATTACTTTGGGGAGTATGGCCATTTTCTTGGTATTGATTCTTCCTATCCATGAGCATGGAATGTTTTTCCATTTATTTGTGTCCTTTGATTTCTTGGAGCAGTGGTTTGTAGTTCTCCTTGAAGAGGTCCTTCACTTTTCTTGTTAGCTGTATTCCTAGGTATTTTATTCTCTTTGTAGGAATTGTGAATGGGAGTTCATTCATAATTCACCACTCCGCTTTTCTGTTGTTGGTGTATAGGAACGTTAGCGATTTTTGCACATTGATTTTGTATCCTGAGACTTTGCTGAAATTGCTTATCAGCTTAAGGAGCTTTTGGGCTGAGACGGTGGGGTTTTCTAGATACAGGATTATGTCATCTGCAAACAAAGATAATTTGACTTCTTCTCTTCCTGTTTGAATATCCTTTATTTCTTTCTCTTGCCTGATTGCCCTGGCCAGAACTTCCAATACTGTGTTGAACGGGAATGTTGAAAGAGGTCATCCTTGTCTTGTTTTCAAAGGAAATGCTTCTAACTTTTGCCCATTCAGTATCATATTGGCTGTGGATTTATCATATATGGCTCTGGTTATTTTGAGGTATGCTCTTTCAATACCTAGTTTATTGAGAGTTTTTAACATGAAGGGATGTTGAATTTTACCAAAGGCCTTTTCTGGGTCTGTTGAGATAATCATGTGTTTTTTGCCTTTAGTTCTGTTTATGTGATGAATTACAAATATGACTTTCTCTTCTAAATGGATAGTTTTCTTTCCTTATAAGCAGTTTGTAAATATTTAGTTAAAGCAACAAGAGGGGGAGGAGCCAAGATGGCCGAATAGGAACAGCTCCGGTCTACAGCTCCCAGCGTGAGCGACGCAGAAGACGGTGATTTCTGCATTTCCATCTGAGGTACCGGGTTCATCTCACTAGGGAGTGCCAGACAGTGGGCGCAGGCCAGTGTGTGTGCGCACCGTGCGCGAGCCGAAGCAGGGCGAGGCATTGCCTCACCTGGGAAGCGCAAGGGGTCAGGGAGTTCCCTTTCCGAGTCAAAGAAAGGGGTGATGGATGCACCTGGAAAATCGGGTCACTCCCACCCGAATATTGCGCTTTTCAGACCGGCTTAAGAAACGGCGCACCACGAGACTATATCCCACACCTGGCTCGGAGGGTCCTACGCCCACGGAATCTCGCTGATTGCTAGCACAGCAGTCTGAGATCAAACTGCAAGGCGGCAACGAGGCTGGGGGAGGGGCACCCGCCATTGCCCAGGCTTGCTTAGGTAAACAAAGCAGCCGGGAAGCTCGAACTGGGTGGAGCCCACCACAGCTCAAGGAGGCCTGCCTGCCTCTGTAGGCTCCACCTCTGGGGGCAGGGCACAGACAAACAAAAAGACAGCAGTAACCTCTGCAGACTTAAGTGTCCCTGTCTGACAGCTTTGAAGAGAGCAGTGGTTCTCCCAGCACGCAGCTGGAGATCTGAGAACGGGCAGACTGCCTCCTCAAGTGGGTCCCTGACTCCTGACCCCCGAGCAGCCTAACTGGGAGGCACCCCCCAGCAGGGGCACACTGACATCTCACACGGCAGGGTATTCCAACAGACCTGCAGCTGAGGGTCCTGTCTGTTAGAAGGAAAACTAACAACCAGAAAGGACATCTACACCGAAAACCCATCTGTACATCACCATCATCAAAGACCAAAAGTAGATAAAACCACAAAGATGGGGAAAAAACAGAACAGAAAAACTGGAAACTCTAAAACGCAGAGCGCCTCTCCTCCTCCAAAGGAACGCAGTTCCTCACCAGCAACAGAACAAAGCTGGATGGAGAATGATTTTGACGAGCTGAGAGAAGAAGGCTTCAGACGATCAAATTACTCTGAGCTACGGGAGGACATTCAAACCAAAGGCAAAGAAGTTGAAAACTTTGAAAAAAATTTAGAAGAATGTATAACTAGAATAACCAATACAGAGAAGTGCTTAAAGGAGCTGATGGAGCTGAAAACCAAGGCTCGAGAACTACGTGAAGAATGCAGAAGCCTCAGGAGCCGATGCGATCAACTGGAAGAAAGGGTATCAGCAATGGAAGATGAAATGAATGAAATGAAGCGAGAAGGGAAGTTTAGAGAAAAAAGAATAAAAAGAAATGAGCAAAGCCTCCAAGAAATATGGGACTATGTGAAAAGACCAAATCTACGTCTGATTGGTGTACCTGAAAGTGATGTGGAGAATGGAACCAAGTTGGAAAACACTCTGCAGGATATTATCCAGGAGAACTTCCCCAATCTAGCAAGGCAGGCCAACGTTCAGATTCAGGAAATACAGAGAACACCACAAAGATACTCCTCGAGAAGAGCAACTCCAAGACACATAATTGTCAGATTCACCAAAGTTGAAATGAAGGAAAAAATGTTAAGGGCAGCCAGAGAGAAAGGTCGGGTTACCCTCAAAGGAAAGCCCATCAGACTAACAGCGGATCTCTCGGCAGAAACCCTACAAGCCAGAAGAGAGTGGGGGCCAATATTCAACATTCTTAAAGAAAAGAATTTTCAACCCAGAATTTCATATCCAGCCAAACTAAGCTTCATAAGTGAAGGAGAAATAAAATACTTTATAGACAAGCAAATGTTGAGAGATTTTGTCACCACCAGGCCTGCCCTAAAAGAGCTCCTGAAGGAAGCGCTAAACATGGAAAGGAACAACCGGTACCAGCCGCTGCAAAATCATGCCAAAATGTAAAGACCATCGAGACTAGGAAGAAACTGCATCAACTAATGAGCAAAATCACCAGCTAACATCATAATGACAGGATCAAATTCACACATAACAATATTAACTTTAAATATAAATGGACTAAATTCTGCAATTAAAAGACACAGACTGGCAAGTTGGATAAAGAGTCAAGACCCATCAGTGTGCTGTATTCAGGAAATCCATCTCACGTGCAGAGACACACATAGGCTCAAAATAAAAGGATGGAGGAAGATCTACCAAGCCAATGGAAAACAAAAAAAGGCAGGGGTTGCAATCCTAGTCTCTGATAAAACAGACTTTAAACCAACAAAGATCAAAAGAGACAAAGAAGGCCATTACATAATGGTAAAGGGATCAATTCAACAAGAGGAGCTAACTATCCTAAATATTTATGCACCCAATACAGGAGCACCCAGATTCATAAAGCAAGTCCTGAGTGACCTACAAAGAGACTTAGACTCCCACACATTAATAATGGGAGACTTTAACACCCCACTGTCAACATTAGACAGATCAACGAGACAGAAAGTCAACAAGGATACCCAGGAATTGAACTCAGCTCTGCACCAAGCAGACCTAATAGACATCTACAGAACTCTCCACCCCAAATCAACAGAATATACATTTTTTTCAGCACCACACCACACCTATTCCAAAATTGACCACATAGTTGGAAGTAAAGCTCTCCTCAGCAAATGTAAAAGAACAGAAATTATAACAAACTATCTCTCAGACCACAGTGCAATCAAACTAGAACTCAGGATTAAGAATCTCACTCAAAGCCGCTCAACTACATGGAAACTGAACAACCTGCTCCTGAATGACTACTGGGTACATAACGAAATGAAGGCAGAAATAAAGATGTTCTTTGAAACCAACGAGAACAAAGACACCACATACCAGAATCTCTGGGACGCATTCAAAGCAGTGTGTAGAGGGAAATTTATAGCACTAAATGCCTACAAGAGAAAGCAGGAAAGATCCAAAATTGACACCCTAACATCACAATTAAAAGAACTAGAAAAGCAAGAGCAAACACATTCAAAAGCTAGCAGAAGGCAAGAAATAACTAAAATCAGAGCAGAACTGAAGGAAATAGAGACACAAAAAACCCTTCAAAAAATCAATGAATCCAGGAGCTGGTTTTTTGAAAGGATCAACAAAATTGATAGACCGCTAGCAAGACTAATAAAGAAAAAAAGAGAGAAGAATCAAATAGACACAATAAAAAATGATAAAGGGGATATCACCACCGATCCCACAGAAATACAAACTACCATCAGAGAATACTACAAACACCTCTACGCAAATAAACTAGAAAATCTAGAAGAAATGGATACATTCCTCGACACATACACTCTCCCAAGACTAAACCGGGAAGAAGTTGAATCTCTGAATAGACCAATAACAGGCTCTGAAATTGTGGCAATAATCAATAGTTTACCAACCAAAAAGAGTCCAGGACCAGATGGATTCACAGCCGAATTCTACCAGAGGTACATGGAGGAACTGGTACCATTCCTTCTGAAACTATTCCAATCAATAGAAAAAGAGGGAATCCTCCCTATCTCATTTTATGAGGCCAGCATCATTCTGATACCAAAGCCGGGCAGAGACACAACAAAAAAAGAGAATTTTAGACCAATATCCTTGATGAACATTGATGCAAAAATCCTCAATAAAATACTGGCAAACCGAATCCAGCAGCACATCAAAAAGCTTATCCACCATGATCAAGTGGGCTTCATCCCTGGGATGCAAGGCTGGTTCAATATACGCAAATCAATAAATGTAATCCAGCATATAAACAGAGCCAAAGACAAAAACCACATGATTATCTCAATAGATGCAGAAAAAGCCTTTGACAAAATTCAACAACCCTTCATGCTAAAAACTCTCAATAAATTAGGTATTGATGGGACGTATTTCAAAATAATAAGAGCTATCTATGACAAACCCACAGCCAATATCATACTGAATGGGCAAAAACTGGAAGCATTCCCTTTGAAAACCGGCACAAGACAGGGATGCCCTCTCTCACCACTCCTATTCAACATAGTGTTGGAAGTTCTGGCCAGGGCAATCAGGCAGGAGAAGGAAATAAAGGGTATTCAATTAGGAAAAGAGGAAGTCAAATTGTCCCTGTTTGCAGACGACATGATTGTTTATCTAGAAAACCCCATCGTCTCAGCCCAAAATCTCCTTAAGCTGATAAGCAACTTCAGCAAAGTCTCAGGATACAAAATCAATGTACAAAAATCACAAGCATTCTTATACACCAACAACAGACAAACAGAGAGCCAAATCATGGGTGAACTCCCATTCACAATTGCTTCAAAGAGAATAAAATACCTAGGAATCCAACTTACAAGGGATGTGAAGCACCTCTTCAAGGAGAACTACAAACCACTGCTCAAGGAAATAAAAGAGGACACAAACAAATGGAAGAACATTCCATGCTCATGGGTAGGAAGAATCAATATCGTGAAAATGGCCATACTGCCCAAGGTAATTTACAGATTCAATGCCATCCCCATCAAGCTACCAATGACTTTCTTCACAGAATTGGAAAAAACTACTTTAAAGTTCATATGGAACCAAAAAAGAGCCCGCATTGCCAAGTCAATCCTAAGCCAAAAGAACAAAGCTGGAGGCATCACACTACCTGACTTCAAACTATACTACAAGGCTACAGTAACCAAAACAGCATGGTACTGGTACCAAAACAGAGATATAGATCAATGGAACAGAACAGAGCCCTCAGAAATAATGCCGCATATCTACAACTATCTGATCTTTGACAAACCTGAGAAAAACAAGCAATGGGGAAAGGATTCCCTATTTAATAAACGGTGCTGGGAAAACTGGCTAGCCATATGTAGAAAGCTGAAACTGGATCCTTTCCTTACACCTTACACAAAAATCAATTCAAGATGGATTAAAGATTTAAACGTTAAACCTAAAACCATAAAAACCCTAGAAGAAAACCTAGGCATTACCATTCAGGACATAGGCGTGGGCAAGGACTTCATGTCCAAAACACCAAAAGCAATGGCAACAAAAGCCAAAATTGACAAATGGGATCTAATTAAACTAAAGAGCTTCTGCACAGCAAAAGAAACTACCATCAGAGTGAACAGGCAACCTACAACATGGGAGAAAATTTTCGCAACCTACTCATCTGACAAAGGGCTAATATCCAGAATCTACAATGAACTCAAACAAATTTACAAGAAAAAAACAAACAACCCCATCAAAAAGTGGGCGAAGGACATGAACAGACACTTCTCAAAAGAAGACATTTATGCAGCCAAAAAACACATGAAGAAATGCTCATCATCACTGGCCATCAGAGAAATGCAAATCAAAACCACTATGAGATATCATCTCACACCAGTTAGAATGGCAATCATTAAAAAGTCAGGAAACAACAGGTGCTGGAGAGGATGTGGAGAAATAGGAACACTTTTACACTGTTGGTGGGACTGTAAACTAGTTCAACCATTGTGGAAGTCAGTGTGGCGATTCCTCAGGGATCTAGAACTAGAAATACCATTTGACCCAGCCATCCCATTACTGGGTATATACCCAAATGAGTATAAATCATGCTGCTATAAAGACACATGCACACGTATGTTTATTGCGGCACTATTCACAATAGCAAAGACTTGGAACCAACCCAAATGTCCAACAATGATAGACTGGATTAAGAAAATGTGGCACATATACACCATGGAATACTATGCAGCCATAAAAAATGATGAGTTCATATCCTTTGTAGGGACATGGATGAAATTGGAAACCATCATTCTCAGTAAACTATCGCAAGAACAAAAAACCAAACACCGCATATTCTCACTCATAGGTGGGAATTGAACAATGAGATCACATGGACACAGGAAGGGGAATATCACACTCTGGGGACTGTGGTGGGGTCGGGGGAGGGGGGAGGGATAGCATTGGGAGATATACCTAATGCTAGATGACACATTAGTGGGTGCAGCGCACCAGCATGGCACATGTATACATATGTAACTAACCTGCACAATGTGCACATGTACCCTAAAACTTAGAGTATAATAAAAAAAAAAAAAATAAAGCAACAAGAAATATAGAGTTGAACACTTTACTTCTATAAGCATATAACTTTTAAAATTATATATGTAAAACATGAAGGACTGGAAAACCTATTGTGGAAATTACTAGTCCATGCAAGAATATAAAATTTCAACAGCTTGGGAATTTACTAGTACTGTGTACATTCCTGTCAACATGCCTCAGTTATGTCATAGTTTTTAATTCTACAAGAGTTTTAGATAGAGAATTAGTATTTATTGAGAACTCTTTTAGCATAATAAATATTTTATAATTCAATATATAATAAATACTTCACATTCAGAATATGTATCTTGGGAATGATTGAATGGCTGGTGAGCAAGGCAACGTCATGCCATACATTTAAAAATTCCTGTTGTTTCTTCTCAAAACAACTACTCTTTAGTTGGCATAAAAATAATAAGAATTTTGTTTTAGTAACAATATTTTTCACCTTCAGACATGTGGTTCACAAGAAAAGTGCACAAAAAGAGATTTGTGATATGACAGAAAAAAATATTTTAAGATCTCCTTTTTCTTCCCTGGTAAAATACAACTTAGTAAATGTAACAAATTAAGAAATACCAGTGAGTTAGAGAACAATTGGACAATAATTGTTTCTAAATAGAGTCATTATGAAAGAAAATAGTATGTCGGAGTCCAAAATCTTAATTAGTTGAGGAATATTTATAAATTTATAGACAAATTCTCTGTTGTTTGTGTTTTTAGCCTCCCAGAATTTCTCTTTTTTAATCATTATCATGATCTAGTTGTGCCATAGGCTTTGGTTGAATTGGAGGAGTATTTAGAGTGGTCATCTGAGATGTCCAGCATTCAGTGATGCACGAGGCCTTCAGAATGAAGAAGGATTGTAATAAAGCTCCCAGCAAGCTCGTTTGTGTGCTATGAATAGCTCACTAGGTGAAATACAGCCGATGCAAAAAGTACGTGGGTGGTTCAGGTGAATGAATTGTATTTTGTAGCTCATTGGATTTTTTTCCCCACTCCAAAAACTGCTTTCCCACTGTTCCTTTAACTGCGCCCCTGGATCGTGAAGTGTTGTGATGTAGTTCTCTTTTGTGCTCTGGAGTTGGAGCTATGAAAGGCAGATTCATTTATTGTTTAGTTGAATCAAAATGACTGCAATTCCACAAACAAATTGGACTTCAGTTAGGAGTGCTTTGTCATAAATAACGTTGGAAGAGATTGGATTTTCTCCTAGCTGATATACTTCTGCTTTACATTAAAATCGGCGTCTAAAAGGGACTGATTTATGACTGAACTGACTGATCACTGAGCAACACACACCTGTCCTTGTTCTGCTTTGTTTTTGCTATCTCTATTTTCCTAAAGCATATTCAGGAAAAGTTTATGGTAAGGGAAACTAATATTCTATTTTCTGAATTATTGTTTTCATTTTAACCTTCATTAAAAAAATCACTTCTATGATGCAAAACTCAGTGAATAATTCTTCATAATCTAGAAAGAAAACCTATTTCACATATTGGTTAAAGGCATTTTCCATGGTTGGGTCAGGTGAATCATATTTTTCACGTATAATGTTAGGACATTTTAAACTTTAACAACATGTTTTGCTACAGGCTGCAAATACCGTAGCAATACCTGCAAATATCTCTTTTCATTGACTGTAAAAACTTTTTTTTCCCACTGTAATGTATTTACTTCATTTTGTTTCAAGTTACTCAGTTCTATAAATCATCCAGAGACAGAGAAAATCTGGTAATTTCTTCCTTGGTGGAAAAGTGTATATATAAAATATATATACACACTTTATACTTATATAATATATATATACAATTTATACTTATGTATAAAAGTTACAGCACAATATACATTTGGCTAGACCCTTGGTACTTAACTACAAATGCCATAACAAGTTGCATTTTGTTTTCTTGAGTCAAACAATTCTGTGTGGCAGTTACATTGTATCAGTAAGAATCATTTCATGTGTAGGGTTGTCCTTGCCAAGTAGGTTAGGTTGGCATTAATTTTGTTAAGCATTTTATTTGGTCTTGTTTTTGTAAGCTCTAGAGCCAGAATTTGCATCTGTCTCTGTCTAGTTCCAGAGCATATGTATTTTCATCTTTGCGTATTTCTTGTTGTTGTACAAGAATAAAATTTTTACAAAGCAAATCATACTTTATGTTCAATACATAGAAGACAGTGGTGAATGTGTTTTTAAAGTGACCTTTTTTGGGTAAAGATCTATTTTAACTTCAAATTATTTTATATTATATATTCCTCAAACGAGTCACATCCATAGTGACTTGGAGTGTATTTTCAGATGCTTTAAATATATGTAATCTTATTGATAATATTCAGAAGCATTTTAAATTAATAGTTTTTTGAAAGTAAGATTTAAACGTAAATTAAGCACAATTGAAACATAATACAATATTTACCATTCGAACAGTAACTAAGTTACTGTTATCTTAAAGGTTTTCCGAGAAGGATACGGCCATGACAGTGTAGCATTTACATGTGTTCTGAGTGTTCATTTATTATAACTGTACCACCTGTAGTTTTAGATGCTCTGTGGTTTGCATTTTAAAAGCATTTGGTGTTTATAGCACCTGTCTTTCTAAGACATGGCCTGACTAGGTCTGATGTCTAGTGTGATGTTAAAAAAATCACATTAAGTGTGACTTAAGTATGGGGGTTAGAGTGGGAATGAAAATGAAAATGTTTAATTTTTCTGACACCAGACTAGTATGCTTCAGGGAGAAATTTAGCAAAGGTAATTGGGCAGACTACCAATATAAATTAGGTCAATAGCCTAGACCTACAAGTGCTAGCCTTTATAACATACTTGACCGCAACAAAAATCTGTTAAAAGAAAATGGGACTGTCCCTAACATGAAGTAATGGGACTGTCGTAGATACAACACATGGTACACTTTTTCCTTTTAATTACCATATGAGAACAAAATCAGTTTTTGCAGCTGGTTCTTCTTCGTTTTATTTGCCTTGACTACATCTCACACCGAAGGGGTTTGAAACATGACAGACAACAGGTGTGAATATGTATCTAATAATTGACTGCAGTTTCTGTTCTTCCTTTAAAAATTGACTGTGTTGTAAACATCTCTAACACTAATAAAGACAGCCTATTTTTTCTTATGTGTAAAATGCCTTCTAAGCCATGGTTAGATTGTATGTCTGAATCAAACTTAAATAAGTCAAGTTATTAAATTACTCTTTTTAGAAGAACAGTTTTTAAAGGAATGATGAGTTTCTGTCAGTTTAAGTGCAGCTGGCAAGCAGCCATTCATTATAGCCTAGTGTGACATTGATTTTTGACTAGAAGAAATGGAAACATAGCAGTAGCTATACATCCTTAAGGAAACATTCTATATTATTGATACCCTTTGTTTCCTTAAGAGCTGCTACTAAAACTCTATTCAAATTGAATTTTGATTGTACAAATGAGGAAATCTATTGTCAATGTCAAAACATCCATTATTGTGACAATAAGGTGGTAATGCCAAATTATTACTTTAGCATCTATTTCTACCTTATTCCTTAGGGACAAAAGGTGTTTCCTTAAGGACAAAAAGTGTTTCATTATAGAACACCTTTAAAACACTTTTAAAACAAGACCTTTTAAAAAGAACAACAGGAATTACAAAATACCACTTAATTACCTTTAGCAAGAACACTTAGGCTTGCTCATTGGGCAGATTAAATAGTCTATTGAAACAAAATCAGTTGATTTGGCTCATTTTTCCCCCTACATTTTTTCCAGTGATTGCTGCTCTCATCTTTTTGCCAAATTGATCAGAGTTGGCAGTAAAACACAGGCAGTTGAAAATGTGGGAGAAGATTAAGTTTTCTGGATTGCATAAAGGATCATCAGAGATAAAGAGATTACAAAGAATTGGTCTTATCAGGTTGATATTCTGCATCATGTGGTTGTCTGTTTTCTATCATAATCAACTAGACCTAAATTAAGAACCCTTGCCTTTAGAGAGTGTTATTTTTGTTTTCCAAATTTTGGTAAATATGATAGATTGAACCAAGGAGGTGTTTATAATTCGTGCACATTTTATCTTTGTCTTGTCATTAAGTATGAGAGCATTAAATTCAAATTTTATCGAAAGTTTGTGAAAATTAACAATGGTTTGTTGTTAATTCGTTTGAATAGACTTTGTTGAAATTAGGGCCTAGGAGATGGAATGCTGGCTTTTGAGGCTTGATCATAAAGAATATTATATGTGACATATGTGTAAGGAAAATAAGAGAAAGAGGTGATTTCAGGGAAAGTAAAGTAGTAGTTACTCATAGCGATAGTTTGGATAACAAATTAACTAATGTTGAACAGGATGTGGATTTGAACTCATTATTCAAATTGACAGAGACCTGGAATTAGTTCAGATTTACATATGAGAAAGATGGTCTGTTACAACAAAAACAATGTCCTATTCAGAGTGGGGCAGAGATATTGGAAAGGTTCCTGTTTCTTTGGGAATGGTTTTCACTATTGGTGAAATAGTGAAAGTGAAAGCTACTATTATTGCAATTATGGCAAGAACATTACATACTTTATCATTTAATTTTCAGTATCATTCTGAAAGGCAGTTGTTGTTATGCCTGTCTTACAGTTGTGAAAATTAGGGTTCAGAGGATATAATGAACTTATTCAAGGTCAAACAACTACTAAGTGGCAAAATTGAACTCAAGCTACTCAAGCTAGGTCTGTCTGACTGCAAAACTTTTACTTTTCCACACCCTATTCCAAATTATCAAAAAATATTAGAACTATTTTTCTATGTAACAAGTGTGTGTTAGATCAGCTTTCACTTCAGCTTATGTCATAACAGCTATCCTCATGCATGGATATTTTACCTTTTGAGGGGTCTTTTATCACTCTAAAACCTTTCTTTTTCATTATTTGTGATTGGGTCTTAAAAGAGAGACAGAATTATATTAAATTGACCCTGGAATCTGCTCCTTCCCTTAATAAAAAATCCATCTCTATAACCTTGTATTTGATGCTTTTGTAACTCTCCAATCTTCCTGGCTTTTATAATATTAACAGTTAGTGAGTGAGTGATACATCGTATTGTCAGTGAAACTTAACAATATATGTAGTAATTATTACTATTGTCTTCACTTTACAGATAGGGTCAAGTAACTTGCCCAAAGTCAAACATAAATAAACTGGTGGAGCCGAGATTTAAAACCTTACAGGTTCCATAGGGTGAATCCTTGGCTTTTCACCTTCTCTACCCTGTAATACATCATCTATTTCCAGACTTCCAGCCTGTCTTCTTCCTTATGGTACAGGATTGTTTTCTGATTACTCCAACTTTATGTGTCCTTACTTGGTCTTATGTTTCCATAAGCAATACTAATGGCAGCCTCAGAAATTACAGCTTGACATACCAGAAGACTGACCTTAATGTTTGAGAATAGGATATAAGACAATGCAGCTTTGGAGTCCATCTTCTTCACATAAGGGCTTTACTTCTAGGCAGCATAACATTAAACTTAATAAAATAATAGCCAGCTTAGTGCCAAATACTATGTTAGGTGCTCTTTGTGCATTCTTTTATTATTACAGCTACTTTATTGGATAGATACCATTATCACCATTTTACAGATCAGGAAAGTAAAGCTTAGGGAGCATAAGTAATTTATAGAGGTGTTATTTATCTTGAAGGCTATTTTACTTTAGAGCTCATGAGCTAAGGTGACTGACCTTGCATTATTCTCTGAATAAAGCCTCTAGATCTTAAACAGCAGATTGGACTAATTGAACCCTCCGAATGATGGTAGAAATTGTCCTAAAGTTTTTTTTTTTAAAGAAACAGATTATATACATTTATAAGGTGTAATTTCTATGATTATAGGTAAATATTATAGTCATAGTAATGCTTTATTTTAAATTATTTTTGCTTAATTTCTTCTATTTTGTAGTTTTTAAATCTTGCCTAAATATATGGTTATTAAAATTAATATTAACCATTAATATTAACAAGGTAATATATAGTTTATCTTAGTTATACTATGTTAAATATTGCCAAAAAATAACTTTTTGAAAGAAACAAATTATAAAATCATTCTTATTTAACTTATTTCAGATGAAGGTAAAATACATGTGAATATGGCATGCTAGTTTGTAATCTTCCAGTAAATCAAAACAGGACACAATACACAATTTTATGAATTATTCTTATAGGACATCAAATTGAATTAATTACTCAGTATCTAAGGCACAGGATAGCATTGTTTTCTTCTTCCTTTTACTGAATTATCTTTTCTAATTTTAATTAGCTTCAAAGCAAGGAATTATGAATTTAGTATTTATTTTGAGCCTTCTATGTGTGAGACATTATATCTGGGTGTGGAAATATTTATTCCATCAACTAGGATATTTAAGTTTCTTCTTTTGGGTATTATTTGTTCTTTTTTGTCCATTTGAAAATTATTATATATTCCGTGTTATGGAAACGTCACTGTTGTAAGTTCTTACTTTCTATTCCCAGAGAATGGCCATTTAATTGTATTAGAATGTTTCAGCCTAGATGGGGTTACAGGAACATGATTTGCCTTCCTACCAGAAACAAACAAAAAAGACCAGATACACCGTATGAAAGGGAGTCTTCAGACATTAAATATCAGACAGTTCAGGACAGTGATCCTTTAAGAATGGCAACAAATGAGGTAAGCCCTTTGATTGTACCAGCTGATTGCCTTGAGAGGTTTTTCCAGGGCCCAGCACAGGGAGGAGAACCCAGGTGAATGTTGGTAGTCTAGGGTTGACGAGACAGAGTTGGGAGTCTGGGGAAGTCCAGGTGGCTAGAGTTTGCAGGACAGAGTACTGACTGGAGAGAAGATGCACAGAGAGAAAACTATATAGATATGCAGAAGGTCCTCGTACAGCCCTCAGCTGAGGACCCATCAGTATGTGGGGAACCTACAAAAAGCTGGAGAAATAATCACCTCAAAAGAACACAGGGAATAGTTTTCAGAATTTATACAGGGCTGGGAATTATTCATGTTCCCATATCAGCCAGAGTGGAAAACCTCATAATTCACGAAGCATCAGATAGAATAACCAGAAGAATATTGCCTAGTAGTGGAGCATATTCACCCCTAGATTAAAGGCTGTGCCAGTTTTGCCTAACAAAGTTTAAAAGCCAACTTCTATAGGATTTGCTGTTCCCAAGTAACTTAACTGTTTTCTCAAACAAAGCTCAAGGATGTTCCTCAGGACACAAGAATATGTAGCACCCCAAAAGGTGAAAATCATGTTTGGAAGCTAGTAAAAATATTACTTTTAATGCAAAGACACAGGAAACCATGACACAAAATGAGGAGAACATCAATCAGTTAAAAAAAAACACAAATGAGAGAAATAGTAGACAAAGCATTAAAATAGTTATTGTCACATTTAATTTGTTCAAAAAAGGAGAGGAAAGATTGAAGACATTAAGCACAGAAATGGAAGATGTGAAAAAGACTTAAATCTATATTCTAGAGATGAATGTTACAGGACCTAAGATGAAAAAAATTTGCTGGATGGATCTGTGACAGTTTAGTCTACAAAGAAAGAAATTAATGAGGTGACATCATAACAATAGAAACTACCCAAAATGAACCACAGAGAGAATAATGGCTAATTTAAAAAAGAGACAATCAGTGAACTGTAGGACAATTTCAAGTGCCTCAGTATTCATGTTATTCAAGTTGCTGAAGAGGAGGAAAGTGGGAGAGTTTTAGACTGAAATATTTGAAAAAATGGTGGGAAAGAAAATTGATAAAAACTATAAACTCAGAAGAAACTAAAAAAACCCCAAGCACAAGAAGATGATACAGAGGCATATTATAATCAAACTAATACCAGTGATAATGAGAAAATCTTAAAAGAAGGCCAAAAAAAAGAGACGTATCAGGTACAGAGTAACAAAGATGGTTAAGAGTCTTTGCTTTGGAAACAGTGCAACACAGAGGCAGTAGAATAACATTTTTAAACTATAGAAAGAGAGAAATTATCAATGTGGAATTTTTTTTTTTTTTTAGACGGAGTTTCGCTCTTGTTACCCAGGCTGGAATGCAATGGCATGATCTCAGCTCACCGCGACCTCCACTTCCCAAGTTCAAGCGATTCTCCTGTCTCAGCCTCCCGAGTAGCGGGGATTACAGGTGCCCACCACCACGCTCGGCTAATTTAGTATTTTTAGTAGAGACTGGGTTTCTCCATGTTGGTCAGGCTGGCCTTGAACTCCTGACCTCAGGTGATCTGCCTGCCTCAGCCTCCCAAAGTGCTGGTATTACAGGCGTGAGCCACTGTCCAAGGCCATCAATGTGGAATTTTATACCTAGTGAAAATATCTTTCAAAAATAAAGATGAAATAAAAACTTGTTTAGATGAAGTAAAGATGAAAAAATTAGTCACTGGCAGACCTGTACTGAAAGATATGCTAAAAAAAGTTCTTCAGACAGAAGAAAAATGTTATCAGTTAGAAACCTGGACTATATAAAGGAATAAAGAACACTGAAAATGGTAATTTTCTCCCCTTACAGACTCTTTTAAAGTTATTTGACTGTTTAAGTAAAAAATAATAAAAATATATTGTGGACTTCGTGACATATATAGAAGTAAAATTATAATAGTAGTAGTGCAAAGGCTGGGAGAGGGGGAAATGTAAGAATACTGATGTAAATTTCTTATACTATATATGATGTGGTATAATATTACCTGAAGACAGTTCATGATAAATTAAAGGTATAAACTGTGAACCAACCACTAAAACAACAGTTAAAAGAATTATAGCTAATAAGTCAAGAAAGCAGATAAAGTGGAATAATATAAAATATGCAGTTAATCCAAGGGAGGCAGAAAAAGAGAGAAAAGAGGCTGAGGGCAGATAAAAGCAGTAGAAAACAAGTAGCAAAAGGGTAGATTCAAATCCAATCATGATTGTATATATCCAGGGAAAAAAGAGATTATCTCATAATGATAGAAGGGTTAGTTCATTAAGAAGGCATAAAACCCAGCATTTATGTACCTAATAACAGCATCAAAATACTTGAAGCAAAATCTGAAAGAACTTCAAGGAGCAAGACACAAATCCAGTTTTTGTTGGAGATTTAAATATTCCTTCTTAGTAATTGATGGACAGAGTAGACAGAAATAGATACAGACATAGAAGACCTGAACAACCCTATGAATCTGGTGTAACTGGCATCTGTATCATACAAAGAATATTATCTGAGTTTAATGAAATTAAATTAGGTATCTATAACAGAAAGACTTGTAGAAAATCTCCACATATTTGTCAATTAAATGACTCTCCTCTAAATAACCCATAGGTTAAGAAAGAAATAAAAGAAGAATTAAGGAAATACTGAACTGAACTGAATGAAAATGAAAACACATCAAGATTTGTGGGATGTAGCTAAAACAATACTTAAAGGGAAATTTATAGCACCATTTGTATTATAATGACCATCCAACTACATTACTTAAAGTTACTTGTTAATGGGTTGTCTTTTTGTATATTCCAAACAATTTCTGCTTGTGGGGAGAAATTTTAGCTACAGAATAAACATGATATTTACTTTGCGAGATGGTGCTACAAAACAATTGATGTGTAAAAATTATATTCTATAATTTTAATTTTTAAATTTTTACATTTGGACTTTCATTAGACATTGTTTGGTAAAGGTATATAATCATTAGACTATTGTTGGTAAGTTTTTAAGTTATTTCATGTAAGTTGAATGTTGATTTCATAAGAATTATCTTCTGTTGCTGAGTTCACATTGTAAGTGCTGGCACTAAATACCAATAAGCCAATAAAAGGCCAATCTGATACTATTCAAACAAATATATACTTACAAATCTGTACTTCTCAAATTTAAAATTCGTATTTTGGCAATTAATAACATTTACTCCCTGAATAAAATAATTATTGGTGACTTTTTTTCTTAGTCAAGTTTTTGAATAACCTTTCTGTGTTACGATTATCTTTTTCATTCATTTAATACCAGAAATCATCTCAGTGAAATTATTATATAGTCAGTTTGTCAATTACCACTGATTTTATATGACTATTTCCTCAAATTCTGATTTCCTTTTAAATGTTAGAGAGTATTTTGAACCTTACATTATTACAAAAAGCAATTTGAGGTCTTTATTTCAGGGAGTGAAATGTGACATTTTAAAAATGAGATCACATTTATTTATATACAAAAAGTATTTAACCATCAATTATATAAGGCCATTTTTACTAATAAACTATTATTTTAGAGATTGTATTTATTAATCATGCTGTAAAGGGATTACTCATTTTAAAAAGTGGCTAACTTATGTGCATGCATTGAATGTAATCTACGTTCATTGGATAAAGTGTACATTCATCTAGCAGACATTTATTGAGCATCTAAGATGAGTTAGGTTCAGTGTTTTCACTGGGAATATGGAGGAATTCTGACCTGAAGCAGTTTATAGTCTAGTAGGGGTAGGTGGTAGCCTGGCAAAGCAGAAATTGCAATACAGTGAGATCGAAGCAAGATGCATTGGGAGTACATCGTACCAGTATTAATGCTGCCTGAGGAGGAAGGTAACTCCTTTCCAGAGGAGCTGACTCTGAGAAGGGGATTGCAGACACAGAGAATGGGTAAATGTTCAGAATTGTTGGCTTACAGTGTGTATGAATTAGAATGGTAGGTGGGGAGGTAAAGGTAGCAGAGATAAGCTATAGGGTTAATATTTATCTTGTAAACAAGGAGAAACTGTAGAGTGAATGATCTAATCACATTTTCATTTTAATACTGTCATTCTGAAAACATCCTATGCGATGGAATGGAGAAGGAAGTGATGACTCAGAGTGTGAAGAGTGAAGAGTTCTTAGTATTTGTTATTGGTTAATTCTCTTTTGATTTCAGGGGTCAAAAATCTAATGTAACTTGGGCTAACAAAAAAGAAGTTAACAAAAGAATTTATTGGTTCAGAAAATTGAAAATTTCCATGTCAGATCTAGCTAACCTCAGGACTGGCCTTTGCAGTCCATCTGTGGTATCTGTGTTGTGTTACAGAGTTGGGTTCATTGCAGGTTATGACTCCTGAGTTCACACATACCTAAATGTTTTTCTTAAAAAAAAAAAAAAAACCCTCCAAAATGAATCAATATAGTGAACTAATTATTAATGTCTGTGTGATTTGTGGGCTATTTTTATTGGTGTTTGTGAATTCTTTATTCTCCTAATTGAATATTCTTCATTCTATACATGAGTCTAAGCTGCTTCTGGGAGAATATTATAAATTTTTTGGGAAAAATTCTATATCCTGACTTTTCTTTAAAGTTCATAAAAACAATAATTGTGTTGAAGAATCATATGTAAATTCATGTGACTTTTCTACACTTAAAATTGTGGAGAAAATACAGAAATACTAAATATTTATTAATCTAGTACACATTTATTAAACATTTCTTTTAAATTATGAGTGATACTAAGTCTCTATGTATGAAAGTAATTTTGTTTAATAGGGCTTTTATACTTGAGAACTCCTTTCCTGTTTTCCAGTTTGAATTGTCTTAAGATTCAGATTGACTTCCTAGATAGTGCACTGAAATTTGGCGGTGATTTTTATAGAAAAAAATTATTATACTTGACAGTTGTATCATATGATATTCCCTGAGAAAATCTCAGAAGAGTGTTTCAGTTATATTCGAATTGCCTACACTTATAGAGTTTTTTATGAAGATTATAATACATATTTATTCATAGTTCTCTGACTTTATGTTACTTCAGTACTCAGTCATCATTTATTCATTCACTTTCAGTCAAAAAATATTTACTAAGCCCCTAACATATGTGTTGCTCTTGGTAGATAAAATAGTCATGAATATTTTATCTCATGGGATTTACATTGTGAAAGACAGAGTAAACAAATAAACACACTAAGTTGACAACTGGTATGAGAGGGGAAAAAAAACCAGGCAGCAACCTACTTTAGAATGAGCAAGCAGGGAGGACCTCATTGGAGAAGTAACATTAAGCTGAGATCCGGTGCGTGATTAGGAATTATTTTTTCTTGTTAAGATTTGGGAGAAAGTCTAGGTAAATACCTTTAGTGGGGATAGAGCTTGCCTTTTTGGGAAAATCAAAGAAGACCTGTGGCTGTTAAGAGTGAAGGCTACAGTTGTGCAAGATGGGGTTTTGATATTATGATTTTCATTTCATAAAAAGTATTAAGTTTGTTAAGCACTAATGCATTAATTGTAGTAGCAGCAAATAGATGATGGTGTAAAATATCATAATAATTTACCTCCTGCATTTGAGAAATGGAGACAGATCCATGTTTCACTTTCTTGTCAGTTGTTAAGTACTTGCAAAGGCAGATAGATTAAGTAATCTGATTGCTGATAGGACATCTGAAAATTTATTGGTTTCAGTATTATAAAAGCTTTCTTTTTGTTTATATGTACACACACACACACACACACACACACACACAGCCACTACTTATTTACCTACATCATAGGGCTTCTGTACATTTTGTTGCCTTTGTCAGATGTCACTCCCTTCCCATTAATTTGCACCCATTCATTAGTTATCAATTCCAGCATTTCTTCTTCAAAGAAGTTTTTCATCATCCACCTTCCTCAGTAACCCTAAGCCTAAGACATGTACCTTTGTTACAAATATTCCCATATCTGTGCTTCCTTTCTTTAGATCATATCTCAGTTTGTAATTGCACACTCATTAGTGTTTGATTACTGTTTCTTGCTCTCATACACTCTCAGTAAACTGAAAGCTCCATGAGAGCAGCTTTCAGTTTAAAATCTGCATAGCTTGGCACTGAGCCTGCCACCTGTATGGTAGTCAATAAATATTTGGTGGAAAAATATTTGGTGGAATGAATAAATAAATGTATACCACCACCTAAGCCTAAAGTTTTCTATCAGACAAAGCTGACATTTTCCCATGTTTATTTTCTTTCAGGATAAACTATGGGATTTGATTATTTAAAGTTTTTTTGAAATTACACATAAAACACTTTTATGAACATAGTAACTGTCTTAAAATTAGGAGTAAACTAAGTATTTCATCTTGTTGCACTTCTTTCTGCATTTCTTCCCTTTTGAATCTCTTTATTCCTCAAATTCCTGTGTGATCTAAAGTATGGAAGACCTTGCTAGTGTTTGAATTGGTATCAGACCTCAGTAAATACTTGTGAAGTGAAGAAATGAATTATTTACAAGACAAGAAGCTGTTCTTCACATTAATTAAATTGGCTGTAAGAATGACCCAGCAATGAAGAATGCTGAGCACTAACTTCCCCATTTTCATGATTAAAACAAATGCCCTAGGCACGCATTTCTTTTTCTATGCCATCATAACAAATAAAGACCCTGTCACCCCAGCAACTCATTATTGTTTGTTTTCTATTTGGTGAAATCCGAAGAGATCTTCTGTGGTTATAGTTGGGAATTTATCAAAGCTTGCAAATCCCTGTTGTTCCATAAAGCTGAAAATAAACCATATGCTAGCCCATACCACACTGTCCAGGGTCTTTTTTGGAATTACATTTAAGAGCTGAGAAAATGTAACACAGAGATTTTTACCAAAGCTTACATAATCTTCCGTTCTTTACACTTGGGCTTTTTTCTGAGCATTTCTCCAATGTAACATTCCCACATATTTGGGCAGAGTTTAGAATCATTTTCCAACTAAGTGAAAAAATGATTCTAATTGAACTTTATCAAACATTTGCCTCTGAAATGGAAAAGTGTGGTGTGTACTAATGATATGAATTATTTTAATATATACGATAATTCCTTTTCTCTTTTAGTCAAATGTCCTGGAAATTCTTCACTAAATCTAATTTTATCCATTGTTGAGGTTTCTCCCAATGGTAAGTTAAGCACTTAAACCACACAATCACTTAAACCACACAATCAACCCTAGAAAGATGGAAGGAGACGGTGGGAATGTGAGTAGGGTGAGTTGGTGTGGCAACCTTTGGAACCACTTTAGCACATTCCACAGTACTTTTCCTATCAGAAACCAGGGATAATTTCAACCCTAAGGAAAAGCAATTACCTTGATCACCTGATTGTGATTTGCATACCTGAAACTGATAAAATCATTTCACATACTTTTATCATGTATCATGATACAGATTGTATCAATGGATACATACGTATCACTTACTATCCTAAGTTTCTGTTTCATGGTCAGGATACATTAAATACTCTCGGTATTTCCTTTCAAAGGGAAATTGAGGGTTATTAAATCAGTAGTTTTAAAAAAGTATTATAAAAATATTAAGAATTAATTTGTGTTTCTATTTGATTATATCTGTCATCAGTGTGGAAAGAAGTTACTTTGTAATAAAGGCAACCGCGTAGAACTGGATGTTTTGTAAACTGTTAGTGTGTTGGTAAATTGTTGGTATGTAAAATCCGGGTTGAGTATGACATTAATAGTAAGTGGTTAAAAAAACTAGCAATTCTGAGGTTTCGGGCTGATACACACACACACACACACACACACACACACACACACACACGCATTGCTAGTGTTTATTGAATTACCTCTTTGCACCATGTTTAACTGTTACTTCTTGGTCATTTTTGAAAGGTATAAATTATTTTACCTTTGTTTTTACATATATCCATTAATTTTTTTTTATAACATTGTAAAATACCTTTCACCTAAGATGGTGGGGACCCTTTGTTAACTCCAAGAAGATGGATAGCCATAGGATATGCTATATTTAAATGTAGTTCTTCTGCAAATAACTATAGAATATTTATGCATTTTTGACAAAGTTTCAGAGGCATAAATGCTGCCATTGCCCAATAGAGGAAATTTCATACAAAACTCACCAAACTTTATGTATGGTCAGTTTCTCGGAATGGATACTTCTGCAGACTAGTTCCCCAGTCTTCTTGCACTTCTAACACACACTTGAGAGATGGGACCTGTGGGTCTGTACTGGTCTTGGCCATCTGGTCTCAAGGACCATCAGGAAGCTGTCTTGGTTCTTGTGCTTAGAACTCAGTGTTTCCTGGCTTTTGGGAGGTATTTCCAGATTTGACACCTTTGATTTTTTTTAATAAAAGTTTTTCTTTTTGAGTCTCATTTTTTTTTAATGAGAACCTATTCATCTCCTAATACAAATTGATAGAAATAGACTTGACTTTATCAAGTTAAGTACTTGAGCCAGACACATGTTGTATTCCAGCCTGTGTTCCAAGTGCTCCTGTCCCCACCTTGACAGCCTTTCAGGTTTGTGGCTTTTATTTATATGCTATTGTCTTGTGGTTAGTACCTTTTCTTGAATATAGAGGAGTAGAATTATTTTGTGTTTCAGAAATGTTTGTTTTAAACATGAACATAAACGTATTTCAACAGCAGATAATCTCTTAATGAGGGAATTCTTGGTTGGCCCATCTGAAGTCAATCCTGACATTATTTCTGATAGATTTCTGTGGCCTATGGCTAGGTTTCAATGGAATCGGTTCTGAAATCACTACATGCTGTCGAAATCAAAACTTGTCATATTAGGTTCTGTAACAAATACAACTAATGAGACAACAGATTAATAGTAGAAGTGGTTTTTGAAATATCATTCCAAGGTATTGATTTACTCAAAATGTTATAAATACCACTCTGGATTAACTTTAAAATGGGTTACTATGTGATATATATATTTTTTGTAGATGCCAGAATTCTGTTTCTAGGAATTCTTTATTGATAAAATGTTAAATGTTGAAAGATAGTACATTTGACCAACATACTTTTGACAAACATTCTGAGCATTAGATGTTTATTGTGTGGTTGCCATATTAGGAGTGGTTTATTTCTGGCTTATGCAGAGTATGGGAGTAGCTTTATTAAGTGTTTCTCCTCAGTTTTTGTCTTTATAGGCTCTGAATTTTGTAGACACATTTATTTCTTGGGATTCCTTTTCAACATTGTCCTTTGGGACTGGCAAAGGCAGTTTTAGATAGATCTGGTTTCATATGGAACTGCTTCCTGTGACTAGTGTTTTCTCTTGGGTGCTGTAAAAATAACTAATCCTTATAGTCGAAGCTTAAAAGAAAACAGGGAGATATCCTATAATATATTCTACTTCCATCTTTCCTTATTGATTTCTGGGAACATGTATTGATTGGAAGAAGAAGTTTGGGAATCTCTTAAAGTAATACTTCGGGTAGCAAATGAAATATAGAAAATGGAGAAGGAGATAAAAAAGTAGTGGTAATGGAAGAATGCAGAATAGTGTGAGAAATGTGTGTGGGTGTAAATGGAGCACTGTATGGCTGTTTGCAAGGTGAAACCAGGTGGTGGTGTGTGGCAAGTGCAGCATTCTGTGCTACCAATGCCAGAGAATGATATCTGGAACCATTGAAAGCCCCTTACGCAGCTTCAACCCACCCCTTCTTATTCACCTGAGCAATTTATTTGTTTTCATTCTTTCTCTTATCCATTGCCTTCTTTCTTTATCTTGTTTCCTCCTATTTCATCAGGGATATGAATCCACCAATCACTTCCCCTTTTTACTGGCATTTCCAGTCTTGTCTTCTCCACTGATTATTATCTTGAACAATAAATTTGCTCATGTATTTTCTATGTAGCTCTCTCCATTCTGTCCCTTCGTATTATTGCTATATTACTTCCATTTCCTTCTAGTCAGTTTACCAAAAAGCATGTTACAATTATTGTAGACTCAAAGATACTGTACCTGATAATGCCCTTTTTGGGGAAATGAATCAAAGATCATAATCAACACTTTGTTTTTGTTGTTATTGTTGCCAGAGTTAAAATTTATTTCTTATTTCACTTCACAATTAGCTATAATTATGTTGCTATAAAGAGAAATTTTACATTGTCTCCCCCATTACTGTGGTAGTTGAATTGATCATCATTTAGCAGAAAATCAAAGAGCGCAATGATCAAGCAGTAGAATGACCTGTTGCTAGCTCTCAGAGGTTTAATTCCCCAGAAGCAGACATTGAGATGAGGATTTGTTTGCAAGTAATTTATTAAGAAAGTGAGAAACAGCCAGGCATGGTGGCTCACATCTGTAATCCTGGTACTTTGGGAGGCTGAGGCAGGAGGATCGCTTGAGCCAGAAGTTCAAGACCAGCGTGGGCAACATAGTGAGACCTTGTCTGTAAAATAAAAAAATAAAATAGTAAAATAAAATGTAGCTGGGCATGGTGGCACATGGCTGTAGTCCAAGCTACCGAGGAGGCTGAGAAAGGAGGATTGGTTGAATCTGGGAGGTCGAGACTGCAGTGAGCCGTGATTGTGCCATACTTCAGCCTCGGTAACAGAGCAAGACCCTGTCTCAGAAAACAAAACAAAACAAAAAAAGGAGTAATCAATTAGGGAGTGACAGAATGGGAAAAAAAGGGAATGGGGAAGAAGAGGTATGATTTTAGGCAAAGTCTTTTCAAGGATAGCTTTAGTCTAAACCTTCATGAGAGCTCTGGAGTATGAATTATTTGTCTGTTCAAACCCAAATTAAATGAGGTAGATGTTCATACTTCCATCCCTACCAGCCACTGCCTAAGGATGATAAAGGGGTACAGGAGGGGAGATGCTTATCCCCAGTTAGGGGGATATATAAAGTGACTATAGTAGCCTGAGGGCATAAGAACACTTAACAAGTCTTATCTTTTGGAAGCAAAATCACACTGAAACAACATGCAAGTCAGAATATGTATTGTAATGTGCACAAGTCTTCTTAAGGAACCATGTGATGGAATTGGATAATTTACTTTGCACTCCATCACTCCACTTAACCACCCATTCTTTTTTTTTTTTTTTTTTGGCTCTATCTCACCATTTTGACTGGAAAAGGGATGAGTATTTTATAGCACTTTTGATGGATAATTGTGACATTCTTCTTTGATATTATATTGATATTATACCAAAACTCAATAAGTAGTACTTTCCTATAGACTATTTACAGTGTGGAATCTGATGCCATATCAATGAACTTTTTGTATTTTCTCACTCCAAAATCCATTGGTTTATCTTGCACCTTGAATAAATCTTTTACCCATGCATGTATTGGTCATTTGGAAAATATAGATTCATTGGGTTATATATCTTCCAAATGTTTATGCATTTTATTATACAGCATAAACAAATCCCATTTATTAATATTACTACTGCTGCATCAGAAAAGTCATGATATTAGTAAGCTCTTACAGTGGCAATATAAGGCTTTCTTATAACTGTCACAGTGACAGATGTAAGTTTTTCAAACTTCTACTTTTTGCTTGAAAGCTTTAATGTTATCATTGGTAATGAATACTGTCAGTTGTTTTCCTTGAAGTGACAGATTAACTTTGTCCATTTTTGTGAAAATGTCTGCCAAAAATCCAAGTCTAAATAATAATAGCTTATCTGTCAGTTGTCCCTTTAAGTAAAAAGTGTTTGGTGGAAAAAAGTGGCTAGTTCAGCTTGCAACGGAAACAACCAGGAGTGCTGTTCCTTAAACAACCATTGTACTCTAGTTGCAGTGAGTGCTTTATGTGTATTTGCCATTTCACCACACAGAATAATAAAACACATTTAATTTGAGATATAATGGAACTAAGATTTTTACTCCTTCATCGAAGACATTCTTAAATAAAACAGACTTTGCTTGCTTTAATGACAGTGCATGGCAGTGAAGAGTACAATGACTCAGTAAAGTTTGGTGCCAAGGCTTTGATTTATGCTAAGCTGCTAGCAGTTCTCCCACCAGTGCTTTCATATCATCTGTGAAAATATTAACATATCAAAAAGGGTAAATAACATTTTAATATCATTATGAAAATAATTTTGCCCTCATGAACTCCTGAAAGGTTCTCATGGATCTCAGGAGTCCATTGAGTTCACTTTAAGAGCCACTGCTTTAAAGAAAACAGCAACACACAGTATTCTGCATCTTGTCACCCTCTGTCACCAAGTATCTACCTTAGTCTTTGCACACAAATTGCAATCATCATTTAGTTTACTACTTGAGTAATTTTGGAAGATGGTATTTAAAACACCTTTCTTCAACTTCCTTAGATACTTCTACTTTTAACAGGGTTCCTCTCTAAAATGTCATTAGCAGGTGTTTATATTTTCATGGAAATTTTCCTGTGACAGATAGACTCACACATGTACAAACCATCATTTGCTGAGGCCATTAAGTTAATTTTCCTTAATCTATTTGTTTCAAAGAATTTTAGTATATTCATTTTACCAGTATACTCTTTAGTTCTGAAAGGGTCAGAATAATGACATTCTCACTTGTGGTTCTGAAATGCATTTCAGTTCACAAAGCACTTCCTCATGCATCATCTCTTTTGGCCATCACACCAGTCCTGTGAGATTTGCAGGGCAGTGTCATTATCTCCACGAGTAAACCCAGGTTGAGAGAGGGGGAAGTGGGTTGCCTAAGGTCTAAGGCCACACAGTGAGTGGCAGAACAGAATTGAGATGCTCTGTTTTCTATATTCAGTTTCCTCTTGTGTATAGTGTTCTTTCTTTTCTTGTAACAATTTAAAAGGCATTCCATATTTTTTCCCTAGTCTATGTAGCTGGTTTCTCTTATCATTTCATATCATAAGATGCCTGCACAGGCTGTTGACTTAGATAAAAATATTGTGTAACTGAAGAAATGGAAGCTACACATAGGAGCTATGGTCTCAGCGAAGGCCTGATACTGCTCACAATTCTGTTGTAACCATGAAGGTTACTTTCTTTTAAACTTAATAAATATCAGCCAACCCAGGTATGAAATTTTCAGCTGCAAGAAGAACTGCAGGAAACAGTTAAATATACCCTATAGCCAATATAAGGCAAAACAATACAGAGAATGGAGATTTGCTGGGTAATTAAGCATGTTACAAAGTAGACTGACTAATCTATAATCATATGCTAGGATTAGTAATACAAAAGGCTGACATACGTGGTGTGAATTAATGAAAAAGGGTTTTGAAGAGTTTACAATAGCAAAGATGGTTGCATATTATAACAATTAATTAAACATTATTTTATTTCTTTGTGGTATTCCTTTCTGGCCAAGAGGATTGAACACTTCCTAGAGTTCATTGTGCTTAATTAGACTTTAAAAAATAATTTTTCTTAATTTGTTAGAAAATATTTTTAAAACACTGCAAATGATAGAGAATAATAACATATATCCATGTTTGCAGCATCCAGTTTTATCGTATTTTAACATTTTTCTAGCTCTGCCTTTCTTAAAGAAAAAATATTACAAAAATAATTAAAACTTACTGTATACCTTGTCGTGAGGCTGTGTCCATCACTACCAAGAGTTAATTATCATTCTGAATTTACTGATCATTTTTCCATAATGCATATTTTTATATTTTGATACATATATTTGTATTGATAAATATATATAGTGTTTTTCATGTTTTAATAGTGTATAAAATTTGGTATCATTCTATGTCATTTTGCAACAGTTTTTTTCTTCAATGTTGCTTTTGAGATCATTCATATTTATATATGTAACTCTGATGTAGGTATACAATGTGTAGTATTTTTTAGTGAGTATGCCATAATTCATGTATCTGTTGTACTATTGATGGCTGTGTAGGTTCTTTTCAATTCTTGCTATATGTACCGATATCAGGACATTGTTATGTATACTTCCCTATCCACATGGACAACAGATTTTTTAGGGCATATAACTAGAAGTGGAATTGCCAGGTCTTTGGTATACATTTCTTTAATTTACTAAATATTGTCAGCTTATTTTCAAAAGTAGTTTTGCTATTTTATACACTTATACATTCCTTACTCACTGACGTTCTTATATAAGAATGTTTCATTTTCAGCTCACCTCATAAAACTTGGTATTGTTCGATTGTAAATTTTAATATATCCAAATATCATCTCCTTGAAGTTTTATTGCACATCTCCCTGATTACTACTGAGGCTGAACATCTTTTCATATGCATATTGACTATTTTCCCTCTGTGAAATGTTTGTTTCTATCCTACTCATTTTTCTTTTTGGTCATTAAGCTTTAAAAAAAAAATACTGTTGATGTGTAGGTGTCCTTTTATATTCTGGATAATAATCATCTGTTTGTCATAAGTCTTGAAAATATCTCGTCTGTGGCTTATCTTAATTTTGCTCATGTGTTTTTTTTGTACAAAAATTTTAATTTCTATGTGGCAGAGTTTTTTTGTTTTGTTAGGCATAGGTATTTTTCTTGTTTAGGAATTTTCTTACTCTTGTGTTATAAAGATATATTTTTCTATATTTTACTTTTCACATTAGGTCTAATCAATCAGGAATTGAGGTAGGATTACAGATCAGGAATTAGAGGCGGCATTATACCTCTAATATATCTACACATCTTGCTTTTCACAGTTAGGTCTTACCTGTCAGAAATTGAGGTGGCATTATAATCAGGAATTAGTGGTGGCATTATACATCGGTGGGGGAAGACAAGAAAAAAGTAAATCCCCATTTACTTTGTAATTAGTCTTGGGTAGGGATTTACTTTTCCCCCATCATCCCCCTGCTGACTGTGATGCCATCTCTTTGATATTTCATGTCCATGCTGGCATGGATCTGTTTCTCTGCTCTTTGTTCTGTCGTTTTAGTCTAGCTGCGTGTCTTTGGCCTAATGCTATGCTATTCTAATAATGATAGTTTCAGTATCTGGCAGGAGACGTTTTTCTACCTTGTACTATCTTTTCATAGTTATCATTGTTATTCTTGGCTCTTTGGCCTTATATATGAATTTCAAGATTACACTATCAACTTCTATGAAAAACTCTATGGAATGACTTCAAATTGATCTATTAATTGCCACAAATTTGCTGTATTTATATTTTTTTCCCACATGTGAACATGGAATTACTTTTCATTACATAGAGCTAAGGTTTTATAATTTTCCCCGTAATGTGATTATACACATTTTCCCCTGTGTACCGTATGTTTTTATTGTTGCTAGTGTGTATAGGCTCACGTTATCTCTCTCTCTCTTGCTCTCTCTCTCTCTGTTTCAGTATTGAAATGCTTGTTACTTGTCTATAGGAAGTCTGTAGTTTTTGTTTGCTAGTCTTAAAACAAGCTACTTTTGAAATCTTCTAATAATTTGCTACAGAATCCATTAAAATTTTCTATTTTGGCAGTCATAACGTACAGATATGGGTAATGCTTTCTAATACATATTTTTAAAATTTTTCAAGTAGTCTTGTGATATTGACTATTATCTCTAGAGCAGTATGAGAGAAGCAGCGGAATAGATATATATCTTTTTGTTTTTATGTTAATGGTAATGTGACTAAAATTTTAGTTTGTGATATATGCTGTAAGCTCTTAAGAGATACTCTACATTACTCTGTATTTGGGTAGAGATGCTTCCTTTACTCCTTGTTTGTGAAGGTGTGGTGGTTAATTTTATGTGTCAACTTGACTAGGCAACAGGATGCTCAGATATCTGGTTAAACATTATTTTAGGTTGTTTCTGTGAAGGTGTTTCTCGAAGAGATTAGCGTTTAAAATGGTGAACTCAGTAAGCAAATGGCCCTTTCCAATGTGGGTGGACATCATCCAATCTATTGAGGGCCTGAATAGAACAAAAAGATGGAGGAAAGCTGAGTTCATTCTCTGCCTAACCGTTGAACTGTAGCACTCATCTCTTGCCCTCGGTTCCCCTGGTTCTCAGGCCTTCAGACTCATACTGGAATCTATACCATTGGCTCTCTGGTTCTCAGGTCTTCAGACTACATCACTGTCTTTCCTGAGGCTCCAGCTTTCAGTTGGAAAATTATGGGACTTTACTTCCATGATCACTTGAGCCTATACCTTACAGTAAATATATGTGTGTGTATATCTATCAGTCTCTGTCTGTCTTCTCTCTCTCTCCCTCTGTATCCATCCATCCATCCATCCATCCATCCATCCATCCATCCATCCATCATGTTTCTCTGGAGAAGCCTGAGTAATACAGAAAACTTTTTATCTCAAATGAATATTTAATTTAACAATTATTTTTCTTGCATTTAATATAATAAATTTTCTGATATTAAACCATCTTTTAAATCTGCAATTAAATCTAGCTTTTATGCCTCCAAATCTTTTAAAGAAATTTATTTTACATATTCAGAAACACCATCTGATTTGTTTTAAAATCTGAACTTGCTTTATAGGATTTATTTTTTTGTCTGGTAACCAAACAATGTTTTATTCTTCATCTTTTATATCGTATAATACCTATAAAATATTTTACTTTATAATACATGTAAAGGAATTATAAGTAGAAGCTCAGCTCTGACTTTGAAACTGATTTCATTTTTTTCCTTTGTGAGCCTATGCTGTTTTAATATGGTGGGAATAGGGTGTGGTAAGTGGTTTGTTCTTTAACAGTACCTGGAAAAATGTAATATTAGGTTTCAAATGGCAAACATTGCAATTACTTTTGCACTAACCTAGTAGATAAGTGACATAATTCTATAGTGGAGCTTGGAGAAATAGTGTGAGCATAAATTCGTAGTCTGAGAATTAGGTTCCAAATTTATTTTGTGAAATTTCTTTTTCCACTAGCTACTTATTGGCTTCTGATAAAAGAAGTTAAAATAATATTCCCATTGCTTGAATCATTCTATCACTACTCTAAGATCACTTTCTTGCTTATGGATACCTCATTTACTTCCATTAATTTATTGAAAAAGCTTTTCAGATTAAACACAATAGAAACAGGTTAACAAAGGTAAAAAAACATGATTAATTTCTTGTTTTATAGACCAAAAAAATTAGTGGTACTGTTTAATTATTGCAGTTGAATTTGATTCAACCAAACAGTGATTTGAGATCATAGAATACTGACAGCTAAGGCAAAAAGACAGCCATATTAAATTAGATGTGATTTCATTATTTCATAAGATAATGCATCCTAAGAAATCATAATAAAATATGTAAGCAAAAATAGAGACTCACTTAATTTGAATAATATGTGAATTAATTTTATGATATCATTAGAGCTAATTTTTATGTTTAGCTAGCCCTGTTTACTTAAAATTTATCCACTGGCAAATACAATAGCTCAAACCAATGCAGAAATATTAATACCTGCATTATTTGTTTAAAATTTAGGGTCCTAGGCCTTATTTCCAGAGATTCTGGTTTATTAGGTCTTGGGAACAGTCTGAACATCAGCATATTGATCATCACAGGTGGTCTTAGGATTACACTTTTAGAAATAGTGCCTCAAACAAAGAAAAAAAGTTATGACTTTACTGTATTTGGGTCATTATTCTAGATTTCAAAAAGAGGCTTTTAAAATTTTTTAGTAATTTGGCATTTCAAAGTAGAGTAAGTTAGAAATTTCCATGTAAAAATAACTTGTGATGGTTAACAGCTAAACAGCTAAACCCAAATAGTATAACATACATCAATAGTTGATTTTGTTAGCCACGTAGTCTTTTTCTTTCTAGCTTAATACCTCTATTTCATGCCCTGTTTTCACTCCTTCACAAGTTTTAGTGGCTCAACATAGATGAATTTTGATCTTGTATAGATATTCTAAGTTGTGGATGTATTTGTTATTTCATATTTTAAGCAGAACTCTGGGATTTTAAGAAAAGTATTTATTATTTTGTATTAGAAGAGGCAGGCCCTTGATTTTCAAGATTTATTATACTTTTGTAATAACTGGCTGTAGTCAGGGGCTCAGATATCAGAACTGTTCATGGGGAAAGTAATTTCCACTGATGTCATTTCTAACCAAGTGAGTGACATTGATGTACGTAGCCCTGGCCTATAACTGGTCAGCCTGAAATAATTAATCAGAAAAAACAACTATTTTAGTACCTGACTGAATTAAAGCCTTATTGGTAATGAACTAGGTTAATTGGAGTTCTCCCATCTCGAGACTTTCACAACTGTCTTTAGGTTAACGAAAATATTTTAGATCTAGCTGAGTGTATAGCCTTGGATATTTCTGTGATTTCTTTTAAGATCATATGGGGAACGTTTTATTTACGTTGCCTGGGGTTTATTGGTGCATTTCTCTTTAACATTGTAATGGGAAAAAAAAAACTGATAAAACTTTTGAAAATATGGTGAAAGTTTCCACTTGTGTTTTATTAAATGTAGGCGATACAACATAATAGCATAGGTACATGCATTCTTTATTTGCAGCTCTTTCAGGAGGAAGACATTAATTTTCATAAGAAATATGACATTTATAAGAATTGAAAAGTTTAAAAGGAAGTGCACAGAAATTGGTAAGACTTGTAAAACCTTGGTTTACCAGGTCTGGTGATGTCTTGCATAAGAAAACTTCAGAACAGAGCAGATACTTGGGACACTTGTTTATATTTTGCTATTTGTTTACTAAGACCATAAATGCTAAGCTAAACAATTCATATATAGGGAAAGAGTGAATAAAGAGAGAAGATTTTATTATTTTCCTTAGGATTCAAATTTTCTGTCCATCATAGAATCCTTTGATTTTTACTTCTTATGAAAGCACAAAAAGGCAATAGCATTTTCCGTAGCTCATTATTTTGAAAAGAAAAGTGAAGAACATGAAAATACTGCTCCTGTTGATTCTAACACCCACCTCCAGAGAGATACCGAAGACTTTCAATTCATAGTAGAGATCTAATCTTGCCAAAAATACTAAACTTAATTTTTATATTAAAAATAAGATTTCTAGAATATATAGGGAAGATGATTGATAGTTATTTCATGTCAGGCAGTTTTTCTTCCTTGTATTAGAATTTCATTCATATTGATTATTGTTTAGTATCATAATTTTGAGGTAAAGGATTACCTGAAACTATTGTAATTTGCTTCTAATCAGAATATAAAATATACTAGTTTTGTTATTGTTTATAAAAGATAAAGTAAAGGAGATTGGATAATTCTGTCACAATTCTCTTTCTGACTCAACGGACGTTATTAGCTGTACTCAGCATTGATATCCCTTTATTCCTTTGCTTACAGTATATCCTAGTTTCTTCATGTAGCTACTCTGCTCTGCTGTAGGCTAAATGCTTCAGGAGAAGCTGACCCTAATCCAAGCTCCATGAGTGGGCTTTATTAGTCTAAGGTGAACACCATCTTTCTTACCACTTCTTGTTTCATGTGAAAAGGGTCAGGTACCCACTTAAGCGGACTGATATTAGGAGTAGTGCTGGTGCCTCCCTGGACAGGTCTTCCTTTATTCTCACTGGGAGAGTTTCTTGAATTGATTCTCCTTCTATTCTGCTAGGCTCCTGGCCACCATTCTAACACCAAAAGGAGAGCTAGCTTTAAGATAAAGAATTACTACAGATTGCAGAACAGAGAAAAATATTCCTAACCAGGAACATTTTAACTCCACTGCATATTGTGTGTGTGTGTGTGTGTGTGTGTGTGTGTGTGAGAGAGAGAGAGAGAGAGAGAGAGAGAGACGGAGGGAGAGAGAGAGAGATCAGAAGATGAGGAATGTCTTTGATAAGAATTTACACTGGCAATTTTTTTTCCAGAAAATTCCAAAGGGAAAATTAAAATGTGCCATTTAGGGTTTTATTTCAAGTATTTATATGGGCAAAATCACTTGCATGCATTTGATAAAATGTCTCTTTTTCTTTTCCCCCACCCTTCAAAGGTGTTATTTTATCCACTGCAAGACTTCAAAATGGTTATGTGATTGACTGAATATAGTCATAAAGCCAAGCCTTCTGAAGTTGAAGGGCTTATTGCCTTAAATGTTATTCTTTTGATTATATGGGTAGTCTATTTGCATTTGTTAGTGCCTCATATGATATAATTGGATGTCTCATCTTTTGCCAAAAATGTTAGAATCTGAGAAACCATTTATTTGAAAATTCCACTTTAAGGGTACAAAATTCAGGTAGACAGGAGGAATATGGTATTTCTTTTTAGTTCTATTGCACAGTGTGGTGAATATAATTAATAATAGAGTACTGTACATTTTAAAATTGCTAAGAGAATAAATTTCAGATGTTCTCTCCACAAAACAATGGAAATATTTGAGGTGATGGATGTGTTAACAAGCTTGACTTTATTATTCTACATTGTATTCATAAATCATAACATCACTTTGTACGCCATAAATTTATGCAGTCATAAATTGACAATTTGTGATAAAAATATATTCCAAAACTAAAATTCAAAGCAAGTTTAAGATGTGGAATGTATCTTGAACTATTCCCTCTTTTTCTAGGAAAGAAATAAAATACTGATATAGTTAATCCTTCATCTGTTTCTTGCTATCCAGCTTGACAGGGAACATTTTAAAACAGTGCTCTTGAGAAGAGACTATCTCAATGAATATCTACTTGGGACCTCCTCAAAGGAAAGTGAGATGACAAAATTGGTGATGTATGTGACTCCATACTCTAGTGACAGAGAAGATAATTACGGTGAGGTATCTGGAATGATCCAAAGGCAAATTGGAATTTTCCAAGAGAGAATGAAGATGTATTTGTGAAGAGAAAGACAGTTGGAAGGAAATGTTATTTTAGTATATATTCTGGCCATACATGACTTAACAAGTATGAATTTCAAGAGGACAATAAAAGAGAAATTATAGTAATCAAGATAGGAAATGATTAAAGAATGGGAGAAAATTTTAGCTGAGAGGGAATGTGAAGATTAAATACAAATTCTAACAGCCTGGTTGACAAGTTGATGAGCACATTTACAGATGAGAAATGAAGAAGGAACAAAAGAATGACTTCAACAGTTTTGTGTAAGAGCCAGCCTCAGGTTTATATTAGAAAGAATGAAAGTAGAATTTGAGCAAAGAAGTTTCTGAAAGAGGAGAAAATTAATGTTTTGCCACAGTTTCCTTCTAAAGCTTACCCAATGATTGACATACTTTTCTTTTTTAAGTGCCTATTTGTGGGTGATCTGATACTTTTTGTATCTAACCTTTCTTTTATTATTGAAAGAAATAAGACAAAATTCAGGAAGGAGAGAATGTATATCTTTTTTGAAATTAGACTAAATGGGTGCCTTCCATGTTTTGCCTGTTATGTGTAGTAAATTTGATCTTGTAATATAAAAGTAGCTATATTCAAATAGGCTAGAATATCTTCATGATTCTTGTTTGGGAAAAATAATTGTTACTTATTTGCTAGCTGTATTAACTGTGCAGAAGCTGGAAAAACATTGGATTTTGGGTCAGATTCAGATTCGAGTGTAATACTGTTACTTAGCAACTTTTTGATTCTGAGTAAGACACTTCTTCAGGCAGAAGGGTATGATCATAAGTATGCATGGGAGGCTCACCAATGAATAGAATGGCTCATGTAGATGATCTGGAAAGTACTTACAGTGCTTAGGAAAGAGTACTTCTATTTTTGTTTTTGTTTTTTTCTTGTACATATATAATGTCTCTGTGTGGTTGCAACCATTGACACTTTTAACCAATGGTAAATATAAGGAGTGATGGGTACTATGGCAAACTGGTATCTGAATTCACAGTTTAAAGTATGTAGATTGCGGTGATATGTGGGAATGAGGGCATAGTTTTGCAAGAACTGGTTTTTGATTTTTGTTTTTCTTTCTAAGGAGGAGACTTAAGTTTGGAGTTTTTCTGTGAAGTTTTTCATTTATACATGTAAGCATTTCATCAGAAAACAATTTTGCTGCGCTGGTATGTGTCAAACAAAACAAGTCTTTGAGCCAGATCTGGCCTGTGGCTGTATTTTGAATGTTCTACTTTAATCTCTATCTCTCTCTCTTTTTTTTTTTTACATGGTTATGGAGCTCTGGATAATCTACACAGTATGTACTAGAGTTTGTTTAAATGTTGAACAAGATGCTGAACATTCTTAATATCATATATTTTATTTAGGTGAGATTTAACATAAATTTGAAAAAAAATTGGCCAGGCATGGTGGCTCACACCTGTAATCCCTGCACTTTGGGAGGCTGAGGCAGGTGGATCACCTGAGGTCAGAAGTTTGAGACCAGCCTGGCCAACGTGTTGAAACCCTGTCTCTACTACATTAAAAAAAAAAAAAAAAAAAAAAACAGATTTGGTGGCAGGTGCCTGTAATTCCAGCTACTAGGGAGGCCGAGGCAGGAGAATCACTTGAACCCAGGAGGCGGAGGTTGTAGTGAGCAGAGATCATGCCACTGCACTCCAGCCTGGGTGACAGAGTGAGAGACCCTGTCTCAAAAAAAAAAAAAAAAAAAAAAAAAAAGAAGAAAAATTACTTTGTCATTCATTCACTGGATTAAAAACAAATTTGCTAAGAGGATACATTTAATTAAAGCATAGAAGGACTCAAAGTGATTGATTTTATTTCTCTAATTTTAGTAAGATATAAACATGAAATTTGTTTTGAGTGTTTCACACAGATTTTCTAAATAAGCAAGAGAAGATACCCTTGGAAGGGACTGGATAGTAAAAGGGAACAGATGATGAAGTTTTATAATTTTTTTCAAGATAAAATCATTACCTGCCTATTTAATTGATTTATTGTGTATTAAAAATATATTTCTACCCTCAAGTTTACCAAAGTTAACCATCATATATTTTACATTAGAAATGTATGAATACTTATAGCTCTTCACTATTCATGTGACTTGGGTCTTATTTTTTTAAATCACCTTTTATCTTAGATACAGGGGGTACATTTGTAGGACTGTCACATGAACAAGGCAAAGAGGAACTTTATTGAGCAACAGAACAGCTCCGAGGAGACCCACGTTGGATAGCTCTCCGCAGGCAGGTCATTCCTTCAAATGTTCAGCGCTCATTAGATAGGAGACTCTGGTGTGGGTAGCTCCTCTCCACAACTGGTCATACTGTCATCTCTTTAGCTCTCAGCAGAGAGGAGAGCCTGGAATGGGTAACTCCTCCCTACAGCTAGTGGTTCCATCGATTTCTTGAGTCTGGGTGAGTCTGGGGTTCTTGTGGGCCTCAGAGGGGAGGAAGTGTGCACCAGTTTGTCCAAGGGTGGCCATAGGCAGGGCTGGAAGGTACCACAAGTTCCCATTCTGGTTTGCACGACCAGCAGCCTGGCCCCTGGAGGGCTTCAGGCCCTCCCCAGCTTGAAGGTGGGGCCTTGCTAGGGACCCACCCCCTTCCACTCAGGAGCGCGTCTGCCTCCTGCCACAGTTCATGGCACCCAGGCTGTTTGTGCTGTGGGGTGCCTGCAGGCCAGCACCAAGCTGCCTTCAGGCCCCACTCAGCCTCCCTCCCATGCTCATTGGCACCCAAAGCCTGGAGGGGGCTGAGGCAGCAGGGTGCTGGTATGTCAGTGCTGCCCTTATTGTGTGCACACTCAGCCTGATTGTGACAGCACCCGGGCTAGGCCTCAACTCCACTCCAAGATCGGAGCAAGTGCAGGGAGCAAGGAGAGGCGAGGCAGTGACAGCAGGCACCTCTGAGCCTGCAGAGACAGGGGGCCTTTCCTGGCCTCCAAGAGTGTAGAAATGCCTGGGTTTGGAGCCGCCACTTGGGTGGCTGCAGCTGTGCCTGGAAGGGCGGGGCTTCTGGCTGCTTCCAGCTCCTGCCAGCTCTGTGGAGAGCGCAGTCCTGGAAACACATCCTCCACTGAAGCTGGTGTCATGGCAGCCTCTGCTCTAGATGGGCTGCCGTCATGAGGATTGAGAACTCTACCAGAGCACATGGAATGAGACCGGTAGTCCACACAAGGACAGAGCAGGAGATGGGAAATGCAGTGGGCAGACATAAATAGCAGAAGCCCCATGGAATCCACAAATCTAACATGTTATTATCCTTTACCTTTAGAATTGCTCTTCTTTTTCAACCAGACCCCACTGTGTGTAACAATTATTTTTTAAATTGAGTTTTTAACATCATTTTATTCATCCATTATGTATATGAAAACATTTATATTTTTATGATGGTGGCAATAATTATTGTTTGCCACCCCCCCTTTTTTTTGGGTGGTAGTGGACAGGGTCCCACTCTGTTGCCTAGGCTGGAGTGCAGTGGTGTGATCTCAGCTCACTGCAGCCTCCGCCTCCCTGGCCTAAGTGATTCTGTCACTTCATCCTCCTGAACATCTGGGACCACAGGTGTGCACCACCACACCTGGCTATTTTTTGTGTGTTTTTTGTAGAGACAGGCTTTTGCCACATTGCCTAGGCTGGTCATGAACTCCTGGACTCTAGCAATCCACCTGCCTCTGCTTTCCAAACTGCTTGGATTACAGGCGTGAGGCACTGCATCCGGCCGTAATTATTGTTTGCTCTTTGAAGGAAAAAGTTGTTTGCTCTTTAAAGGAAAATCTATGAACTATTATTTTATAAAATAAATCTTCCAGATTAGGGTTCCCTGACTCTTCCTTATAATTCCCCCAGAAAGTTGAGAAAGAGAGAGAGAGAGAGATAGAGATAGAGACAGAGAGAGAGACAGAGAGATCTGGTTTAATAGATCAAGATGAAGACTGTCAAAATGGCAATACAAATGCTTAGGATGATTTAATGATTACCTTAGTTTCGTTTATAGTATAGAAAGAGAAGAGCAACATTAAACAGGATTTCAATCTTCTTTTTTTTGTTTTTGAGACGGAGTCTTGCTCTGTCTCCCAGGCTGGAGTGCAGTGGCCCGATTTTGGCTCACTGCAAGCTCCGCCTCCTGGGTTCATGCCATTCTCCTGCCTCAGCCTCCGGAGTAGCTGGGACTACAGGCGCCTGCCACGATGCCCGGCTAATTTTTTTGGTATTTTTTTAGTAGAGACGGGGTTTCACCGTGTTAGCCAGGATGGTCTCGATCTGCCTGCCTCGGCCTCCCAAAGTGTTGGGATTACAGGCGTGAGCCACTGCTCCCGGCCAGGATTTCCGTCTTCTAATCTGAAGTTTTGAATATTCCAACCTCTTTGCACAGTCTTCTGCCTTGTTTTCTGTCTTTTTCCAGGTGATAATTTGTGTTCAAATAATCCCCAAGTTTTTCACAGTATGGCTTTACAAGTATACTACATTTATCTGTCAAGTTTCCGATCACATACCCTTGGTCAGAATCTTTCTCAGGGTCCTTGTTTCTTACAGATTAAATAGATTGGGTTTGATATTCAACAATGTTTTGACCTGGTTCAATTCGGATTCCAGCCTATTTCCTACTCCTCCCATTGAATTGCGGCATGCTTTAAACTCAAAGTGTCTTTCTTATGTCTTTCCTTTTTTTTCTTCATTTTCGTCTCTCTTTCTCTGAATAAGCCATTGCTTTCTTCTTTCCACACTTTGCTTTTGTAGTTCCGCATAGAGTCATTTCCTCCCAGCTATTCAGGATGCCCTCCACGTTAACTCCTTTGGTGAAAATCCAATTTATGTTTTGGGGCCTATCTGAAAGGCATTCACATCTATGCAGGCTAATCATATGTGGTTTCCTTCTTCTGAACTCTTGTAGTACTCTCTGTAGTATTTCCTTGAAGTATTTATAGTTTTCTTGTATTTCTTCTTGTACTTTATGGGATTTCACAAAGTTTTATATACTGACTCAATACATATTTATTAAATGACTTGGTAGATAGAGCAACTGACTGAATATATTATTTTTTAGGAAGAAGAAGAACATTTTTGCTTAAATTAAATTTCTTATTTTATTTCTCTTTCCCCTTTTATCCAGGGTAGGTCCAGGTAAAGCCAAAGGCCTTATCCTTATCTACACTGCTGGGGGACACAACACAAGAATTTCAAGTTCAAGTATTATTTCTCATTTTGAGTAATTTTGTTCTCATTTTGTTCCAGTTCTCACTCTCAGAAAAAGATTACTCTTTGTATATTAATATTTCTTAATCATGGTTCTTATTTCAATATACTAATATCATGGTATTAAGAGCAGTTTTTGTTTTTTTTGAATACCTTCCCTTCAGGGCAGTCTTATGATTAAGAATATAAGTGTAGGCAGATGTAGTATTTTTTTTTCTATTAACCAGGTAGTAAAACTAGAAAAGGAAACACACTTCAAAATGTATCATACTTAAAAATATATCAAGCATAAGAAAAGAGAAATATTTCTTTCCAATGGTAGTGAGAAGATACATTAATTGGGTTATAAAATAAGTGCAGGTAGTCCTTAGAGTTTTCTAAGAATAATGAGGCACCTATCTGCCTAGTTGAAAAGACTTCTACCTAGAAATAGCAAGAGTAGTTTTGAGGAATTTTGTTAGTTTTTGCAATTGTAAGTTTACACGTGAAATAAACCCAGCTTGAAAACTTTAAGCTGATGAATAAAGATAGCCACATAATTATGTTGGATGTGTGATCTTCTTTAAAAAAGATGAACTTTCTAATTATTAAGACAAATATGCCAACTAATCAATTAATTCTCTACTAATCTTCCTATCAGGGGTCTCTTCCTAGGGAATTGCTGAGGCTGGGGTAATTTTAATTAAGGTGAAGCAGAGAGTCAAGAAAGCAAAAAACAAAGTCTCCTACCAAATGGAGCTATTTGGAAAGGAGTTACTCAACCAAAAGGAGATACAAGGAGCTACTCTGAAGCAAAGGCTCAGCTAAAAGGAGAGGACACGGAGAAGAGATTGATTATTCACTCTCGGCAAAGAACACCTTGCTTGGACTCTGAGGGGACAGGAAGAGTACTGTACTTCCCTCCCATGAACTGGAACAGGGCTAATAGGCATATAGCATAGGTAGGCCTAGAAGTGGGCAAGATGAGGCCTAGAGATCAAGAATATCTGAGTCATTTTTCTTTTACTGACCCGAACCTTCAGGCCCACCTGTAAGTGTCCTGCCCACCTCTTTCTGGGCAGTTTCTTGATGATATACTTGTATATGTAATAAAGAGTAACAAAGAAGAGTTATTTTATAGTTCAAATACTGTTCTGTGTTGTTGCTAGAGTGATCAGTCTCTTTAGAGACTTATTTAACACAATTATGTTTTTGAAAAAGTCATTTGCTCCTACAGGCTGATTATTATAGGAGGGCATCTTATTCTGATAAAGGTGGTAATTATTTATCTGGCTAAGCAATCTTGTTGATTGAATATAGCTAAATGTTTGGTGGCATTTAGGCTAGAGAAATACTGTATTGATATGTGAATAAATTAAATGTAAATATGAGTTTTACCACCTTAGCTGAAACTACATATTAATTTTTGAGTTTAATCCGTAATTAGTGAGTTTTTACTTTTTTTTTTTTTTTTTTTTGAGAAGGAGTCTCGCTCTGTCGCCGAGGCTGGAGTGCAGTGGCATGATCTCAGCTCACTGCAACCTCCGTCTCCTGGGTTCAAGCGATTCTCCTGCCTCAGCCTCGCAAGTAGCTGAAACTACAGGTGCGTGCCACCATGCGTGGCTAATTTTTTATATTTTTATTAGAGAGGGAGTTTCACTGTGTTAGCCAGAATGATCTTGATCTGCTGACCTCGTGATCGTGATCCACCCGCCTCAGCCTCCCAAAGTGCTGGGATTACAGGCGTGAGCCACCGTGCTCGGCTGTGAGTTCTTACTTTCTGAACATTACTTTCAGATTTCTGAAGAAATAAACAAATTGTGCTCTCTAAGTTGTCATCACAGATTCTTATAATGCTATCAGTTTTAAACTATAAACATGGAGGCAGCACCCATGGGAGTAAGATATTGAACGTTTACAGCATGTGTACATAAGTTACCTCAAAGGATAATTAGATGATTATAATGACACTTTCTTTGAGATAGCTAATTTTAAAAATCTATTGCTCCCAAGTCTAATTATTTGAGTAATGATAACATATTAGCAATCATGAAACTTCAGTCACAGCCAACCCCATTGAAGAAAAAAAAGTAAATCATAGCATTTTCTATAAAGACCCAAAGGATTGCACCAGACCAATCCTTGCATTTTCTGCTGTGTATTCTATGCCCAGCCTCCCATCCGTGTGTACTCTAAACTACCTACACATGTATCATTCATGTGATTTCACTCTATTTGTTTTCATTTGTTTTATAACTCTTCCTTTGGTACCAGGGAGATAATTTTCTAGTTCTTCTCCATCCTTTGTGAACCTCTGAAAGAAGGCTTTTATAATTAGACTTCATAGCTTTAACAAACATTTCATAACCTGCCAGTAAAAATGTCAGTTCTCTGGGCCAGGGCATAATTAAATGAGTAAGTATCAGTGTGGTAATTCAGCCACAAAATAAAATAATTTAAAGGGTCTATTAATTAAGGGCTTGCTTTGATTTTGGAATTCTAATCAACAGTAAGCTCTGTATGTTATGGGTAAAAATCTTCTTGCTTTCACCGTTCCCTTTTCTTGGCCTATTACAAATAGTAAATAAAATAATTGTATCAATGAAATTTTCACTTTGTTGTTCTTTTTTGAATGATTATGCACCTGAGAGAATGTTGTTAAAATAGCAACATATTGGATATGGTCAAAATGAACATTTTGCTATGAGCCTTTAAAACCAAACCTGAGTAATACAAGCAATATATAAACGGTATAGTAGACTCTGTTTGAGTCCATTAGGTCCTGACTGAAGACTGAAAAAACAGTAAAAGTGGAATCCTGGAAGCTAATAATAGTTTGTTTGGTAGGGGGTCTTTTGAACTGAGAGCAGTAGGAGGAAGACAAATGTGTGAAATGATGGGCAATATAATGATAGGGTACAGCGAGGATGGATTAACTATTGGTAGCTCTTGTAACAAAGAAAGAAAAGCTAATTTTGTAGACAAACAAAAAGGCTGGTAGAGTAAAATTAATATTTTAGAATAGAAAACCTCTATCTTTGAGCTGGGTGTGGTGGCTCATGCCTGTAATCCCAGCACTTTGGGAGGCTGAGGAGGGCAGATCACGAGATCAGGAGATTGAGACTATCCTGGCCAACATGGTGAAACCTTGTCTCTACTAAAAATATGAAAATTAGCTGGACATGGCGGCGCGCACCTGTAGTCCCAGCTACTCAGGAGGCTGAGGCAGTAGAATCGCTTGAACCCGGAAGGCTGAGGTTGCAGTGAGGGATTGTGCCACTGCACTCCAGCCTGATGACAGAGCAAGATTCTGTCTCAAAAAAAAAAAAAAAAAAAAAAACCAAAAATAAAACGAAAAAGAAAGAAAGAAAGCAAGCCTCTATCTTTGCTAGGAATTAATTGGTGGTTTTTACATTTTTAAAGATGTATTTGAAGTCTGGGAATGAAAGAGTAAGCAGTTTCTTAGAAGTCAGCATAATAATGACTAACATTAATTGAGCTCTTACATTATTCTAGGAATTGCAGTAAGTGCTTTATGGCTATAATCTCAAATCTTCTCATGACCCCATGAAATAGGTTAGTTTCTATGAGGAAACTGAGGCACAAAGATTATTAGTGGCTGAGCTACTTAACCAAGACAGCCTATTTCCAAAAGTCAAGTGCTTGGCTATCACTCTGTATCCTTTCCAAGGTATATTCTATTGATAATGATGCTTTAAGTACATTTCTAACCAGGGCAGTATCTTAATGCTGATTTTAAAATGGAGACTCTGGAAAATTTTCTATTGTACAATATATTCCAAAAGGAGAGACACTTCCAAGGTTAAATCATTGAATAAATTTCCTTAAAAATCTTAAAAATGTTTTTTGTAAAACTTATTTTTTATTCAGAAAGAGTTGAAGCGTGATAAATGGCAATTTCTGGTCTTTTTTTTATCCACTTATTTGAAATGTATGCTGGGTGTGCTCATCTGGAGCCTAAGAGTAACACCTAAGGAAAATCATCTCCCCTGATGAGGCTTATTGTTTGTTATTAGTTTTGTTCTGTTTGGTTTTATTGTTCTCTTGCTTGGGAGATGAAAATAAGCTTCTAAGTATATATTCTCACTTTAAAAATCTTAAGAAAGAATGAATAAGATCTACTTGTTGATAGCACAATAGAGTGACTGTAGTTAATAATAATTCAACTGTACATTTAAAATAACTGAAAGAGTATAATTGGATTGTTTATAACATAAATGATAAATGCTTGAGGTAATTCCATTTATCCTTATGTTATTATTTTGATACATTGTATATTGTATGTCTTTATCAAAATATCTCATGTACCCCATAAATGTGTACAGCTACTATGTACCCACAAAAACTAAGAATTAAAAAAAAATCTGAAGAGCACAGTCACTTACTCGGTCGCTATACACCAAAATGCATATAAATGTAGACTTGAAATGTAGTTCGAGATGCTGATTTGGGGGAACTAATTGAAAGGCTTGAAAATTGCTTAGCAATTCTGGACTTAATGTATCTTAGTGCTGGAAAGCTAAAGGGGACTTACTGGTATAAAGGGATATTAAAAGAAACATGTTTTTGTTTGTTTCCTCTGGGTGGATGGAGAGGAAATAAGCTTAAGTTAAAGCAAGCACTATCTAGTGTTCTAAGGGAGACGTAATGAAAAACCTCTGGTCTTTACTAATAGTGAGATCTGAAGGAGGTTATAGATTCTTTAAAATCACAGCTGTGTAAGAATAAGATAGGGTTTGAGGTGTTTTAAAGCAGTCTTGTGTGCCATTAGAAAAACAGATTTGGTATCATTGGGATGTCTTTAGAGATTTAACACTGTGTTTTGTAGCACGTTTTAATTGTGTGCACTTGGGTTTGGAGCTGTGCAGGCGGTCCTCTACTTAAAGTGATTGTACTTGTAGATGATGCATAAAGGCTTCCAGCCAGTTTCTTCTATGTTATTATGTATTGGCACTTAATGCAAGCAGGTCACAAATGAACTCGCCCCAGCTAGTCTGACTCCTGATATGAATCAAATAAGGCCCCCCTCATCAACAGCCTCAGCTTGTTCCCATGGGCTCCTCTGTGGAACTCAGTATAGGATTAGACTCAGCTCTAGAGCAGCAACTGGGAGAGAGCAGAATGGGAGCAAGATGGCATGGCCTATAGTTCATAATTTAATCTTTTTTTTAAGTGTGTAAATCTCCTATATTTTTTGTTATTATTAATTTTTATTTAATGTTTTTTTTTACTGATATGGATAGTTTACAAATTTAATTCTTGAATTCAAAAATTCAAAGAGGTAAAGTTGGAAGGAGGGAGAAAAATATATATTTGGTTAGCAAGAGACCTTTAATCTGTATAAGGTCCTGTGACGTTCAATGGAACTGATTTTCCTGAGGAGTTAGGAAATTGGCTCTGTGACAATCTCCATAGAGAAGTTCTTTGGACAACTGTAGCAGTGATAATTTCCTTGAAAGAAATACACAACAAACCAAGTAAAAACACTGTGAAGGGCTTCACTTATTGATGTATGTGATGGGCTGAATATGTCCCCCAGAATTCATATGTTGAAACTTAATCACCAATGTGATAGTATTAAGAGGTGGAGCCTTTAGGAAGTGATTAAGTCATAAGGCTAGAGCTCTCATGAATGGGATTAGTGACCTTATAAAAGAGGTGGAAAGGAGGGTCTTAGGCCTGTTTTGTTTTGTTTTTGGCTTTCCACCTCTGCCATGTGAAGACACAGTGTTGTCCCTTGTGTACTTTTTGCCCCTCCTGCAATGTGAGGATACAGCAAGAAGGCCCTCACCAGACACTGAATGCTGGCACCTTGGTCTTGGACTTCTCAGCCTCCAGAACTGTAAGAAGTAAATTTCTGTTCCTTATAAATTACCCAGTCTGATATTTTGTTATAGCAGGAGGAATGGACTAAGATAGTGTATGAAGTTTGATATATTGATGAAAAAGAATTCATTCTGATTACTATATTGTCACACTTTACATCCCAATATACTCCCAACAATGTTTAAGTAATGACTACATCAATAAAAGCAGTTTGAATTGTAGACACTTACTCTGTGATCTTCAGTAGGTCAGTTAACTTCTCTAAGGCTTAGCTTCTTTATCTTTAAATGGGGGATAGCAAAACATAAGCTCTTGTAAAGATTAAATCATTTCTTATATGAAAGTACTCAACATGTTATTTAAATGTGAAAGTACCTCAAGTATATAGGTGGTAGCCAAGAAGTTTTATTTTTTTAAAAATTTATTTTTATTCAAAATCACAAAGTATAGTACAGAATTTTTATGGGAAAAGAGAGCTGGTAGATCATTATAATATCATATATAGCTACTTTATGCTTATGTGCTAATACACATAATATAGATCAACTGGCATTATTTAATACTTAGTATGCTTGGAAAACTGTACAGCATATTAAATTTTAATCAGATATTTTTTCATATATGTTGTCTTGCAGAGGTGATGATATGCTCTAGGTTTTATTATAAACTAAAATGAGATTTTTTTGTTGTTGTTTTATGCCCTTGTAGTTCATATTGTAATTTACTTTTAACAGAAGCAGATCCCAAATTGCATTTTAAAGGTAGATGCCTCTCATGAGACATTTGCATCAGTGAGCGATGTGGGCTTGTGAAAGTATTTTCAAAACTAATCACAGCAGGATTTGTCTCAGTCGTTGAAACATTGTTGGACAGAACAAGATAATTTCACATCCACTAGAGGAATGATATTATTTTAGAATAATATTTTAAAATGTAGATACTATAAAAGGTAAAAGAATATTTTTTGAATGTCAGATTTATTTCCTTTCTGAGTGTACATTGGGATGGTTAGACTTTAAAAGTATAAGTGATTTGTGAGTCCATTCAGCAGTTCTATAGTGTGAGATCTTTTGTATTATCAAAGTAACCATTTTAAACTATTCCTAAGAAAATTCTTACAAGGGTAACCAATGTAATGGTCTTGAGACATGGAAATTGTTTCCAAGAGAAGTTTTAGGATTTAGTGATTTTTTTTCAAATATTTGAGAGCTATCTTTTTGGAATTACATTGCTTTGCTCTTTATTATACTGCATAAATACCCCGAGGATCTTTTTTGTTTTTTTGATTTGTTGTATCAAACCTATGTCCCTTCCTCCAGAAAATGGACAAGGTGAAGGCAAAGAAGAATTATTTTACCTAATGTTTGATGGTGATAGAAGCAGAACAAGTAGCATCATGAATCTAATTCCTTGGGTTTCTTTGGTCCTTCAGTTTTAATTGAAAAAAAAAAAAAAAAAGAACCAGTATAATAATGTAATATTACCCTAGGCTACTCTTTCCCAAACATTATTTCTTTTTTATTGTTTTAAAAACCTATGCCTTATATTTTCTGACTGCCTTATTTAAAGTAACACCTTCCCCAATAATCTGTATCTATCTTGCCTTCATTTTCTTCAAAACGCTTGTTGCCATCTGACATACTATATATTTTTCTTGATTTTTTTTTCTGTTTGTTTCCTTCATTAGAATAAAAACTCCATGAGAACAGGGACTGGTATCTGTTTTGTTTTTTGCTGTATCCCAGTGCCAAGATCAGCACCTGGTATATAGGATGCCCTCAATAAATGTTTATTGAATGAATATGGTAAAAGAAAAAAAACCGTCTTGCCTATTAAGGTGACTGACTTCTTTTTATGTTAGCATTTGTTTCAAGAATTAATTCATCTCAAATGAACTATCATCCCTTTGAATATCACCCTTCTTCTTTTTACTTGCATCTGTGTCTGAATAGATAGTACTAGTTTGGGAGGTTGTAATAGTCACTTCTCATTTTTGGATGGCCAATGGCCTATTTACAGAGGGTAGATTACTTCCCCATAACCATTAATGTTTATAGTTTAGGGCAAGAGATCAATACTCAAGCCATCTATATTAAACTTGGTCTCTCAATATGGTGGTCACCTATGGATTTCTTTATTTGCTTGATTGTTTCTGTCCATCATTTTCCAAAATGGATTTCAAGAGGCTAGGTCTCTACAAATTCCTAACATCCCCTTCACACTCATCTCTGTTTCTACTCTACTAATCAATCATTATTGGGTCAACTAGATAGAGTTCATAGTGTAAAGTTGCTTATTATTTCTTTATCTCATTTCTAAAGAGAAGTAGTTCATTTCCCCAAACTCCTTTTTTGCTTGGATAATATTTTCCTTTGATGTTATATTTTAGCACTGTTTTAGCCAGTCTCTGTGAAGAGTCAATTCTACATATCCTCTGTACTGTCGATCATTAGAGTGCAGCAACCTAGAACAAAGTGGAGGCACTTGAATTGCTGGCTGGGTTCACGAGTGAAACTAACTGTGAGGACACTCATCTTTGCCCCGTTGGGTTTATTTGGAGTAGATCAGTTTAAATGATAGGCCTCCATGGGAGAAAGAAGACACTTCCATAACAATGAATTCTACATGACAGGAAGCTATGAGTGCGTGAGTACAGTTATTTTTGATTCTTGAAACTTGTTATCAGAGAATTGTTAGCATGGTGGACTTAGGGGCCAGCACTCCAGTTAACAGCTTCCTTTTCCAGACAAATTTAAGTTCCATTAATGGATTTTAATTACACTGACTTTTTCTGCCAAGAGTGGGTGTCATGGAAATTTATAACCTGATATCAAAGGAAACAGAAATTCTTCATTTAACTTTTAATTGTCTCTCAAGTGACAATTACGCTTTGAATGATGGGTCAAATGATGTTATTTATTACAACACTAGGAACCTGTTTAGTCAAATGGAGAAGCTACTTTTCAAAAGATGGGCTTTGAAATTAATGTCTAGTTTTGCATGTGGCTTGGTTAATATCTATTTGGGCTGCTTTAACAAGCACTGGGTAGCTTAAAAACAACAGAACTTTATTTCTCACAGTTCTGGAGACTGGGAAGTCCAAGATCAAGATGCCAGTATATTCAGTTTCTGGTTTGGGCTTATTCCACATAGCCAGTGTTTTCTTGCTGTGTTCCCACATGATGGAAGGGGCAAACAAGCTCTTTAGCCTCTTTTATAAGGGCACTAATCTCATTCATGAGGGCGGAGCCCTCACAACCTAATCAGCTCTTAGAAACCTCATCTCTCTTTTTTTTTCCTTTTTTTTTTTTTGAGACAGGGTCTTGCTCTGTTGCCAAGGCTGGAGTGCAGTGGCGCAATCTCAGCTCACTGCAACCCCTGTCTCCCAGGCTCAAGCGATCTTCCCACCTCACTTACTGAGTAGCTGGGACTATAGGTACATGCCACCATGCCTAGCAAATTTTTTGTATTTTTTTTAGAGATGAGTTTTCACCAGATTGCCCAGGCTGATCTTGAACTCCTAGGCTCAAGCAGTCTGCCCCCCTCAGCCTCCCAAAGTGTTGGGACTACAGGTGTGAGCCACTGTGCCCAGAGGCTCCACCTCTTAATACTATTGCAGTGGGGATTAGGTTTCAACATAGGAATTTTGGGTGGACACCAACATTCAGACCATAGCAGTTATATTATAATTCTCAAAAAACTGTATAAAGATTACATTCCTGAAATTGACGCAGTTTTTTTTTTTTTTGGATTTGATACGTTAAATGTTGGTTGGTGATAACACATCGATTTTCATTATATAGTAGTAGGATGTAGGCATGCTTTGCATTTCCATTTAATGAATTGTTTGTGTTTAAAAGATGTCTTCAGACCCTCCAAGCATATGTGTTTGATACAAGCTTTTTCATATGTGTTTCTTAGAACAGATAAGAATTGTTTCTAAACATCCAAACAAGCCAAGATGGGAATCAGGATTGTATGAGTAGGATCTGATTTTGTCTTTATAGAAGACTTAATCTAAAAGAATTTTCCAAAAGAATTTTCCACAAGGAAAAGCTCTTTGGTTTTTCACTATAGTACTATAATTTTGTTCAAATTGTTATTGAATAAAATAAGCAACAATGACAATATTAGTTCTTGCAGGAGTACTAAATACTATTGGCAGTTATGTTAATGGGTTCTTCCTATTGTTTGTAATGCCTTTTTGTCTTTTATCTGTTTGTGGAATTCCTTTTATTCCTCAAGTTCTAGGTGAAATCTCCATGAACTGTTTCTCTGCCAGGGCAGAGTTGATTGCTTTTCCTCAGTGGTCCCATTATTGCTCTAAATTATCTATTATGGATATAGATATTTATTATGTCTATTATTTATTACAGCCATATAACAGTGTATTATAATGGTATATGTGTCTGTTTCTTTTTTTTCCAGCAGATAGTGAGTTCTTCACGGGCAGAAATAATACCTTCCTCAATTTTTAAATGTAAGCTTCCAAAATAGAACCCAGTATATACCAGGTTCTTTAGTTGGGAAAGTAGACAAACAAAATACAAACAAAATGTTCTGTTGTTCATTTGTAATAATCCCTACTGTTGGGCAAACTTTGATGGTGTAAATAAAGCCAATATGTTTGAAAATTTTATATAGTTCCACTAGATGTAATAAAGAGATTGATTAAAGATCCAACAAGTTAAATTAAACAGTATTACACTTTCGACTGTGCTAATAAGACATTTTTGAAAGATTAGATTATGCTTTATTCTAAGAAAAGACAATATCATGAATCCTGCTTTATTAATACCTAAATATGTTATATCACCTTTGGTTAGTTTTGTGTGGCAGAAAGGATACAGAAAAGTAAGAATAGAAAGAAATTTTAATATGCTGTACTTTTCCCTGTAATTTTGTAAACTCACATTTCATATGTACAATAAAAATAACTCTATACCTTTATTAAAACTTCAATATCTTCATTTATATTGAGAGTGGTAGCAACATAAAATTGAAACCTGAGAGTTGTGAAGGATATAAAGTCATGTTTTAATAGAGAAACTAAATTGCTCCTTCAAAGAGCCTATAAAACTGAAAAGCATTCATTATAAATGTAATAAAAACTTATGAGTTCAATTTTATTAAAACTACACCCAGTTTCCTGGAGGGACTGGATCATTTAGAGGTAAACCACTGATGCTTTATGTCTAGCAGCATACTTTATGTGAGATAAGACATCTACTGAAATGAGGTTGATGGTTTTAACATGATCCCTAATGCACATGCACTCATAAGATTGTAATTTTAACTTTAGCAGAGTTTGCTGCTTTTGATAGTAAATTATTTACTGCTCAAAGCTCCTTCACCAAAAAACAGAATGATAGTGAAAGATAAAGCTTATGCTTCTTCTAATTGGTTTGTTATATCAGACTAACATTCTGTAAACTTCTTACTCAAATCAAATTATATAGGTTAACATTGTTACAGGAGAATAACTTTAGTGATTACCATTGGCTTTTCTTTTTCTATTCAGACATAGTACTGTTTTTAATGTGTTAAGGAGAATCATTTTTAGTTTTGGCTTCTTTTAGTGTTTTCAACTTTTACATATTTCATATTTGATGCTATTTTACATGTTCCACGTACATATTTTAATTAACTGTGGTTGTATTGCTGACAGTGTGTGAAGGTGCAAAAGGAAATTACAGGGAACTGACAGGTTGTCCAGTTACTCTTAGTTTTAGAATCAAAGAACTTTAAATAGAAATACTCGCATACTTAAATGAGAGAATTGAAATATTTGAGTTAATATACATTATATGTAGGCTGTATTTATTTATTCGGAAATGAGGCAGGTTTTTTTGTAAAATGGTGGCAGAATAAAAATGTGTTTATTTCAATCCCTTTCTTGAAACCTACTTCACAAATACATGTAAATTAATGAAAAAAAAATGGACACAAATTATAACAGCCCCACTAGGAAATGCAGTTCGAAAATGTAGTGACTGACATAGCTATCAAGTTCAGTGGAATTTAGTCCATATTGAGGGAGGACATTGGGAGCTGAAACAGTTTTCCAGATCTCTACCTGTTTGTATATATCTCTGAAAATGCATATATTCTCCACTCAAACATTCAATTCAATTGGTAGTTTTTGGTAAATATTGAAGAAGTTTACATTATTTTTGGGAACTTAGAATCTAAAGAAAGAGAAAGATATGACAAGGGCATTATAACTCTAAGGCCAGATATAAGTATGATGGAAGAACAGAGTTCCAGAATGAACGAGTCCTAATAACAGAGGAGAATTGGGAAAAATGCTTCATAAAGGAAGTAGCATTTGCAAAAGTATTGAAAGAAGGATAAGATTTTGGTAGGCAGTTATGGTGGAAAAAGGCATCATTTGTAGAAGTAGCATGAATCAAAGCAGAAATTATCAGGGCGTGTTTAGGGAATAGTTATGGATTCCAGTTTGATTGCAGCATGTGATACATGCTGGAAAGTATGAATCACTGCTTCACAAGGAGCTGTGGTTAACCAGAGTGACCTGGTACACCCATGTTGTAGGAACTTTGAGTTCATTATGTAAGTTGATCCACACAGCAGCCCATAGGGTAATAATAACTGCTTGTACGGGTTAGGAAAATAAGACTCAGAACTTGCTTAAAGTCACTCTGCTATTGAGTAGTTGAGCCAGGAATATGACCGAGAGCCGTTCTGACCTGTGTTGTTACTCACAGTATTATATGATTCTAAGGGCAGATCTGGAGCCATATTTAGAGGAATTGTCACATCAGATCAAAACTTCAGCCAGTTTATGCAGACTAGAGAGAGCATTTTTTTCTTTTTTCAAAATGAGTAAAAGAAAGTCTGTCTTTATTTTCCCATTAGTAATTGCATTCTTGTGTCCTGGAGGACAGGAAAAGAATACATGGCTTCAAAATGCCATCTTTGGAATCCTTGGTGAAAAAGTGTAATTAAAACCCAGATGTCCCTAGATTTAGATTATCTATGTACTCTTCATTCTTCTGTGCAATATTATCTGTCTACTGATTTCTAAATTATATTTAGTCAATGTTTTTTCCTCCTTCTTTGTTATTGTTGCTTACTGTAAGGTATATCTTTGCTTTAAATCCCTACTAATGTGTGACAATTCTAAAGTCTGAAGGAACTTTTAATTTGAAAGTAATTGCCTAGCATCAAGAGTAATTTTCAAAGGAGCAAAATTATTTTAAACATTTTAAACTGCAATTTTAGTCTTTAGAATTAGATGGATTTGTCATTTGATAGAATGTAATAGTATTGAGTGAACACACTGAAAGCTATCGCATTGTATAGTAGTTCTGCTGAGTTTTAAAATATAGTTGTTTTTCCCATCCTTCCAGCTGATACTTCCTTAACTGATGACAGATGGTACTTTGGTTTGTTGAAGCCCAATTCTATGATTATTTTATCTTTGATTGCCTTTTTAAAGACGTATGGAGATATCTTCATCAAATAATTAGCTATATTACCTTGAGAATTATTTTACTATAAATACTTGGTTCATTTTTGTTTTGTTCTCTTCTGTTTGTTTTGAGATGGAGTCTCGCTCTGTTGCCCAGGCTGGAGCACCGTGGCGTGATCTCAGCTCACTGCAAGCTCCGCCTCCTGGGTTCACGCCGTTCTCCTGCCTCAGCCTCCCGAGTAGCTGGGACTACAGGCGCCCGCCACCACGCCCGGCTAATTTTTTGTATTTTTAGTAGAGACGGGGTTTCACCTGTGTTAGCCAGGATGGTATCCATCTCCTGACCTCGTGATCCGCCCACCTTGGCCTTCCAAAGTGCTGGGATTACAGGCGTGAGCCACCGAGCCCAGCCAATACTTTGTTCATTTTTAAAGGAATTTGTTGGCTTATGTGATCGTTGTAAGAGTTGGTACTTCCTCAACCTTTTCAGTATTTTCTGGGCCTCCGATTTTGTAAAATAACATAGCATTAATTCATGATGGCTTTGTGAATATAAGAGGATTCAAGAGAGTTCGTGGAAGTTTAGGGAAACTTCATAAACGAAAAACTGGAAGTAGCTCAAGTCAGCCTCAGTAAGGGCAAAATAAATTGATATACCTATTCAGCGAAATACTGCACAGCTCTGAGAACCAGTGAGTCAATTTTGTATGCCCTGTTAAAGAGTCGTGCCTAAGATATATTTTTACGTTACAAAAATGTAAAACTGCAAATAGTATGAGAGCGTTTACGTAAAGATCTTTAAAGCTATATGGATATATAAACAACAAACGTGCAGTGAAAAATTTTGAAGGAACCATTAACAATGATTATTTATGGGGAAAGAAGCTAGGAAAAATGATTATTTAAATTTAAATCATTTAAATTCTCATATTTTCATTTCCTATTTCGTGAAAGTGCTTTATTTTGTTTCTTCCTGTTTCTCCCACACTCACAATGAGCATGTATTGCTTTTATTAACTAAATAGTTTTTTAAAAAGTCCCTTTTATTTAGAAAATAGTGTATAGGAGACTCTTAGTGTCCTCCATAATCTTTTTGAATGAGACTTCATAATCTCCTAATTTACAATGATTGTAAGATGCTTTAGAGAAAATACCACATTGTTCTAGTTTAACACTCCTAGTGATGAATGGGTCACTTCATTGAATAATTTTTTTTTCTAGTTTGATTTTTATCGTTTGATTCTGGAAATGATGACCCGATCTGAACTTTAGCTGGCATGGCCAGCATGGTATAAAAGGCTAGCACCGTAAAGCATTTTGTTCCTTTTAGGGAACAATATAATCTTTCACATTATTCCAAGAGATTATTTTTCATGATTTTTCCTAAGGTCCCAAATAATCTTAGTTTAAAAATTAAATTTATGGGTGTGGCCCCTTATGCCTATAATCCCAGCACTTTGGGAGGCTAATGTGGGAGGATTGCATGATCCAAGTAGTTCAAGACCAGTCTGGGCAACACAGAGAGATACTGTCTCTATCAAAAACAAAACAAAACAAAACGGTGGATGTGGTGGCATACCCCACCTGTGGTACTAGCTGCTTGGAGGCTAAGGTGGGAGAATCACTTGAGCCCAGGAGTTCGAGGGTGCAGTGAGCCGTGATTGTGTTGGTGAAGTCCCGCCTTGGTGATAGAGCAAAAATAAAATAAAATGAAATGAAATGATAGAGCAAAAATGAAATGAAATGAAATGAAATGAAATGAAATAAAATAAAATAAACAATAAAAATTAAATTTGATTACACAGTCTAGCATTCTATTCATATTTTTCTGATAATTTCTAAAAGTTAAATTTATCATGCTCTGGAAAACACATGGATTTTAGAATCGTCGACACTCATAAAAAGGAACTCATAGGGTAGTCAATGGAAATAAATGAGCTCACATATATAAAGCATCCTGAAGACAGACTCAGTCCGTAATTAGACTTTCAATGAAAATATATGTACATATTTGCTTTTAAAAATAAAAAATCCTTTATAATAAAGTTTCTACACAATAAAAAGATAATGTGGCAATTGATAAAGAGACATGATTGAAATTTTGCACTTTACTTTGACTTCTAGTAGTGTTACCTCCTATATTCTTCCAGTCTATCTCTTTTTTATTCCTTGCAAGTTTATATTTTCAACTTAGTCTTTAGAAGCAGCTGATAATGTCCGTCCAGTTTGTATTGAGATCATAGAAATTGGTATCAGTTGAAACAGAATAGATAAGTTTTGAAAAAAATTTGTTTCTAGCCTCTCATCTAATCTTCCAAAAATATTAATGGGATTTAGGTTTCTACTGTCCTTACTACTTTAAATTTAAATTAGTTTAAATTGAAATTATGTTAATAATCCAATAAACTTAAAATCTTTGTAATTTTATGTAAATATAAATGGAAGCCAAAAATCTATTACTTCCTGCCTCTTTCATATACTTTACAATGTAAGTTTTATGTAGTGCATGTTATTTCATTAAGACCTAACATATTAAATAAATATACTAAATGGTGACAGTTTTAATTGTTATTTTTCAATAGTTTGGTTTTTAAAAACAATTCACTGAAACACATTTCTGCTTATGGAAAATCATCTATGAAAACGATAAGTAAAATTGTTTTGTAATATTTTTGCATAAGTATATACATTGCAAAAAAACTGGAAATTTAGTGTCTACATGTTAGATATGATTATAGAAGTTGATACTGGGTAGAGCTAAGTAGATATGGTCTTGGTAAGTAATTTTGTGATTTCTAATATAAGGTTAGATATAATGCCTACCTCACAGACTTGGTGAAAATAATTTATAAAGGAAATTTTATAAAGCAATACTGTTTTAGGTGTTAATCTTTTATTTAGAAACAAATATTGATTATTGTTTTTATCAGCTCCATATATATTTGACTGTGAAGACATATGTACTATTCATTCACAACATCTATTGAGTACTTGTTGTGGACTGGGGATTGTGGCAGGTAGTGGCTTTTGTGATAAATAAGATGAGGTTCTTAACACTGTTGAAGCTCATAGTTATTGAAGGAGAGGAAGCATTGAAGCAAATAATTATGGTACAAAATTACAAATGTTATAAACAGGTGTAATGGTACAAAGGAGGGGTGGATTCTGCTGGGATCTCAGGAATCTTTCTCAGAGGCTGCTCCTTAGGCAAGATAAATGAGTGTTGACATGACTAAATGGTAGACTGTCATAGGTAGATTGAATATTAAGTAAACATCTACTCCACTATTAAAAGAGTACTAAATGTAGGATGAATACTCAGTTCATCAAATGTTTATTGAAAAGTCACAATAGACAAGTTCCTTTACTAGCTACAGAAGAACTAGAACCCTGAAAAGATCTGGTTCTTGCTCTTCAGGGGCTCACAGTCCTACAGGAGACAGATGTGTGTTCCCAGAGGGCTGTGCCCCAAGGCAGAAGTTGAGTAAAGGTGCTGTAGAAACTTTGTGCCATATGACCAGGCCATGGTATCACTGCCAAATCCCGAAGAGACAGCTGTGACTTTATAAGTAGTTTGGCCTCTGGAATACTGAGTTAAAAGTGGACTGGTCTAAAAGAGCAGAGAAATTTTAAGAAATCAGTAATATTTTACAAATGCATATGTGATATAGTCTTGAGATGTAAGGTCAATTGATGAGTAGGACACAGATTAAATAATGGGAAGTTGACCCATAGCCTGGTCAAAATATGTGTAAATAATAGGTAAAATAAGTAATATTAAAGGAATATAAATTATATCGCTAAAAATACTATTAGCTAACCCAGCTAAAATATCTTAATTAGGTATATCAATTAAAATATGTACTGGAAGATCTCCTATTGATCTTTTAGTTTTTCCCACTTAAATGAAGAGGCTCTTTCTGATTGGCCTCTGTTCTCTCTGGTCAGCATCTCTGGATATTGAGGATTTCCCATTCGGAGGACTATATTTAGCATCCCTTTTCTCCTTAATCCCAAATAATCACTCTTGGGAGTTATAAAACCTGAGTGAAAATAAGAACTATATTTTCTTTAAAAGTCGTTGGAGATGGATGCTCAATGTTTGACTCTGTTTTAAGGATTGTTTCTGGGTCTTTCTTTTTAAATCATTACCACACTTTATCACCGTCAGACAAAAATCACCTCAATTTTATTTTTATTGCGCCTTTAAGATTGTTTATCTATTTATCCATTCTTACTTCACTGATTCTCAGAGTGGGAAGAAGAAGCATCTTAACCCACTGTCAAGAGCATACCTTCTGCCACGCCCTTGTTCTGTTATTCCCTGCTTCCTGCAAGAGCTTGCACAGACACCCATCGACTTTCTTTTGTATTTTAATTTCTTCCCATTAGTCCTCAAAGAGGCTACATCTCCACATACTTCACAAAAGAGAAATAAACAAAAGAGGAAATCCCTCACATTAATCTCTCCTCAATCTTTTCCTTTCTCTCTGTTCTCCCATGTTTGAACAGTTGCTTTTACTCAATATCTCCATTTATGCATCTCTTAGTAATTCTCTGTCCACTGAAGTCTGGCTTCTGCTGGGATCATCCAGAGCTGTCTCAGGTTGCCAAGGACTTCCCAATTGCCCAACTCAAACTCTCCTCAGGGGCTTGATCACTGTACAATCTATGTGATTAGCCATCATTTTTCTAAACTCCTCCCTTACCTCATCAGCTACCACTCTCTTCTTGCCTCTGTAATTTGTTTTTAGTCTTAGTTGTGTCTTCTGCCTTTATCCTGCTTAAAATTGTGGCTATTTGTTTTAGTTCTGCATTTGATCTTCTCTTTGTGTACTTTGCACTCTCTTGGGCAATCATCCCCTTTCTTTGATTAACCTGCCATGTGATGCCCAAATCCAGAGCTCTTGTTTGGGTTTCTCCTGAGCTCTGTTCTCTTGGCTCCATCTGGATGGACAAGGCACTTCATAATTGGTGTGTTCCAAATGTCTTACTGATTTGTATCTGTTGTCAACTATAATTGAGATTGCTATCTTTCAAAATAAACAAATTCACTTAATTTTATTAAGATTAAGTATTTTACACACTAAGTTTTGTTGGAAGAAGCGAAAAGAAAAGGAGTTATGATTGCTGGCCGTTTGGATTGCTCAGTTTTCAGACTAAATACAAATTTGGGGCTTTAGAATAGCAGGAAATAAAAATAAAATTTTTTGAAACTAATTGACACATGATATTTTTAAAAGTCAAAGGAAACAAATGACTTTATTGGAGTTCCTTATACTTATATCATGGTGTAGTATTTTTATTTTAAATATTTGGCCTTGACATTAAATAATATATGGGAATATGAGCTCTCATAATCTCATAATCTTTTCAGGGCATAAAATAATCTGATCAAGGCTGATGAGGGTTATAAAAATATATTGTTATATTCTGTCTTTGATGGCTTCTGGGTGAGTCTGAGAGAAAATTCTCTCTTCCACTTGGGTACATAGTTGATCACCCAAACTCTAAGTGATACCTGATGAGTAAAGGTGTCAACCATAAGGTTGCTCTGTGCCAGTGCGACTTCTGTTTGCTCTCATTACCTTTCGCCAGATTCTGCCTGATAACCACAGATTTCCATGTGGCTCCCTCCTACTCCTGCTCCTGCTTGTCAACAAGCTCTCTCACCTGCGTCTACTACATAGTTCCTGGCTGTAGAAATGGAACCAAGTAGCTTTCTTTTGTAGAATAAATGGACTTATCCTTAACCAGCAATGGATGATTAGGATGGGAAGGTAGGGTGGAGGGATGTGTATAGAAAGAATGTGAAACTTGAAGTGCCCTTTAAAAAAATGTTTTCTTGTTCAGCTCAGAGTAGATCAACTTCTGTTTGGCCTGACTTTATTTCCTAAAGACAGTAACTGGTCTCAAGACATGTTTAAGAGTAAAAAATGCTAGAATCTTCTTACCTTAGAAGCCAGTTTGTGCTACTACTGACCTGTCAGGAGGAATACTTCCATGTCAGGAGGAAGGAATATATCAGTATTTGCCTTTAGGGAATTTGCCTGGAAGAGTACATTAAAAGTCATTCCCAGTCAAGGCAATTTGTTTAGATGTAAAAGCATATAAGTTTTGTGTGTGTGTGTGTGTGTGTGTGTGTGTGTGTGTGTGTGTGTATTTGAGCAGCAGCATTTTACCTTGTTACAGATTTTAACTATCTTTCTGGAAGTATTCTGTTATAGTGAATGTGACTGTAATGTAACAAACAGATTTTACATGCTTTAATGGAATTTAAATTGCTCTGTGAGGCTAAATGAAATAGTTAATCTAGACTTTTGCCTGGGTTTTCTTACCTGCATTTTGGGGGAGGAATGTTCAAAGAATATTTTTTTAAAAAAGAATATCATTCAAAATACAAAATAATATACTGCAAATGATATTAATAAAGGTCATATAACTACATTAGAATGAAGACTTGTAAGCCAGGCTGGCCTTGGAAATAGTTGTGAGTCAGGCAGTATGCTTTTGTTGCTTCTCACCCTTACTATCTCTTTGATGCCTTCTTATCTGCCACTGCAGTGGTCAGTTCTTTCCTATTCCGTTTGCCCGCTCAAAGCAAAAGGAAGAAGTATTATTGATGTTTGCTATGGGTCAGGCTTTTTATTGGGTGTTTGACATATACTGTCATTTAGATGACTGTTAAATTTGTGGCACCAGCTCTCCTTCCCCAGCTGCAAACTTTGTCTATTCAAATTGCCTAGTTAAGATGTTGTAGAATTTGTTTATATCACATGATGTTATACACAAATACCTGCTTACCAACCTACCTTCGTACATACATATTGATAATCCTGTTTTATATAGATAAGCAATATACTCATGTAATGTCAGTGAAAAGTGTGGCTTTTTATGCCAGACTGCTTGAAGAAACTAAGGCTCCAGAGACTGTCACCTGCCCAAGGTCACATATTGTTAGTGACATATTGTAGTAAATGGATTTCGACCTAAGTGTGGCAGACACCAACTTTCACTCTTGCAAGTATTTTTAACCACTTTTCTCTACCTTACGTTCCTATTGTTCTATTGGTGCATAACGGAGTGAAATATTTCTCTTAATTTTGTATTTTTTGTGTTTTATATATACATATATTTTATGCAAAATAAAAATAGTTTTCCCTTCGGACAAATCTAAAAGTATATTTGATAATAGAGGAAGAAGCTCTGTAATATACATTTAGCATGTTGGTAATGCTAGATTTATTTTTTAACTAAAGCCTGAAGGACTAGTAGAATCAGAGAAAACCTTGTTTTTGCTTAGGTGTCATTGTTTACCTTGAGAATGAAAAATAGAGCAAGTAGTTAGAAAGCTTAGAGGAGTTAAAAATAATAACCGTCATGCTGCCCTAGAAATAAAAGGAAATGATAAAGCATATACCTACTAGCTCAGTGATCAGTGATTTTAGCTATTGGTGAGACATTTAATTTAGTGTAAAAAATGGTATGAGATGATGCTGTAAAATGTATATCTGCAGACAATTTTTGTTTCATTATTTATTTTTATATACTGTCAACTGGCCATGTTAATTTCCACTGATAATACAACTGAAATTATCATATCAACCTGTATTTCAGGGACTTTCTCCAAATACACTCAGAGTTGTCTTATAAACAAAACCTTATTATAGTCACACAGAGTTTGAAATGTTAAGGCTAATTTATGAGAGCAGTTTGTCTGAATAAGCATTTAGTCTAGGAAAGGAATCTTTCCTCTTAAAGATATAGTAAGTCTTCTCTTTCTACTCCTAAGCCCTCTATTTCCCATGCCTGGGGTGGGTTGGAGGTAGAGAAAGCACCTTAAGCTAAGTCAGTTCAAGATCATAAAAGCTATGAAGAATGACAATCCTCTGAAGCTTTTCTGTATTAAAAATATCCTCCTTATTCTCTTACCCTTATCTTTGCCCTAGTTCTTTGCTGAAGAATGCCATAGTTTCTTCAGTATTTGTAGAGTTTAGGAGAATGTGGACCAATATTTATTTATTTTTTTTTTCAGGACTTAGGTTATCTGTGATAGGAAAGTTAGAGTATAATCTATGAGTAGAGTGTAAACACACTAAAGAAAAAGCTGTAGAGAAAATAACTGCCCTATTTATTAAGTATTAGTGCTGTTCTTCTGGTCATTAATGTCAAGCTAATTTCTTTTCTGGCAGGCCCTTGTAGTATTTTTTTTTTTTTTTCATTAAAAAAGGTGGGTGACATGAAAGCACTGATGTCTTTTAATAGTTATCATTGATACACAGGCCTCTCAGGCTTCTGACACCACAAAGGCAAAGTTTCTGCTTTTGAGACACATCTTTCTGCCTCTTTTGTCTCCTCTAATTGATTTTGTTATTTTAATTGAAAACACTGGTTTTAAAGAATGGAATTCTGTAGGGCCCTGGTTAGAGAATAGCCACAATAAAAAGTATACATGAATTATCTTATTTCTTCTGAGTGGCACTGTTTGGCTGTGGTGCCTCTAGACCATTCTCTACCACTTACTCCAGTTTGCACTTGAGGGCAGATTTTTCTCAACGGTACTAGTAGGTGCAGTAATGGAGCTGGCTGATGCTATTGGAATGGTGCTTGAACAGGAGGAACTTTTTTATTAGCCATATCTGTAGTTCTGATCTTCCAGGAAGTTAGCTAGTTATAATAATTCCCTTGGCTTAAAAAGATCATATTAGGTAGGAAATCTTCCTATTGAAAAAGATGTTATTCTGTAGGACTAATAGCTAAATAATAAGCTAATATGAGTAATGACACTACTTTGGAGAGTGTCAGTAATACCAAGTTTTTCAAGTGGCCACTCTCTGGGTCCCCTTCCATTGTGTGCAAGTGCCAATTAACAGTTTACCTGTACTAGCTACCCACTCACTAGCAAGTACAAGAAATTAACTCCTCCCAGGACAAAACAAATTACTTCCTTAAACTGCCAGATCCAACTACGATGAGCAGAGCCGTCTAATAAGCTCTTATGGACTGAATGTCTACTCCCCAAATTCATATGTTGAAATCTTAACTCCAAATATGATGGTATTAGGAGGTGGAGCCTTTGGGAGGTAACTAGGTCACAAGGATGGAGCCCTCGTATATGAGATTAGTGCCCTTATAAAAGGGACTCCAGAACAGTCTGTTGCCCCCTTTCTGCCATATGAAGAAACAATGAGAAGAGGTCAGTCTGCAAACTGGAAGAGAGCCCTCACCAGAACTTGACCAAGCTGACATTCTGATCTCAGCCTTCCAAAACTGTGAGAAGTAAATTCCTGTTGTTCATAAGCCACCCAATTTATGGCACTTTGTTAATCGCAGCCTGTACTAAGACAGGAGCACCATGAATTGACTTGAAACATGTGGGATACAGCCTTTATTTAAGCTGTTATTGAAAAAGCAAGAGAGAACTTAAGCCACACTGTGACAGAGACTGTCACAAGCCGTGGAGGGAGCAGGAGCGGTAGACTGGCAAGCTATAAGCACTGACATCTACTTTTCCTCTCCAGAGGGGCTCTGCCAGGAAGTTCCCAACCCTTCCTACTAAAGCTTCTCCTTCTCTGACATATCCCAAATCAACTTGGACTTCTCTATCCCCATGCCCTCCTTTAAAAAACAAAAAATCCATTTTCCCTTTTGGAAGCAATAGCATCAATATGGATGTAAATCTTACTCTAACTTGGCAGTATTTTGACGTACTTAAGGCCTCAGATTCCAGAGCCAGGTTGCCTGGATTTGATTCCCAAATCTACAATTAATACATAAGTGATTTGGGCAGGTGATTCAAGGTCTCTGTGCTTCAGTTTCCTCTGTAAATAACCTGTGTGCACTTTGTCTAGAGAATTAGTTGAGTTGGTATTTGTAAAGCACTTAAAACAATACCTGCCACCTGATAAGCTCCTTTTCAGTGTTTGCCATCATAATGATTATTATTACTTGAAATGTAATTCTAATGACAACGTTCATTCCTTCAATAAATATTTAATAAGAACATACTTTGTGCTAAGCATAGTATTCTGTCTCATTTCCAACAGGCTCCATACTATGAGTAAGGCCAGACACTAACTATAATATAGTGGTTTGAATTCTCGTTACAATACTATGTTTGAAATATAAGAGTGCAATTGGCTTTTAGCTATATATTTTAAAAGGTTAGATATGTAACTTGGGCTTGGGTGGTATTGCCCTGAATATCTGGGTACTCTTTCAAAGTGCCAGCATTATATTTAGTTGGTCCTAAAAGGGAGAGCCTGGTGGCCCTCTCCTTGGGTGGCAGAACTTATGTCTTGTCTATGCAGTTGCTCTGCTTCCTTGAGACCCACTGATGGAAGGGTTAAGACCTGCTTGGCCAGAAAGGGAAGGGCCTAATTTTCTTGCTGCCCACAGACTATTAGAACACCACCACCTTACTCCCATTCTCTTACACTGCTTTGCAACACACACTGTATGTTTGCAGTTGTCCTTGACAACATTAATACTTACTTTGATTTTATTTATACGTTTGCAGTCTTTTCCTCTGTGTAAAGGTGTATTCATTTATGGAGAAAAAGTGCCTACTACTAATTCTATTCCCAGAACTAAGTAGACTAATTTATACTGTACTGGGGAGACAAAAAGGTATTAAAACTTTTTTTTTTTAAAAAAAGCAAGGACGAGGGGGAAGTTACAGAAAATTGTAGGGAAACAGTTTTCAAAAGTAAATGTGGCCTCTTCCTGGTGTTGCCTTTGTCTCATCCTGTCCTTTATACATGAATTCCAGAGGTTCTTAAAGAACTAGGCCGTAAGACTCATTCTTAGATTTTATACTGAAATTGATTACCTCATCAGCATGCCTGATTAAAGTGGAAAGAGGCTGGGCACGGTGGCTCATGCCTGTAATCCCAACACTCTGGGAGGCTGAGGTGGGCGGATCACCTGAGGTCAGGAGTTTGAGACCAGCCTGGCTAACAAGGTGAAACCCCGTTTCTACTAAAAATACAAAAAAATTAGCCAGGCTTGGTGGCACGTGCCTGTAATCCCAGCTACTCAGGAGGCTGAAGCAGGAGAATCGCTGGAACCCTTGAACCCAGGAGGTGGAGGCTGCAGTGAGCTGAGATCGTGCCATTGCACTCCAGCTTGGGCAACAAGAGTGAAACTCCTTCTAAAAAAAAAAAATTGAAAGATATGGTTCTAGATGCTTAAAAAAATTGAGTGGAATGATAGGCATATATTAGGCAGAAAAGAGGAACAATGAAGGCCAAAGTAGACATAAGGACATGAATAGTCCCATGGCTATAACTGTATTTGTGACAATCACATGCCCGCAGCATATACATTGGTGTCACTGTCTGTCTGTGCAGTCTTTCCTTTAGAAAAGGTTAATTACAGCCTTTCTTTGCATCATGGACACCTTTGGTGGGAATCTGCTATACCCTATACAACTCTTCTCAGAATACATTTTTAGATGCATAAAATAAAATATATGTTATTTAAGAGGAAACCAGTTTTACTGAACTCATTTAGCAAAATACTTTAAAATTTGTGATGTTATTATATATTTGTTTCTTCATAATATATTTAAATGTATTAAGATGATCTAATAACACTGGGCCTATAAACAATCATAGTTTCAAAGTAGTGTAGTGTTGAAGGTAAAAAATATTTCAAGATATGTAAAACAATGGGAATGTGATATGAAAATAAATCAGATTTCTGTTGGTGACCAAGTCATAGAATTTAAAATAAAGCATATTTCCCTACATGTCCAGAAGCTAAGCAAGCTAATTACTCATATCTGTTTATACTTCTCATGTTATTTCATCTAAAATGCTTATATCCATTGAGATAAAGATTTAAGTGAACAAAGTGGTTGGACAGTAATTCAAAAGGATCTGGCAGATAGTTTGCTCTAATCTCCTTGCTATTCTTTTCATTAGGTTACAAAAATTTTAGTTTTCTGTTACTGTTCTAATCTACAAGAATACTTGTAGGTTAAAGTGAGTTTTCAGCTTCAGTAATTTTTGTTTACATAATATATTTTTGTGGTTAATTGTTAGGTTCTTTTTATCCTTTGAGGTAATATGCTCACAACCTGTAGATTTGCTTATTTTGCCAACACTTTCAGACCTTCAGTCCTCATGCCTCCTGACATCTGGAATTTCTCCGGGTATATTTTATTTCCAGTTTCTAAATGCAATGAACATATTCAGACATAGTAAGAAGGAAAAGGCCTATGAGTTACGGGTGATTGCTTTTATGTATTAATGGTGTCCATGGAGGGTCTCATTAACACACACAGCATGAGGAATTTTTGCAGCTACCACGTAGAGCTGAAAAATCCAACCACAGAGTAGATTTGATTGTTTATGTCTCAGTATTTTTGTTTGGAGCTTTAGAGGACATTAACAAAACTTCTTGGGACAGGTGGAATGCCATATGGCATAGGGACTGGACCACTGCCATAGCTTTAGAGATTTATCAAAGCTTCTCCTTCTAGTGGGAATGATATGAGTCTCTTGGACTGCTTCCATTCAGTGATGACATTCATGTACAGATCAGCAACAAAGGTACTTTAATAACAAAACAAAACAGTAACTATCTCGAAAGAGATTTCTTGCTTTTGATAGGGACTGAAGGAGAGCATCTTTATTAGCAGGATATTTATTGGATTCAAAACTTTTTTATACTTACTAACTTATTACATAAAATTCATACAAATACTGTTGTGCAGTAATTTGAGGGTGGGTTGGGTGACGTAGTGGTTTCTATGCATTGAATACTCCTAAATTCAGATTTTATGCCTTCTGAACACACAAATGCACACACACACACACTTTTTAAACATCTATGGGTAGTTCTGAATGGTGGCATTACCTCTGAGTGGCAGTGTCTGGGGTCTGCTGTAGGTAACAACAGAAGTCAGGTTTCTGTTGCACTTGTGACATTTATAGCAAACTTCCTTTCCACAGTGTTTTTTGACCAACTTTGAGGTGGGGTGGGAAGAACTGCTTTTGTAGTACTGGTTGCTACAACTGCTTCTAATGATCTCTAAGTAGTAGTGAGACCAGAAGCTCTAGAGAAGAAAAAGGCAAGGGAAGTTCCTTTCAATGCTTGAGAGAGAAAATGGATTGCATCCTTGTTTAATAGAATATGGAGAAATTGAATATAATTGTCACTGACTTCAAATTATCAATATATATGTACTTTGGAATACTACACACAATTCATTCTGTACAACATAATTTTTGTAAATGATGATACCTTTCAGGGTGTCATTTTAGATGGAAATTGGCACCTTAAATATTTTAAGGTGAAGATTAAAGAATATAGAATAACATTTGCTTATTGACTCATTTCCATTATTTTCCCCCCTATTTCTCTTTGATTCTTATGATATAATTATAATTTTTCTCTAGAGCACCCTGGAGTATTCTTTGATTCTTCATAGCTGCTCATATATCTCTAATAAAGTAGTAAACCATAGTATGAAAAAATTATATTTCATTGAATATAAAATATAATAACTACTACTTATGGATACTTTCTATTTCCATAAATGAGCTGGATAACTTATATTGTCCCTATTATTGTGACGACAGTGCAAACTAGGTGTTATTATTTCCATTTTATAAATGCAGAAAATGAGACCAAGAGAAATTAAATAACTTCCCAAGTTCTTACAAATGTACCTAACAACTGGCACAACTGGGTTTTAAAAAGCCGTTATCAGTTAAATTCCAGAGTGTATGTTCTTTCTTTTATGCCTGAAATATTTGTCTTTTGTTTTATGTCAGATATTTCACAGGGATTCATAGTTTCTTGATTGAGGCATTTTGCCCCTTTGAGTTAAAGGGTCTCGATGAACTACAAATATGCCTTGTGGAAGACTTAACAACAACAACAACAAAATGAGAGAAGTCACACTGCTAATGAGAAACAATGTGTGATCTAGGAAAATGCCAACCCAACTTCTGACTGTAAGTCTGAGAGTGTAGCTTCTCCTTGTCCCAGTTAAGCTCTGGATACATATGCAGTCATTTCCCTTTATAACTCTCTGTGGACAGAGCTTGCAGTGTAAGATCTGAAATGATACAAGTGGCTCCCAGTAAAATGAAGCCAAGAAAGCTATGGCCTAAAATATAAACTCTTTTAAAAAGCTTGTTTCCTTACTGAGCTTGCCAATTTCCATAATTAGTCAGAGGCAATTAAGTACCTTAATTAGTTTGATCTTTATGGAATTTCCAGCATATTTTTGTTTTGTAATCAGAACTACAGTTGAATATATGACTAATATCCCTTATAAAGGCTTACATTAGCATACATCAAAATGGTTTACTTCCGTTTCAGCATAGAGATATTTTATCGACATAATTTTAACATGCATTTCATAAAAACACAATGTTTATGCATTATTACTTACTTATTTGAAATATCACATCTTCAGTTTGCAGGCATCATGGGGTTAAGCAGAACATAATGGCCTTTCTTCATTTTTTGGTTTAGACACAATCACAAAATAAACATTTAAGATACATTTGTAAATAGTTAATATGTCTTAACCACTTTATATAAATAATACTTAAACTTTAAAAATGATCATGAATATAAAAGCTTATGCAATCTAGCAAGGCACCAATTTAAGAGAAAACTGCCAGTCTATGTCTGTAAGATTTAGCATTCCAATGATAGTACAAATTAAGGGTTGATTTGATTAGTGAATCGCTGTCTTCCAAATTTCAATTTACATAAGCACTTGAGAGAACCCAAACTATTTAGAAACTAGCCTGAGTTCTCTTGTTTTCTTTTGCGTGTCTCTGCTTACATTGTGCCATATATCTGTAGGATCAGATTTTTTTCTTATTTGCAACTAAATTCATTCTTGAAATCATGACTCCCTTAGATTTCACATCACATTCTTACCTCCACCTCAGAGGTATTTTCTCTGAGAAACGTGATTGACTTTCTTTATTTTTTTAATACCACTTGAAAAAAATTTCGGTGGGTACTTTGTACTCTCTTTTCTAATTCTCATTTTTCAATCTTATTGTCTTCCTTTTTGTCATTTTCAGTTGATAAATAAACTGAGAAACTCTATCTTGACCCCAAGCTGAGTGCTTTCTTGAGATTTCCAAGGTCTGAGGATTCTTTTGAGTGGAATGCATCATGGAGTTTTCGGGGACTGGGCTCTGAGGCAACCTGGCTCCTCTACAACCAAATTCTTTTGAGACCTTGGGACAGCTTCTGCTCTTCTTAGTTTTCATAGGACCAAAGAAGTGGTAAATACCTGAAGGTAATAGAAACTAGAAAACAAGCTATGGATTTAGTTTCATTAGCATTATTATTAGCCGGGTAAGTGGGAATCCTGTTCCAGAGTTCCACTGAGCATACTGAGCCATTGAGTCCTGATGATGTTAAAGTGATGGACAGTTAGATAGATTTGATTATACTAAGAATGGCACTAGGAAGAAAAAGAGTAAGAGTCTTCATTTTATGTATCAATTCCATGGACTTATTCCCTCTTCTGACACTTAGGAAAGATCATTTTAAAACCTCTTTTTATGTTTTTTATTTCTTTTTATGCTTAATTCTTTTTATTAAAGTAAGAAATGGCTGCATATATTGAAATGTTTATTCTTAAAACTTTTGAAGCCCAATAATTTTATTCAACACTTGTTCTATATGTAAGCAAGGTTTGAGCATATCTAAACTGACAGATGAGCTAGCTACAAAATTTATAGCTATTTATTTTAGCCGTAAGAAGTAAGCAGAAATGTGGAAACAATGGTAAGAAACCCTTAGTATACTTTATTATTGTGTTAGCTTTTATCATGCCGTTGAAAATAGTTACGGTCAACTTTTTGTTATTGTTTGTGGCATAAAACTAGATTAAATGATGCTGGTCATTTGTTTAGGTTTATATAAAACCTGCACATTTATCTTAGTATCTGCTTCCAAAATTGGAAAGTTCAAGTTTTTGTATTTTAGGGCAAGAGAACCTTCATTTATTCCTCTTATTGGTCATTTGAGTTTATATTCATTGCTGTGCTTCCAACTAGTAGCTATATATGTGGGGCCAGAGCTTCTCCATCAAGCTGGGTGCTCAAATACAGGATTTACCCATTTGTTAAATTATGATTCATCTGACATTATTTAGAACATGGTAATAATGAACAAGACAGGGAAGATCCCTATTCATGGACATTACTTACATTCTATTAAACAAACAAATAAGAAAATAGCAGAATAGTGATAAGTAAAATGCAGATATAGGATTATTCATTAGAAGCGTGTTTCATGTTATGTGTTTGGGGAAATATTATCCATTCTTATTTTAGAAAGTCACATGAAGATATTGCTATATTTATTCTCCAGCCAACCACACAGCAGAGGAAATTAGGCTCAGTGATGTTAAATCTTTCATATTAAGTGGCTCCTAAACATATGTGCAAGTTGCCTAGTGGCAACAAAAACAATATAGTAATAAGAACATCAGGTAATGTAGACTCCTAATTATATTTAAATAGGCCTATGTATTGTGATAATAATGTAATAATGGTAAAATAACATAGTAATAATGGTATAGTAAAAGTATAGAAATATGGTATAATATTCGGTGGTTATAAAAATTAATATCATTTTCCTTGTTCCAATAGAATCAAGTAAACACTGTAATGTATGTTATTTTAATATTGCTAGATTTACTTTAAGGAATCATATTTTTGTATCCAGGAAACAGCATAGAAACCTAATATACAGTCTGTCAAATTTTTTCTCAATTTATAAAATGAAACACATATTCCATAAACAGCCAAAATGAATTTTAAAAATAGGCTTTGTCAATATATACGTGTGAATGCATGAAAAGTAATTAGAAAGTACAGTCATTTCAGCACAATTTTATTGTAGGCTTATGTCATTTTATTGTGCTTCACTGTATTATGCATTAGGTTTGTAGCAACCCTGCATTGAGTAAGTCTGTCATCACCAGTTTTCCAACAGCATGTGCCCACTTCATGTTTTTGTGTCACATTTTGGTAATTCTTGCAGTGTTTCAAACTTTCCTTTTTGTTACATATGTTGTAGTGATCTGTGATTAGTAATCTTTGCTGTTACTGTTGTAACTGTTTCAGGGCACCACAAACCTCACCCATGTAAGATGGCAAGTTGAATTGACAAATGTGTGGTTCTGACTACTCCACTGACTGGCAGGTTCCGGATCTCTTTTCCTCTCCTCAGGCCTCCTTATTTGCTGAGACACAACAATATTGAAATTAGGCCAACTAATGACCCTACAATGGCCTCTAAGTGTCCAAGAGAAAGAACGAGTTATGAGTCTCTCACTTTAAGTGAAAATCTAGAAATGATTAATTTTAGTGAGGAAAGCATGTAAAAAATTGAGATAGTTCATAAGCTAGGCCTCTTGTACCAGTTAGTGAAGTTGTAAATTCAAAGGATAAGTTCTTGAAGGAAATTAAAAGTGCTACTCTGGTGAACACACAAATGCTAACAAACTAAAGCAGTCTTATTGCTGATATGGAGAAAGTTTGGGAGTTCTGGATAGATCAAACCAGCCCCAACATTCTCTTAAGCCAAATCCTAATCCACAGCAAAGCCCTAACTCTCTTCAATTCTGTGAAGCCCGAAAGAGGTGAGGAAGTTTCAGAAGAAAAGTTGGAAGCTAGCAAAAGTTAGTTCATTCCTGACAGCTTCAGGAAATAAGCTGTTTTCGTAACATAAAAGTGTAAGGTAAAGCAGCAAGTATTGACATAGAAGTTACAGCAATTTATCCAGAAGATTTAGCTAAAATAATTGATGAAGGTGGCTTCACTAAACAACTGATTTTCAAGATAGATGAAACAGCCTTGTTTTGGAAGAAGATGCCGTGTAGGACTTTGATAGCTAGAGAGAAGTCAATGCTGGCTTCAAAGCATCAAAGGACAGGCTCACTCTCTTGTTAGGAGCGAATGTAGCTGATGACTTTAAGTTGAAGCCAATGCTCGTTGCCCATTCCAAAAATCCTAGGGCCCTTAAGAATGATGCTAAATCTGTTCTACTTGTTCTCTGTAAAGGGAACAACAGAGTCTGGATGACAGCACTTCTCTTCATAGCAGAAGTGTCCAATCTTTTGGTTTCCCTAGGCCACACTGGATAAAGAAGAATGGTCTTGGGCCACACATAACAAACACGAACACTACCAACAGCTGATAGGCTAAAAAAAAAATTGCAAAAAAATCTCATAATGTTTTAAGAAAGTTTATGAATTTGTGTTGGCCATATTCAAAGCTGTCCTGGGCTGCATGCAGCCTGTGGGCTGCAGGTTGAACAAGCTTGGTTTATAGCATGGTTTACTAAATATTTTAAACCCATTGTTGAGACCTACTTCTCAGATAAAATTTTTTTTTTCAAAATATTACTGCTCATTGAAAATGCACATGGTCATCTAAGAGCTCTGAAGGAGATGTATAAAGAGATTAATGTTATTTTCATGCCTGCTAACACAACATTTATTTTGCAGACCATGAATCAAAGAGGAATTTTGACTTTCAAGTCTTATTATTTAAGAAGTACATTTTGTAAGGCTCTAGCTATCATAAATAATGATTCTGCCGATGGCTCTGGGAAAAGTAAATTGAAAACCTGGAAGGGAGTCACCATTCTAGATGCCATTAAGAACATTTGTGATGCATGAGAACAGATCAAAATATCAACATGAACAGGAATTTGGAAGAACTTGATTCCAATGCTCATGGATGACTTTGAGGGGTTCAAGACATAAGTGGAGAGAGTAACTACAGGTGTGGTAGAAATAGCAAGAGAACTAGAATTAGAAGTGAAACTTGAAGATGGAACTGAATTGCTACAATCTCATGATAAAACTTAACAGACGAGGAGTTGCTTTTTATGGATAAGCAAAGAAAGTGGTTTCTTGAGATAGAATCTTCTAGTGAAGTTGCTGTGAACACTGCTGAAGTGACAACAAAGGACTTAGAATATTTAATAAACTTTGCTGATAAAGCAGTGACAGGGTTTGAGAGGATTGACTTCAATTTCAAAAGTTCTACTGTGGGTAAAATGCTATCAAACAGCATCATGTGCTGCAAAAAAATCTTTCATGAAAGGAAGAGTTAATTAATAGGGCAGACTTTATGGTTTTCTTAAGAAAATTGTTACAGCTACCCCAACCTTCAGCATCCATCACCGTGATTAGTCAGCAGCCATCAACATAGAGGCAAGACCCCCTAGTAGCTAAAGGATTACAACTGGCCGAACGCTCAGATGATTGTTAGCATTTTTTTAGCAACAGAGTATTTTTAAATTAAGCTATATACTTTGTTAGACATAATGCTATTACACATTTAATAAAGTACAGTATAGTGTAAACATAACTTTTATAAGGACTGGGAAAACAAAAAATTTATATGACTTGCTTTATTGCTGTATTAATTTTATTGTGGTGATCTATAACAAAATCTGTAATATCTCCAAGGTACGCCTGTATTTGGTTCTGTGATTCAGTAGAAAAATGCTTGCTGGTTCTTAAAAGTATGTATATGTCCCCTAGCTAGTAAGAAATAGTAATGTGAAAAGTAATTAGCATATTTGAGCACATGGTATTTGATATTTTCTTTTTTCAAATATCAAGTTAATCTCATTTTTATAATAAAACAAAAAATGAATACCCAGGAAAAGGCACACAGGGAATGTGGAAGCCAGGATTTAACTTCCTGCCCTCTGACAACAAGTACCTTGTAAGCTGTTCCCACTCTTTGTGACATAAAGCTGCCAACCCCATCTTCCTGTCATATCTGATGTTTCTATATGTGAATAAAAGAAATGTCACATGTACCCAACTCTAAGGGAACATTTTAGGGCAAAGGCTTGTCTTGGTAAATTAAACTTGTGTGTTATCTTCTAGGGCCTTAATAACAATGGTTCTAGTTGCTTCATGGACTAAAAGATCTATACATGTAGGTAAATATCAAAGCTGACTATTCTTTGATTTTATATTCTATTATTCCAGTTGATACAGTTTTTAAATTTGGAGATGTTTAAAGGACAAAGTTTAATCATTATAAGAGAGAAGGTCAAAGGAAAGGGAATCGATTTTTCAAAAGTGGGGAAGCCCGGGCACAATGGCTAATGCCTGTAATCATAACACTTTTGGAGCCTGAGGCAGAAGGATTGTTTGAGGCCAGCAGTTCCAGACAATCCTGAGCAACATAGCAAGACCCCATCTCTACAGAAAAAATTTAAAAAATTAGCTGGCATGTAGTATGCATCTCTGGTCTCAGCTACCCAGGAGGATGAGGTAGGAGGATCACTTGAGCCTGGGAGGTCAAGCCTGCAGTGAACTGCGATAGCACCACTGCACTCTAGCCTCGATGACAGAGCAAGACCCAGTCTTCAAAAATAAAAACAAAAATGAAAAAATAAAAGCAGGGCATTGTGAAACTCACTAATCTACTCAAGTGTTTGTTGTGCTGATTTTAAACTTTTTTTGACCATTTTGTTAAGAATATTTTTGTGCAGTACTTTTTCAAGATTTCACATTTTCCCTATCTTTTTTTTCATCAACATTTACTGGTAAACTTGAGGACTGGTATTCATCCAATGAAGTGTATATTCAGGAAGAAAAGAATTATGCAGAAAGAAAGGTATTAAGGGACACAGATTTTCCTTTCTTTCTTATACTACATGTAGAAAATAAACTAGATTAAGTAAATGGCATTTCATACCTGGAAGATCATTGAGAAGCTATAGGTAATAAGAGAGTCCACACTGTGCACCATTTATTTTTTGTTTATGGTTCGAATGGGTTTAAATGATTTTTACTCTTTTAGTTATTTTGAAATGTACAATTAATTATTGTTGATGGTAGTTACCCTTTTGTGCTATCAAATACTAGATTTTATTCATTCTATTAAACTATATTTTTGTATCCATTAACCATCCTCACACTCACAGCTTCCATTACCCTTCCCAGTCTCTGATAACCATCATTCTTCTCTCTATCTCCATGAGTTCATTTGTTTTAATTTTTTTAGCTTCCACAAATAAGTGAAAACATGAGATTTGTCTTTTGGTGCCTGGCTTATTTCACTTAACATAGTGACCTCCAGGTTCATCCATGTGGTTGCAAATGACAGGATCTAATTCATCTTTATAGTCGAATAGTACTCCATTGTGTATATGTACCACATTTTCTTTATTCATTCTTCTGTTGATAGAAATCTAGGTTGCTTCCAAATGTTGATTATTGTGAATAATGTTGCAGTAAACATGGGTGTGCAGATAGATACCTCTTTGAATACTGATTTTATTTCTTTTGGGTGTATACCTTGTGTGGGAGTGCTGGATCATATGGTAGTTCTATTTTTAGTTTTATGATGGGCCTTCAAACTGTTCTACATAGTGGCATTACTAATTTACATTCCCACCAGCAGTGCACAAGGGTTTCCTTTTCTTCACATCTTTGCCAGCATTATTGTCTGTCTTTCAGATAAAGTCATTTGAACTGGAGTGAGATGTTATCTCATTGTAGTTTCGCTTTGCATTTCTCTGTTGATCAGTGATGTTGAGCACCTTTTCATCTACCTGTATGCCATTTGTATGTCTTCTTTTGAGAAATATCTATTCAGATCTTTTGCCCATTTTTAATCAGATTATTGGATTTTTTCCTATTTTTGATCACCTTATATATTCTTATTATTAATCCCTTCTCAGGTGGACACTTAGCAAATATTTTCTCCCATCCTGTGGGATGTCTGTTCACTTTGTTGATTGTTTTCTTTGCTGTGCAGGAACCTTCTAACTTGATGTGACCCCATTTGTCCATTTTTGCATGGGTTTTCTGCCATTGTAGGGTATTACTCTAGAAATCTTTGCCCATTCCTATGTCCTGGAGAGTTTCCCCAATGTTTTCTTGGAATAATTTCATAGATTGAGGTCTTAGATTTAAGTCTTTAATCCATTTTGATTTGATTTTTGTACATGGTGAGAAATAGGGGCCTGGTTTCCTTCTTCTACTATTTAAAAAAAAACCTCCACATTGTAGATAAAATTTATATTTCTTGAAATAATTTCTGATCTTGTGAATCCTGTTATTTCTAATGGAATATGTATTTTTGCATAAACATAGATTTCTCTTCATAACAAACCTACAATGGACTGTATTTATATCTCTCCTACCCCCCATATTACATTATTACTAAAAAGTGTACATATTGTATTACTTAGAAATTAAAAGAATAGACAGTCTCATTGAACTTCAGTGAGCTTATAGTTTATAGTTAGGAATGATGGAGGTACTTGTGTTTTCTTCTTGAATGTGGCTAAGCTAAGATGGGGAAAACGCTGCCTGTTATTGTAAGACCTTTTCCTTGGCCATCTGCTTGCCCACATTCTAAATGAGTCAGAAATGGAAGAAAGACAGTAATTAGGATGCTGTGTAATTAATCCTAATCTTCTTGCATAAAGCCGGAATACATAATGCAACGAGGACTCTGAAAACAGCAGTTTTTTCTGATTTTCCACTTAATTTCTGATATATTTCAAAAGAAATCATTTTCAGTTTAATAGAGTTCAGTATGTGCTTTCATAAAATGTAAAGGTTTTTAATGGTACTAAGAAATTATTAAGTGCATATTGTAAGCCTAGTATTCCATCAGGGACTTATTTATGTTTGATTTATTGGCTTTATATTCTTTATTGGAAAATCTAGCCCACTTAAAGGAATTCTTTTAATGCTGAGTGTTATATGTATATCTCTTCTGCCTTGCATGTTTTTCTTCGACCATTTACTGCACAAGTATTGATTTCAGAATATCTTTCAGATTCTTTCTCAGCAATTTGAGTTTGTGCATCTGTGCCAAGAAGGGATTATATTTGTTTCCATGCACATGCTTTATGGGACTCTGTTCCTTTTTTCAATAATTGTTTTACTAGAGTCAATAGAAGGCTGGTGAATAGTTTTTCATACGGTAATAGAATTTTTTGAAGCAGGGAGAATGTAATCATGAAATTTAAGAATAAGCAAACAAGGGCCAGAAGATTTAGGCTGTATATTTCCCGTAACCACTCTGAACCTTGAAATTCGGTAATATTTTTTTTGCATTGAGTGAGGTAGGAGCTGAAAATATAAAACATACAATAAAAATATAGACTGTGGCTCTAGGCAGAAGGCGTGTAAATATGCCTGTGTGTATGTATGGTAATATGCATTGAATTAGGAGTCAGAAGACTAGGTTTTGACACTCGCCAGCTGTAGGAAGTTATTAAACCTCTATCTGCCTCAGCTTTCTGATTTGTATTACCTGCCTTGCCTGTCTCATTTGTAAGTATGCATTGAGATTAACTATGTTAAAGGACTGAAACTTTTAGAGTTGTTCAGTTGTGAAATAGTAAAAGTCTCTGTGGTTATAGCCAGTTCACTGATGATTGTAGTATTATTCTAGTGAAACTGAGACCAGGGTCCCACGGTTTTAAAAAATATTCTTATATGAGTATGTGTATGTGTATAATTTTTCTTTATGATATGGGGCAGGTAGTGAAAATTGAAGTATGCTATTCCATACAAATAGATGCCCATGAGGAGGCTCACATTTATGAGAAGGGTTGATGTTGACAATCCTTTGAAAGAGAAACTCAGTAAGCATTGTTAATATATTTAACTTCACTGTAGATACTTTTAGAACAACAGTTTGAAATTTTAGAACAGAACAGTGAACGACAGATATTTGCTTGTGATTTTCTTAAATGTTACAATGATGGTAAGCTTCTTTCCTCATATTTTATCTACATTTTCTGGATATGTCCTGTGACTGATTAGTTTTCATTTACAGGACTGTTATTAGCCCTAGTGTGTTTTTCTGATAATATAAGAAACACCCCAGGAGGAAGATTATATCTGCTGTTTTACTAGGGATTGGAAATGACACTGTTACTCCAGAAATGCATTCACTGTTGTTCTTTGAGTCTGGACATACAAATTATAGTTAACTGTTTACCAAACTTGAGAAAAAGAACGAGTGTATAGCCTCCAAACCACTGTGGTTGTAACCAGTAGATTCAGGCAATGTATAAAATTCATACACTCTCATAACAGTGTTTCTCCTTTATTGGGTAGACACTAACTTAACGTTCTCAGCATCTTTAGAAAGTTTACTAAGTAGCTCACAGAACGGGTGTGAGAGGCCAAGTGTGCACAAGTGATTCAGTGATTCAGGTGATTAAAATTGTGTATTGTTAATTAATTTTTTTCAGGTAGAAAGTTGTTTTAGCAATGATTTTTTAAAGAAATCACTTTTTAGGAAATTAATTTATCAGAAAAATAGAATAATAATTTTATTTCATCTAAAGAGAGTCTGAGGTTTTAGATGTCATCATCTAATAATGTTAAATTTTGAAAAAGAAAATTCAAGTTATTAAAAATCTTCCAATGACTGCAACACTTCAGTAGTAATATTAATGTTTGAGAAAAAGCCCTACTTCTAGGAAATTAGAATCTCCTGGGGCTTTTTATGACCTAAACTCTCAGTTATTCTTTGCTGGAATTCTTACTGACTTCATGTATTGTTCATTTGTCTATAGCATGTGGTGCAATAGCAGTCCCTCAGCAGGTTACAGTTCTCTCTTTGCCATACAGAAAATAGTAGTTCTATTACATAGATTATCGGCACAGTGGTTTTTCCACCATTATACCATGAGTTCTCTGCCATTTTGCCAATTTCAAGTTGATTTTAATTAATTTAATGGTAGGTTGCCTTTTAATAATGCTTTTATAATATGACATATAAAACTCCACATGAGCTTGCAACACATTAGGTTAAATGACATAAACCAGGCACAGAAGGATAAACACTGCCTGTTCTCACTCATATGGGAAAGCTTAAAAGTTGATCTCATAGAAATAGAGAGTAGAATAGTGGTTACTTGAGGAGGGGAAGGAAAGGGGAAGAAGGAGATAGCCAAAGGCTGGTTAATGGATTTAAATGTACAGCTAGATAGGAGGAATAAGTTCTAGTGTTCCCTAGCACGATAGGGTGACTATAATTAGCAGCAATGTATTATATATTTTAAAATAGCTAGAAAAGCAGATTTTGAATGTTCTCAACACAAAGAAATGGTAAATGTTTGAGGTGATAGATAGCTGAATACCCTGTTTGATCATTACACGTTGTATACATGTATGAAAATGTAACATTGTACTCCATGAATGTATATAATTATTATGTATCAATTAAAATAATAATAAAAGCAAAGAAGAAATCATAGAGTGTTCCAGTCTTTAAATTTAATAATGAATATAATATCAGTAATAAATAAAGCTCCTAAGTTTCCTTTCTTATGTCTCGAAAGCACTCAATGTTGAGTGCAGTCTGCTTAGGAACCAGCACTGTACTGCATATTTATATTATGAAAGTCCCTTATATTTTATACCATTTAGCAAACAGGTTTAGCAACTGACAAATGTGATTTATTTATCTTCACAATGTAGTCTTGACTATACATAGATTCACAATATTGAAGAAATTCTTCTGGGCATATACTACTTTTTTGATTGAGATTAATGCTGTTTTCTGTTAAATCAGAGAATAAATTACCAAATGCCTGTGCCCTATATTTCATCAAACCCATAATATTCCACTCATTCTTTTTTCAAGTTATTCCTTTCTTCACCCCTAACCACATCTTATTACTTAGCCCCTGCATTTTTAATTCTTTATTTTATCTTTTTTTACCTATTATACATCTACTTATATTACATATATGTAGATAGTTACAGTTCTATCTGCTTTTAGTGTAAGCTACCTGCATTTTTTTAAGCAGCAGAGTAATAATTTAAAAGAAACATTCTTCACATTCCTTCTTGTCTAAGGAGCACCCTCAGATGTGTTCTAAGCAAATCCTGGTCTGATTAGAATGTTGGTAAATTTTCTTCAGGATATTAATCTTTTTTCCCTCCGGATTCTTTTACTGTATACATTATGACTATAATCTTTAAGTATCCAACTTTATGTAATACATTTTTCATAAATGTTCTTTTTGCCATGTTTTCTTTTGAGGCAAAAGAAATTTGATCATGGAGGTGAGAAAGCTTTAAATGATTTATATTATACAGGTTGTTCCCTAATGCTTCTTTCTCTCTCTTTGGGCTTTTAGAGTAAATATTTAAATAGTTATTGTGATATTAATAAAACTAGGAGGCTCAAATATTATTTCCCTTGTGGTCAATGATTCAAAACATTGATTTTATGCTACCCTAGTGAGTTTCTAATAATTTCAATGTAGTACAATATTGAGGCCTCATGGGAAAATTTAATTCATGATAATTTAAAATGTAAATGTATGCCACATGGTGTGCACCACATATCCTCTTTCTCTGTGTATGTCTTTGTGTGTGTGTGTATCTTGCATGCATACTTTTTCTTTTAGAAAAGGGCTCTAAGAATGCTCATGAAGAAAAGCTGATTGCCTTCATCACTTTATACTTATACAGATTTTGGATTTTTATACTGATTTCTCAGAGGTAAAAGTAAACCTATGAAATACAATCAAACACACAATCAGAGTTTTCTCTTGCCTTCTGAGCAATTAGAACTATTCATATAACCTGATTATAAGACACAAACACTGTGTTCTTATATACTATGATCACATACCTCAAGCCTCATATTTCTGTTTTAAGAATCTTTCTAAGCACAAGGAGAATAAGGTTGAAAATTACCTTTTAGGTACTGTTGTTCACTGTTGGGGTAATGGGTACACTAAAAGCCTAGGCTTTACTACTATGCAGTATTCTTATAACAAAACTGCCGATGATCCTCCTAAATCTATAAAAATTAAAAAATTTAAAAAAGAATCTTTTCAAGTATGGGGAAAACATACAGATGATGTATACCTTAGGTAAACTGGGAGCTAGGGAGATGATAGGAACCCTCAGACCTCATTATTTTGACATTCTAGGAGATGTGTCGATTTGTAGGATTATCTTTTCTAGGGCTAACCTTTTGGTCACATTCTCTACCTCTCTAAGTCCACTTCCAGTGCTATCAATTTCTTCTGGAAATGACTGCCACAGGCTTTATTTCTTAAGGGTATTGGCCTAAACTATTGTATTGTGGGCTCCTATTCTGGCTACAGCCATCTTTCAAACAACTGTGTTTTTGGATTTTATGTTACTGCCAGTTGTTCTGGACTTTTGCCCCTTCTGTGGTGATCTAGGGTCACTGCAGAAGAAATTAATTCTGCTCTTAAATTGGCCTTTATCTTTTTGCCAATCTACCTGTTGTTTCCTGTACATCTAGATTCCCTGGTTTGAAGGTTGCCTTGATTTCCCAACATAATTGTTGGATTTCCTTAGGGGAGAAAAAATAATACTAACAAGACTAACGAGAGAGAGACCTTATATTCTTTTATAAGAAAAGATTTTTAATATTGGGTTTTTTTCTTCCAAATGGCAATTCATAATATGTGCCAAAATATACTGACATAGTTTCAGCAGTTTCAACTGTTACTTGAATGTATGCATATGTATAGACAAAACAGCTTATGAATGTATTTCATCAGCAATATAGATGTGCTATTACAAATCATTTTTATATCTACATATCTTTTGTGAAACCGGATTAACGTGGGTGCTTTTAAAATCTAATATAGGAAGTTAAATAACCAAATACCACCATGAACAACAAACAAAAGGAGACAATAAAAGAAGAGAACCACTGGATCTGATAGAAATGTAGAAATACTGGTGTGCCAGTGTAGTCTGTGACATTTCTTCATGAATGAATTTTGTTATGTGTTGAATTGTGTCTCCCCAAAACATGAAGTCCTAATTGTCAGTACCTGTGAATGTGACATTATTGGAAAGGTCTTTGCAGATGACCAAATGAAGATGAGGTCATTAAGGTTGGCTCTAATTTAGTATGACTGTGTTCTTATAAAGCAGGGTACTCTGGACACAGAGAGAGAGTCACAGGGCAAATGCTATGGGAAGATTGGAGTTACGATACTGCAAGCCAAGGAACACCAAAGATTGTCATTGTCAGGAAACCACCAGCAAGAGAGAGGCGTGGGACATGTTCTCCCTCAGAACGCTGAATGTAACCAAACCTAGTTTCAGAAGAAACCAACCCTGAATGTAACCCAAACTCAAGTTTGGTTGTTCACTGCTCAAAAACCAAATGTGAGAGATGAGATTTGGTGGGAAGAGAAGCAGGTTTTTCAGAATCAGCCAACTGAGAAAATTTTGGATTAACGTCCTGAAGTACCATCTTAAGTCAGTACAAATTTCAGGCTATTTTTAAGTGAAGGGAAGGAGAAAGAGTTGGGAATTGGGATCAAGAGGTAACTAATGACTGCACTGCAGGCATCTGGGCTCCAGGGAGGGTCCAAGGAGGTTGGGAATGTCTTTTTCTTTGGTCAGGTCACAATGCTCCTATAAATCTTTAACAAAATATATAGTTGTATACATACTTCTCCTTTAATCTCAGCGTTACTTTTAAAAACTACATGATTGCTGTTTTTGCAAATTACCTCACTGTTCTAAAATTATCCTTGCCTATGTGTAGGAATCGGGTAAGGGCCCCTTAACAAAAATGGAGTTAGTTATAATATTCATAACTCTTTTGCTGTTTCACTATTACATGAAGACACCTTGTTTTTGGGCCTCCAGACTGAGACAAAAATTTTTGTTGTTTAAGGCACCCGGTTTGTAGTACTTTCTTATGGTACTCCTTGCAAACTGATACCAATTTAATTTGGTAACAGATGATCTAATATGCATTTCAAAAGCCATAGCATCTTTCCATTTAGTGTCAGTTTTAAAGGCCAGATTATTTACTCATGACAAATTATTTCCTACAGAAAGAATGTAGGGAAGGGATAGAGTATATTATACAGCTTTGCTTGAAAAGTATACAAGTAGAGCTTTAAGATTATCTTTAGATCTGTTTTTCAAATTAGGGAAGTCCTTGTTAAGTAAAATCTATATAGCAATATGGAAGGTGCTTCAAAGGCAGGGGTAAAAAAGCAAAATCAATTTAGCATAGGTCAATAAATGTGTATATTTGCCCCCAAAAAATATAAACTGGTTTAGCAGCAAGACACCTTTCTTCATTAATGATGTGCTGGTTTAAAATGCACTGACCTACTCTCAACTTATAAGACTGGCTCACATCCAAACCTCCTGTTTATAGATGCTGCTAGATGGTTTGCTTAGCAACGTACATAATGGGACCACGGGGAATTTGGTTTTCCAGCTAAATGAGTTTAGAATGCTCAAATAAAAGCAAAGGTTCAGGTCTGTAGAAAAAAAAAACAGAACTTAAAGCCCACAAGTAAAAAACAATCACAAATAATTGGATTATTTTTGCAAATCATTTTTTCAAATTGTTAAATTCATATTTATAAGTGATTTTAACACTCAAAATTAAGTCCATTTTTACAGACAACATATCCAGCAGAAAATCAAGTTTCGAATTTTGCCACAAAGCTACATACTTCCAGTGTTCTATAGACCTTAATGAAATTTATTAAGACTGAAAACTTCCTATGCAAAAATTTTACTGTTTGAATAAAGTAAGTAGAAATCTCTAAGTTTCTTTCAAGTGTAAAAACAACACCAACAACAAAACAACACCTAGGTTGGTAGGCAGAGATCTGCAAAATAAAAAAAATAAGCAGAGTAGTTAATGGAAAAGGTATTATTCCGGTTCATGAAAGAATTCATATTGCATATACCCAATAGCTCAGAAGCCAAATCTTAGATGTTAACTTAAATCACTACAGCCATTCTTTCTTTCAACATTATTTTACTGAGGATTCCGAGTAAACACAACAGGCTCTTGTTGTGTTCTTAGGACCAGCTATTTTTGAGGCACATGATGTTAAATCCTTAGAAGGATATTAGAGAGTAAGCCTAATACTTGATTCTCCCTTATATTATATCCCGGTGAAGATAATTTAGTCATTGGGAAGCATGTTCGTCAATACACTAAAGGTAAGGGAAACTGCAACAATCCATTTGTTTTGTGGAGTTTGGGGTAATATGATTTCAGTTGGTAACCTTCTGATATTATTTGGTTTGAAGCTGAGGGGCACCTGAGTTAGGATGTGCATATAATCTTGAGCTTGAAGTATGCTGAAAAATCAGGTAAACCAGCAAGGTTTTGTGCAAAATGGGATGTATGGTCATTTTTCGCAGAGCAGACTGCTTCTTTATGGTGAAAAAGAAATGTTTTGGATTTGTGGTTGATGAGTGGAGTCAGCAGGGAACCCATAAAAACAGTCCAGAACAGAGCATGGTGATAATCAGTTAGTTAGGGTCCAGTCAAAAGTAGCTGAAATTGTATATTCCTGGACATAATCAGAGGAAAGATCTAAAGACAGGCTTTGATGAGAGCAGGTGTGGTTCATGACGTGGTCAGATCAAGTCCCCTCACATGGGAAAATTGTAAAGTGGTAAATAAGAGATCAGACTAAATGGTAGAACATTGCCAAGTGATATGCATCATAACAGCTTCACATGGGCTTGTGATAGTGTTGGGTTTTTCTGTGGTGTAGTGGGTTGAATGGTGACCTGCCCCCCCTCCGAATGATGTGTCCATTTCTCAGAACCTGTGAATTTCATCCTACTTGGAAAAGGAATCTTTGCAGATGCAATTTAAAGGACCTCAAGATGAGATTATCCTGGATTATCCAGGTGGGCTCTAAATCAAATGACAGGTATCTTTATGAAGGAGACACAGAAGAGACACACAGAGAAGAGGTGAAAGCAGTGGATAGGCAAAATAAAGGCAAAGGTTGAAGTGATGCAGCCTCAAACCATGGAATGACTGGAACCACCAGAAATTAGACAAAATAAGGAAGAATTCTTCCCCAGAGACTTTGGAGGAAATGTAGCCCGATGACACCTTGATTTCAGACCTTTGGCCTCCATAACTGTGAGAGAGTAAATTTCTCTTGGAAGCCGCCCAGTTTGTAGTGCTTTGTTTTCGCAGCCCTAGGAAACTAATACAGTATGTGTGGGGCACGAATTAACCAACTCTAATGTTCTGCAGTTGGCACTACCTTAGGGTAATGGAGGCCACTTGTGGGAAGGAAGCTCTGAAATCCCAGGTGCTCCTTGATTGTTAAAGTATATTTGCTTCTCTTTTTATGTAACTTAAGACATTATTTAAAAGGATAGGAGAGAGTATAATATAATAAATAATAAAGTTTACTTTCAAGCAGGCCAGGGTGGGAGGAATCCTAGTTTCTTAGTGAAATAATTATACTTCTGGATAAGAACTTCATAGACAGTTTAAGGACTAGATTTTGATTGTCTAGAATTTAAATCTATGTAGAGACTATAGATTTCATTTATTGAAGTTCCTGGGTTAGAGTCAGGTTTTGTCACTAATTAACTAGGCAAGATACCCATCTAAGCATCAATTTCTTAATCTATGAAATGGAGATAATAATCCTTCCATTATTATTAACCTCACTCATGGGGTTTAAATGAAATAATTTTAAAATATGAATTGCTACTTTTTTCTTGTCATTTTAAGATTATAATTAAGGACTAAATATTCTTCGAAATGATATGACACAATCCTAGTTAGGTTATTGAGCTCTCTTTGAGGATGAATATATCACTCACTTATGAGAGAAATTTCAGTCTTAGTCTCTGCTGATTGGCTGAGAGCAATCATTAATATTAATCAAAACCTATATTAATTGAGAATGCACTATAATCCTGATAACTTGCCGGGGGCTTGGCCTTCAAATGGTAGAAGGCAGAGCTGCAATTTGATCTCAAGATGCTGTCAGTCTTTTTCCTAGGAGCCAAGAGATGACCCAGAATGAGTATGGGAGATTTGTTTTGGTGCTGTGAAGGTGTTTGTAGAGTTAACCCCAGCTTCAGTCAAGGGCTTATCACAAGTCTATTATCCTTATCCTGATTGTTCCTTGTTATCACTTGAAACAAGTAAATCACGATTTTTAAAACTGAACTTTTAAATAAAATAAGTAGATAAAAATAAGCAAAACACTAATGAAATCAGTTAAAATAGTAAAATAGCTTAAATGCATTAAAAAATAAATAGCCACTGTGGAAAATAGTATGGCATTTCCTCAAAAAGTTAAACATAAAATTACCCTGTGATCCAGCAATTCCACTTCTGGTAATTTATCCAAAAGAATTGAAAGCAGGGTCTTGAAGATATATTTATATACTCACATTTATAGCATGTTATTCAGAATCGCCAAAATGCAGAAGCAACCCAAATATCCATTGACAGATGAATTAATAAGCAAAGTGTGGTGTATATGTACAATTGACTGTCATTCAGCTTTAAAAAAGAAGAAAGTTCGGACATATGCTACTGTATAGATGGACCCTCAGGCCATTATGCCAAGTGAAATGAGCCAGTCACAGAAAGAGAGATACAGTATGATTTTACTTGTATGAGGTACCTAGAATAGTCAAAACCTTAAAGACAGAAAGAATGGAGGTTGCCAGGGGCCCCGGATGTGGGGAGTGTGGAATGTGGAATTACTGTTTAATGGGTACAGAGTTTCTGTTTTATATGATGAAAAAAGTTCTGGATATGAATGGTGGTGATGGTAACAGAACAATGTGAATGTACTTGATACCACTGAATGCTACACTTAAATATAATTAAGATAGTAAATATTATGCTATGTGTATTTCTCTACAGTAAAAAATAATTAGAAAAAAAGAAAGCTACAAAAACCACACCCAAAACAATAAATAACCTAGCAAAAAAAATTTTTTTTAATCAGCTCACAACAAAATGACAAAATGGCATGTCCCTTCCAAGATCTTTGTTTGAATTAAGTGACTTCAAAACTTGACAGATGCTATGTTTGTGAGCCTGGCCTGATTCCTATAATTAATTATGCCCTTCCTTTGCTTTTCTGACTCATCTGATAGTAAAGTTCATAGATTTAAACTGGATCCAGTTTTCTGGGCCTCAGCGTTATTAGGTCACTGTGTACTGTTGTATCACTACCCTGTTCTTGATAACTGGGCTCTTTATGTCTTGCTGTGGGATCACTCCACTCTTTCATCCCATTCCTGGTAAATCCATCTGGTGTCAATCTCTGAGCTTATGGTGACTTCCCTAGTGACCCAGTGCTTCCTCACAACATGTCCTGTGAATGGGTCCTAGTGACCCAGTGCTTCCTCACAACATGTCCTGTGAATGGGTCCCATCCACTTAGTGACAGGACTCCCTCTGCTGCTTACTTGTCTTTCTAGCTGGCTTTCTGTCACTTTTTGATTTCCCAGAGCTCTACCTTGTTGTCAGCACTCCCTGCAATAGGTTGGTGCAAAAGTAATTGCGCCGACCTAATACTATGTCTGAAGTTGGCCAATTGGCCTGTCTTCTTGCCTGCCTGCCTGCCTGCCTTCCTGCCTTTCTGCCTTCCTGCCTTCCTTCCTTCCTTCCTTCCTCTCTCCCTCTCCTCCCTCCCCTCCCTCCCCTTCTCCCTCCCCCTCTCCTACTTTCCTTCCCTTTTTATAACTATTGTCATACTATGCCTTTACCAGTGTTCTGTTTTTAATCCTCTAAATGTTATGTTCTGCTTACTGCATAGTACTTTCTTCTTACAGCTATTTCAGATCTTTTGTGCTATAGCTTGTTCCAGTATAGTAGGAAAAGCTCCTTCTTGGTCTCCTCCCCATCTATTCTAGTCTTTACATCTGTAGTTAAGGTAACAACAGCCTAGTCTCCCCTGAGATATAGCAAAGCTGAGTTACTTTAGAACAAAGACATTCTCAATAAGAGATATCAGACTATTGGATTATAGACCGAATTCCCTAAAAAACCTTCCCTTGGAGAGTCCCTGGGTTGGGGCATCATCCACTGCATCTCAAGTCTAGCTGGCTGCGCTGCACACAAAACCTATAGAAAATCTATCAAGCCCCTTATCCCTTCCTACCCTCATCTAAAGCTCATGAAACTCCACCAGCTAAGTTTCCAACTGATACCAATCCACACAAGCCACTTAGGGTTTAATTTAATGTTCTATGACAAGGCAGAGACATACAGATGACAGAATTGAGACTAACTTCCAGAATATTGACAGTTAGGGGATTATCAACTTTTTTTCAGAGTGTCAAGGATAAACAAAGCTAGACACTAGTTAAAGCACTGAGGAGAGATTTGATTCGGTAATAAATAGTTGCAGTAGGGAAGTGAGTCCAGCATGAATTGAACTCAACTTCACCAAAACAAAAAGCTGGAGACTTTTTAGAGGCCAGGGACTGGCACTGAGGGGTGTTAAGGGGTTGGTCTATGTGATGAAGCCACGTGGGTTTGTTAATTGACGCCTCTCCAGAGGAGAAGCAATCTATCTTTATGACAGGAGGCAATGGTATTAGAGCAAGGTGCCCACTCGAAGTTGGGCCTTAACTCCCACAGGGTCTGGGAGTGAGAGTGACAGTTGTCTCCCAGAATGTTTGCATCTCATAGAGCGCTCAGGTCCTTGAGGAAACAGTTTGGGGTAGCAGATTGTCCCAAAGGGCAAAAAAGCATTTATAATTGCAAGCTTTCTAAAGCAACTGCTCTATAAGAGCAGGGTTCAGGGGCCTATCTGGTTTGGGGCTGAAACAAACAGCAAGTTCTCCTGGCAGTGTTGAGCTTTTTTCAGGCAGGCGCTCTAAGGTGGGATGGGGTCATCCTAGGGCTGTGGCCTTGAGCAGTTAGAAACTATGTTAGTGTTTGTTCAAGTCTCTTAGTGTTTATGTTGGTGAGGGCGGGGGTGTCTAGACAAAATCATTTGTGGGAAGAGGTTGCAGTTTTTATCCACCAAGTTTGAGGCTTAGTCAAGCGGAGATCAGAGGATTCTGACAAGAGTTTGGTCAGGAGAAAGTCATTGGCAAGAGCATACCTTCTAGCTGGAAATTTTATCTAACAATGGGGCTTGGCAAACACAATGGGGCAAAAAAAAAAAAACTACTCGCTCAAAATCTGGAATCCTCCTTGATTCACAAACATGCCTTCTGTAAAGTTAAAATCAATTTTAAAATGGAGAATGGATGAATCCCTGTGGAGGATATGCCCTCCCTGAACTGAGTAGGTGACTACATTTGATGACTGTAGTATATATTTTTATGAACTTTAGTATATTTGTGTTATACTTATTGTCATTTAAAAAGTCACATTTTCCCTTTTTAATCTTGCCAGACTTCTTTATCCCATATGACTCTAAGAGCGCGTGTTTACCTGAGGTCATTGCTCCTTGAGATGAGTTCAGGAATAAATTCGTAAAATTATAATCAAATTTCAGTGTTTAATAAATTTCTTCAAGATTCTTTTAAATTTCATGTCTTGGACATTTTAAAAACTCATTGGAAATACATACATGTAATGCATTTAGGGAGATGTAAAAGACATAATTTTTAACAACATATTAGCGATCAATAATTTATTTATCAATAAATATAAAAACTACTGGTATGACCTTACTTTTGGTTTGGTTTGCAATCATTGATTTTCTGATTTTGATATAAACAATTTTAGTGTGTTAACCAGAGCAGACCGTCATTTGGACTAACATTAGCCATCTAACAGTTATTAAACACAAGTGGTAACTCACACATACTCACATATTACGGAGTTCAGCATCAGAATTCTATTTAAAGCATATCGTAATATAATTTTTTTTAAATGTTGGATACTTTATTTGAAGTGGAGACATTTTAGTTTGTCAGGTTGTCTTAAAAATTGTCCTGTCAATAAAATTATTTATAATGAAATGAATAAATTGCTTCTTTGCAGTAGACATTTCATTCATTAGGATCAAAAACCTTGTAGATAATGAATGTCCTGAAGTCTGTTCGCTACTATTTTGAGCAAATTGGTATTTAATACTGTTACTCCATACAATACACTTGTTTAGCATACTTATTATTCACATCCTTGAATTTTGAGGAATGTGCTCTGAAGCATTTGTGAAATTTGAATATACCATGATAGGATACCTAAAACATTCATCATTACTGAAGGTTATTTTGGGTATCTTTTTCGTTTCCTGATTTGCTATTTTTTTAACCATAACTGAGTAATCAGTTTTATCAGATACTTTTTTCTATATCTATTGAGATAATTATAATTTTTTCTTATAGAATGTTGATATAGTAAATGACATTTATAGTTCCTTTAATTATAATCCCCTTGTAGTCCTAAAAGTTAGCTTAGTCAAACAGTAGAAATGTTTTTATGTATCACTGGATTTTATTTTTATAGCATTTTGTTCGGGATATTTACATATACATACATGAGTAAGAGGGCATATTATTTTTTGTTCTATTGTCATTTTCTGTTTTGTCGTCAAAGCTATATTGACTTCATAGAGTTGGGAAATAAATCACTCCTCCCTTCCATGCCCTTCTCCCTCATTCTCTAGAAAAGTATAAGATTGAAATGCTTTGGATATTGAAAGTCTGATAAAACTTGCATTTAAAAATCTCGGAGTCTGTTGTATTTATGGAAAGATTTTAAGGAAATAATTCCATTTATTTAAAAGTTGTATATTTATTTGTATTTTTATTCTTTGTTGAGATCGACTATATTTTATAAAGATATTTCTATTTAATGACATTTTTTCAACTTATTGGCAGATAATTATTCACAGAATTCTTTTATATCTTTTAATTCTGTTAAATCTCTGATTATGTTACCTTTTCAATTTCTAATATTTATTTGGCTCTCTTATTAATTTTTCAAACTCGTCAGAAGTTTATCTGAATTCTTTGTTTTTTCAAAGAATTAACTTTTTGTTTTGTGATTCCTGTTTAATCTTATCTTATATTTTATATTTCTTCATTTTTATATTTATTTTATATTTTTTAATTTTACTTTTACTTTATATTTCTTTAATTTTTATTCATATCTTTGTTATTATTTTCAATTACCTTTATTTTTACTTTATTTCTCATTGTCTAACTTCCTAAATGACATACTTAGCTCATGAATTTATAGCCTTCTATCTTAATAAAAATTTAAGTCATTAAACTTTTAACAGAGAGTACTCAACATATATGTGATAAAGAGTAAAGAGCCAGTTGAGTCATAGATGTTAATTAATTTACTCACTTATATGCAAAATGACTTACTCACCATACCAGCCTTAAAACATGTATGATTTAAATTTTAGTGTCCATACAGGCTTCTTGTAAACTGCATATGTGATCTATAGAAATTGCAGTAGACTACTCTAATATGTATAAACCTAAGCAAAAACACTGCTCAAAGGTTTGTTAGTGGGATTTATCCTTTTTCCTATGTATAGCAGTTCTCTGAAGCATTTTATTATAGCGTTATAATATTTTTGGATAACTTATTTATAATAATACAAACATACTTATGGCATACTTTCATAAATTACATAAATGAAATTTGCCTGTATTTTGCTATTGCATTTTTTTGGATATATTTAATACTGATTTATTGTGTTTGCTCATATTTATGGGATGAAGAAGAATTTAGCATCTCTCATCACTGATCAGTTTTAACCACGATTAGAATTTTACAAAACTAGTACTAAAATACCCTTAAGAATCATATGATTTAGTAAGTGAAGAACCAAAAGTGTGAAGCTGCACTGTGCAAGTTGATACCATTAGCTTTGGAGCACTTGAAATGCAGCTAGTCTGAATTGAGATGTGCCCTAGGATAGAATACAAATTGTATTTTGAAGACATAGTAATAAAAAAAAGAATGTAAGATACCCCATTAATACTTTTTATGTTGATTACATGTTTAAGTAATAATATTTGAGGTATATTAAGTAAAATATATTATCAAAAGTTCACTTTTTTTCCTTTTTAAATGTGTCTGTTAGAAAACTTAATATTACATATATGACTCACCTGATGTTTCTGTTGGACAGTGCTTGTCTAAGAGTTCATTTCTTCATGTAAGCCTTCATGACAAATTGGTAAAAAATTTAGAAACAAAACACAGGCCTTCTATTCCCCATTTAAGGCAGTTAGCTTATTTCAAAATTAATTTATTTTGTTTCCTTCCTTTTGTTTAGTGAATTTATTTTTGCTGGCTGAGTGTTTTCTTAATTTGGAGAAGTTAAAAATATTACAGAAAAGGTTATTGTTTTTTCAAGCAAAACACATCAACCAGATAAATGTTTTAAAGTATAAACATCATCAGCATCGACCTGAGGACAGGCGTGGGAGCTCACACTTGTAATCCCAGCACTTTGGGAGGCCGAGGTGGGTGGATCATGAGGTCAGGAGTTCGAAATCAGCCTGACCAACATGGTGAAACCCCATCTCTACTAAAAATACAAAAATTAGCTGGGCGTGGTGGCAGATGCCTGTAGTCCCAGCTACTTGGGAGCCTGAGGCAGGAGAATCACTTGAATCTGGGAGGCGGAGGTTGCAGTGAGTCGACATCATGCTACTGCACTCCAACCTGGGTAACAGAGCGAGACTCCGTCTCTAAATAAATAAATAAAATCATCAGCATCAACTTGAACCGAAAATACCCTTTCTTAGTAGAATGCTGCCAGAAACATTTTAAATTTCAAAACACTTATAATTTTATGTGACCTAGTTTAGAACTTCTAAAGGTACATTATGACATTTGGTGGAATAAGTATGTGGATATTAAGCATATGCTTATAAAAGAAGAGAAGACTCTCCATTTAATTTTGGTTATGTTTATTTCATCGATACTCTAATCATAAAGCATCTATTGGAGAAAGGTTAGACTAGTCCTTGATTTCCAGTTAGATTTTATATTAAGCTTGGGCTGAATAGTTTGGAATGGAAACTTAGATATTACTCACAGAACAAATTATTTGTTCTTCAGTTTGATAATTCAAGAAAACTGGAATAAATAACCCCATTTGTTATCTACATTATTCAACACAATATGTATTTGTGGATCTTTGAAAAAACGTATATGCAATATAACTTCTTAACCTGTTTAGAAACAGTATCATAGACAGTTGTATAGCACCCATGAGTATGGGAATGTCCTAAAAGAACTGAAAACCGTGATTCGAAAAACTAGAGTTTTGGATGAAAGTTAAATTTGCATCTTATAACAGTTTTTCGTTTAGAAATTACTCTTAGCAATTGTAAGAGCACATCATTACCTCAAGGCATAATTGTCACTACTTTCTGTATGTAGTGAACAGTGTTTAGTTGCAAGTGCTATAATGGATTATATTATACAATTTAAAAATCTCACCCTTATGAATTATGTTTTTACTGTCATTAGTGTTGAGTTTATTTGGTATGCAACAGTCTTTGATGATTCTCTCTATATGTGTATCTATATCTATCTACCTATATCTACCTATAATCAGAGTACTTTGAAGAGTTGAAAATATTGGAATATATTTTCTTTGACATGTAAACAATACTGTAATCTTATTTTACATTTTTCTGAGTTTTTAACAAAATGTGTTTTTGCTTCTGGAATAATAAAAATATAATAAAGTATTATTTTTGTATATAGAGTATGGGATGAGAGTTTCTAGCTCACAAGCTAGGAAACTGTAATAAAAATTCTGACAGAAATGTAGTGCTAATAGTAATATATTTTAATGATGTCATCGGGGCCAGATTTGTGCTGCTTGTGCAGACAACTACAGTAAGTTAATGTCGTGTAATCACCAATAATATCCAGAAAATGTGTTCACTGTTTAATTATGGTTTTCTCTTTTAATATTTATTATTTTATTTTATTTTTTAAATTGTGCTTTATAGTAGGTATATATATTTAGGGGGCACATGAGATAGTTTGATATGGGTATACAATGTGTAATAATCACATCAGGGTAAATGGGATATCGATTACCTCAAGCATTTATTCTTTCTGTGTTACAAATGCTCCAATTACACTCTTTTAGTTTTTAAATGTACAATAAATTATTGTTGACTGTAGACACAGTGTTGTACTATCATCAAATACTAAATCTTATTCATTCTATCAAACCATATTTTTGTGTCCATTAACCAACCATCCCCACTCCTTCTCCAATATGCTTCCTAGCCTCTGGTAACCATCATTCTACTCTCTACCTCTATGAGTTGCATTGTTTTTTTAGTTCTCACAAATAAGTAAGAACATGTGAAGTTTGTCTTTTCGTGCCTAGTTTATTTCACTTAACATAATGACCTCCAGAACCATCCATGTGGTTGCAAATGACAAGATCTTATTATTTTTTATGGCTGAAGAGTACTCCACTGTGTATAGGTACCACATTTTCTTTATTCATTCATCAATTGATGGACACTTAGGTTGCTTCCAAATCTTGGCTATTGTGAATAATGCTGCAACAAACATGGGAATACAGATATCTCTTTGGTGTATTGATTTCCTTCCTGTGGCTATATACCCAGCAGTGGGAGTACTGGATCATATGGTAGTTCTATTTTTAGTTTTATGAGGAGCCTCCAAACTGTTCGCTGTAGTGGCGGTACTAATTTACATTCCCACCAACAGTGCACAGGGATTCTGTTTTCTCCACATCCTTACTAGCATTTGTTAATGCCTTATGTTTTATATGAAAGCCATTTGAACTAGAGTGTGATGTTATCTCATTGTGGTTTTGATTTGCATTTCTCTGTTGATCAGTGATATTGAACACCTTTTAAGTGAACTTGACAGACTTCTTGAAAATCACGTCTTCTCATCACTGACACATGGAGTAGTAGAAAATTTGAATAGTCATATCTATTAAGAAAATAAACTCTATAAATAAAAACCTCCTCACAGAAAAAAAATCTCAGGCCTAGAAGACTTCACCAGTCTGGTGTTCCAAGCATGTAGGAAATACTAGATACAAGGTCTGCACACAAAGTCAGTTGTATTTCTCTGTGCTAGCTTGAAAGACTTAGAAAATGAAAATTTTAAAAGACGACATTAATATTAGCATCAAAGTCATCAAATACCTAAGGAAGAATAAAAGTTTTGTAAAACCTGTGCACACATTTCAAAGCTAAAAGAAACCTAAATAAATGGAAAGATATATCATGTGTTTATGAATTGTGTCAATGTCGACTTAGCAAACTGAGTATAGATTTAATGTAATCCCAATTAAATATTCAACAGGATTTTGTGGGAGAAATGCAAACGCCCAAGAGTAACCAGGTCAGTCTTGAAAAAGAAGAATAAAGTTGGAGGACTAACATTAGCAGATAACAAAATGCCTGAATATTAAAATTTAATATTTAGAAAGTAAAGTAACTTAAAATACTAAGTATTGGAAAGGGAAGATGTGGAGCAACTAGAACTTTTAAGGTGCTGATGGCAATGTAAGTTGGTATAACCACTCTGAAAAACTGTTGACAGCCTAGTCTAAAGCTGAACTTAAGCATCTCCTATGACCCACCTATTCTAATCCTAAATACAGTCCAAACCAAAAAATGTGTGTAATTATACCAAAAAATCTATACAAGAGTGTCTACAACAGTATTATTTTAAATCAACTGTGAACAATGGAAATGTCTGTCAAGAATAGAAATAATAAAAATCTTGTAGATATAAAATTAAATTCTATAGAGCAATGAAAAGGCACAAACTATGACAACACAAAGAACATGGATAAATCTCACAGGTATAATCTGGAGCAAATAAGTCAAACACAAAATAGTATGTATTATATATTTTCATCTCTATGAGTTCCAAGACAGGCAAAGTTAAAATGGCAGAGTTTAAAATTTTTGTTACTTTTAAAGAGGCAAAATCACTGGGATGGGGTGTAAGGGAAGCTTCCTGGAATGGTGGACATAAATGAGTTCATTTCATGAAAATACATCGAAGCTATGCCTAAAATTTTTACACTTTACAATATCTATGTTATGCAACAATGAAAAGTTTTTAAAAGTATATATTATTTTTGTTCAGTAGAAAACATGACTGTCTGTGTGTGTGTATATATATATATATAATTGCATATAAATTTCCATGACAATGCACACAAGTTTCCATTTTCATGGAAATTTATGTGCAATTATATATATACACAGACAGAGAGACAGAGGAATATAAATGCAAGGCTTTCTAGTGAAAAAATTTTTATTGACCACATTGGCATTTCAAATGGCTTAGAGATTGGTTAGAAGAGAGCTTAGTTCACCTATTCTAATGTTCCAATTTATTTATTCCAAGAAGGAAAATGCCTACCCAGAGAAGATCTAAATAGTATATTTAGAGTGAATATTTCTTCGTTTCTCTCTTTCCTAGTGGATAAGCAGTTGCCAGTGACATTCTCCCCAGAAGCAGAGGCAGCCAGAGTTGAATGTTATTATCCAGCTTTGTTGCTGCTCTGGTATTCTCAAGGCTTGCATTACCAGCCCCAAAGTAACGACACACACTACTGCAATGATATCTGCATTCCACTTAAGGAAGTTTTGGAAACTTTAGGTTCTTCTGTTTCTTACAACAAATTCAGAAACAGAAAAGCCATATTCATCTTGATCCTAGGGAAGAAGGCAAAATTATTACCCATACGTCTTTGAATATATCTCTCCTCCCCAGCAGAATTTTAATAATAACTAATGATCTGGATGTGGTAGCTCATGCCTGTAATGTCAGTCTTTGGGAAGCCAAGGTGTAGGAGATCACATGAGTCCAGGAGTTCGAGACCAACCTGGGCAACATAGTGGGACCCTGTCTCTACAAAAAATTAAAAAATTACCTGAGCATAGTGGGGCAGGGCTGTAGTCCCAGCTAGTTGGGAGGCTGATGCAAGAGGATCACTTCAACCTGGGAAGTCAAGGCTGCAATGAACCATGGTCACACCACTGTACTCCGGCTTGGGTGACTGACAGAGTGAGACCTTGTGTCAAAAAACAACAATAACAACAAAGAAAGGAAACCGAACTAATGTACAATGATTTTTAGATCGCAGCCATCTCTTGTGTTAAATGTAAACTCGAACTGTTATTAAGAGTTTATTGATTATCCCTAGTTCACAGCAAGTAAGATTTGGAGCAATGAGGCTCTTACATTCCAAGTAAAATTCCTTCTTGTAGTTAGTTTAACCAGTATTGGTTTTCCGTCACTATTTTCTTTTTACTGAAATTAATTTGAAAGTCTAATATAACAATTGTAGTGGTAAAAAGGGATGTTCTTTTCATGGTGAAGTTTGGGTTTTCTTGGTGCTATTTTTCTTATTGTATTTAAAAAATCACATTCTATTTGCTGATGTGATGCTTATAATTCTCACTGGGAAGATCCTAAAAATATGTATGTATATGGTAGATAATAATGCTAATGCCTATCTACCCTTATTATGTTTCTAGCAGGACTTTAGAAATCTAAGAAATAAGTAGCTAGCCAGTTAGTAAAGATAAAGCAGTTGGGTTTTAGAAATATCTATTAAAGGTACTTTAAAGTAGTTTTAATTTTATTTTTAACATTTTAAGCTAACTATTAAATATAATAGTGTGGTATAATAGAGCATATACTTCTTTAATTTTAATAAACTAAGAAACAAGATTGAGTAATAAATGAAACATTGTACTGTGAAATTAGTGGGGATCCTTTCATTTTTCATAAAAAGAAAAAAGCAATGATACAGGAGAGCCTTGTTAGTAAAAAACTTACTGGGAGAATAATTTGATGAAATGTGAAGACTCTCAGCAGTGCAGTTTCTAGTCCAAGGAATTTGAATAAGTGTTAGGAAATATGAATTTGTTTCTGCTTCATCTAACTAGATTTGGTACAATGGGGTGTGCAGTTAGGGAGAAAAAGTCTCTGGTACTTAATAAGGCAATAATTCATGCTGAATGGATATGAGCAGTCATTGAATGAAAAATTGATTTTTATAGTGTCCCAGACTTGGTAACTTTTGGAGATTTGTGTGCTTATTGTACTACTACCATAAAGAAAATATATAGTTCTCATTAAAAGGTGAGTACCTTTTTTCCTGTGTTGTATATATGTTTGTTAAGAGTTTAATCATTTTTCATTTGCAATTTTAGATACTTTTACTATGTTTCCAAGTACAGTATAAGTAAAGAAAAATAGCATGGCCTCATAGTTTACTGATTTCTGTTAGTCAAGAGTAGGTTTATACATAAACTGGTCAATTTCCTTACCATGAAAAGATAGGCCCAGTTTAGTTTATATTGTAAATCAAAACATCCTTTAACAATCCAGAAGGCTGCAAAGTTAAGATTACCCCTATTAACTAACAGAAAGTTATACTATTTACTGATTATGTTGTAAGACAAACTACTGCACTGTTCTGATTCTATGTGGTAGCATAGTGTTTATTGTTAGAGTATGTCTCAATATATAAAACAAAAAATTAACTTTAGTAGGTATAAGGCCTTGCTTTGACATTTTATTGACAGTGAAGTTTGAATACCTATAAATCTTCTTTAAAATTCCCAAAGTCATGATGACTTTTAAATACTCTTCTGTTAAGAACTTTTTTTAAAAAAGAAAAATTGAGTAACTAGCTATTTGCCATAAGGCAGTACTCCTAAACATACAAAATGCTATTTTAGAGATATATGCTTCCTTTCCCCTCATGTATGATATATTCTATTTTGGCCTACCTAAAGGCCTTTAGAATTCTTTACAGTAAAACTGCAGGTTTTTGCATTTATATTTAACCAGAAAAATCAACAAAAATATTACATTGAGTCTTGATATTTATCCAGCTATCCATTCATCATTCATCTATATATATTTATATACAGCTATCCACTATTTACCTGGCACTGTCCTAAGTTCTGGAATACTAAGAAGAATGGCATTTACTTCTTGTTAGCTCATAATTCAGTAGAGATAGATAATAATTTAAAAAGAGAAAGTGAGAAGATGGGATTAGAAGAAAGTAAATAGACATTATTTTTGTAGTAAAACTTCGGAGAAGATGAAATAATGGCCTTTTTGTCTATTAATGAGGAGGAGCTGAGTTGGGGATAGAGTAGATACTACATCTTGCTAGCATCTGCTTTTGTTCTGGTAGAGTTTTATGGACTGAGCTGAAGCTTAAACAAGTAATCTCATTTATTAGGGAGGATGACAAAGGAATAACTTTGGGTATATGTAACTATTTTTCTATTATACTATGCTTAATAAATTAAGATTTTCTTTCTCAAAATTTGTTCTACTAAGAAGTTGCTAGTGTGAGAAATAAACAAATGCAGTGCTAAAATGTGATGTGTGCAGTAACAGAGATGTTTTCAGGATTCAGTGGGAAAAGGGAGTACTATACTGTTGGTGAATTGAGGAAGAGCCTAAGGAAAAGTTATACATAAGAGGCAAGGTGGTTTAAATAACGGTAATGCAGTGGTAACATTAAGTGCTCAAAGGGAGGGGAATGTATGGATTTTAAGCATTGAAAACTTCAAATTCATTATGATTATGTAATTAATAGCAATTAATATTACATATTAAAACTTTGAACATATACTAAATTATAGTGAAGAGTCTAGTAAAATACCATGTATGCATCTTCCAGCTTCAATAACCTCACCGATTTTCTCCCTTCCACGATTATTTTAAAGCAAATCCCTAACACCATAGTATTTTTATCTGTAAGTATTTCCATCAATATCTATGGATAAGGTCATTCATACAGAGTTATTATACTATTATCACTTCTAAAACTTCGACAGTACTCTCTTAATCTCAAATATTGTTTTCAGATTTTGTTCGTTTGTTTGAGACAGAGTGAAACTCTGTCACCCAGGCTGGAGTGCAATGGCGCGATCTTGGCTCACTGCAACCTCCGCCTCCCAGGTTCAAACGATTCTTGTGCCTCAGCCTCCTGAGTAGCTGGGATTACAGGCATGCACCACGCCCAGCTAACTTTTGTGCTTTTAGTAGAGATGGGGTTTCACCATGTTTGCCAGGCTGGTCCCAAACTCCTGATCTCAGGTCATCTGCCCACCTCGGCCTCCTAACATGGTGGTGTTAGAGGCGTGAGCCACCGCATCTGGCCCTGTGTTCAGATTTCCGTGATTGACTCATAAATGTTATGTTTATTTTTTACATTTGGTTTTTTCAAAAGAGGAGGTCCACATGTTACGTTTTGGTAAAATTAGGAGGTCCACATTTTACATTTGGTTATGTCCCTTAAATATAGTTTCAATTCCATAGGTCAGTTTATGTCTCTGTCTCGTTCTGTCTCTGTCTCTTTCTCTCTTCCTCCCCCTCTCTCATTACAATTTATTTGTTGAAGAAACCAGGTTAATTTTGCTGTAGTTTCCCACATGTTGAATTTTGGTGATTATATCCCTGTATTTTCATTGAACCTGTTTCTCTGTGCCCTATATTTCACGTAAGCTGGTTGTTAGATCTTTCTAGACATTTTAAAGATGTGGAAAAAGAATGAAAAATAAACTGTATGATCCCAAATGGCTATCAGTAGAACTGAGGCCTTCCCTTTCTCAATTACTATTTAAGTTCAACAAATGCTGATTGAACTTTCTTTATGCTCAGGTACACTGGCAGGTGGCCTAGATGTTATACAGATCAGTAAAATTCAAAGTCTGTTTTCAAGTGCTTATAATAGTTCACTGTTACACAGGAGTCACACTGGCCAGCTTGCTCAAGAATCCCAGGACAGTATTCTCTAGAACATTCTGACCCTAACACAGGCAGACAGAGCAGTTCTCTGGTGGGAAACAGCTTTTCCTATGGAATAAAAGCCACCAGTGCTTGTAATCTCTCCAGGCATCAGGAATGGACTGTGGCTAATGAAATGGCACAGTTGGTTATATGGAAGCCATGCAGAAAAGCAGGTAACCTGAAGTAATCTGCTAGGAGACCAAAGAGAAAATTAATCTCAAAAAAGATTAGTAGGGCATGCTTATTTCTCTGAGAAAAGAATAGCCAATAAGGCTTGCATTTTCCGCCATAAAGTGAATATATACATATGTATATCTGTAGACACACTTACATATTTATATAAGAATTGTTTTTACTTCGAGAGCGTAAAATTCTATAGTAATGAGTATTTTGAGTGCTTGGAGGAAAAACAAAGGACAAAACACACTTCAACCTTGCTTCTCCTTAGTTAGCTTTGTTTCATGTTTGAATTGTGAAGCCAGCTCAGTGGCAGAGCCAATTATAGCAAATGTCTGTCAGACTCTGTCCCAGGGACTCAGTTGGAGGTTTGGTGCAAGTTTGTACTGTCAAGATGAGTGGTTTTTTCACGATCTTTAATGTAATAGCAGGTAATGTACTCTTTAATACCAGGAAGTTCATTTGCCTGTAGTGGAAAGGGAGCAGCTATTGAGGGAAGTTTGTCAGGGAGGCAGAACCAGGACCCCCTTGACTGACAGCCTAGGAATGAGAGTAAACCCTGTGTCTTGGAGATGCTTGAGGAATAAAGATTTGAACATACGATGACAAGACTTATTTAAAAATTAAAAATAGAGAGCATGTATCTTTGGTGGGTTATGTCAACCCCTATGTCAAATTGCAATACATTGTCAAACCTACAAAGAGATCATAATATTCTATTTGGTTTTCATGTCATGGTTGAGATTTTACGTTTTCTTGCAAGTCACTGCATAATAAAGGCAGACATGACAAAGTCAAATAAAACGAAGTAGTACTGGAAATAAAATAAAAAGTAAAATGGAATTTTGTTAAGGTTTGGCTCCCTGACATATCCAAATTTGTTGGTGAACTGTCAGTGTATTACTTCACGGGGTATAAGAATAGCCAGCAGTTGTTTTTTGGATGTTTTAAATAAAAATTTGATGAGTTGCTTCTTTCTTCAAAGAAAGGTAATCTTGAACATAAAGTGATTCTCCCACTTTTTCATATACATCATTGTAGATGACTCAAATAGCTATTTAACATTTTATTTTATTAATTTTGTTATGTAGGTTATATAAATCACATATACTTATTTAAATAAACAGTTGATACTTGAACAGTGTGGATTTGAACTGTGGGGTCCGTCTGTACGTGGATTTTTTCCTATATATGTTGGAAAATTTTTTGGACATTTGCAACAATTTGAATAAACTCAGATGAACCAATTAGTCTAGCAATATCAAAAAAGTTAAGAAAAGTTAGGTATGTCATGAATGTATAAAATATATGTAAGTACTAGTTTATTTATGTGTTAATTGACTGTTTCTGTTATCTGTAAGACTTCCAGTCAACAGTAGGCTATTAGTAGTTAATTTTTGAGGGAGTCAAATGTTAAATGCAGATTTTCAACTGCATGGGGGTTGACACCCCTAAACCCCACGTTGTTCAAGGGCCAACCATATTACTTTTTTCTGCTCTTATATTTCATGAAGAATCTTTCAGTGTTTTACATGCATCTTCAATATCAGTGTTTTTCATTATTAGATCCACTTTTTGAGTCACTCAACAGTTTCAGACCACATCTTCTTTCTTTTGACTTCTAACTTGTTATCACTGAAATTATATCCCAAGCTGTAATAACTTATTATAAAACATGAAGGGATTGGTTTTAGTTCTGTTTTATTTTATCTTCTCTGTGTTGTATATTTGTGATGTCTTCAACATAACTACTTACTGTATTACTTTTAACGTACTCTTTAAAATTTTTTATTACAGCAGCAGCACAGCAAGTGGATAAAAGCACAGACTCTGGAGCCAGCCTGTCTAGATTCAAATTTTATTTACTCTATCTGTGATCTTGGCCTCATTAAGTTATCTCTGTTTTAGTTTTTTTCCTATGGTTAATGATAGTCCCAACCTCATAGAATAGCTTTGAACATTCAGTGAGTTATTCCACATGAAGCACTTAGAGGAACTATTAGTATTCAAGTGTTTCATAACAAAGTATAATCATTTGACAATAAATAAACTAATATACTCATTTGGTAACACACACAGACCCACACACACACACACACATACACGTATGTCATCCACTGTTTGCAATTGTGAGATTATACTCCCAGAAGTAATTTTAGAATGAATAAAGGTAGAAGCAAATAAATCTGTGAAGTGTCCTCTGTGAAGCTTAAAAGACAGAAATTATTGCAATAATCTCACCTTAATATGTCTTTTTTAAATAGTATTTTTGCCCCAGGTAAAAACTGTCATCTACTGAAATGTTTTTACAACAACTTTATTGAGATATAATTCATATACTGTAGGTTTCACACTTTTAATGTACGTAATTCCATGAATGTTAATATATTTACAGAGTTGTACATTATTACCACTATGGAATTTCAGAACATTTGTCCTTATCCCCAAAAGAAACGCACACACTCTAGCAATCATTCCCTATTCCTTCCTCTACCCTAGGGCTAGCAAGCACTGTCTACTTCTACTTTCTGTTTCTATAGATTTGCCTGTTTTCACTATTTCATGTAATTGGAATCATACAATATTTAACTTATTGTGAGTGGATTCTTTCAGTTAGCATAATGTTTTCAAGATTCCACAATATTTTAGCATGTATCAGAACTTCATTTATTTTTATTGCCAAATAAAATTCCATTGTATAGATGTACCACGTTTTATTATCCATTCAACAGATGATGAAAACTTGGGCTGCTTCTATTTTTTGCCTGATATGAATAATGTTACTATGAACACTGGTGTAGAGGGTTTAGCATAGACATATGTTTTCGGTACTCTTGGGGTGTATACCTAGGAGTTGAAATGCTGGGTCATATGGTAACTGTATTTTTAACATTTTCAGGAACTACCAAACTGTTTCCCAAAGCAGCAATTTAAAAGCATAGAAAGCTCACTGTTCTTAGCAAGATTCAGCTATTTTTCTTGAATAAATTCTTCTTGGAACATTGCAAGCATTTGTTTAACTTTTGGAATTCTGAAAAAGTTTATTTTGACAATTGTTTGTGTTTTGGTTGCTTTTATGGAGGAGTAGATTTTTGGAGGTCCTTACTTTACCATTCCAGAAGTGGTCGCTCCTGCCTCGCAACCACTAAAATTAAAACAGTCTGTCTATGGAGGGCTAGAGCCACTAATGTGCTTTCAGGCCCAGAGTGAAGCAGAGGACTCAGCCTAAGGAGTCTGAATCTCCATGGTGGAAAAGTAATGAGAGGAGAAAGGAGCTATGTCTCAGAGAAGAGTGCACTAAAGTGACCTACTGGATAAATCACTTTTTATGTGGCTGCTTAGAGATATTGCCAACAGGTGTTCTCATATTTTTCCATGCATGTTGATGTAACCCTTCCAGTTTACAAGTCTCTGTTGCCTACAGACAACTTTCAGTCAATGCTCTCATTTTGGAGGGAAACCGTTGGGAAAGATAAAGAATTTCAGAAAAGTCCCATGCAAGACCTTTATATTAATTAAACCAATTTCTTATTGATTTATGTGAACCATCAATCACAAGATATTTGAGGAAGATTCAAAACAGTGAATGTATAGGACTGAATTTAAAACAACAACAACAACAGCAACAACAACGGCAGCAACAACAGCCCCCTGACCTGAGAGGAAACAAAATTTAGTTAGGGAATAATGGAAAACTTATAGAAATTATAAATTCTTCCAAATAATTTGAGAGAATATTGAGTCTCTAAAACAAGATTAGCATCTAAGAAAAAGGAACAGATAATAAGAAATAGCTTTTAAAATTAAAGTGTGAATGTGAAAGTAGAAAACTAAATAGAAGAGCTCTGAAATAAAATGGAGCCACAGGAAGAACAAATTAATTATTTTGAATATAAAGCCAAGACCTTAGCCAAGAAACGTATGACACAAAGATGGAGCCAATGAAAGAAATGTTAGGAGATGGAGGATACATTTAGTAGTAGCAGCATCTGTCGAACTCAGTGTTACCTCTGGCACCCAGTTAAGGCTTCTGCCTCCAGAACACATCTAATTCAATTGCAGATAGAACAATATCGATTTGTTTTTTTCAAAACGTTTCTTTCTTAATTCCCTTTTTCATCCATTAACTTAATAAATATTTTTTTAACATCTTTTTACATTCCTGTTACTGTGTTGACCCGGGGCATAGAGCAGACTTGGTTCTTGCCCTCGTGGAGTTTACAATTTAGATGATAGAGCAGGATGTAGGGGCTCTTGCTTTCTGTGCAACATTTAATATTAACTCTGCCTAGGCTGCTGGAAATGCACTTCTAAGATGTTTGACTGTTCTCCTATTAGTTTTTGAGGTCTGGTTCTAAGCTAAACAAACAGGCTGTCATTTGGGTTCTAGTGGCAATTTCTGTACTCCCTATAAGTATGCTTATTTTTCTTTAGTGTTTTTCTTGGATTAGAGAGAGGATTTGAGAAGACATTCTTGATCCAGATAAGTGAAAGGGAATTTAATATTAAAAGAAAAATAATATTTAGCTCTTTTTAAAGCTAGCAAGAAATCAGAGAAACAAGATAATCTTCCCTCCCTCCCTCCCTTCCTCCCTTTCCTCCCCTCCCTCCCCCACCTCTTTCCTTCCTCATAAAAAACCATGTTATATTGACAAGAACAGCACAGATCCATCTATTTTGAATTATAAGTTTTTAATTAGCATTTGTAGTTCCCTGAAAGATATTTTAGCTATTGCACTCATTTGTGGGTATATTACATTACAACTTCTCTTCACTTATTTTTATATTCCTCTGAATTCATTTTTAACCTTCAGACAAAATTTAGTTTTTGTTGGTATTCCTTTAATCTCTCCTAAGTCAGTATATGTGCATTCTAGCTTCCATACTTTTCAATAATTACTCTGAATGGGCGTTGAATGATGAATGGAGCCAACATATCCAGAGAATAGCTGACTTTTAGCATTTGCCTTTAACAGCACAATTTGCCAAATGCATCCTTTGGAATAGTGTTTTTATTTGTTTATTTATTTTTAACTGCTCTGAGTTATACACATTGTTTTTCTCCCAAGTTTTTGCTTCATAGAATTGTGCTTCTTAGTAAGAAGTGGCTCATGATTCTAATAGTCCCTTAGTATTACTTAAGTCTTTGCAACCACCAGACTCAGCATTCACCCTGACGCGATGCTCAGTTGACACTTGAGAGCAAGTGGGAAGAGTTCACCTAATGCCTCATCTAGGGTACATGCTGTTCCTATTGTATCTTCTTACTTACTTGGCAGTCCATTGGAACAAATTGTTGATTTTATTATCAAATCCATTATCATTCTGAACTTCTTACTATCTCTGCTGCTGCTTGGCCTACCCAGACCAGAGCAATGGCCTTTTGTTTGGTCTCCGATAATTAATTCTTCCTAATAGAGCCAGTGAGTTAAATATCTAGATGACATTGTTTTCATTTAAATAGGTAATAGACATACAAAGATAAAATTGAAAAGGCACAACAGCCTATACAGTGACAAGTAAGTCTCCTTCCTGCTTCTGTCCTCCAGCCATGGTTCCTCTCTACAGAGGCAACTACACATATTCCCTTTTGACTTATGTGCATATGTTCACAAAGCTGCTTCTTGCTAGATGAAGATCCAAATCCTTAGTATATTTCATATACTTGCATGAGTATATGTCTTCAGTTGTATTTCTCAGCATATTCTCTAGTTTCCTCTCCTCCAGCCACACTGTACCTAGACATATTCTTTTGTTGTAGATCCTACCTTGCTTTTCCCAAACTCTACACAACATATGCACATTTCTACCCTGAAGGTTCTTCCTCCTTCTTTGCACCTATTTAGCTCAACTCTCCCAGGTTAGACAATATCTTCTCAGAGAAATCCTCCCTGAACCTACAGTTCAGATCAGGCCCCTTTAAGACAATATTCATGTTTTGCTTTCATAACATTTATCACAGTTTGTATTTATATATTTAATGATCATTTGCTTAATGTCTTTCTCCTTTGCAAGACTGTTAGTAACATTAGGGCCTGTGTGTTGCTCGACATTGTTTACTCAGTACTGGCACATAAATAGTTAAGAAACATCTATTGAATAAATGCTCAAGAATCCTCATTTGCTTGTGGGAGGTATCTCTTTCATTGTAATCCATTCACTTATTTCTTGTCTACTGTTTTTTATATGGCCAGTCTCCTAGAATTTCTGTCCCCCGTGGATTTAATATGTTTTAACTCAGCAACTCTTAAATAAGCGTAAGTATTTTGGATAGTAAGAAAGGGGAAAAAGAAGTGAAAACTGTAGGAACACAAAGGATGATCCTGTCACTTCTGAGATAGACACACTGTATTTGAGCTACTGTACCAATGAGCATTATGATCAGCTTCTCTATGGAAGGTATAATTTCTCCCTTAAACTCTCCAAATATATGTGACTCCCAGCTTATGTGACTTTCGAACTCTAAGATCCACAAGGGCAGAAATTATGATCTATCTTGCTCACTGCTATGTTCCTAGAATTTACGACTATTCCTGTGAGGTAGACATTGACTAGATATTGTCTAACTGGAAGTTTAAATTGAATGTGGCCATATTGTGTATTTACAGAAGTATTGTAGGAAGAGGAACTTGCAGTTATTCAGGGAAACTCTGGCACATTATGTTACTAATGTCAAATACTGGGGAGACATAGAGAAGTATTATTTGTGCTCATAGTTTTGGCTCTTCTTTTCTCTAGTAAATGTAGTAGGTTTTGTCACAACATGATGGGTTTGCCTTGTAAGAAAAATAGAGATTTTGTTAGTCCAGAAACAATCATTTTATTTGACAATGTTGCAGTGTATCTGTGACACTGAGATGGAAATAATAATTTTTTAAAGTTTTCCAAACAGGGTAGGGTAATGAATGAATAAGGGAAATAGAAAACTAACCATTTTAAAGCTTTGGTTAGATGATTGATTAGTGCATATGGGCTACTTTGAATATACAGTATCTGCACTGGTTTATTTCTAATGGACAAAGAGATTACTAGTGTTATTATTTAAAATGAGAATGCATTTTCTCACGTAGATAGCACAATAAATATCCTGAGATTCATATGGCCCTCATGGAGGATCAGTCACTGACTGTGGTTTATATTTACTTTCTGTGCCTTTCCACAGTTACAGTTATCTTTTTTAAAGGTATTATTCCATTTCTTGGCTTTAGTAAGAGGTGCCTGTAAAAGAATTCTTTCATTTGAAATCAGTGAAACAGGAATTTATAAGCAAAGGAAAATGGATTGCTAAGAAATAAATATTTGTGAAATGACCCAAGGTGAGTTTTAAAAAATGTGTTTGGATAGAGCATTTCTACTTTATTTTCTTAAAAATCCAAAATTGTTGGTCTTTCACGGGGAACATCTCAGTGCTTTTAGGATAACACCTGTTGTTATGGATTTATTTTTGGAATTTTTGACCTCAAGTGTGAATGCTGCATAGCCTTGTGTCATGAGTGTTTACCTCGCTTATTTAGCCTGGCGCAGAGGTTGGGGGTTGGGGGTAGGATTCCTCAGATATGTATTCAGAAAATTAAATTACTTCTTAGTAGTTATAACATCACAATTGCATTTAATATTTATACAGTATCATAATTATCTGTCACCTCTTTTTGAAATCCATGCTTTTGTTTTCTTCTCATTGTGTAATAAAATGGCAGTTTCCAAAGATGGATGTCTTTAGTTTTTAAATGACATGTTGATTTTTTTCATGATATCTGCAAATATTTTTGTCTTTTTTGACCTCAGAACAAATGTAAAGCATTGATTGGAGCACACACAAAAGTTAGGAAATATGCTGCTTGGCAACTGAGTAAAAGTAAATATATAGTCTCTTAAACTTCCAAAAAAGTATACAATAGTACAGGATGGGTTCTATTCACAAGCTTTCTGTCTGTAACGTAAAAGATATCACTATCTAAAAATAAAATCAGAATGATGAATTTCAGTGACAACAATAAAAGTTTTGGGACCGTGAGAGTTGTTCATCTAATTGAGGGCACTGCCTTTTCTTGTCCTCAGGTATAGGATATTGCTCCATTTTAAGCCATTGAGGGAGAAGGGCTTTGTATTTAAATTGCAAGCTAATAAATAGTCTTTTTCTCATTAACACACATGACCTTTATGATATGTGCTCTCATGCATACTGGCCCAATTTCTCAGTCTCTGTTAATGATGTTTGGAACCTCTGTTTAACATGAATTATTTTCTACCTGAATCCCTGTAAATTCACGATAGGTGTTAATTGTAGTGATCTGCTTGTCCTGTTCAGGAAAGAAAAATATCAAAATGAACCCTACTTGTTGCACTTTTTCTGATTACTTCAATATGTGTATAAAATGATACTATTTATGAAAGTTATGCAGGCAGCTTTGTAATACTTCTGATATTATGATATTATATATAATACATGGGTTTCTTACTTCAAATTAAGCTCTTTTCTATTCTTTCTTTCTTTCTTTCTTTCTTTCTTTTTTTTTTTTTTTTTTGAGACAGAGTCTCACCCTGTTGCCCAGGCTGGAGCACAGTGGCGCGATCTTGGCTCACTGCAACCTCTACCACCTGGGTTCAAGCTATTCTTGTGCCTCAGCCTCCTGAGTAGCTGGGATTACAGGCATGTGCCACCACACCCAGCTAATTTTTGTGTTTTTAGTAGAGATGAGGTTTCACCATGTTGGCCAGGCTGGTCTCGCACTCCCGATCTCAGGTCATCTGCCTACCTTGGCCTCCTAAAGTGGTGGTATTAGAGGCATGAGCCACCGTGCCTGACCCTGTGTTCAGATTTTCATGTATGCAAAATTGAATACTGATCTTTAGGCACAGTGGCTCATGCCTGCAATCCTAGCACTTTGGGAGGCTAAGACAGGAGGATCTCTTGAGGCCAAGAGTTCGATACCAGCCTGGGCAACATAGTGAGACCCTGTCTCTACAAAAACAAAATTAAAAATTAGCCAGGCATGGTGGTGCACACCTGTAGCCCTAGCTTTTTGGGAGCCTGAGGCAGGAGGATCACTTTAGCCCAGCATTTTGAGACCAGCCTGGACTACATAGTGAGACCATTTCTTAAACAAACAAACAAACGAATGAACATCTCTAGCTCCTGGTTAAATATGATTGATTGAGCACGTGTGTTCATCTGTCCTCATTGAAATGTCACTAAAATGCCAATGAGGAATAAAAACCCCCATAAACCCACAATGATACAGAGGATGGGAAGGATACTATAGTAGACCAGAGATGTTTGCAGATTTATAATTCTATAGACAGTTTGGGAATAAATTATTGTAGGTAGATAGAAAATTAAGCAACCTAAAAAAAGATAAAGCTAAGGCAGTGATTATCTGTAGGGAATACAAAATTATACAAAAAAAAAAGAAAGAAATGTAACCCTGGCATACTATGTGGCTCAGGTCTAATAATTTATAATAATGTATATATTAATGTTGATTTAACAAAAAATTGTGATAAAATTATAATTTGAGGAAAGATTGGGAGGGGAAATGTGGAGGGGTTTAAGGGAGCTAAATTCACATTCTTTGTAGTATTATTTCAAAGGAATTAAATTGTATCAAAGACTTTAAAAGTAAACATTAGTATTATAAGTATGGAATTTGGTGGTAACACCAGAAAAAAAAAATCTGAGTTAATTTTATTGATTCTCTTTTGCTTTCTCCATCCCCAGTCACCCCAGAGCCTACAGACACTAATGCATAGGGTAGAGACGATTGCAGCTGGAAGATCTGAGTGCTAGTCCTGACTCTTTCACCAACTAGCCATTCATTTTTCAATTTAAAAAGTCATATTATTTCATAATTCTTAAACCACTTCATCACCCAAGTTCTGTACTATGTCTCATAGATATTTTCCTCTATTATAAGCAGAGTATGTAAGAAGAAACTATTTCCAGCAGCTCTCTCAAATGTATTAATTTCTTATTTGCTTTGTCACTCAGTCATTTACCTAAGTGGCTTTAGAATTACTCTTTCAGTGGAAGAATAGACTATTTTTCTTCTTAAATGGCCGAACAGTCTTAATAACTTGGGGGATAGCATGGAATTACATTTGCATGAATGAAGAGCAATAGTTTCTTTGGTTGGGGCAGATGGAAATATTTTCAGTTCTACATCCTGTGACATTTGTGAGAAGTTCAGATATTTCCAAAATTGCAAAAAGCCATCTGGCCAAAATGGCTTGGCCCTGTTAACTTATTTAGCCCTTCCCAATTACATTTCTTAGCTTTCTCATGTCTTACGTTCTCAGTTTTTACAAAGTTTATTCAACAGTGAATATGATAGTAAATGATGCATAGTGTTTTGAAAGGCACCCAGCTATTACATTGAATTTTATTTAGGTTTCAGAACCCTGTAGATTGAATGGGCATGCAGAAAATATCCAGTATTGATGCACCTGGGCTCAGGAAGACATGATCTTGTCCAAAGGTTCATATTAGCCAGGTCATTGCTACTTCATGTCATATCTGCCTTTGCCAACCAGTTTTTTGTTGTTATTGTTGTTTTACAGGGCAGTAAAGAGCAGCTGATAATAGACACAAGCCAACATTTAATGAAGTCAAGTAAGCTAATACTTAAAGTAGACAGAAGGCTTTGTCCTCTGAAATCCCCCCTGAGTCTTGGTCTCCCTCTTTCCTTCTTGCCCCAACTCTGTCTTTTCTCTGTCTCTTTTTTCTTCCCTTGCCTTTTAGTTCTTATGTCTCACTGTTTTTAGTTGGTTTCCTTAATTTGAGTCTCTCTTCTTTCTTTTCTGATCTTTATTTTCAGTCCTGTTCATTGAACTCCAAGAAAATAACATATGTAGGAAATGTAATTCTAACTGTGGTTTAGTAGATGAGACCATGGAAGGCTAGGAGGTAACTGTAGAATTAAAAATTAGAGTTTCAGTTTTTGAAGAGTGTTGCCAACAGCACAGGCAATCTTGTCAGAGAAAGAATTATCCTAGTTTTTCCTTTTGCTGGGAAATTGTGAGTTGAACCAGATTTCCAGCAAGCAAAATACATTTTAATAGGTATTCTCTTTTCCTAGCTCAAAATAGTTTTTTTTATTTAGAGGAAAATGTATTTTGTTTCTACTTGAGGAATTTGAGGTTTATTGCTATTTTTATAAAGTGAATAGACACTATTTTATGTGTCTTCTGTTACAAAAAGAACAACTTTCTAGATGGGAGAGATGATTAACTTGCATATCAGGGTTAGGCTAATTACTACTATCTGTAATTTTCCCAAAATATATCTGGAAGCTGCTTAATTGCTATAGCATTTTTAAAAAATCTCTTTCCTTTCTCATAGTTTTTCCCACCATAGATAATTCTCAATTATTTCAGGGAAGTTGCCTATCTTTGTATCCCCTGAAGCTTCTAACATTTTAGTTTCTTAGTAAATACTTGTTGAACAAAAAGAAATACCAATCTAGTCCAGTCTCTGGCAGTAAATACTTGTTGAACAAAAAGAAATACCAACCTAGTCCAGTCTCTGGCCCTTGTTACCTGTTTTTTGTAGTTTGTTACCTGTTCATAGAATCATTTAGGATTTTTGCTTCTGGGTAATAGTGCCACTGTAATTCCCAGAGCTTTAAAATGGTGTCTTAATTTAGATCTTTTGTTAGCTCCGTTCCAAAATTTCTTCCTCATTGTACAATGTAAATAGGGCAAAGATAAAAAAATCCAGGCTTATTCCTTTTTTTTGGTGAAATACTAGATATCAAATGGATATCACATTCATTTATTTGTTCATTATTCTCACAATAGCCAAATCGAATCTTAAATAAAGGGATCAATAGAGATGATTTAAAAGATCATGTCAACTGAAAAACATTTAGCAGTATGGCATTTTCTCCTATAGTTGTGGTCTTTGAATACATCATAATTTTCAATATTTTCCCTTCCTAGAAAATAAATACAGGCAATCTCTGTTGCCTTAAAGGGTTTTACAAGTAAGTTTTATTACTTGAGGGTGCAGAAATGCCAAGCTATTCCAGGCAAGTGACCAAATAATGTCTGGGACTCTTTTTCTGGCAAAACAACTAACTATCTTTTCAGGTTCATGAGAACCAAATAGGACTTCAGCTGATTTTTTTTCTTTTAAAATAGAATTATCTATTGGCAGGACCTTATCTCTAATCTTTTTCTAGCTTTCTGTTTTCTTGTAGGACTATTTTGATTTATTGTGAGCCATTTTGCAGGGTTTTATTTACAAGTTTTACCTAACTTGGAACAAGAAATAACATTTGTTTGTTTGCAGATGCCTAGTACAATGTAAAATAGCATAAGCGGTTATATAAGAAACAATGAATTATATTGCCTATGTAATACAAAGTAGCTACCACAACTAAAGAGAAAGACAAGCTACTTCCTTCTTACTTTGATCTTATGGCCCCTGGAGTTAATTTGGGGCAGGAAATGCCAGTGCTGGAGGGCTGCCACGTCATTGGACAAAGTGAGAGCTTTTGGTTATTTTCTTTATGAGCTGTCACCCTAGTTTTGCTAGTGCTGAAGTGACAATAGCAGAAGAAAAGCTTTAGCTAAAGGGACCTTGTTTTTTTCCAGTGGAACAAAAACATCAAGATTACTCTAGGCAATATGACATTATTCACATTCACTAAATCTTTTGAAAAGAATGAATGGAGTACCTTTTTGTATTTTAAAGTAGGTTTATACAAAGGTGTAGCACAAGGCTGGTCACGGTGGCTCAGGCCTGTAATCCCAGCCTTTTGGGAGGCCTAGGGGAGCAGATAGCTTTGAGCTCAGGAGCTCGAGACCAGCCTGCGCAACATGGGGAAACCCCATTTGTACAAAAAAAACCCCACAAAAATTAGCTGGGTGTGGTGGCTCATGCCAGTAATCCCAGCTCCTCAGGAAGCTGAGGCTGGAGGATCACTTGAGCCTGGGAAGCAGAGGTTGCAGGGAGCTGAGATCATGTCACTGTACTCCAGGCTGGGAAACAGAGTGAGACCCTGTCTAAAAACAAAAAACCAAAACCAAAAGTTGTAGCATATACATCTGTACTTTAACTGAATGAGATTTTTAAAGTATAATTTCTTAAATCATTCATATTAAAGTTCTCATAAAAATCCAAGACTAGTTTCTGTTCTCCTTTGTTAGAGCTGTTGAAATACCACTTAGTTTTTAGAAATGGACTGCTTCTGACTGTGCTTTTATCATTCAGAGCATTGAAGTAGTAATTTAATATTTTTATTCCTCAAATCAAATTATTTTTTTCCTATCTTTGCTCTGCTTCTTGGCTTATCAAGCTTGATTATTATATTTGCCTTTTCTTATTTTGAGCAATGTGGTCTGAGTGTATGAAATAGAAAAAAATGATCTTACTAAGTAGATAAAACAATATGGTGGTGTTTTTGCATAATGGAAAAATTGTGAATTCTGGCTTAACGTATTTTTTTTGACATGATTAGGAAATGGTGAAATGAATAATTACCAACTAACACTGATTAAAATTCTTTACTTCCAATGGAAAATACCATTTTTATAAGGTATCCAGATGGCTCTTCCAGCATGCTTATTATTATAAATTGAATATAGAATGAGTCTTCTCGTAAATAAAGCGTACTTTATTTCTGTTATACCACTATAAATGCTATCAAATAGCTGAGGTGGAGGAAATTTACCACATTTCCACCAAACCTTATTGCCACTAGAAAGTGAACTAACCCACCATATTTTTGCAGCATTTCAACATGACGAAGACTATATATCGTTAGCCTCTAGATTTATGCATTTCTGTTTGTTTGTAGTGAGATTCTTAATTCTGTGCTGTTATGATAATAACAGCAAGCTAACCACCTTTCAACAGCAAGCTAACCACCTTTCAACCTTTCAATTTGTTTAACATGGAGAACAAATCCCTGTCACTACCACCTGTAAAAACTTGCTAGTGATGTTCCTTAAAGTTCGTTACCTGAAATTTCTTACTGATAATATAAAATATGGTTGCTGAAAGAATCTTTCTCATAGAGGTTAAATGAGTTTATATGTCTGTTCATGCTTAGCATTTCCTAAGTGCTGGTGATGATGATATTGATGATGCTGTTAGCCACATCATTTGGGATCAAGTAGAATTATCTTTGTCCGTTTACAGCTGGCTTTGCTTCCATTTGAAAATAGTGCAGGAATTTGGTTAATACTACTCCAGAGATTAGAGATTAGCACACCTGGAGGACTGCATCCAATTTCTGGTACTATATTTTAAGAGAGACTTTAATGACTTGAATCATATCCAGAGAAGAGTGACCTGAATTGCTTTAAGGACATGGGTTTCTTCAGTATGGAACAAACAAAACTTAGAGAAAGGCTAGCATAATCAATAACTTGCAGGGCTGCCCTATGGGATGTAGATTAGATTCATTTTTTTTTATTTCTAAAATAGAATTGGTTAAGATTAGAAAGAAACAAATATCTCAGGCTACCATGAGATGGAAAAATCTATTTACTCCTAGGACTTTTAAAAAATGTAATAGGGTGGCTGGGCGCAGTGGCTCACGCCTGCAATCCCAACACTTTGGGAGGCCAAGGCGGGTGGATCATGAGGTCAGAAGTTCAAGACTAGCCTGGCCAAGATGGTGAAACCCTGTCTCTACTAAAAATACAAAAATTAGCCGGGCATGGTGGCGGGTGCCTGTAATCCCAGCTACTTGGGAGGCTGAGGCAGAGAATTGCATGAACCCAGGAGGCCGAGGTTGCAGTGAGCTGAGATCATGCCACTGCACTCCAGCCTGGGCAACAGAGCAAGACTCCGTCTCAAAAAAAAAAAAAATTGTAGGGTGACATATAAGCAACTGACCTACTATTTACTATATAATGGTAATGTCTGTCAGTCACATCATTGGGAGGTTTGAGGGCTGTAGGAGGATAACAGGATGGGCACTGAAGCCATCTTTTATTCTGAGATAAGAGGTCTTTGATGATACCTTGAAAGTGTGGGCAGCTCTAGTCTGGATTAAGAGTGAAATAGTGGAGTCAAGAGATAATATTATAAAGTTTGTCAAAGGCAGAATGACAGGCTTTTGTAATAGTGTATTTGGGAGACAGGGAGAATATGAGGCCTTCTTTTTTGTATGTTCTTGATTTTGTATAATAAGCATATGTTAATTCTGCAATAAAATATACTAAGTTATTAACATGTAAAAATTATTTCATATTTGAAATGGTGTATTTTAAAATAATAATGTGGCATCATGATGGTAATGTTGGGATTTCAAGTCAAGAACTTTGGAAGAGGTTTAATATTAAAATTATTTTCTGAAGCCAGAGTATTTAAAGATCACAGGGTTAGCTTTTCCCAATACAGTAAAAATCTTTATTGATAAGGCCCATCACTTCTAAGAAAGACACAGCTCTGTCACAGTGCTCACTTTGGAGGAATGGAAAGACTCAGTGGGATTGCAGATTTGTCTGAAAATATTTTTATTCAGTTTCTCCTTCCTTATGACCAATAATTCATCAAGGTAGGTTAGCATGGATAATAAATTAAATCCCAGGCATAATATGTATGAGTATGTCTTATATCTTAAAAAGTACTTTATAGATATGTAATCAGTAGAGTGTTATAATATCCTCATATTTGATTTTAGTTTCAAAATCAGGGGCCATTGGTCTCATAGATATTATGGTGTTTTATATCTTCTGGTTTCAGTAAAGCTAAAACTGGATTCATTTTTTTCCAGAATGAGATGACAGTTTGTGCCGAATTACTTACATGTTCTACCTGATATTCTGAGTATTCACACTGAAACAATTGGCCTGAGTAGTATAGCCTAGTATTGGGGTAGAATTTCCTTATCAATAAAATGAAAATTACTCTGTTAAATATATTTAGTAAATATTTTGTTTAAGAGGCTACCTGGCCCTTTTCTATTATTGATACCATAGTGAAATGGAACGGACACATCTGCTGTGGTGAGATGGAGTCCTCTCCACTAAATTAGGAGCTAGCATCAGGATATTAAAGAGGTCTTTTTAGAGTATATTCAGGTATGAGTATTTTAAATGTCACAGGAAGGTGGATGTGATGTGCTTTTATCCTATTTATTTTTTGTTTAGAATTTTCTCTTTGGTTTCAGGCGAAAATCTCCGAAAGTTTTTTTCAAACAAAACATTATTGAAGAATTGAAAAATAACTATTTTCATAATGCATGTATCAGAGTTCCCCAAAACACTTCTGATAAAATTTCATAGCAAAAATATCTCCAAATTTTATGTTTTTCATAACAGAAGAGATAAGTTAATACTATAAAAATGCATCCTCAAAACTGAGCTTTCAAAAATGCTGTGACATAATGCACTTTTTACTCTTAATAATCCAAATTAGACTACCTTATCTTAGATAATATTAATAAAACTTTGCTTCTTAGGAGGGCACAATGATAAGAAACTATAGAAAATATAGAATGGATACCTGATTTATGTGGATCAGTACATCTACAAATACTCTTTCTTTAAGTTTTGAGTTCAACGTTCCAATTGGAAACATAATAGAGAAGATTTTAAAAATATTATCTGAAGAAAGTGATATAAAAATCTAGGTAGTTAGAAGTATGTCTGGTATTATACAAAATATAGTCTAAGGAAATTAGACACAGTACTTTTTTTGGTTTTTCCTATATCTGTTTATATACTCATTAAACTCTATGTAACATATTTGTGAAATTTCTGAAAAAGAAATACAATTGACAGTGGAAACAGAACTAGGTCAATCTTAAAATCAAAGACATCAATCACAATTTTACATTACATTTGGGCTTCTATATACAAAATTACCCAGAATACTTAGGCTCTCTTTCCTTTATTTGTCCTTTGGGGAGACAGTAGAAAGCTGGAGTGACATTTTGGCCATCTACGAATTTCATAGGAGATGTATTTTTAAAATATCTGAAATTAGATATCAATCAAATACTGGACTATAATAACTGAAGATAAAGGGTGTTTGTTTCTGAGAGTACGCTTATGAGGCTTTTGAGTATGTGTGATTTCAGATTAGGGAAGGTTTAAGAGGGTGGAGTATAGAGTGTGCCTATGTCTATTTTCTTTTGTCTTTTATTTCCCACGTCTTCTCATATTTCTACCTCTGGAGGAAGCTGGGTGCTAGACTACATAGGGAGTTAGGATTGAAATATGACAAACGAATCTTTGTACCCTTATAAATTAATTCTGGTCTTTTAAATTTGGCATAGTCATTTTTTTCCTAGGATATTGGTTTCTAACATGGTTAGCACAAAATGAAGTTTGATTTTTACCCACCTCCTGATTTTTCTTTCTGAAGCCAGCTCCTGCTTTGTCCTTCAGAACTTTCTCCCAGTTGCCTAGCACTCTGTCATTACTAAAAATTTTCAGCCTATTAGTATCTTCATGCCATCCCTAATCTACCTTAACATTTCTCTGCCCTCTAATTGGGATATTGTATAAAGATTGTCTTAGCTCTGAATTAGAAGCCTCTCTGGACTACGTTACAGTAACTGAGAATGTTGTACTCCCCCCAAATATGTGTAATCGTCCCTCTGCCTATCATACTTTTGTTTCCCTGAATTGCAATTGCCAGATTCATTTGTTGGTATTTACCTTTTCACTCTCAGTTTTAGGATGTCAGGAGATTTGTCTATTGCAGTCAATGTTGAATCTCTAGTAGCTAATATTTTGTCTGGTACACAGTAGATCTTCAATAAATGGTGTGTGAATAAAGCATGGGCCACTCCTTGCTTCCCTGCTTAGAAACCTTGCTACTATTAGACCTGATCCTTGGAAGGAGCACTAACACACAAATGACTCATTAAAATAACAACAGTAACAACAACTAAGCTTGGCCATATCATTTGGGATGAGAACATAGGTCAACATAGTGACTTTAGTACTCGTTGAATACTGAGGAGCTTCTTTATACATGAAAATATTTCTGCATGTCAATTTAATTCCATAGAATCTCATTAACCTAAGAAAGTCTTTTAAAGAACCACCTTCTTTCTTTCACTCAGACATATAGATGATCACCTTCCTCTATGGGTAGCTATAGATTTTAATCACACAGATAAGTTTGATGGTGTCCAGTTTTTATTTAAACTTTTTGCTACCTCTTTTATCAATATGCAATCCCTGTCATCTAAACTATAATAAATAATTTTGTTCTCTTGAACTACATTATACAATTTATAAAGTAGAACTCCTAAGAACCCAAGATTTGCAATAGATTACACGTCAGTCAACAAAGCTAAGCATTATCAGCTCACAATGACATCTGACTCTCTAAGCTGTTGGTGTTGATGTGGTGTTCTGAGTTTCCCATGCCTATAGTGTCAGTACTCACAAGGATGAAAATGTTGAAGAGAAGTTTCTGTCTTCTCAAACTTCACTTTTTATGCAGGATGTACCTTCTAAGATTGAGTTATTGTGCATGATAAGTGTAATCGGAGAGTTGGCAAGCAGGTTAAACATAATTGACCATTCTGTATTTTCCTGTAATGGACTGAGAAAGAGAAGAGCTTTATAGATTGGGAATGTGAAGTAGATGCATGGAAATAATTGCAGAAAAATTCTTTTAAAAGTCCCTAGCCTTCCATCTACTTGGAACTTCATGTATATTCCTATTTTAAAGGTTTTATTTATAAGAATATGCATAGGTTTTCCTTTCTTGATAAACTAGTGTTCTTTGTGTTTGGCAAATAAGTAGTAACTGCAATTTGACAAATAAAGACTCTTTATCCCCATTTTCTGATGCGAAACTGAGATAGGAATATTATAAAAGAACATACTGATGGGGAGAGTTAGAAGATAATAGGAACAATTAATGAATCTAATGTACTATTGATGGATTGTTCCCTCTCCAAAAAATCACCTATTAGTTATTGTTGTGAGTTATGGCATGCTTATAAAGTTCCTGTTATTATTTCTCTTGGTGTTGAGTCATTTGGTTTTTTATTTTTTTGCTCTATGTTATTATTTTTGTTACAGTTAATATGCATTCATATTAACTATATGAATATATAGTTCGTATGTTTTCTTGGGGAAAAATACTTAAATACTTCTCTGAGACTGATATATAAATTGGAATGTTAATGCTGAACTCAAAGAAATTTCATGAGGATCACATAAATTGGGTTGTAATTATGTAATGTATTATACACATTTATATGTAATATATATTACATTATACATGTACAGAAAGAGATGTGCAGGCCTGTCTATCAGCATGCCTGTCATATTGTAAGATGGCAAATGTTCATTTTCCCACACCTCTTCTTTAGATCTGAAGTGGATTTCCTAAGAGCACAGCAAATTGTTAATCTGGCACATATTCACAATTTAGTGAATGTTTCCTTCTTTTCTTCCTTTCCTTTTTCCTTCCTTCTTAATTTGTAATCTTTCTACTCAAGTAAATATAAATGCATGTTTATCCAAACATAATATGTTAATAATATATTTATTATTTTCTATGCATGCGTCAACAGAATATCTCAAGCGTTGCACTGTCACTTTAGGACTGAGCCTGGACTGTGGCACACATAATCCACTGGAAGGAAAACCTAATTCCCTTTAGCCTCACACAGTTATTTTTGTTGTGGTTCATTTTTTTTTTCACTGCAATCACTTAATTCCTATTGATTTGTGTGGAAAATATATTGTTTGTAGAAAGAAATGAATCTTTTTTTTTCTACTTTTAAAATGCATTTTATATATGCCATATCCGTGGTTAGAAGAAATTTTTTTACACTCAAAGGTTTGAATTGACTTGTTAGCATCATATACTTATATGAATTCATGCATTTTATATGTAATTTTTTTTAAAATCTTGAAAAAATAAGTGATTTAATATGAAAGTTCTGTACTAGAATTTTGTTTCATTGATTAATTTACTAGGAAATAGGGATAGGAAGGTAAGAGCTTTAAAGTTGTTTTGGAGACATGATTTCTTGTTTTTTATTGAATAGGTGACTCTTCTCTGAAACCATTATTAAAGAGATGTTTACTAGAGGTATCTGACCTTAATCCCAGTTCTGATAATGAATTTCAATTTTATATCGTATTCTTTTGAAAGACCATTTGGGTGTGTTTAGCTATATTGCTTTAATAATGATACCTCTGTTGGTTTAAGAACTATTTCTGTCTTTACCAGCCTTGAGTCTAGTACCACAAATGACAGGGAGGTTATTTTATTACAGCCTGATTCTCTCAATGTGAGGATTAAGAGGGTTAATTTATGTTCCAAGCTCACTCCATTATTTGTTCCAGAGTCTGGTAAACATTACTAAGGAGTATCACAGTTGGATTTTGAATCAATAACTTCAGACACTGAACCATATATTTTAATGAGAAGCTGGATTTTCTTTACAATGGTCACATCATACTATTAGTTTCTTGGTGATGTAGTAGAGTTAGAAAAGGTAAATATAAACACACAAAGTACTGTGAGGTCTCCAAATGTCGTTGTAGCTCATCCTTCTAAAAGGCTTACTAAGGTCAACCACAATTCTTTTTGCTATGCTGTTACTCTGGGCCACTTCTCAATAATTTTGAAATTGTGTATGATACTAGCTTTGAATTTATCACTTATTTGAATTCTTCAGTTTGCTCCTAAGAAAAAGTCGTATTGACATATCTGTGAGTTATTTACACCCTTCGTTGGTATATGCTCTATGGCTTATTTCAAAGATGAGCTAGGAGCCTTCTGAGATGTATATACAGTGAACTAGAATAGGTAAATTCAAATCTCTGTAGGCTTGTCTCTTTTTAGTATGAACAAAAAGGAATCATGTTCTGTTTCATATGATGTCTTCTCACTTGAGAATACTAAATGCATACTACTCAATTCATGAGCCTTCTGTGTATATTGTAAATGAAATGTTTAGGCCAAATTTTGGAAATAATCTATATTCTGCTGTAATATTCTTTTTAAAAGTTTTTTCTCTTAATAATTTTTCTTATAATTGGATATATGTTTTATGACTGTTAATATTAACTCTGATTTTGCACTTTGCTCCTCTGTAAAAATAATATTTTCATTTTCCTTTAGAAGAATAACGTAAATCTAGGCCATGGTCACTCTTAACACTCAAGTCCTTACTTTTCAAATGAACAGATAAAAGTAGTCACTATTGTGTGAAAACTGGAGTCAGTTCTGTCTTTTCCCAAAACTCCATGATACTGATTGTAGCTGTTTCTAGATGTGGCATTCCAGTACAACGCTGTAGTTCTCCCAAGCAACGACCTAGTTAGCAATGCATTCGTTAGGGTAAAATGATATATAGAAGCAAAGCTGTAGTGAAAATATTAGCATCTGAAAGAGAAGATCATTGTAGTCTTTTCTGTTTAATTGATTGCAAAATATCCTTTTGGGACCCTTAAATATAGTAATATATAATGGTAATAATATATATAACATATAATATAGTAAATATAATGGTGACAACTATATTCTTCACAAAAATTTTTACTTATTTGCTATAATGTCGTGGGAAACTTGAGGAAAAAGGTTGGATCAAAGAAAATATAGCCACAATTTAGTTACTATTAATTACTCCCTATCTCCTAGAAAATCAGCATTGTGATGAAGCCCAAGATACTGTGAATGGTGACATATATAATTAGAATTATTTCCTCATATTTTTGATGGCTGTGAGATATGTTATTGAGATTTTTTCACTCCTTAATACATGCATACTTTTAAACTTTTTAGTTGTTTTTATTGTTTGCTTTAGTAGCTTCTGACACATTTTGGATTTTTCATCTAAAATGTTAATCTCTGAAATTTTAAGACTATGCTTTGTAGTTATTGGAACATCTTGTAAGGGTTAATGTGGATAGAGTAAGTTGGTTCTCCTCCTTGTAAAGATATGTAGACATTTTGTCTATGCTAGATAAACCTTTTTGAAATTCACTTCTCATTTTCTCTTTGAGTTTGAAATAGGGGTCACATAACAGGTATCCATGTTTTATGCATAGAAATAATTTATGGTAACTAAATATGCCTCTTTTTTTTGAGACGGAGTCTCACTCTGTTGCCAGCGTGGCATGCAGTGGTGTGATCTTGGCTCACTGCAACCTCCGCCTCCCAGATTCAAGCGATTCTCCTGCCTCAGGCCCCCGAGTAGCTGGGACTACAGGCATTCACCACCACACCCAGCTAATTTTTGTATTTTTAGTAGAGACGGAGTTTCACCATGTTGGCCAGGATGGTCTTGATCTCTTGACCTTGTGATCCACTCACCTAAGCCTCCCATAGTGTTGGGATTACCGGCTTGAGCCATCACACTCAGCCTAAATATGCCTCTTAATTTAGCCAGTCTAAAGAATACTATTAGGCTAGTTTCTGCAGATATAGTGAATAAAATCAATATTACATTTGAAGCAAGCTTTTACATCAAAATTGTGATGAGTAAAACATTTTAGACCAAGAAAAAAACCTTGTATTTTTTCTGAGCATTATCATTTTGTGAAAGTATGAATGATTAAGGCTGGGACTTTACCAAATTACACAGTTAACATGTATTTGTGAAAACACTGATAAAGAAAATAAACCAGAATATAATCTAGTAGAATATAAGTTTTAGATGGTCGAAAATTTGTCCTATTTATTTCTCTTTTTCCTGTGACTAATAGCCATACAATAAATGTTTATTGAATATAAACAAAAGATAATTAAATGAATAAACTAAGGAATTGTTTTAAACTTATGTTTGTGTGTAGTTTTACTTAAAAACTTTTTGTCTAATTAGAATAAAAACTTTAACACTAAAATAAGTATTAAATGACTAGTATATGTACCATAAATCTGTTTCATTTCTTTCTTGGTGAAATGGTTAGCATATGTCTGCCAACCTGTTGCTGCTTAGCTTTACTGACAATTATATACATTATAAAATACATATTTTGTTTTGCACTGTTTTTATATATTTTTGTATTCAATTGGGTATGCTTATTGTTAGAAAATCTTAATTTTATTTTGTAGTATCAATTATAAAATATGTAATTCTTCAAAAATTATTTTTGTGCCAAGGTGTTTTTCTCCATACAAGGTGAGCAGATTAGGTAGCATTCATACAGCTATAAACTTTAGCGTTTTATTTGTTATAGGTAAAGTTGTGTTTTGCAACAAGAACATCCATATCATATCACAAAATTGTAAGTTAAATGGTTTGAGTACTTTGACCAATGCTTAGTTTTATGTGAGGATTAAGAGGTAACAGAGAGAGTATGAAACACCATTCTCATTGAAGCAGATGTCTTTTCTCTCTCACTGGAAATTTATATTAAAATTTAAGCAAATCAGTAGGTTCATGATTTGCCTTGAGCATCTGTATATTTTTGGTTGTAACAGAAATACTTCATTTTAATGCTCACTACTAGATGTCTATTCAGAATGCATATTTCTTAACAAACTTTAAAAGAAATATGTAGATTAAAATGAATTCCCAGTGCTATGATATGTTTGTAATACTTCTTCAGGCAGATAGGTTTCAAAGAAACATACAAGGTACATGCTCAAGTTGTTACTGACCTATACTATGCCTGCCTCCTAATAGGTTGTATTTTGGCTCCTATGTTTTTGACAAATAGCTGAGCTCTGTAAAGCTCTGTTTGTGGTGCTGAAACCTCTCATGATGTATGAGCATGTCTGGCTGATAAATTCTAACGTCAGCCTCTGTGTGATAGTGATTCATCGGGTTGTAAAATTTGTGTTTGAGAAACACGTTGAATTAGCAAGTTTCATATTTTGGTTGTGTTAAAATCAACTCAATTTACCCTCTTGTTTTAAGAAATTCTTAACAATTGCCTTCCACATTGTCAAAAACAGCTAGGATTTAACTGGAAACTGTCCATGCTATCACAAAATAAATGTCTAATATTAACAAATAAATTGATATGACTACAGTGCTGGAAATGTTTATAGGCCAGTGAGATGTTGATATTATGCAGAAAGCTATTGTAAGAAAAGTTAAAAGTTGCTTATGAGCAGACACAGTAGCAATTAACATGAAAGCTTTGTAACTTTGAGAGATAAACAATTTGCCTATAAAAACTGTGGTATTTTATTGTCTCAGAATGTTTGCTTTGTACAAAAATACTTCTATTTTTGCAGGACTGTGGGGGTTTGTTTGTAAAAATGACTGAAATCCTCAAAAATCTTAATTCTCTTTTTTTTTAAGTGAAATCCGTATATTCCCTATATAAGATTTTTAAATGACTACTAATGTACTTGGCACTTCAATTCAATGATTTGTAATCTTTTAAGCTGTGGGTTTCCAGTGCCTTAAATATATTTTTAGAGGACTGGACTAAAAAATTAAATTCTTAATTGTTTCTTTTACTTTAAAATAGTTTCAGAAGCTTTTCCTTTAGTTAACATCATTCCTCTTAAATTTGTGTCAAACTCTGAAAGTATCTGAATTGTGTCATTTTTATATTGGAGTGAGCTAAATAAAAGAAATTTCAGAAAGTCGAACCTGTTAAACTTCTACTACTAATGCTATATGTTTTATGGTGTAATTTTAAAATCTTAGTGTTGGACTGAAACATGTTGTTTCCTTGCCATGTTTCAATATAGTAAATTATTAAGTTATTTGCTTGTTACTTCAGTGAAGCTCCTTAACTGTTTTGAATCAGAGAGAGATTTGAAAATTATACCTAGAGCATAAGTCATAATGAAATTTGGCAATAGTTTCTGCAAAGCAAGCAGCCTAGACCTGGCGTGGTGGCTCATGCCTGTAATCCCAATACTTTGGGGCACCGAGGTGGGCAGATCATATGAGGCCAGGAGTTCGAGAGCAGCCTGGCCAATATGGCAAAACTTTTTCTCTACTAAAAATACAAAAATTAGCCGGAGATGTAGTCACCTGCCTGTAATCCCAGCTACTCTGGAGGTTGAGGCAGGAGAATTGCTTGAACCTGGGAAGCGGAGTCTGCAGTGAGCCTAGGTTTTGCCACTGCACTCCTGCCTGAGCAACAGAGGGAGACTCCATCTCAAAAAAAAAAAAAAAAAAAAAAAGCAAGCGGCCTAAAACTAAGCTACTGCTAATTATTAAAATAAGACTTTATGTTGCCCAGATACTGAATTTATATTATCTCAACCTAATAATTTAATCTACTCCAAAAGCTACTTGTTAAAAAAATCCTTAAGTGAATACATAATTTCCTAGAGTTTCTGTCAATAGTTAAAGGGTTAAATACAAATTATGATTGCTATTTAATATTGATTAAATGCTTTCTGAAATCCATATTTGAGGCTTTATAAAAATGTAGGTAGTCCCATCACCCAAGAAAAGTGTCTTACTCTTAGCATTCCAAATTTCATTATAGAAAAACACCTTTTAAAAACTTTATCATTTAAATGATATCTGATCAGATGATATTTCCCAGAAATTATTCTTTATTTAGAAACAAAACAAGACAGAAGCAATTGATTTTAATCCAAAATGTATTTTTCCTTATAAAAGAGGTCCACATACTCACTGTGTCTACTCTACAGAATTTGTCCATTTTATTACACCACGTGTCAATTCAAGTTTATCTGGTCACTGCAAAAACTCGTGGCTAATATGTGTAATACAACACAGGAGGAGGTATTGCTCAGTTCAACTACTCTTATTTACTTAAAAAAAATACAGAAATGTTTTTGTCCACTTGAACTGTAGTCCAGACATAAAAGTTACATGAAAGTTTTAGAAAATGGAGTTATTTTATTTGGTTGCCACAGTACCCCTTGAAGCCAGTTACTTAAAATGCTGAAGTTGTACATATTTCCATTGGTCAGGAGCAGCATTGGTGAAGCTTAAACTTCTCTCTCGAAAGTAATCTTTTTTTACTTTTTTGTTTGTTTGTTTGTTTTGTTTTGTTTTTAGCACAACTGCAGTCTTTCGCTTTTTTTTTTTTTGTTCATTTTTGGAGTAGGTTTCCTTGGTGGTTTTTAGGACATATTTGTTGGTAAACCTATAACAGTTGCTTTTACTTTCAGTGATGTACTTTTTTCTTTTCCTGCTTCCCAGAGATTTATCAGAGGAGGATAAAGCTCACCTAATGCAAAGGTTGGTTTCTGTAAGTAATTCCTCACATAGCTGTGTCCACCATCACAGTTCATTTCTGGAGAGAGGCAGCTGATAAGACATATCACACCAATAATCCCCAGAAGGCCTCCAAGACAGGCCATAAGTGTTGTGGTATTATTCTTTTCATACTCTTTTTGATCAGGGTGCAAACCTTTGGTGGTGACATTTACACATTTTTTTCTGTTTTTCTGATAGATGGTGGGAATATCAATACAAATTTTATACTCAGTTGATGGATTCAGATGAGTAAGATTATATACCTTGACATCAGATGGTATTCGAGCACTTTGCGCAGCATGAGAATTTTCAGTCTTGACAAAGGCTGTCCATTTAACACTAGATTTGAGAATTTTAGAACTTGCTTTCCAGGACACCAAAACTGAATTGGCCTGAATATCTCTTATTTTAATATTCAAAGAGCCATTGTTATCTTGTGGAAAAGATCCATCCACTTTGATCATAACAGACTTCAAGTCAGCGCCAACTAGGTTAGTTGCTATACAAGTATATAAACCCCCTTCTTTGGGAGTTACGCCATTTATATCTAGTGTTCCCTCAGAATGGACATAGAACTTGTCTGTCAGGGTATTAGGCAAGAGTTTTTGACCAGAAGGTGTTATCCAGTAGATTTCAGGCTGTGGTTCTGCAGTAGCTCTACAGTGAAAGGAAACATAGCTCCCAGCTTCTACATTTAGATTAGAAGGAAAGCTCTCAGGAGCTATAAGAGGGAGACAAATTTCCATCATGTCCCTGAAATGCACTTGCCGAACATTCTGACCTTGGAATTCAGGTGGGTCCACGCAAAACAGTGAATCTGGCTCCATGAATCGAATGTTGGTTTTGTTCATGTTCATCCAACGGATGACACAGTCACACCTGATGGGGTTACTGTGTATGCTGATTTCCTTGAGGTTTGGCAGAGACTCAATGGTACCATGGTACAGGGCACTGAGAGCATTGCTGTTCAGCATGAGTGATTCCAGCTTGGGGAGTCTGAAAAATGCATTGGGGTGAATGTAAGACAATCTAGGGTTGTTAGTAGCTTCTATTTTTCTTAAATCTGGCAGGTTATCCACAGCAAGACTATCGATGGAAATCAGCTCAGGCATATTATTTATCCCCAACTCTTTTAAGTGTAGCATATTGCTAAAATCACCCCTTCGTATTCTATTAATAGGATTTTTATTTAGATCCAAAAATTTGAGATTTACAACTTTTTGAAGAGCAACATGGGGTACTTTAATAAGCCTGTTATCGTAAAAAGAGATGCTTTCTAAGTTTTCCAGTCCAACCAAGGCGTTATCTGGTATTTCTGTGAGGTTTATACCAGCTATAACCAGGCTGCGAAGATTGATAAGAGGCTTAAAGTTCATGTCTTTGATTCTGATAATTGGATTTTCCCCAATCATCAGAATCTCTAGATTTGGAAGAGCATCAAACCACTTACTGTTGATCATCTGCAATCTATTTGAATTGAGATGAAGTCGAAGAAGATTATGTAGGCCAATAAAGGCTCCAGGTGAAATTGTAGAAAGCAAGTTGTGATTAATATAGAGTTCTTGTAAGTTGCTCAGTTCGGACAGACATTTTTCAGGCAGTTCAGTAAGTTTGTTTTCCTCTAGGTACACAGAAAGGAGCTGAGGCATCTTTTTTACATTAATATTGGTGACTGAAGATAAATTGTTTTGAGATAAATCCAGGCCAGTAAGGTTTACTGGAAAGTCTGTGGAGTATTCAATTTTTGCAATATTGTTAGTCTGTAGGAGAAGAATCTGTGTGTTAGCTGGCAATCTGGCTGGGAAAGTTAAAAGACCTAAATCATTACAATCCACTGTAGATGCTTCCATATAAATGGATCTGGGTGTAAACCAAGGCCTGATTTCACACGTACATAACCGTGGACAATCCACTTTTTTATCTACAGCTTGTACTAGTGTAGTGATAGCTAGGCCAAGTAGCACATGAATTCGGAGTGGCATGTCCTTCATCTTAGCTTTCTTCTTCAGAAATGTAATGGGCCCTTAAGGATTCCACAGTCAGTGCTAGTAAGTTCAATAGGAGCTGATTGATAAGGAAGATGCTTGCATTTGTCAAATGATGAATGCCATAGAACCACAAAGTTTTTCTTCACTGAAATAAGTGCCAGTGCCACAATTGCATTGTCCAAAAATGTCATGCATATTGGAGAAGAGAAGGTTACTATTTCCTTAATGATATAATATTGATGTACTTTTTGAAGGTGGAGTATGTATAGATGGTCATAGGAGATTGAGTAATTCATTTATTTAGAAGTAAAATATTTAAATCCCATGCTTCTTCAGTATTTGCAGGAATAGCAGCATGATGCTAAATGTAATAAAATGAAATATGAAAGAAAAAAGAGAACAATAATTAGTACAAATGAAAAATACCATAATTGATATTCATTACCTAATTATAATTATTTCATGTATAAATTATATTCTTAGAGTTTAAGTACTTCAGTATGTTTGGTGACTTTATCTTTTTCATGACTGTCCTTGATAATTCTTTTTTTTTATTATACTTTAAGTTTTAGGGTACATGTGCACAACGTGCAGGTTTGTTACATATGTATACATGTGCCATGTTGGTGTGCTGCACCCATTAACTCGTCATTTAACATTAGGTATATCTCCTAATGCTATCCCTCCCCCCACCCCACAACAGGCCCCGGTGTGTGATGTTCCCCTTCCTGTGTCCATGTGTTCTCATTGTTCAGTTCCCAACTATGAGTGAGAACATGTGGTGTTTGGTTTTTTTGTCCTTGCGATAGTTTGCTGAGAATGATGATTTCCAGCTTCATCCATGTCCCTACAAAGGACATGAACTCATCATTTTTTATGGCTGCATAGTATTCCATGGTGTATATTTGCCACATTTTCTTAATCCAGTTTATCATTGTTGGACATTTGGGTTGGTTCCAAGTCTTTGCTATTGTGAATACTGCTGCAATAAACATACGTGTGCATGTGTCTTTATATCAGCATGTTTTAGTCCTTTGGGTATATACCCAGTAATGGGTTGGCTGGGTCAAATGGTATTTCTAGTTCTAGATCCCCGAGGAATCGCCACACTGTCTTCTACAATGGTTGAACTAGTTTACAGCCCCACCAACAGTGTAAAAGTGTTCCTATTTCTCCACATCCTCTCTAGCAGCTGTTGTTTCCTGACTTTTTAATGATTGCCATTCTAACTGGTGTGAGATGGTATCTCATTGTGGTTTTGATTTGCATTTCTCTGATGGCCAGTGATGATGATCATTTTTTCATGTGTCTTTTGGCTGCATAAATGTCTTCTTTTGAGAATTGTCTGTTCATATCCATGTCTAAAACACCAAAAGCAATGGCAACAAAAGCCAAAATTGACAAATGGGATCTAATTAAACTAAAGAGCTTCTGCACAGCAAAAGAAACTACCATCAGAGCGAACAGGCAACCTACAGAATGGGAGAAAATTTTTGCAATCTACTCATCTGACAGACAGCTAATATCCAGAATCTACAATGAACTCAAACAAATTTACAAGAAAAAAACAAACAACCCCATCAAAAAGTGGGCGAAGGATATGTCCTTGATAATTCTTGGCCTAGGCATTGGGCAGGCTGAGAAATTTAATCGTTAAAAGGTTAAACATTTATTATTTTAATGAATGTGTTTCCAGAAGTTTTCTGTTATTTCAAATCTTTGCTTGTTTATACCTTGTAATTTTATTTGTTATATTTTCATTAGCTTTGAAATTTAGTTATAGGGAAAAAAGGAAAACAACTTTTAAATCTTTCAACTGTTCATGGCTTTTTTTTTTTGCCTGTTAGAGAGGCAACATAAAAGGCCAATAAATGAATAATACTGTTCACTTACAACCAAATGAGTTAGATTGCGATTCAACAGGTTCCCAGGAGACAGGATTTAGAGACAAAAATTATAAAATGTTAAGTAAGCTAGATGTAGTGGTATTAGCTGTTTCCCATTTTCATTCATACTTCTCTCCATAGTCTCCTTTGCATAAAGTGACTTGAGTTTTGCAGTATTCAGAGAAGATTAAGTTTAACTTGCTGTAGATGTACCTGTGTGTTATCATTCGTAACTAAAGTTCACAAGATTAACATTTGGCTGTTTTATTTTTCCCTGAGAATAACTTACCTTCCATTACTAACAATGAAAAAACAATTTTATTACATCACTGATATGGTTTGGCTGTGTCCCCGCCCAAATCTCATCTTGAATTGTAGCTCCGATAATTCCCATGTGTTGTGGGAGGGACCTGGTGGGAGATAATTAAATCATGGGGGCAGTTTCCCCCATGCTCATGGTAGTGAAATAAGTCTCAGGAGATCTGATGTTTTTATAGGGGAAATGTCTTTTGCTTGAGTCTCATTCTCTCTTGCCTGCCTAAATGTAAGATGTGCCTTTTGCCATCTGCCATGATTGTGAGGCCTTTCCAGCCATGTGGAGCTGTGAGTCCATTAAATCTCTTTTTCTTTGTAAATTACTCAGTCTTGGATATGTCTCTATTAGCAGCATGAGAACGGATTAATGCAATCAGTAACACAAAGACCTAGATATTTTTCTTTTAAATCTATACCAGTGTCTTTGAAATATAATCATTTCCAACACCAAGTTGCAAATTTGATATATGGAGATCCTTCTATGTTTACCTCACCGTCTGCCATTTTCCTGCAGGCAACCTTCTCCCTATTGGTAGAGCTATGGTTGCATCACTCTGCCTGGAATACTTCTTTCTTTGTTTTAAATTATGTTTTACTGTCTTTTCAAACCTCAGTTCAAGAATCTCCCCTCTGGGAAGTCTTTCATACAAGACTTTCATATAACCCCTCCCTCCACATGTACTTAGCTGCCCCTTCACAGTGGTCCCATGGCTCCAGCACTTGTTTCTGTCAGGCATTTCCTTGATCCTTTCCTTCACCAGGCACTAACCTCCTTGAGAGCGTGAGGCCTGCCTGGCTTTGCATCCTATCTTCTGGGCATTATCATTATAATGTAGTATGTGCTCAAGAAATGTTTTGAATGAACTGATAAATGAATTGTATTAGTAGAATCCTGTATGCATCCTTTTACATGTTACTTAAGTAATTCTATCTGCTTAATTTCTAATTTCAGTAAATCTGTTTTAATGTGTATAAGTATTTACTAACATCAAATTTGTGTTACATATATTACTAAAATCCAGAGATTAAAATTCAGGCTAATACAAAGGAATGTTAGACTTTAAGAGAAAAGTTAATCTATTATATCTGTGCTTTATTCTTCAATTTATCCAGTCAACATTTATTGAGCACTTTCTACATGCCAATTACTGGGTTAATAGCTAGAGGGAAAACAGATGACTTAGATATGGTTGATTTCTTTAGTAAAATTTCAGTCTGGAGGGGAAACAGAAGTAAACAGATGGTTACAATTCCGTATGCATGCTCATTTGGGAGCATATACCCCTCCGAATAAAATGAAAATAGAAATCTATTGCCCCTGTATGTCCAGAATGAAGGAAAAACCTAGGTACAAAGTCCAATTGCATTTCTGTATGTTTCCATAAATCACTTAGCTGAGAATGGAGAAACCATTACTTCTGTCAATTAATTCGTTAGGTCTGCTTTCTCCAGCAGAGCAGAGAGGTACCTATATCCTTCTTTAAGTTAACTAGAGGTTTGGAAATATTAAAGATGAGGCATTCTTTCTGGGGGAGTCTTAATATAATGCCACTTTTTGAAATTATCCTGGTGGGTGTCTTAAAATTTATATTTGTGTTTAATTAGAAAATGTTTTCTTATTTCATCATTTACATAGCCATATGCTAGAAACAACCACATTTTGAATTAGATTTCTTCTGAAAGCTTTTGCAAATGAGAGTGTTTATAGTGGTGAGCATATTCAAATGTTGTTTCTCCTGGTCTGTAGGAAGCAATAGTATGGGAAACACAATAGAGAATATAGAAATTTATCGTTTCTTTAGCATAATATTGACTTTTTCTTAAGTCTGTGGAAATGATTATGATATTTCATTAATATGCTATTTAGTATGGGCTATTTGCAGGATAATAAGTAAGTAATAATAGTATCTTCTTAGTGCTTTATAGTTTTCAAAGCCTTTTCTTATTCATTATTAATTTAATATTAATGAACTTGTGAGATAGGTTGGTGAGGTACATTAATCTCCACTTTTTAATGTAAGGTTATTGAGACCCATCTGCCTGATACCACACAACAAATAAATGGTGGGGTGGGATTAAAACCTAGTTTAGGCCGTTAAAATCAAACAATTGTAAGAATTCTCATATCTTATATATCCAATTCCTGTGGACACTTATAATTTGAGATTTCTTTATGTGAAAATACAGATTGTTTCTTGGTATAATTATATGTAGAAGCTTTTATGGATAAAGCTACTTTTCCTTAGTAAAGAGATCTTTATTCTTTAGCTTCTTTATCTGTTTTTCATCATTTATGAAATATTGATCCAACACCTACTTTTTGGCAGGCATTATCATAGACACTGGAAAGTCAGCAATAAATAAGATAAAATATCTGCTCACCAAGTTTTCAGTTATCAAAGGAGTAAATAGCTGAGGACAATGATGCACAGTAGATTTGATTTACAATAAAAATGTGTGCAATGCTCTGTGGATGCACAAAGGAGAGAATGCTTAATTCTGTTCCTCCAAAAGGAGCAACATGAATGTTCTGTGGTCTTTTGTGATACTTATGAAAAATCAGCTGGGGTATAGTGAGGACATGTGAGTAAGAAGATTTAAAATCCACTGTCTTTTAGATGAGTTTTTGCAATGCTAAAGCTTAAGAACAAAGTGTGCCTTCTTCTTTGCACTTTATTATGTGTATTATAAAGACTACAGAGTGTGAGGAAAAGAAACATTTTGATACTTAAGTTGAAAAATTGGTGAAGAAAAAAATTGCCATGGGTACATTAAAACCCAGTTTTTCCTTTTCTTCTATAGCAAATTGCTGGCTAAGTTCATTTGTATAAAGAACTTAAATTCTATTCTCCCACTATCTAACTTCATATTCCCTTGTTGTAAGACTTGATCTTTCTTTAGTTCTAATTGAAGGTTCCATATCCCAGAGGTATTGTTGAATTATACTAAATGCATCCTTGTAAAAGACTGTTCTATTTTCCTTGGGAAATATTTCTTTTCCAGTTTTTCAAAACAAATTATTTGAATTTATATGACAACTCTCAGGAAATGGATAATGGTAATTATTTAGAATAGCTTAATGAATGCTATCCTTAAAAACTGATGTCAATGAGAAATTGATACACCGAAAGAAAATTTGTTTTGCATTAAGAAACATGGGCCAGGTTTACTGGATGATTTTGTAACTGGGGACAGGATACCTCACTTTCTTGTACCTCAGATTATTGATCTCTATAATTTAGAAATTTGGTTGCATGAGTTGTAAGATTCTTTCACATCCCAAACTTACATGATACTATTCTGTGAACATCAAAGATTTTTTCCAAAGGTGTCTAACAATTGAATGTGTGTAAACTCACTTATCTGATTTTAACCTTTGTGTTTTTTAATTGATTACAAGTTTATATTCAATACTCTAGTCCCATGCCATTAACAAATTTAGGATCAGTGAATTTTAGTCATTATGGGGCTTTTAAAGACTATCAAATTAGTTACCTGCCATTATTTCTATTTTATCTTTTTATCTACACAGTAGTAAACAAACTAGAGAGTTACTTTAATCATTAAATTAAGGCAGACTAACCAGTAGGAAGTAAATTGCCTCGATTAGAGCACTTCATCTAAATTCAGATGTGAATTCAAATTCCTTCATTTTGCCTCTAAAGCTCAGTCTTAACCACTAAGTTCTACTTTCTCTCAAATGTTTATTTTTAAAACAGCACCACACACCTTGGTATCTTCTCAGAAAGGTGTTTCCTCCAACTGTATAGGTGCACTGCCTTTTTTGTTATTATTGTTGGGTGTTTCTCTTCCTTTGATAATAAAGTTTCACTCAGATGAAATTATAAGGCAGTTGAGTATTGTGGAAGGAATAAAATAAAAACTGTTTTCTAGGCCTAGTTTTGCTATGTGAGAGTAATCACATCGCTCTCTGAATCTTAGTTTCTCACAAAATATGCACTAAATTTTTACTCTTGTTTTCAAGTTGATTGTTAATGTCCTGTGAAATTGTAGAGATTTTGTGTGGGATTGCCATTATAAAGAAATTTGTTTATTAGAGAAAAATTATTTTTGTTATTGTTCAAAATTTATATAGTAAAATGTATGTCATGTATACCCATATATTTAATGGATGCTGTCTTTTAGAGTGGTTTTAGAGTGGATTCTGATATTTTCAGATTCTCAAATCTGATATTTTGAGATTTTCAAACTGGCAAAAATCCTCTTATTATCATTATAGAAATAACTATAGATTTTTTTAAAAGGAGGGGCAATTTTATTTTATGTCCTTGTCATGTTTAAGAACTTTTATTTTTACCCAGCAAGCATTAATGCAGATCATAAACAAATCATGTGCTGTTTCCATTCCTCTGGATATAGGGCTCAGATGAGTCCTTTAGATGACAATATAGGCCTTGTAATAAAGTTCTCTCAGAGAAACCAGTAGTAACTTAAATAGCACAATTCTCTCTCCTGAGTCTCAAGATATGCTTTGGGCAGATTTGAGAGAATCTTGGATGTTTTATCTTTTTTCTTCTCTTGTTTTTAGAATTGAGGCTTGTGCTACATGGGGATAGTTTTCTTTAAACAATAATTCCGGCCGGATGTGGTGGCTCATGCCTGTAATCCCAGCCCTTTGGGAGGCTGAGTTGGGTGGATCACCTAAGGCCAGGAGTTTGAGACCAGCCTGGTCAACATAGTGAAACCCAGTCTCTAGTAAAAATACAAAAATTAGCCAGGTGTGCTAGAGTTGGTGGTGCACATCTCTAGTCCCAGCTACTCGGGAGGCTGAGGCACGAGAATCGCTGGAACCTGGGAGGCGGTGGCTGCAGTGAGCCCAGATGGTGCCAGCTGCACTCTAGCCTGAGCGACAGAGTGTGAGTCTGTCTAAGAAATATATATAAATATATAAAAATAAATAATAAAAATAAAAAATAATTGCAAATGTCTCACCCTAATACGTCCAATTTGTGGAATCTAGTTATAGTACAGCTATAATTTAGAAAGGGTAGTTTACAGTACAGAAATCTCTCTTTATAATTTTCTTTTACAGAGGGGGGGATGAAATCTTAATCACAGGCACATTTCATATTGGGGTAGTCATTTCTGTATACTCATAAATTACCAGCTTGTCATGATACTGTCATTTTTTATGAAAATTCTGATTTGTAGTTATATTTAATTATTGATTTTGCTCAACTGAGCACTTCATTAATAGCATTATTTGTGAAGTTGACTTTTGTACATGATTAGTAAAACAAATGATAATTTTAAGTCATAACTTGTCTCTTGATGCTTATATTTTTTCCTATAAGCATCACACCATATACTGGGGAATTCTAATTTACAATATGTCATAACAGTACATTATTCAATATTGTTTGAGAGCCAATGGAGTTTGATTGCCTGATTTGCCTTTTTAACCTCTCTTTTATTTACCTTGTTATTTAGCATTTATATGGTCCCAAATGTAGGTCTCTCTGGGAAAAACACTCATTTATTCATTATCCTTAATATTCACTCATCTTAGATTGAAGTATAATCATCTTGTTTTCCATAGTGATGGAAAATTTGCTTCAGGTTATAATTAAACTAGAGATCTCTATTTGGGTGATGCCTGTCTGTAAAATTACCAGCACTTTAACAGTAGGCTATTGTGTAAGTATGCAGACCCGGGAGTTAGGAGGAGACCTCGTGACCTTTAGTGACTTCATTTCTAAAATAAAAATCACCTTCAAATTCTATTATTATATAATTTTTGTAGTAACCCTTAAATATTCTCAAAATGGTTTCAATGTATTTCTTTTTTTTTCTTTCTTTCTTTTTTTTTTTTTTTGAGATGGAGTCTCGCCTGTTGCCCAGGCTAGAGGGCAGTGGTGCGATCTCGGCTCACTCACTGCACCCTCCACCTCCTGGGTTCAAACAATTCTCCTGCCTCAGCCTCCCAAGTGGCTGGGATTACAGGCACCTGCCACCACACCCAGCGAATGTTTGTATTTTTAGTACAGATGGGGTTTCACCATGTTGGCCAGGCTGGTCTCAAACTCCTGACCTAATGATCTGCCCTCCTTGAACTCACAAAGTGCTGGGATTACAGGTGTGGGTCACTGTGCCCAGCCAATATATTTCTTTGTGCAAACTTAATACAATGTACTTGGATGGATACCGATAGGATTTACTCAGAGATTTTATGATATTTTTAGTTTTTCATGCTTATTCACGTTTTATGTGTCTGTCAAACAGTGGCATAGAGATAGACAAGGTGCTAATTTCATTTACATCAGAAGTAGTCTATAAAAAGATCCTTAGGAGCTGTACAAATTCATGAAAAATTTGAAGAATTTTAAACATTTGTATGTCAGGAGTAATTTATATACACTTGTAAGAGAAATCATTGTTTTCCTGGCAAAAATGTGTGTGTGTGTGTGTGTGTGTGTGTGTAGATTTATGTGTATGTGTATGTTGAGAGACTTCAGTTCTGTTCAGAAAATTTTGAATGTGACTGACTAAATTTATGCATTAAAATTTCCCATTTTGTCCACTCTTTATTTCTATCAATAGATATTTAGAGGGATTTAATTAGGCCTTAATTTGTATTTTACACATTTCACATAAATTGAGAGGAAAAGTCTGCCCAAATATGCTTTCCTTATTCTCTCGTAAGTTTTGGTCTCTAAAAGCTCATTCTTATGATTTAGTTCCAGTTTATTTGAGAAGTTAGTGTGGTAGTATGACTGGTAAATGATGTCATCCTTTTATCTTCAAAGGAATTTCCAACTAGATTTGGAAATTCCCCTGCTTGAATGACAGGAGACAGACTTACATTGTGCCTTGCAGTACAATGGTTTGGGAAATGTGTGTCTCATGTAGACCCTCTTTCAATTATCCTGCATTTCAGATGAAAACATTTGGGGTAATTATCCAGATAATTTAAACAATTTTTAAGTCATTTTTTTATTGGAAGATAGCCAAATATCCTGTCTTTGAAGTCTCCATTCTTTATGTCACATGAAGACTGTCCATCTCCCTGGTATAGTTAAAAGAAAAAAATAAATGAAGTGATTGCAGCTTGAGTTGATTTTATGAACAGGCACAAGTATGCTGCCTTATGCTTTCTGATCTTGCAAGCACTACTCTCTAGGGCCTTATACATGGGAGGACATGATAGACATGTATACAAAAAAAAAAGACTATTCTATATTGATTGCCATAAGTAAATGCTTTTATCAATCTCAGGAGGGATGGTTTTGAAGCATAGATATGCTGTAAAAGGATGGCAGCAAAAAGGTTTTCAACTCATTTGTATTCCTTGATTAACTCAGTTTGACAGAATAGAAAGTCACTGGTTTGTAAAGAAGGTAAGGAAGCCTGTGGACAAGAGTCCAATGACCTAGTATAGATAGAGAATGAAGAACATTTTAGTTACAATATTATTACAGAAATCTTAAAATTATATTTTGGAGGGGAACATTACTCTGAAGGAACTCAGAGTAGAAGGTTTCTGGGTAGTTCACTTTCTGTTCTGCATATAATAAAATATGGTTCTCATTGCTATTAAATAAAACAACACTAATATCAGTGTTTTACGTTTTTACTAAGAATTGAGAAGATAAAACATACGTTGAAAGAAAGGAAATAAAATTAGCTCCTTCAGTTTGAAAGAATTTTTTCAAATGCAATAAACAAGAGACTAAATTATAGCACCACATTTTCGGGTGTGCTGGGGTTAGCTGATGCCTGCCATGAGTTCAGAGTTGGATGGTGCTTTTCTGTTACTATACCTAAGGAAGACGATAATAGCGATGTGGGCTGTATTTTTAGTTCCCTATAATAAGCATGGGATTGTTTGTCTATTTTCTTTTCAAAAGTGTGTCAGATTTCCCTCATGCTCTGTGGTTTGTTTCCTGCTTAAATTCCTGACAATCTGCTTTAAACAACATTGCTATATTTGTGTCCAGAGGATACAAAAAAGTTTTAAAAATAGAACAACATACATTCCACTGTAAGCTTTGAAAAAACTTCCTGAATTATGGCTTTGAGTTTCAACCAAGACATGGAGGCCATATTTATGGCTGTGTGCATGTTTGTGCATCTTTTTGTGAGTGGAAATTCATTACTGTACAGGACATGAGCTCTTTCCCTAACACTCGTGTTAAATGGTTAATATGAGATGACTTGGTGGCACTCTGAAGTACGAAGTGACAGACAGAGTTAAAGTTCTTGATGTATGCTAGGTCAGTGAAGCTTTGTCATTTAGTTCCTGTGTGGAAATTAAAGGCACTATATGCAGGTTAAAGTTTTTCATTTTCAGGGCCAGGAGTGGTGGCTCATGCCTGTAATCCCAGCACTTTGGGAGGCGAAGTCAGGCGGATATACCTGAGGTCAGGAGTTCAAGACCAGCCAACATGGCGAAACCCAGTCTCTGCTAAAAATACTCCGTCTCTACTAAAAATACAAAAATTAGCCGGGTGTGGTGGCATGCGCCTGTAAACCCAGCTACTCGGGAGGCTGAGACAGGAGAATCACCGGAACCCAGGAGGCAGAGGTTGCAGTGAGCCGAGATCGCACCACTGCACTCCAGCCTGGGAGACAGAGCAAGACTCCATCTCAAAAAAAAAAAAAAAAAAAAAAACAAACTATATATATATATATAAATAAAATATATAAATAAAGTTTTGCATTTCCTTTTTCCTGTCACCTAACTTAACTTAAAGGCATGTATTTTTTCTTTTTCAGAGACAAGGTCTCCTTTTGTCGCCCAGGATGGAGTTCAGTCACTTAACTTTATAGAAGCCTCACAATAACTCTTTACTTGAAGCTAATTATGTAGGACTACTTTATGTAGATGACTTTGCAAAATTTGGTTGCCTACAACCCCCTTGAATTCATTTAAAATTACTATTGACGCAGGGGGGGACATTAGTTGATTCACATTATTTCTGTTCGTAAGAGCTTTATGGTGAATTCTACTTTAATGTGTTTATAATATTTGACTACTATACCATTTAAGGACTAGTCTATATCAGGTTATGAACATTTGGGAAATATGAGATCCCCCAAAAGAGTGGCATAGTAAATGAAATACATTTTGCCTTATGTGTTGAATAGAGAGGGCTAAAATTAAGGGCGGGGGAAGTAAAAATACTAACGGGCCATTTTTTTTTGGGGGGGGATGGAAAGCAGTGTAATTTGTGATGCCTACCAAATTTTAATTTTTGTTAATGGGCAATGTAGGCCCTTGCTAACATTAACTTTTTTTTTTTTTTTTTTTTTTTACAACTGCTACCCATGAAGAGCATGGGCGATATGCCCACATAAGCGTCTTTTTGCAAGGTTGTACATGACTAGAGCACCAAAGGGAGTTCTAAATCTTAATGGAGAAAAAGAGTTCTTTCAAAACAGGGTTATAAATTTGCATTCATTTCACTCTTAGAAGCCTGGTATTCATCTCATATGTGGATTAGGTGAAAGCTAAGTGACAAATCACCTGTTTGGGAAAATTTCTTAGTAGATAAACTCTTTCCAGATAATTTAGGATTATGTTTCAGACTATCAGTTTAGGCTCAGAAAAGCAAATGGTTTTATATTATGTTATAGCAGCTTCACAGGTTAGGATTTAATACATTTTTATGGATAAAATGAATAGTGTTAGATTATTGGATCTGAGTTAGGAGAAGAAATTTTCCCTTCACAGTCACATGATTTAAGATCTGGAATCCCTTAAATTTGATCTGGGACATTCACCTAACTTTACTGTTCCAATATGCCAAGACAAAATTATTTTGTGAAGGAAATTTATAATTAAATAACTGGTATTAAATTAATATCAGTAATGTCTACTGCAGAAATAGTTCACATTGCTCAGTCAAGAATTACTCAACATTAATTTCATATATGTAGAAACATTCTTTGAACTTTAAGTTATTTGTATTCTATACTTATATGTTTGATATTTATACTTATGTTTTTATATATATTCTTCAAGACAGTTATGTAGTAAAGTTTATGCTAAACCATTTTGGGCTTGGAGCTCAACATCCAAACTGAAAAACGAATAAAACTTTTTCATGATTTCTGTTAATTCTAATTCATGACACTGGTTAGTAAGATATAATCTATATTTGTGATCATTCCTGGTATTGTTTATGTTTTCTTGGAAGATAAGATATTATTTCAGTGAATAAAAGCTATTCTAAATATATGAGAAGCATAATTAAACTTTGTCATAATAATGAATATGGACTTGAAAAATATTAGTTTTGAGGTTTTCTTTAATGACTGATTCCTATCAATTGTGTGGAGAAACAAAGATTTGAAAAAGAATATCATTTTCCCTAATGATGTCTTCATGTCTAATATCCATGAACAGATAGGATCTTTGATGCTTTACTTATCTTTGCATATTTTAGTATAGTTCAGATCCTAAAGACTTTATTTTTTGAGACAGAGTCTCACTGTGTTGCCTAGGCTGGAGTGCAGTGGCGTGATCTCAGCTTACTGCAACCTCCACCTCCTGGGTTCAAGCGATTCTCCTGCCTCAGCCTCCTGAGTAGCTTGGACTACAGGTGTTCATCCATCATGCCTGGCTAACTTTTGTAATTTTAATAGACACAGTGTTTCACCATATTGATCAGGCCGGTCTTGAACTCCTGACCTTGTGATCCGCCCACCTTGGCCTCCCAAAGTGCTGGAATTACAGGCATGAGCCACCGCGCCCAGCCCCTGAAGACTTTTTAAGGGCCCTTTCCATTAACTTCAGTTTTCCATCATATAACAATAGCAACAAACAATGAAAACAGCGATAGTAGTCACAGTCATATTGTGCTACAATGTACAAATTCAGTTCAATTTTCATATATGACCTTATCTGATTCCCCTAATAATCCTGTCAGCATGTGCAGTTATACCCACTTTACAGGTGATAACTCAGAGAGATTTCATGAGGTGGTGAAAGTTGAAGGGGCATTATCAGTGATGGCTCCTGAACTCTATTCCAGGTCCTTGACTCCATTTTCAGGTCTCTTCCTGTGAGCTCTGTGTAATAAAGCTTTGTGTCGCAGATATATATGTACTTGATTGCCCCCTTACTAGTTGTTAATGAAACACCTTCATGTCTAGACCTATGTCTTACTCACTGAGTAAGCCTATACTTGTGTGCTGACTTGTCTTCTTTGCACAGTGAAATTAAATGATACTTTCTTTTAAAACTTAATTAAGATGCTTTTGTAGTTCGTAAGCATGATGATTGGGTTTTCTTGCTCTTGTATGAGATGTGCCTCCGTCATACCTTGGAAACCTGACTTGAAAAAAAAAACTTAATTATGGAAGGAAAGTTAATGGTTTATCATGTAGCTGGCAATGAACATGTTAAATTGTACTGAAAATGTTTTACACATTCTAGATGTTTGTTCTTTAATTTGGTCTTTAATTCTTCTTGATAATACCTTATTTACGGACCACCTTACTTAAAATATCCCCTAAAGTCATTCTTATTCTCACCATGTTGTTTTCTTTATAGATCATTTAAGACTGCTAGAAATTATTTGCTTTTTGTTTATTGCTTACTTCCCATCATCTCCACTAGAATGTTAGCTTTATTAAAGTTGTTTCCGTTTTATTCAGAGCTATGGATCTCCAATGCCTAGCTAGAATATTGCCTGCTATTGTTGTTCAATAAATATCTACTGAATGAATGAATGAATATCAGTTGCTTTTAATTATAAATTTCCATCTTATTATACATTTAAAAAAATTTGCTGTACGAGGTACTCATTTGTGACCTTTGTTTTGTTGGTGAATGCTGAATTGACTCATGTGGTTTGTATGCATGAACTATTGAGTGATGATGTAAGCTTGGCAAACAGAAATAAATATGTTTTTTTTAAATTCAGGAGATTACAAAAGTGTAACAATACCCACTTTAGAAGGGTATAATTAAATCTGTGATTGTTTAAAAAGAATCATAAATTTCTTCTAAGCCAATGTCTACTCTCATTATATCTCGAATAAATCTGTTGTGAGGAAACTAATGGAGATATGTATGTTTTGTTCGTATATCTTTTTTACTTGAGATATAGTTTTCAATTGATTTTTATATATTATATCTCTAGTAATAGCACAGTGTAGTGGGGGTATAATATATACAGATTAGTTTCTTAAAATTTGTGACATTTGTATTTGGAGAACATAGAAAACCATGTAATTTAGGTTAAAATGTATTCTTAATGATTGAAAGTGCCACAGACTTTCAGAATTAATGTAAAAAGCTGTATCAACAACAAAAAGAGCAATAATAAACATTAATATAATTGAGTGTTAAGTACTGAGAAAAGTCCTCTAGAAAATTGGTTTGATGTGGCTGCAGGCCAGACCATGCTTGTTGCCAGCTGATAGTGATCAAATGGAATACATCAACAATCTGTGAGGTTTTTGTCTCCAAACCCAGACTGGGGTTAAGAATCTGCACTAGAAAGTGACACTTACAGAAGACACTGTACTTTAGGAGAAAACAACAACAACAACAATAAAAACAAAAACAGTATTGTAAAGAAAGCCATATATACTCGGTTAAGAAAAAGTTGATGCAAATCAAGACAATATCTGCTGTAAGTTGAGACTGGGAAATATTTTTGGTGCAAAATTTCAGCAGAACTCTAAATCTATGCAGCACACATGAAACTAGTAAAATTTACTTAAAAGTTTAAGCTTTGCATGCTAGAGTCTATAATATTATCTGCAGAATTGGAAATACTACAGCTTGACCAAGAGCTTTGAAATGTTGCAACAGCCAAATGTTGCAAATAAATCTTTGGGAGTTCATTATTAGCCAACAAAATTATTACTCACTAGATCTGAAATAACAAATCTGTGGCCTTGACATTTAATCAGAGCATGAAACGCATCTATTGTATTTCATATTTGAGATTATTACTTTACTAGTGCCCCAATTAAAGCATGTAGATTCTAAAATTCTATTCAGATAAAGTAAAATACAGAATGCTTGTTATACATGCACAGAATCTTTTTATTCATTGCTTCATGTTCCATTGCCCCTTCTTCAACATGCTTATATTGAGTTTTTAATGAACAGAAATGGCTTTAATATAAGTATACAAAGAACTATCCAGAATTTCTTTTTAGAGACAAAGGTGGTAAGAGGTTGAAACTGCCCATATTCCCCTGTGACTGATCAGTTGAATCTAAACTGTTTACAACAGAATGTTGAAAGGAATTTTCTACCTGCTGTAGGGCTGGCGTTGTAATATAAGGCAATTTTACATGCCCATATAATTTAAATTATTAGACTTTATATAAAAACTTTTCTTCAAAGTCTGTCTAAAAAGAAAGTAAAAATGGGAGAGGAAAGAGAGAAGGAAGAAGGGAGGGAAGGAGAGAGAGGGAAAGGGGAAAGAAGGAAGTTTCTGAATCTCTCCCACCTATCTTTTTCACATTCTAGTGAGAGAGATTCTAAGTATTGTCTATTCATGAGCATCTGCAAATCACATTGCAGCTTAACTGTCTCTTCTCTGATTTAATAGAAACTTTGATTGTTTTCTAGGATTTACATCCAGAGTAATTGTTTTTGCATTTTAATATAGAAAGAAGTAGATTGAATACATGCATAACATATTAGAAATGCTATTAAGCAAATCATTCTGCATGGTACTATTGAATGAATGTTTTCCTTTACTCTTCTAAACAAAGCACACATTTCTCCAATTATTTTTAAATTGAGAACAGTGGAAAAGAAATCTATTTGTGTGTTGATTCCATTTTTTTTGGTATGATTAAATGGTACAGCAGAAGTCTTATACAGTATAGTCAGGTACTTTTCCCTGCAAGATCTGTAAGGGCAGTTTTTATGTGCATCCTAGATATACAGTATTTTCACACACCGAGACTTTAATTCCTGTTATCTTAATATTATTTATAAGTCCCTCACATCTCTTAGCAGCCATACTTCACCAACTCTTGCCCTATTTGAGTCTCCACCTCAAAATAGCAAGCCTTTCACTCAAGCCTGGGGCAGTGAGAAGTTCATGAGAAGTTTCCACATGGCAAAAATGGTGATGGTAGAAGACATATCTGTTTTTCATTTTATTTGTTTGTTTTTAATTGGACTGTTTTTCTTAGAGAGTTTCTCAAAACCAGTGAGTTTCCAGAGAGAAGAGATTTCTATTATTTCAAGGGCTGATAGTTAAGATCCTTCAAAAAAGTTGACCTTCCCACATCAGACCAATGTCTGTAGAGTTTGAAAAGTTGTCAAACTTGCCATTAAATAAGGAGAACAATGACTTGTGCTTCAATTGTTCCACATTCAGGGCTTTGAGTGTTCCAGGTACTTTGCTTCTTCTCTTAGTTCCCAATTGAGAAGTAAGTAGGTAAAGGATGAGTATTCCTCCCATTTTATTTAGCATGTAGGTGCTAATTTGTCTGCTCCAATGTGCACCAATGTTGGTATTATATGTTCTAAGGTCCTCTGCTGTATCCTTGGAAAAAGACTATGTTATGTGTTACTGTGATATTACAAATATGTTTCTAAGAAAATTAACTGCCTATTATTTGTACTTGCTCTTGTTTCTGATTCAGAAAAATAAGCTTGCCCTTGCTGGTGCATTAGGAATTGAGATGTTGTGTATTCCTGGGAGTGTCATGCGTAGATTTGATACATACATCAGTGGAGTTAAACTGGCTAAAAGAGCTGTCAGTGATAAAAAGTGGGGATGCTATAAAAGACAATGGCCCTATCACATTCATGTGACTAGATATAGGCATCTCTATCTATTTCTTTTATATTTTTATGGATTTTTTTTTCTTTTCACCTTTTGCATAAATTGTTAGTACACATAATACAAATGCAAACAACAGAGAGCAAGCCCATTTTTAAAGCTATGGGAAAATAGACCTGTCAGGAGATTTGTTCAATTTAGGATAGGAGGAACAACAAAAATACATGTTGTATTTGTTTCTTAGAAAGTACTCTAAGGGTGTTTTCCCCCCAGCCAGCTAAATTGCATGTGGCAGTTGCTACAGCAACCCATTTTTGTGATTTGCAGAATAAGGGAGCAAACCAGATGTAAATTGTCCGTCAGTAAGTTTCTGTTGTCATGGAAGATGGTAACGTATGCAGTCTCATTTGGTCAATTTATGTACTGTTGTGGTGTATTGTTCTATCTGCTCTTTTCAACATGCTGTCATGAATTAGTATTCCATTCTTTGGATGCATAATTTCGGAGTTTCTGAGTTTTATACATGATGTTAACTGAAATAACTAGATGTCAGATTCATAGAAGGTTGTTGCAAAATGAAGGTTATTTGACATCTGTTTTGTAATTTTTCAGCCTATTGACATAAGAATTCTTTATTTCATGAAGAAGAATCAAATTAATTTTTAAAGGGCACTTCAAAGGTTTTGTGGTTATTTTATTTGAAAACACATATTTACAGTCTACAGAGTTAAGAATATATTTTTGTCTCAATGAGACCTTTAGTAAGGAAATAGGAAATAGCTCTGGACTGGGAGCTTCTGGAATTCTATGGTCATGCCTCTCTGCTCTTTGCATTCTGGCAAGTAGATTCACATTTTAGACTCAAATCACTTGTAACAGCCATTATATTTGGAACTCCCCATCTCTTCTTTTTGTTTTTCTTCCTCTTTTGTGTGAGAGACTGTCCCCTTCTCTCTGCTTTCTTTTTCTGTCTTCCCCACTGTTCTAGAAGCCATGACCCTCTCGTTCTAAATAGATTTTGCCCTGCTTCCAATGAGATGCGAGGCTGGGTATTTCTATGCATATTTTTAATTTGATAGGAAGTGTAGCTTACAGCTTATTGTGAATACATTAACATCTCATCGCTTGTGACAAGTCCTTCACACTTTTCATCCCTGCTATTAATTTTCCTTTTCTCCACATTTAAAAATTTTTCTTTAGCATTTGCTCCCCGAATCAAAAAGACTAGATAGGGGGATTAATGATGAGACTTTTCTGTTATTTAGCATGATTTACAACTATTGCTGGCAACCATACTAAGTAGTTTCACATATAATGTCCCCTCAGCCTTTTAAAAAATTGATATCAGCTTCAATAGAAGTGATGGTATTAGTTACTAAAGTGACATCATATCAAAATATATAAACATGGAGCATTATCAACAGAAGTGAGAACAATTTCTAGAACAAAATGTAGAGTTTGGTAAATCTAAAGCAGATAACAAAAGAAATTGTTTCATTCTCTACAATAAATTTGAACTGTGGATTACAGAAGTAAACATTTACAGGAAATTGGGACACAGAGGGAGTGGGAGAAGGAAAATCATATGACTTTTGTCTCTCCCCTACCTGGAGTTTCATCATTTCCAACTCTGCAAAATTGGCTCAAGATGCGAATAGTAAAGGCAGGTATGTGCATGCATGAATGAAGGAAGGTATCCTCCAGCAAATTTGCCTTTCAAAAAAGTTGCCTGAATATAGGCCCAAACTCAGAGATATGAAGAGTTGTTATGCTGGGGAAGTGAAAATGAAAATGTAACTTTTCATTTCACACACATATTACAGGAGTACCACTTTTCAGTGTTCCCATTTTGTTCCACATTTAACCCTAAAATTTCTTGAATTGCCAATACAAATGCCTTATTTTGCTCTCTGGTACTCTCAAAATGGTGTTCAATAGAAGCAGCCTAGTCATTAAGGGATCAGGCATGGACTCTCGTTCTTTCTGTGCTGCTGCCATGTCATTGTTTCCTCATCTACTGAAAGGTGAGTGATAATGGTACCTACTTGAAAGGAATGTTGTGAAAATTAAATAAAATAATGCGTTAAAAGTTCATAGTATAAAAAAGTTCTTCTGCACCCGACACATACAGAGTGGTTACTAAATGTTAATCACTATCATATTAAGAAGTCATCATACGGATAAGAACTCATTAGAATTTGCTGTAACTTAAACTTACAGGTGAAAATATTGGAACAGGAGAAATGACAGAACAAAATAGAACTACTTAAATGTCATTTGGCTCTGATTATCATAAAAGGTTGTAGAATTTTACTTGCCTAATCGATATTTTTCTGGTTATTTCTGTGAAAATAATTCTAAAAATGTATCACGCTATTTACCATGTTAGTTATATGACATGTCTTAGAAGAAGAAAAAATCCTTGGAAAGCAGGTGCAAATCAGTGTGGCTAGACTTAGTTAAATATTTATAAACTGGTAAAAACTATTAGCAGTTGGCAAATATTTGAAAAAATCCAATATTGGTCTGTGTGTGAAAGTGTAAATGTATACGTGTATGCTTGTTGGCAACGGAATAGATAGAGATAAAGAAGTACAATTATTAACCATAAATCTGCAGAAATGCTAATACAGGTTTTTTGAGATGATGGAGTAATGCAGTTGTTATTTCTTGAGATATAGTTACATTTTGCAGGAAACAAAGTCTAATAGATATTGTTAAAATTTAACAACATTCATTAGTACTCACGCAAAATGCTAATTAGAGTACAAATAAGAGAGAAATGAAAACTGTGAAGTCACTATGATCAATGGACACTGTAGTCTTAAAAAAGACCATGTTATTGTCAGCAATTTTTAAATTTTAGCAACTCAAGGGCTTGAGTGCTCATTGTCCTATACTATATGGTCTTTTAAGGGGAAATTGGGACATTGGGGTTTTAATTAACGTTTAAAAAAATAAGTTTACAATGAGATTTATAATTTCAAAGATTGTAATTATTTTATACATATTATGAAGTCTTTTATGACCCTAGCAAAGAGGATTAGTGAAGAATGGTTTCGGAGCTTTTTAAATTTGAGATGGAATGTCCCAGAGTAGTGGAAGTTTCTAATAGAATAGCACGAAGAAGCTGGATTATTCTATTTATTTTTTAGATAGGTATGAAACTTCAAACTTGCTATTTCTGTGGTTTCCATTCTTTTATTATACTTGTGGGCTTCCATTTAGTAATTTTTCTCTCTCTCTTTTATTTGACTGATTTAAACAAAACAAAATAATGCTTCAGCTAAAATCACTTTAGGGCAAAAATTCAAAACTCCAGACTCAAGTAATTAACATGTTTGATGTAAAGCAGCAGCAACACATTACTGTCAATAAAATGACAATCTAAAGAGACATCTTGAAAACTGACTGGATGACAGTGAATTGTGCTTCTGCTAAACTCCAGCAGCTAAGAGGTTCCACAAATATGGGCCCTTCACAGATAAGGCACTGCTGAGTTTCTCTATAGGGTTGAGTTTGGGAAGTTTTGGTCATCATGATGCATTAAAAAAAAGAATGATTTGACAGGAGCATATGGTCCAAACTTTTTAAAACTATAATCATAGTCAATGTGCTATGAAATACCCACTGGGTAAGGATTGAATCACCTGGTTTTGGTTCTAATTATGTCTGTAAGTCACTTTGAACAAGTGACCTAAAATCTGTAAAATCTATCCCAATATAGGGATTTTGTTATATTCTGACTCATTTTTTTTTTTTAAAGAAATTGACAGGCAGTGTAGAGTTCACTCATTAATCATATTGGCGGCAGTTTCTGCATGGCCCTCATTTGAGTTCCATATGGAGTGAGATATAGTGTATGAAAATTAGAGTTCATGAACATGTGGGCAGAAGAGTTTTGTCCATTTTTGGTAGATGTTTCTCCTAAGGATACATAACCTAGTACTCTACAGATATCACCTGACTGCCAAGAAATGACTGTGGATGGTATACCTTTTTAGATTGGGGGCAGTAGAGATAGGAACTATGTTTACCACAGCCTTACATTATTACATATTAACTGAGACTATTTACTTTGAATGTCCCAGTCAGGTCCCTTAAAATCAAACCCCTAACTCATTTAGCTATACCCTCTTCTCAGTCTTCTCAGGGAAGACACAAGACAATATACCTATTGAACCTTTATTTTTCTTGTATATTTCACAGGAAATATACAAGACAGTATACCTATTGTACCTGTTGTACCTATGTATATTCTGTATTAATTCGAACGATTGTCTCAAGTAATTTTTTTTTTTACTAAATCTACAACAAAAATGGTAGACAGTGGACAAAAGAAAAAGACTTGAATCTTAACCCAATAATTCTGTAACTTTGTGCAGAAAATAAGTATGGATTCTTAGGTGTTACTCTCACAGATTCTGAGATCATACATTAAAAGTACCCAAGTGAGTTTGGTAGTACATCATCACAGACACGAATATATGATTCTGCTTGTTGTATCTTATAGACATTATCGCTTATCAGTATGCCAAGGTTCTGTTCAATGACTAGGGATGTATCTATATCATGGTCATTGATTAAATGACCATGAGATGAAATGTCTAAATGAATAAGTGGTAAGATATTATCTTAGAATATTTCTTCTTTCAAAGACATAAAAGTCTATATCAAGTAAAATCCAGAGCAGCAGATTGCTTAAAAACTAAATATGATGATGTGAAAAGAAAGCACCATGCTTAAATGGGGTTGAGAATTCGATATACTGCTAGCAGGTGTGGAGGCAGAATGTGGTGATCAAGGAGGAGGAGTTACCATTCTGGACAGGAAAAATTCTTTATGGGGGAATTTTAAACTTATAAATGTTCATCATCTTTACAAAATATAGAAAGATATTTAAAAGTTTTCAAATATTTTCAAAACTGGTGAGCAACATTCAGGGCTGAAAGAATAAGGTTAAAACATTGTTCTACTTGTTCAATTTGCAAGATATTTATGGTCAATAAAACTTTCCTTATTTCATTACTGATTTCCATTCCCTAAGAAATGATAAAGATCTTAGATGTTCATAAATCCTCCTGGAATTCAACCATGATATTTTTACATACATTACACTTCTAAAATTACAAAAACAAAAAAACCTTAATCCAGTTCAGCCAGAGCCTAAATTTTTATCTTTTGGCTCTATGCATTTTCAACAGATTAATAAGAATGTTTAAGTAGAAAATCCACAAGTAATACTTTTAGATTAGTTGAATTATATTAAGTGTTCATTATCATTATATTATTTATTAAATAATATTATACTAATCAGGTTGTACCATGTGGTAAAACTGTAAAGTTTGATGCACTTATTGTATTTATTTTAAATCTGTATATGTTATAAATATTTTAATATATATTTTCATTACATATATTTTATTATATATAAAGTTTAAGCATATTATTATATATATATACTCCTGATCTTGGCTGAGAAGTTTAAAACTGTAGAAAGAGCCTGTTGTTAGATGCTTCTGCATAAAAAGTCAAATGCTTCTCTAAGGATAAATATATTATGCTTATTCTAAGAAATATGTGATAAGGCATTGGGTACAGTGTACACTGCTTGGGTGATGGGTGCACCAAAATCTCAGAAATCACCTCTAAATAATTTATTCATGTAACCAGACACCATCTGTTTCCCAAAAAGCTATTGAAATTTAAAAAAAAGAAATACATGCTAAGGAAGACACCATAACATGGGCTTCAGAGTCAGACATTCAGGGTTCAAATCAGGACCTTTCCAATGAGTGAAGTTGGGCAAATGCTTCTCCATTTCAAGCCTCAGTTCCCTCATGGAATCAAAGTGAAATGAGGTGAGTTGTACAAAGAGCTTACCCAGGGTCCGGGCTGTGGAGCATGTTAAATAAATGTTGCCCAACATCTTCCTCTTCTTTCTCTTTCTCCTCCTCTTCCTCGTCTTTGTTGTATGTAAGAAGTAGCAGGAAAAAAACCCCAAAAGTTTAATTTTAAATTATACATGTCCTTCTTTATTTCTTACATGTTAGGTTATTCATGATTCACAATACTTTAACCTTTTATCACCTCAAAATTGAATTTCTTTTTTTAGTTGTCTAATTGCTTATAACTTTCAAAAAAAAAACTTCATTTTGAATAGAAAATGTATGTTGATGTGAGCTCTCTAAACTCCATTTTTAATCACTGGAGGAATCCTCAGCAACATTTTTGCTTTAATTTTACATTCAGATTTTGTTTTGTAGGACAGTCAAGTTGAAGGACTCCCCTGATAGCCCTTTCAGGAGGTGACATAGCAAGAAATGCTGAAGTTTTACAAACAGCTAATATAGAACGCTTCTACTAAAGTTTTAGGTTTGGCTCAGCATCCTCAGTTTGAAAAGCAAATTACAGCTTTCATCAATTAACTTTGCAGGGCTAGCAGCTTATTCATACTGAAGAAGATTGATGAATTTCATTGAAAATTGATGCTCATAGTAGCAATGAAATTGTATTCAGACTATTTTCATCTTCATCATTTAAAAGAGAATGCATGAGGGGAAAAAAGTGTCTAAAATTTGGAACTAGATACAAGGAAAGCTTATTATAAATAATGAAATTTGAGACCAATGAGCTAAGTTTTGCATTTTTCTTTTGTGTCACTTATTATACTGCATGACCTCAGGTGAAGAAGTATGTTGACTTCCACTCGATGGAAAAATGATGATAGAGGAAGTTATAAGCTGCCAGTTCACAGGTCTAGCTGTGAATTGAACTACAAAAAATCATTTTAGTTAATCTAGTGGATAGCAAAACTCAGATATAAATAATTAAAGCATCACTCCTTTCTCAGAAAGAAAAGAAGAATCCTACAAAGGTATAATATTCTAGTATGAGCAGAATGCATGATATGAAACTAGAAACAGAGTTACTGTATTTTGATAGAGAATCTGACTCTTGGAAGGCGATATCAACTAGCTATATTTAGGCAGTACCAACGGGAGGCAGTGTTGCCTCATGCACAAAGGCTTGTTCTTTCGAGCTAACTAACCTAGGTTCCTTTTCGTGTTCTTCATTAGTTATGGCAAGTTACTTTTCTTCTCTAAGCCTTATTTTTCACGTTGGTAAAATGGGTTAAACATAGCGCTTACTTAGTACGGTCGTTATGAAGATTAAATGAGAAAATGTATGTTAAGTGCTTAGCATAATGTTTGGCACAGAAAATGCTTGTATGTTGTAAATGAGATCTGCCAGTATTATTACCATTCCTTTAGCCAGTAAAGGATTGTCTAAGAGAGATGATGTGGTTTGAACGTATAAGGGCTCTGCTTACATTAATTTATGTCAGAACATTTGTTTTAATTCATCATTACTTTGATTATTTTGCCCAACAGCAGCATATTATGGTATAATTTATAGCCTAAATATAAAAATGAGACTTTGATATTTACATAAATTTTGCTTCCTCATTAAAAAGTAATTGATTGAGGAAATGGTTTGGAAAATGCCTCACTGATTTTAAAAAGTTAGCTGAACATCACCTTATGAAACTCTTTCAACAACTGTGGTGTTTGTGTAAAAAATACGTGAGTAATAAATGACAATAAGAGGAACAAATATAAACTATGTGTTTGGTAAGTGAGTCAGTTCAGCTAGTCACACAACAAATTGACTTGGATGATGTTTATATCTTATAATGGCATTTTATATATTTTTCATTCAAGAATGACTGTGAATAGAGCTTTCAAAGTTTATATGTTCTTAGAGTATGTTTATCTTTCATATATGGCAGTCACCTTGTTTTGCTCTTTCCATTCTGTTCTGTTGCACTTTCTTTTCAATGCTACAGCATTGTGACCTAGACACAATTCTCTTTTCGCTTGCTCTATCTTTTTTGTTCTCAATGCCTTGGGCACCTGCAGTTTAAGGTCATTAACCCCTTGGCCTTTGTAGAAATCAAAATATAATCTGTGTAGATATATATTGAAATTATTTCCTGCAACTATTGAAATTTCAGTAAAGGTCATTGTGGTTCCATGTATTCTACAGATGTTGAATACTTTTTGTAGAACATGTTCAGTGTTTGGTATTTCTGAGTGACTGAGTTTTGATAAAAATAGAATTAAATTTAGACCCCATTAACACTCCATATTTCAGAGGCATATAAATATAGCGATACAGTAAACAGTCTAATGACATAAAAACATGAATTGTATGTTTGAAAAATACATGTCTATTTTTAACATTTTTTTGTTTTTTTTCCTTAAGAAAGGTAAGCTGAAAGTTAGTTGACAATGTTATTTAAATGCTTTAATCTCTCAACATTATGAGACTATAAATTATAGAACAAATGTTACCCCAAGGAATGAATCCTCTAAAATATTTGCCTCTATTTCATTATAGTCGTTATTAATTTGATAATTTTAGAAAAAAGTTATAAGTCCAAATCAAACCTGTTTATCACAGTGAAAACGAAGTCTCTTAAATGTCTTCTATAGTTAAAATATCTACTATTATTCATGTCACTTGTAAGTGTTGTGAGTCCCAAGCTTCACGTTAGGGGGCTTAATCCCTGGAGAACACATTCTGCTGTTCCTGAAGTCCTGTTTTGTACCAGTTGGGAAACAGTGCCTCTTCCATTGTTCCTCAGGGAATTAGATCCCAGGAGCTTCAGGCCTTTGGAAATAGAGAATGTTGCCTATTGATACTAACCTTTAACTGATTCAGTGGGCCTTTTTTATGCAAACATGCAAAAAGTGGTGATGTTTACACTCCTTCCCTGAATAGAGTAGCTGATTATCTGTGGAATGCTTCACCTCCTGGAAGTAAAGCGTGAAATGACAAACTTTAGAAGATTTTTTAAAGGGATTTTTATTCATTTTAAGGTCTATATTACTTTTGACAGACACAATCTCCCCTAGAAAGGGCTCACAGAATAATGTATGTAAGTTTACTGGCATTTTGACTTTAGTAGTTTACAAATATACCAGTTTACTTTCAAATTAACTAGTATTTTTATCTTATTTAGTGTGTCATTTTCAACCCAAGACAAACCAGAAAGGAGATGCTAAGGAAGTTGCTTTTATGTTGACACTTGATCCATTGGGGGTTCTTAAGTGACTTTGGAGACTTTGTTCATAATTTTTAGTAACCTGGAAAATCCCTAAATAATTTACTCATCTCATTTTTTCCAGTTTTTGAGACCTTTGCCAAGTGTCTGTTTATCAAAGTGCTAATGCTGTCAGACAAACATATGGATGAGTAGGTAGAACAACATACAGTCTTTTTCTCCAAGAATAGATGTTGGTTGTGGGTTTTGTTTTGTTTTTTTTTTTTTAAATTTAACTCAGGCATAGCAATAGCTGTGATTTAAATTAAGAAATAAAGATTTTAATTTGCAAGAATCTATCCAGATATAGTGTGGTATGGTACAAAGGACATAGTTGTTGGAAGGGTAAGATCTAGAGTGGAAGTTCCATAAAAAGGGAACTAACATTTATTACTAACTTCAGAAATGCCAGGGACCAGTGCTGCACCCATATTTTCTTCTACTCTCTGGAGTCAGAGACCCTTGCACCTCAACATGCTAGCAAGTCTCTAACCTCACAGAACCTCATTCTCCTGTCTTAAAGATGTTAATCATCATCATATCTACCCTACTTCACCAGATTGTTGTGAGGAGCAAAGTAATTGTTGAAAAATTGCTCTGTAAATGGTAGAGCTTTAAACAAATATTCACAATTATTGTGTTTATATTTTGTATCCTTCTTACAAGTTGAGTCAATTAATTACTATTATGTTAAGCAAAATTTGGAGAGCACATTTAAAAACAGAGAAATTTGCCCAAAAGAAAAGAATAGGATTGTGATATTAAGGAGATATCATTGCCTACTGGAGCTCTCAGTCTGACTCTAGAAATCAAAAAGTAAGTTGGGATGGGGTAGGGGAGGGAGAGAGGGAGAGGGATTGCTGTCCTGATAATATATTTATTGTTTTCCAGTGAGATGTATAAGCAAAGCATGGATCCTGAGAGTGGACACTGTATATAAAAAAAGGGCACATGTTAAGTGCCTTAAATTATTTACAGTGAAACCAAGTAAAAACAGATGTGGAAAGCCTCTTCAGAATTCTTGGAAAACCTTAAAACTTATAGTGGATGATCAATAGCTGAGTCTCTGTAGGTGAAGGATAGCAGTATTATTATTAACATGTTTTAAAAACAGGGCAAAACTCTAATTTTTATGACTTTACAGAATATGGTAAACTATATTCAAATGATGAATTATGGGTTTGAAATATTTGGGTGTTATATACTTAATAAATCGTTGCTTCTATTATTGAATATTGGCTTTTCCTTTTAGAATATTTGATTATCTGAATAAATATTTCTCTTTTTTGTACATATCTGTGAATTTGGGGGGATTTTTTGCACATAGGAGGTTTTTGAGAAAACATTATTTTTGAAAGACCAAGGAGGCAGAATTTTAATGGAATTCTGGAGGAAGTATTGTAAGGGGTTCTAACCTAGGCCTCTCCAATAAATAGCTGGGTGAATACAAAGTATAATGTATTACATTATAACGATTTCAAACCCTTTCAGCCTCAGTGTTTTTCACCTATCAAATGAACATATTAGACTAGCTACTAATGTCTCTTTCAGTTCAAAAATTTTATTCTATGAAAGCATGTCTCCCCTCTTTATTCCCCGTCTCCTGAAGCTGTGTCATGTGTTTTTATTAATGGCACCATAGAAAATTCTTCCCTTATTATGGCCTAAAGATGAATTAACATAATAGCAAGCAGGTGTATACAAACTTGACAATTATGCAAATATAGTAAATGGCCCTGTAGGTACTGTACTTCTTCAGAAAGATTTGAGATGGACATTAAGTCTTCCTTGTTAATCCTGTATTTAATGACCTCTAAATAGCATCTATTGAGACCTTCCATTCCTTTCAACAAGTTAGAAAAACGTTCCGATTTATCCCTGTTCCTTTTTCCCATCCTCTGGCACCAGCTACTGTCTTTATATTAGAATTTGACTTCCTTTCCTTTCACATTGTGGCTAAAGAAATAATTGTTATCATGTTTTACTAGTGACTTCGTAGATGTCTAACAATACATCACTTTATCAGAAGGAGAGGAGAGGAATTCCCTGAGCTCTGTGCAGGAGCTATGTTCAGTTGTTATACAGTGAAGCTTTCCTAAGTACTCATTGCATAGCCAATATCAGAGAGCTTTATCTTTGACAGCACTGACAAGATGTACTGATGTTTTGCCTAGAGTTTACCTGCTTTATTTAGTTTCATGTACCAAAGAGTGATACATAAGTAGCTAAACTCTCAGAACCAGGTCTACATGGAACATTTTAGTGTGCTGTACACATGTCTAGTGTTTCTTCAGACTGGCTGGAGCCACATTATTTTAAATCATTTTAGAGGAGCATCCTTACTGAGGCTAGAAGTAGGAACTCATTTTTTAGTCTACTATTAGCTTTCTTTTAATGATCTCCTTCAGATTCACCAACAGATACCTCACCTCTGCCCATTTTCAGGGGCTGCTAATTAAGTAATAACATTTAACTTACATAAGTGTTTTTTTAAAACGAAACTCCGGTTATAGAGCTTTCTGATCAACTTAGATTGTAATAAATACCATAGTGCCATGTTACACAGGAATGTTACACCCCAAAAAAATTCAGATTCGGGGGGAGGAGTGAAACATCAAACCCATCACATGGCGAAAGCAAAAGATGTTACAAAAAAGGAAAGAACAAAGAAACAGTGAAATATAGTTAGTGCATCATAAGTTGATCACCTTTTTTGTAGGTCACTAAATTGCTGGCCTGGAAGGCTGGTAGCACCGTTTATTAAGCCATTAACAACAACAACCACCACCTCCAAATAAAAAATTCCACCTACTCATCAGCATTCTAACTCAGCATGTTGCCTGTGACAAGCGACACCCTGAAAAAAATGGTCCTTTGAATTGTCTTGCCAGGAAGGTGCTATTTCTGGTATAGTTACATGATTTGGGGAGACTATGGGTAAATCTTCCAGTCATACACAAATGTCCATCATCTGGCATTCGTAGGTGCTGATCAAATCACCAAACTCACTGGCACACACTGAGTGGCAACACCGGGGGCCTGGAGTGTTGGTATTTCTCAGACTGAAGTGGGCACATTACTGATCTCTGTAATCCACAAAATATGTATGTGAGCTTTACTAAGGTTAAAGAGTGAATCCACTGTTCTTAGGTGTCATCTATTGCAATTTTAAAATAAGGCGGGTTAGATTTAAGAATGTGTGTCTGGCATGCAAACTTTCCCTGGAAAAGGTCTAAGAAAAACTGAATTAAATACTGCAATGCTACATTATATAGGAGTTTGAAATCAGAGGGTTGAGTATCTACTTCAAGTCTTTTCCTCTTGGTTAGGAACTTAGGAGGTACCTCAAAATATCAGATCTGGTCTGTTTCAAAAGCAGCACTTTTAATAAATAGCAGAAAAGCAAATAAAACACTTTTTCCTTTTTGTAATAAATCATTTTGGTTTTTTTTATAGATTGCATGTGGCATTTGAGGCAGAGCGAGCAAAGCTGCCAATATTGCAAGCTGATGCTTCAGCACCTTTCATTTTTCTCTGAGCAGGAACCCTCTTCTTAAACTTGTTCATCTTACAGAGAGAAAATCGAAGCCACTGGCATATTGTCAGAGCTGCTTTATTGTCATCATTTACAAAGGTCACTGGAATTAATTGACTTCTTATATTACATGTTGTAAACTGACTCATTTTTTTGACACATTTATGGGAAAGTGGCAGGATCTAAGTGGCTGGTTATTGTCTTTTTGCTTTGGCTTATATTACAAACTAGGAAACCAATAATAGCTCTGAAATCACAGTTGTGGAAAAAAATAACCCACAGTTTCAAAGAAGCTGACTCTGTTAACTGTGTGGTTAGTTGAACTAAAAGAAGGCAGGAGAGAGCTCCAGAAGATGAAATACAAATGCTAGGTTTCTTTTACTGTCTTTCCAGGACCCAGTAAAGAGGGCAGTGAATGTTTCCATGAATATCCTCAATTGGTGTTGTCTGTTTGAAAGCATATTCTAAGTAGCTGGCTTCCCTTTACAAGATTGGAAGTAAAAATTAACCCACACTGAATTCCATGAATCATCAATACATGGATGCTCATAGAGTTTACTGAGAGTAATTCTGTCTCAAAGGCATTGCTTCTGAAACTAAAGATGAGAAATATATCAGTAATATTTATGGTACCAGAGCACACTATTTTCTAGGTAGATATTTTGAACCTTTACTTCTATTTTTGTTTTCACATTATCCCCTTTTCACTAAATTAGGACGGTTCTACTCATATTCATAGCCTGCTTTCACTGAAATTAGAGGCAGAGAAACAAGGACATATTGTTAAAAATGAATAAATTAGAGCCGAATTAAGCCATCCAGCTCAACAACAGCAAAGGGAATATAGCAGTTGGTTAGAACAAACAATTTTCTTAAATAGGAAATGTACTTTAAAGCCATCCTGCTGTGATCCTGTTAATTACCAAAGATTAGAACTCTTCTGGTTCATGGGATCCTTTCACCTAGTGTGTGGCAGTTCCAGCTGCATTAGCAATCAGACATTTGCACTGTCCCTTCAGACCAGCGAGGGGATGTTATTAAAGGGAAGTCATTTACCCCAGTCCGTAAGATGTAGCCTGGCAGAAATTCAATAACTGTTTGTGATATGCTCATTCTGCTACTCTGCTTAGTGGTTTAGCTCTTAACATACAACAGCATTTGCCTTAATTTGCATCCACTGGATGAGACAAAATAAAAATGCCCCATTTGGTGGGTTGATTTCAAAACAGAGAATAATGTGTGATCTGCTTTTCACTACAAATAATGTGAAGAAAAAGGAAAATTGCACCCCATCACCCGTGACTCTCCTCTCCTCTCTGTCTCCTCTCTGTCTTCTCTCTTCCCCATCTCCTTCTCTCTCCCTCTCCTCCTCTCTTCTCCCCCACTGTTCCCTTCTCTTCTGTCTCCCTCCTTTTTCTCCTCCCCCCAACACTGCTTTTTCTCTCCCACTCACATCCTCTAATGGGCATTCAAGCTAGTAAAATGCATGTTGGAGAATCTCACAAACACAGCTAGGCACACACAGAGCCAGCTGGGTTTTGCATGTGAATTTCTTCTCAAAAGTGCAATAAAAGAAAAATGCTCTTAGAATTCAGACAAGAAGAAGACATCAAAGGAGGATTTAGGTGTAAAAACATGATCATCGAAGAGACAAGAAATAGAACGTATTTTAAAATATATGTGTATTTTAAACTTACCTTGAAAAGCAGTTTCAGTGCTAGCCCACCTCCGATGTCCTTGCGTGCTGGATTCCTCAGTTCCTTGGTTGAGATAATCACATGGTTGTGTTCTTGCCCGGTATAAATAGGTGCATTTGTGTGTCTGTGTAACAAAGTGTACAAAATATATACTATAGATATGCACACATGCACGCAATCTTATCTCTCTATTTTAAAATATAAAGGAAGGCAGGAGGCTGCAGCCGGGATTCCTTCTTTTTCCTGGAACTCTTTTTCTCAGTCGGCAGGCTGAGGCTCTCAATCCAGTGAAGAGAGATCCTGTGAGCTGGCTTTATTTTTCCTTGTTTCCATGGTGGTTAGTGGTGCATCGTTCACCCGATCAGTTGTCACACTGACATGGTGCTGCCTGCTCAGCGGTCATTAATAACTGAACACCCTCCACTCCCCAGAGAGGAGCCAATCGCTTCAGACAGCCAAGATGTAGCACTCGCAGCTGCTCCAGTCTGGTTGGCTGAAACAAACTGTCTGTTCTATGACACTGCTGCTTAGGATACAAATAAATGAAACAGGCTTGCATGTTTTCCTAGGTATCATTTTCCTTCTTTTTTTTCCTTTCTGAGGGAATGTTGGGAATTTTTGACAAGTTTTCTCAATTTTAGGTTATCAGTCATTCAGAGAAATATGTTTTCAGTCTGCAAATAGAGAGGACACACTACTGATAAGGATTTCCTAAATATTAAAAACACCTGGTAGAGACTCAAACCTCCAACTCCGTCTCTGAAGTTCAGCAATGACTGCATTATTTAAGAAGAGAAGCTTGCAACTGTTTTGAGTGGCATTTGGTTCTCTATAGATCCTACTTAATTTAGCATATGTGCTTGGTGTTCAATAACACTTTTTTTTTTTTTTTTTTAGCAATGACATTTCTTGTCTGGATTGACCAGATTTTTAAAATAAAGCATATATTTGCCTCTCTGTAATTCACAACATTGGCATTTGAGGGGGTACTTTTTAAAAATATGTATTTCTAATTATACTCACTGACTTCTCTTTATATGATGTAATAAATCTAGGAGCTACATATGAATGGGTACATGTGTAGGTGTGTTTGTGTATCTGTGAGTGTGTGTGTGTATTTAGGATGTATTTTTTACCACTCTGGGGAAATATTTCGATTGTAATAAGTTAAATTATTTAAAAGACTATCTTTATTCTTAGGCCTATTAACTCTGAAAGGATATTTCCCAGGAAAATATACTATATAAGCCATACATGTAAAACATTTTTATTAATTACCAGAAATTTGGAAAACACAGAAACACATAGCAGTGCATATTTCTGAAAGAACATACATGAAAAATCAAAAAGCAGTTTTAAAAATGCATGTTTTACAACCTTAATTAGTATACTAGAGAAACATCTTGTTGAGGAGAATGGAACATGAGGATTAATATATCAACAGGTCAAAAGCAGGCTAGTCATGACTCCAACCCCAGTTTTGAGAGACTACCCTCTAGTGGAGTAAAGAGAAATGGCACTTATTAGATTTACTTAGGAAAAAAAAAACAAAACCTTCACATCTAATTGCTCCTTAAGTGCTTATTGACATGACATAGAACAATAGTTTGCAGTTATTATAATAATAATAATACCAGGAAAAATTTTAAACAGTAGGCTTGTCTTTAAATACTGAATATTTTCACTCTGTAGTTTTCTAGAAACAGTTCCCAAATGTTTTTTTCTATAAGAATTTATTCAAATGAATCAAAATAAGTTCAAGATAAAAGTAGCATCTCATTTAACCTAATACTTATTTCAGAATATTATTGTAAGGTTTTATTATTTACTGGATACTCTAGTATTTACTCAGAAAGCACTGAGTCAGTTCTGTATGTTAGGGATCATGGTTGAGTGTTGGGATGTTGTGTTAGAGTATATTTACATATAATTTAATGTACTTTTAATAATAGTAATAATCATCCTTCTTACCCCTTAATTTTAATCTAGCAAATCTTAGTTTCTTTAATATTCCAAATTATTTCAGTATCTGCAGGATTTATTTCCACATATGGAAGAATAATCTTAAAATTGTGATAATTATTTGTAAAAAGAGAATTTTTATTTATGCCATGGTATCTTAAGTGATTAATTTTCATTGATTGGTATTGACTGTATAATTGACAAGTCCAGTAATCAAACCAATTATAATGCACTCCCATAATGAAGGTAAGTTGTGATAGTCAGATACATGATTAAACTCCTCTCTTGGTTTTTAAATGAAACTGCAGTCATACCTAATATCTTAAATTTCAGTCTGTTTCAGAAATCAAGAAAAAATCTTTTCAGTTTTGATTCAGTTAGAATTGTTAAAGGTAGCCATTTATATGTTATCTTACATTATTTCATAGGAAGTTGTTTTAACTAAATGATCACTCTTTTGAAAGTGGGAGATCAGAGTGCTCTTCCTGCAATTGTCCTTTTAATGTAGGTACATGATAAATTTAAAATATTTTATACTCATTTTTATAAATTTAATATCATGGAGCACTAGAAATGAGATTTTAATGTGAAAGAGAAAATGACTCTGGCTTTGGATGAAAAGGATGGCGATTCTGTTCTTTGACTGGAATTTCTATCTTGTTCCAAGAGCATCAGCAGCTTTATGGAATCAGTGTGTGTTTTGGGTGTTTTTTCACTTATCAGGGCGTTCAGTCCTTAACTGTAAATATGAAATGTGGCTCTCTCCAAAGATACATGAAAAAATTATTTTGGTATCACATCTATATAATGAAGTACCATATGAAGACGTTACATTGTAATACAGTAAGGATTTTAGGGTTTTTGAATTAATACAATTGTGAGTGATCATCAAATGAGAACCATGGAATCTTAGCACACAGTTGGCACATTAAAGCCAGGATAGAGCCCCTCAGGTATTCCAGGTTTTTTCCACCATATTACCCTATCATCTACTGGATGATTGACAGGTCTCTGCTAATTCTTCTTTTCCTTCTTCTCCTTCTTTTCTTCCTTCTTCTTACTCTCCCTCCTTCTCTCCCTTCATTTTTTTTTAAGTTTCTTCCTTTAGAAGGCACTAAAGCTTCAGAGAAATTTCACATTGTAAACCACAGTATTACATGGTTGTACATGTTACCTACATTGTAGGAAATGTCTACAGGGTTTCCTAGATGAATACTGAGTTTTAATGGAAATGTATTGAAATGGTTTTAAAATGTAAATGAATAATTACAACCCTTAAATTATACTGAAAGAGTTTTGCCTTCATCATCAAATAAGAAAATATTGGGTACAGTAGATATTCACTGACTTAGTGGTTGGGATTTTTAACTTGTTTATTGCTATTTCATCAAATCCTGGGCTTTATTCGCCTGTGTGCTTTTCTTAGAAAAGTAGCCTGGACAGTCGGTAGAATGTGGGTTTTAGAGCCACAATGTCTGGGTTTGAATCCTTACCTTGCCACTTCCTAGAGACTCTGAGCATCATGTTAAGTATCATCTCTGTTAAGTATCATCGTGCATCTTGGTTTAAAAGTATTATCTCTGCATGTCATTTTTCTCCTAGAATTGTTATGAACATTAAAACAGTTAATATGTATACCGGGTTTAGAAAAGTGCTGAAATATAGTAGTCTTGAACAAATGTTTGACATTATTACTGGCATTATTATGGTAGTGGTCATTGTTATCATGGTCATTGTTTTCCTCCTTTAACAAGATATAATCTCTCATTTGACCCACAATAGCACTCTTTATCGCTCTTATTACTTACCATTTTTTTGGTATTATAATTGTTTCTGTAATTTTACCTGTTTCCCCTTTTAGCATATAAGATTCTCCTAGAGGGAGTATATGTCTTGTTAAGTTTTTAAGCTCCACAATGCATATAAAATGGATAAAATAACATCTGTCGAGCACTAACATATATTTGTATATTTTATATATATTAACTTCAAAAATATTCTATTCAAATTGGGATTGATATATAAATTATACCTATTCCAGTTGAATTATAGCTATTCTAGTGTTTCGTTGTTTTTTTTTTTTTTTCTTTTTTTAAGATGGAGTCTTGCTCTGTTGCCCAAGCTGGAGTGCAGTGGCACGATCTCGGCTCACTGCAACCAACACCTTCCGGGTTCAAGTGATTCTCCTGCCTCAGCCTCCCTGGTAGCTGGGACTATAGGCGCGTGCCACCATGCCCTGCAAATTTTTTGTATTTTTAGTAGACATGGGGTTTCACCATGTTATCCATGATGGTCTCGATCTCCTGACCTCGTGATCAGCCCGCCACAGCCTCCCAAAGTGCTGAGATTACAGGCGTGAGCCACCGCGCCCGGCAAAGATAGATATTTTTACCTTCAATTGGCAGTGTAGAAACATTGGCTGAAAGAAGCTAGCTTACTTGCCCAATGTCCCAAAACTATTAAATAATGAGGCTAAAATTTGAACTCAGTTCTGTCTGCTTACAGAGCCAAAGCTCTTTCTACTGCACAAGGTACTCAATATTCACTTGTAAAATAAATGAATGCTTGATGGATGGCTGAGCCAACCAATGCAATATAGTCAGCAACAAGGGATGCCAAAAATAAAATACTATTTTTAAAAAGGAATTAGTTTTATGCACAAGACAGTGGTTGCTTTTATACAGTAGTGGTTGTTCAGGTTTGATGACGGAATTTTTATTGCTGTCATGATTTGAGAAGTAGAGCTCTGAAGAAATGCAGTGCCTAGTGGAAAAAATGAGTCGATATGCTCAGAAAGCTAAATACATATGAATGAGTCACTGATGGTGAGGGGCTGACATTGTGCTAGGAAGGTCTTCAATGACTTTGTCCTTTGTGGTCTAATTCTAATAACAGATTAGTTCTCAATTCAGTTAGAAACATGATGTAAGGTGAGTAGTAGTACTACTGACTGTTTGTTAGAATGTTGAACTAAAGCAAGTTGGGTCAGAGTTCTCATTTTCTTTTTCAAAGGAGTTTTGGAAAGTAGAATTGGAGAAAAACAGAGGTTCTTATTTACCTATAGGTTTTGTTTTAATTTTAATTTTTTTTTCTTTATTTTTGAGACAGTTTTTGCTCTGTTGCCCAGGCTGGCGTGCAATGGCATGATCATAGTTCACTGCAATAACCTCGAAATCCTGGGCTCAAATGTTCCTCCTACCTCAGCTTCCAGAGTAGCTAGGACCACAGGCACAAGCCACCATATCCTGCTGATTTTTCTTTTTCTTTTTTTTTTTTCTTTTTTTTTTCTTTGAGTAGAGATGGGGTCTCTCTATGCTGCCCAGCCTGCTCTCAAGCGAACCTTCCACCTCGGCCTTCCAAATGGCTGGGATTACAGACATGAGCCACAGTACCAGTCCACGTCTTTTTTTTAAATACTTTTATTTTAAGTTCAGGGGTATATGTGCAGGTTTGTTACAAAGGTAAACATGGGGCATGGGGCGGGGTTTTGTGCATGTTATTTCATCACTCACATATTAACCCTAGTAGCCATTAGTTGTTTTTTCTGATCCTCCCCCTCCTCCCACTCTTAACCCTCCAGGAGGCACCAGTGGCTGTTGATTTTTCATCACTTAGCCCCCACTTATAAGTGAGAACATGTGGTATTTGGTTTTCTGTTCCTGCATTAGTTTGCTAAGGATGGTAGCCTCCAGCTGCATCCATGTCCCTGCAACAGACATGATCTTGTTCTTTTTTAATGGCTGCATAGTATTCCTTGGTGTTTATGTACCACATTTTCTTTATCCAGTCTATCACTGATGGGCATTTAGGTTGGTTTCATATCTTTGCTGTTGTGAATAGTGCTGCAGTGAACATACATGTGCATGTGTCTTTATAAAAAGCGGTCAAAGGATATGAACAGACACTTCTCAAAAAAAGAAATATGTGCAGCCAACAATCATGTGAAAAATAGCTCAGCATCACTGGTCATTACAGAAATGGAAATAGAAACCACAATGTGGTACCATCCCACATCAGTCAGAATGGCTACTATTAAAAAAGTCAAAAAACACCTTACTGAGTCCTTACTAGATTAATGGGACGCAAACCCACAAAAATTTAGTTAACAGCTAAATATCCTAATCAACTAGCTTCAATCTACTGACGAGGTTGTGGAGAAAAAGGAACACTTTTACACTGTTGTTGGGAGTGTAAATTAGTTCAACTGCTTTGGAAGACAGTGATTCCACAAAGACCTAAAGGCAGAAATACCATTTGACTCAGCAATCCCATTACTGTGTATATACCCAAAGGTCTTACTTTTAATGAAAGATACGAATCATTTGAAGAACAAAAGTAATCTCACTATGCCAAGAAATTCACAATCAAGGATGACATGTCAGGAATCAATGAGACAAATTTTTTTCTCTGTCTCTTCCTCAGATTCCTTTATTCTTCCCTATGTTTCTCCTTATATTTCTCTGTAGATCCAAAAAGGTCTCTCATCTTGGCTTTTCTCTATGTCTCTCTCCATTCTTTTCACTCAGGGGATTGACTTTTACTCCTTTTCTAGCGATGTGAAACAATATCTAGCAATATTTCCACAAAATCCATACATTTACTTGTTACTCATACTATAATAACAACAATCATCCCTTTAATCCTGAACCCTCATCTATCTTTCCTTCTCTGTTCTCCTCACATTAAGTTTCTCAGAAGAGCTATCAATATTTGCTACAATCATATCATCACTTTCTACCTACTTTGTCAGTTGACTTTTCTCTGATTTCTAATCCAAACTTGTTACTGAAATTCTGCTTTGGAATCTCAACCAGTGCCCTCCCAATTTGGTTATTGCACATCAAAGCCTCCTAAGTCATCTTCATGCTTGTCTGCACATTCTGTCTCTTGTCATTGTGGGTTCATCTACCTCTTAAGTATTTATCCTAGGCTTGTTCTTTTGCCTACTGTTCTTTATATGCTCTCTTAGATAATATTGTCTCTACTACTATGTAATTACTACTTTCAAACCTATATCAGTGCTCTTGCAAGTAAAATTAATCAGTCTCTTTATCCGTGCATCCATCCATCCATCCGTCTATCTATCTTTCTACCTATCAATCCTTCCCTCCAATTGTCTGGTAAATGTCTCTACTTGCGTGATCCCCAGGCACTCTGTACTCTACGTGTCTAAAGCTGACCTCTTAAGCGCTCCCCTAAACTGGCTTTCTTCTTTTTTCCTTTCTTTTTTTTTTTTTTTTTTAATTTTATTTCTGCTGCTGCCTCGTTACCTAGAGAATTACAGGAACTTTGGATCTTGTGCCTCATATCTTGCATTTCACCATATACAACTTGATTTTACTCTGAAGTTTTCTTAAATTATCTTCTCTGTCTGCTAGATATTCATCGTCTCTTACCTTGGCTGCTGCAATTTCTCCTAACTTCCCTGCTTCCAGTCTCATCTTTTCTAGTTCATCTTTCTTGCTTCCAATCTCATACCTTCTAGTCCATTCTTCCCTTCCTCCACAACACAGTCAGGCTCACACTTGTGTTTAGCAAGCCTACTTCTTACTGTTCACTCTTCATTCCTCAGTTCAATTATTTCTTGACAGCAAATTTAGTATTTTTGTTGTTATATTTATTATTGGTATTATTCAGAAAATAGAAATGATTTTCCTTGAGCTATCCACAAACCACAATGAAATAGATCAGATTTTAAAATATGCATAGCTGTACACATGCAGAAATTATGTATGCTGAAATTAAAGTACCTAGAATAATATTAAATAGCATTTGTTGAGTTTAACTCGATGCAAGACACTGAAACTTGGTAGACCCTGCACACATATGGTTTCATTCTTACAGTACCGTGAGGCAGTCAGGGACTTTCCCCTTTTCACAGAAGAGGAAACTGGGGTTGGTGAACTTCTACAGTTGTCACGCTAGTGAAGAAGGAAAGCTAGAATGCAAGTCAGGCTTCAAAGCCAACAGTCTTAAAACTGTATTTTCTTCTCTTCAGTGATCTTTTGAGGCCCTCGTTCTCCTCTCCTTTGCGGGTTTTATAGCTTAACTTTTGCTTCCTGTGTTTGCTTATGTGTAACCAGATTGACAAAAAATATTCATGGTAGAAGACTAACAATTTAGCTATACCTCATGTTTTTCAACCCCAAAATGTTTGACAATATTTTTATTCTCCTAATTGGATGATTAACATAGTGTGAAGGTATCTATAAATCATTATTCCTCAAAGGCAAACATTATATCAGCTGAGATAATTTTTTATTATTTTCATGTTGGTTTTTATTTTGGATAGTTGTTGTTATTTGTCTGCCTTTAAGAGTCAATATTTAAGATGAATGACAATTGTATTATCCAGCTCTTTTTCTAATTATTGTGTCGTCCTGAAACTAAATAACAAAATGGATCGATACACATACATAAAACTTCAACATTGGTATACATGAAACTACTTTACTATATTTTAAATATATTTGAGACTACAAAAGGCAACATTTGCACCCTGTTTTAATAGCAGAGTTTCAAAGCTTTATTGAAGATGATTGTTATGCAGAAAACTGGAAAATCAGAGTAGTAGTCTTTAGGCATAGAAGGAACAAGAATAGGACAGGCTTAGGTTTTTAAGGTAAGGAAATGTAAAATACAATCAAACAAAAGAGCAACACGTGTCATTTTTTTTTTTTTTTTTTTGGCAAAATCGCTTATCTTTCTTTCCATTCCATAGACATGATGCAGAAAATGAGCAAATTAACCCTCGCCATTAAGAGCACTTCTTACATCTTTAACCTTTTATAAAGGGTACATTTGATTAGAAATGCAATGAATATTCAGTGCTTTGGTCAGTTTAGACTTTGGGGGTGCTCCCCAGCTGTATAATGCTCACTGAGAGCCTATGTGTGAACCACAAGCCTGGGAGAAGCCTGGCTGTCTGAAGGGGCTGTGCTGAAGGCTTTCACATAGTTCCCATTACTAAGGAAACCACTCGTTTTGTCTGAACACTCTCTGAATAGATGTCTCATTTGAAGTCTAGTGCTCAAACCATGAGGATTGCATTATGGAGCTGAGAAAGAAATGAGGAGAACAAAAAATGCTTGAAAATGCCAACAAGCATTCACAAAGCGTTGTACTGTAATAACATTCCATGAGACAGAAGGTGCGTTTATTTTTGCCGCATTCCAAGTTATTTTGGTGTTATAAAAGCAAATTCCTTTGCTTGCCCACGTAATCAAAATAAGAAAAGCAGATGTTCTTCTGACCTATTCTTAATTCCTGCTCTTGTTAGGGTCTCACTGAGAAGTGTGACATATAGAAAAAGCAGGACAAAATATGGATTCTCATATTAATGTAGATTTGCTCCGTTGTACTTTATAACTAAATGGTGTAGTGCTATCCCTGTGCCAATAAACAAACACATGTTCAGAGTCAGACCTCAGGATTTGTAGCCTCCAAATGGTTACTGTTAAATTCAGAATGGCTACTGCAAACTGGTGCTTGGTGCTCATTAATGAGCATCCAACTCAGATTTGGAGTGAGAAAACACTGCTTCTAGGAGACTCCTGCTCCACTCTCCAGCTTCTGCCAACCTACAGCAAAGAAAGCAGCTCCTACTTAAAATATCAGGCAATCATTCTTTCTTCCTCACTCTGGAAAGTAGGGTTTGCGGGACTTTCATTACAGTATATTCTTTATCATCCCTCTCCCTGTTTTTGATATGGTCAATGACGTTATTTTAAAAGTATACAATTTGCTATGCAGACACCTAGTCAGAGGTTGCCACCTCTACACCCATATAGAAAGTCACAGGAGGAAGTCATTCTTACCTCTGTGTTGAGCTACTTTAATCCTTTCAGCAAACGAGAGATGTATCAACACAGTTAATCCACAAATGCAGAAATTAATAAATATGTATAGATTACTTGTTGTTTTACTTTTTGCTGACTGTCATAGCAGTTAGTGTCTTGCCTGCAAAAGAGTCTATGAATGAATGAGATCTTTGGACTCATAGCCCAGAGCTTTAGCACTGCACTAAGGACACTCCCTCTGTGCACAGGTTGGTCAAGTCTCTCTTTGGAAGACCACTGTTACAAAGAGGTGCTAGCATGTCTAAAATCTAGAAACAGGCACAATAAGCAAGTACAAGTTTATTTCTTTCATGGATTCTTACAGATTAATACTAAAAAATTATAAATGTGAAACACTAACACAGCATTGTCAGAAGAAAGTCTTTTGTTTGTTTGTTTTTACATTTTCTTTTTTCCTTAAATATATTGGCAGTCTCGCATTTTTAATAAACATATATTTCATGTAATTGTCTTTTGCAGATTTCTTCCTCAACCAAATTTAAGAGGTGCCAAATTCAGTAGAATTGACTAAGGATAAACTAAATAGTTTTCTAGCATTTAATGGGGCATCCCAACACCACTAAAAAGGCCCTAAATTTGAAAGCATGAAAGAAGAAAGTTTATTCATGTGAAAGTACACAAATACTTATCCTATCAATAATATCCTCACTAGTCTGATTACAGGTCTTCAATTCATTTTGAAATGAACAGCCTGAAGCTGCCAGCTGTTTCTGATCTGATGTGCTTATAGAATATTTACTTAGGGTATATATTTAGCAGTTTAGATATCATGGCTGCTGACAAGAAAATTCTAATACTGAAACTTACTATGAAGTTTCTGTTTGTAAAATGGATATATATTTGGTCCCTTGTCAAAATTTGGCAGTGAACAGGATGTCTGCATCTTTGTATTCCTGGTCCTCAGCACAATGCCTAGCGTATAGTAAGCATTTAGTAAGAGGAGATTGAACTGAATTGTTTGATATGAGAAAAATACAACAAAGTCAGCATTTATAAGATGATCCTTAGCCTGGCTTAATTGAGTGTAGAATGATGGAAACAGCAAATGTTTAACTGTCTTAGACAATTAGCTAAAAAGTCTAATTTTTCCATGTCCTTTCAATCACTTATAATCTTTTTTGAAATATTCTGTGTGTATACATACACACATATGTAATATATATTATACACACATTATATATTATACACACATAATATATAATACACACATGTATATAAGAATATACATATATTTATGTATATAAGAATATACATGTGTATATAAGTATATACGTGTGTGTGTGTATGTTTACATATATATATTGGATAAAATTGCATTGAAAGGATTGAGTCAAATCTAACAGCCCTTGTTTTGTTTCAAGTACAGTGGTTATGTTTGTATTTTATTCTCTTAATGGAAGAGTTTTCAAAATGCCTCCAAGTACCACAGAACATGAGATATTCATTATAATTCTGTTTCTGCCTGCAGCAATAAGATCTGCAGTCCACTGTAACAGTCCTACATTTCAATTAACACCAAGCATCATTTTGTTTGGAGAAGTAAGTACTGTTTAGAAGACTTAAATTTGTTCATAGAACAAAGGAATTGTGTCTTAGTCCATTTTCTGTTGCTGTAACAGAATACCATAGACTGGGTAATTTATAAAGAAATGACATTTTTTTTTTTGTAGTTCTGGAGGCTGCGAAGTTCAAGGTAAGGGGCTGCATCTAATAAGGACCTTATGACATCACACATGGCAGAGGGCATCACATGGTAAAAGAGCAAGAGCATGCCTGCTCAGGTCTCTCTTTCTCTTCTTATAAAGCTACCAGTCTCATTATGGGAGCTCAGCTCTAATGACTTTATCTAAACCAAATTTCCTCCAAAAGGCCCCACCTCCAAGTGCCATCAGTATATGAATTTGGGGATCAAGCTTTCAACACATGAAGTTTGGGGACACATTCAAACCATAGGAGATTATAATTTGAAGACAAATGGAGACTTTAGTTATTATCCAAATTATCAGTATATATGTATAATCATAAAGTTAGGAGCTCATTTACTAATTTAAAAATGTTATGGTCTTTACTATGCATATGCAAGCACACATGTGCTTTGAATTATGCAGTACCTCATGTGCGATTTGGGACATTGTCTTAAGGCCCAGGTCAAAACTAGTCTTCCTAGGGTAGATAAAATTCTAAGAATGATTAAAATATAGTGAACTTAAATATAAGTAAATGCCAATTTGTATAGTATTAGATTTAGTGAATTTAGAAAAAAATTAGGCCGGGCGCGGTGGCTCACGCCTGTAATCCCAGCACTTTGGGAGGCCGAGGTGGGTGGATCACGAGGTCAGGAGATCGAGACCATCCCGGCTAAAACGGTGAAACCCCGTCTCTACTAAAAATACAAAAAATTAGCCGGGCGTAGTGGCGGGCGCCTGTAGTCCCAGCTACTTGGGAGGCTGAGGCAGGAGAATGGCGTGAACCCGGGAGGCGGAGCTTGCAGTGAGCCGAGATCCCGCCACTGCACTCCAGCCTGGGCGACAGAGCGAGACTCCGTCTCAAAAAAAAAAAAAGAAAAAAATTAATGTCATATTTAATTCAATGAAACATGTATTGATTTTGATTCCTTCTATGTTATTTAACTAAATTAATGTTGGCTTTTAAAATGTTTATTTAAAAAATACCACAATGTAATCCCAGCACTTTGGGAGGTCAAGGCAGGTGGATCACCTCAGGTCAGGAGTTCGAGACCAGCCTGGCCAACATGGTGAAACCCCGTCTCTACTAAAAATAGAAGAATTAGCCATGTGTGGTGGCGCATGCCTGCAGTCCCAGCTACCCAGAGGCTGAGGCAGGAGAATCACTGAAACCTGGTAGGTGGAGGTTGCAGTGAGCTGAGATCGTGCCATTGCACTTCAGGCTGGGTGACAGAGCAAGATTCCATCTTAAATAAATAAATAAATAAATAAATAAAAATAAAAAATACCACAGCTTTATTGTAAAAAATTTTGAAAACTCAAAAAGGATAAAGAAATGGGGAAGAAAGCATTTGCACATCAAAGGATATATTGTATATACCACTTTGGTATACTTTGGTACATTTTTTTGCCCTTGCATAGTAGAAAATATTCCATATTTTAAAAATTATGTCATAAAAATAATCTTTATTATTTTAGTGCCCATATTAATACTATATAGATACTCCATTCTCCAAATATTGGACGTTTGTTTCCTAATTTTTAAAAATGTTCTATATTGTGAATAATGCAGATAATGCAGTAGCAATAATCAGTGGACCGGATTGCTTTAAGTGACATTCTAGACCAAAAGATTGAGGCATTCCAAGACTCCTGATATATTATACAGATTGCTTTCCTGAAAGCGCATACCAAGTTCACACAGCAAGTATGAGTCTCATTTCTATCATGCCCTTGCCAGCATTTATTTTTTCATTCATTCCTTCAGGAAATATATTTGAACAACTGTCCAGGTTTTGTCCTAGATGCTTGGGATATAAAGGTGAAAAATAAAGTCACTGTTTTCAGAAATGTTACTTGGGGTGATGTAAGAGGTAGACGATAAATAGGCAACGATAAACGTGCAAGTAAATAATGATTCCAGACATTAGTAAATACCATTAAAAAATTAAAACAAAGTAATATTATAGTGAATAACAAAGAGGGATTATTAACATGCAGTATTAAAGAGGTTCAGCCTTAGAAGGTAACATTTGAGCACAGACATGAATGTTGAAAGAAGAGTCAGGCCAAGAAACAAAGGCAAAGTATAACGGGCAGAAGAACAGTGTGCACAAAGGTCCTTGGCATATCCTAGGGACAGAAAAAGGCCAGTGTGCATGAGTAATGAACAAAGAGGAAGTGTTAGGACGCGAGGCCTGAATGGTGACCAGGGATGAGATCTCCTATAGTCTTGCGAACCATGGAAAGGAATTATATTTTAATTGTAATGGGCAGCCATTAGACAATTTTAAGTAGGGTGGAGATATTAGTACACTTAAAATTTGTACTCACTGTTTCAAAACTCACTAGGCTGCTACATGGAGAATTGGTTAGAGGCAGGTAGGAGTTAAGGGGAGCAACAGATGCTGAATACTGGACTTCCCTGATAGCTGAAGAGATGTTGAGAGATGACAGTATTCCAGAGATATTTTAAACCCAGACCTATAAAGACTGTTAATGGATTGTGTATAAGGGATATGACAAAAGAGGATTTAAGTCAGACTTCTACATCATAGTAGACAGTGGTGCTGCTATGTGGATAATGGTGCTATAAAGTGAGAGGCGGGATTCCGAGAGAAGAGCAAGTTGCCCTCATCCCCAAACAGAATTCTGTCTTTCTCATGTAATGTAAGGGTAATGTTTTAAAATGCTTAAAATGCTTTTATCTGTTGCTTAACCATGTAAAACAAAAAAACCAACCAAACAAAAAACTTTGCCCTCATCAGCCCTAGTCATTTATTTCCCTGAAGGGAGATTCAGATTTGTAACAAGAAATTCCAAGAAGTAGTCAGTATAAGATGCAGCTTTGTTTTGCAAAAATATAACTATGCAACCAGCAGAAGAAACAACTAATACAAAGGCCTTAGGTTGTGAATTTCTGCACCAAATACAGCAAGCCAGCCTTTCATCTTGAGATAAGATTTTCCTGATTCCACCTGAGCCTGAGACTCAGCTCATGCAATTTTTCCCTAGTTGGAGGAGAGACCTCATTCACTATTGAGGTCTAGCTAGAGTCAGAAAGAAGAAAAATAAAATATAGTAGAAGGAAAGTAAAAGCCTTTTATTTTGCCCTGAGGATTTTTAGGGAGAAAAGAGAGGAGAGAGATGAGAGTAAGGTAGTTAGAGAGGTGTATTCTGACGTACCCTTGTGGCTTTAGCTTGGAGATGGGTAGGTGCATTAAGTAAACAATAACATCATTGCCCCCATCTCTGGTAAAATATCACCTCTTTGTTCTCCCATCACTTTTATACTGTGCCACAGCAAATTGACCACACTATTATGTGGACAGAGGGATTCCCTATGATTTAGCTTTTCTGAACCACAGATGCTGGGTTGAGAGACAGAAGGCTAATGGACAAAGGGTCCCAACAGCAGAGGCTGGGCTGATTCCTGAGCTACAGACTGAATGGAAGACAAATGAGTCATTCAGGAGGTTGCTGCCAGTGGAGGCTGAGGTGAGGCTGATTCAGCTACAAAGAACTATCAGGCTCTCAGCAAACCAATGGGGCCAAAAAACAAAAAATCCCCACATTAAGGCAATCAACCATCCAAACCTCCACAAAAATGTTACCAACCATAGATCACAGCTTTCAATGTCAGCAGTGCAAGTAGTACTCAGGGGCACATTGAATAGATATCAGATCTTCAGTGCTTCTCAGACTTATGAATCACCTAAGGATTTTGTTAAAATGCAGATTCTGATTCAGTAGGGCTGGAGTTTAGCCTGCATCTCCAACAGCCTGCCAGGAGACATTGGTGGTGCTGGTCCACAGATCACACTTTGAGTAGCAAAGAGCTAGCACACATACAGGATCATCATGAAGGCCAATGGACTCCTCCCCACCAATATCATGAGGGGGGCTATTTGAAGAACCAAACTTTTTTTTCCTAGAGAGAAATGAAGTATTATTGGAAGGATCTATGAAACTATTAGACTAGACCAAATTTTAACTAGATAAGAAATTTAGTTCATTTGATTTTCTGGTAGCTGGCAAGTGGAAGGGAGAGGTGAACAATTAAATTGGCTGTAAACAAAAGTAAAACATTATGTTTTTTTCTAATAGTTCAGAATAGTGAGTTAAGCCTGGGCTACCTTTTAGCGAAATAATGGACACATCAAATTTAAAATATAAAAGCATGGAGCTCAGAGGAGAGATCGGAGTTTAAGGTGTAAATTTAGAAGTCATCAGCATGTCTATCTTTAGATGTGACAACGTGGGGAAAAAGTGTACACAGAGACAAGAAGTCCTGAGAGTCTGACCTCGGGCACTCTATTATCTAATGTGAAATAAAGATGGAAGAGCCAGCAGAGGACAGTGAGAAAGAGCAACCAGCAAAAAGAAAGCCAGAAGAGCCTAGTGTTATGGAGGCTCAGAGAAAAAACATTCTCAAGAAGAAAGGAGGGACTGTTCTAAATGTTCCTGCAATTTCGAGTATTATGAAAACAGAATATTCACTATCAGATTAGGCAACTACTAATATTCATTTATGATAGATATAAATAAAACTTTTAAGTGTCTGTAAACAAGGTCGGGTGCAGTGGCTCACACCTGTAATCCCAGTACTTTGGGAGGCCAAGGCGGTTGGATCAGTTGAGTTCAGGAGTTCGAGACCAGCCTGGCCAACATGGTGAAACCCCATCTCTACTAAAAACACAAAAAATTAGCAGTGCATGGTTGTGCATGCCTGTGGTCCCAGCTACTCAGGAGGCTGAGACAGGAGAATCACTTGAACCCGGGAGGTGGAGGTTGCAGTGACCTGAGATTGTGCCACTGTACTCCAGCCTGGGTGACAGAGAGAGATTCCATCTCAAAAAAAAAAAAAAAAAAAAAAAAAAAAGTCTGAAAACAAGCTATTTAAAATATAACAGCCAAATTTTTTTGCTCCCATTACAATCACAGTTCTTGAACCCCATTGCCTCCTAGCCCTTCTCTCCACTTTCTTGCTTCCCATGATCTTTTCCGTCCACGCTGATTAGCCTTTGATCTCTGTCATTGTGTTGAATGGTTCTTATCAGTCACTTGCACGTTGCCAAAGTCTCTCAAATTTCTTTGTTCTTAAAGATTCTATGTACAAATAGATTTTCTCTTGATATTTTCCGCATTTCTGTTTTTTGATCGTAGCCAAAAGTACTGCAAAACTATCCTTATTGCTAAAACCAAATACGTGATTGCAATCTTGGCCAAAACCAGAAATGAAAGGAAAAACAGGTATTGGAATGTGGAAGTTAAAAAGGCATTTGAAGAAAAATTGAGACTCTGTCACCCTTTTCTATTGTGATCAAGCCCCATTAGGAAGAACATTAGAATTTTGGTTTCCAGCTGTGTCTGTGTAGATGAAAACTCTGTGAGCCAACTTCCCTTTTCCAAAGTGATCTAAATATTGTTCAGAGAATTCTAGTTAGTTGGCAGAGAAACAAGTATTTAGGCAGAAATATGTCCAAAAATGAGAAGACTAAAGATATGCATCATGTGCCCATGTATTTTACATAGGACCAAGATTAACTGGGTTTTGCTCCGAACCTTAAGAAAGAAGGCTTTTTCAGCATTGCTAGAAATAAATCTTGCTTTAAAAGTTTATTGCAAGTGTGGTGTTTATGAAAAGCAAATTAGTATTCTATAAATTCTCTCAAACACAAAGTGATAATCAGCTAAATGACAGTCGATGAGTCATCATTGTAGGTGGAAAGATGACAGTCAGGTCAGGAAGTGAATAAACTAGGTTTCTTATTTTTGCTCTGACTTCAATTTAACGTATTAGTTTGGGTAGGTCATTTAACCTGTCTGGACCTTATTTATTTGTAAAATGAGGGTATAAACCTGGTTGTCTCTGGTGTCCCTTCCAGCTTTGATGTTTTGTGAGCATGTAGTTCAATAGTCAAAATTACTGGGTAACAAAGCAGAGTCCAGCAAGTGTTATCTATGCAGAAGTGATTTCCATTTGAATGGTCAGATATTAGAGCTTGGACATTGTCCTGGGTTCTGTGGACAGACCAAGGGATAGAGAGGAACAGAAGACTGACCAATAACACATGCATACTTATATGCAACAATTTATCCCAAATACAACATTTCTCAAATTTCCCTACAACAAAGACAAAGGTTAATAATTAAAGAACATTAGTGTACAGACCATTAGAAATAAGTAGTATCTTCCTGAGTGGCAGAGTTCTGCTACATAATTGGTAACACAACTAAGGAAACATTTAAGGGTGATCTCTATTTCAGGAAAAGAGAGTTAACAGAAGATGCCTCTCAAGGGAAATGGAATCCCACACATTTGAGACTCCTAAAAATGTACTCAAAGTTGAAGTAAAAATGATGCCACAGGGAATAATCTGGCACTGGCAAGCAGGTAGACTTGTTAAGCAAATGGGATTTCTCATTTCTGTTTGCCATGTTTCTAAGAGGAAAATGGCCAGGAAGAGAGAATATGGCTGAGAACATAGTCTCAGATCTGTACAAGCATGCAGGCTTGAATGAAAAAAACTATCTCAGGGATACTACTTTTTAAATTTTTAACTTTCAATTTTGGAAAAAATTTAAACTTGTAAAAAATATGCAAGAATAGCACAATGAACCCCCAAATATTCAGCAATTTATAACATTTTGGTACCTTTATGCACTTTCTCTGTCTGTCACACCCACTCTCATTCTTGCTCTCTCTCCTCCTCTCTCTGTCTCCCCCACCACACACATATAGCGATATGGCTGTATATGAGTGTGTTTATGTGTATATATACACTCATTGTCATTTTTATGACCATCATTTTTGTTGACTTATTTGAAAGTGCATTGCAGATATAATGACCCTTTAACCCGACATCCTTTCTAGAAGTTTTTCTCTTACATAACCACAGTACAATTATCAAATTCAGTATATTTAACATCAGTACAGTGCTATTATCTAATATATATTCCATATTCAAATTTCACCAGTTATTCCTAGAATGTTCCTTATAGCCATGTCTTTGCCTTTACCAATGATCTAATCCAGGATCATGCATTACTGTCAGATGTCATGTCTCTTTAGACTCCTTTTTTTTTTTTTTTTTGGAGACAGTCTTGCTCTGTCACCCAGGCTGGAATGCAGTGGTGCAATCTTGGCTCGCTGCAAGCTCCGCTGCTCCGCCTCCTGGGTTCACACTATTCTCCTGCCTCAGCCTCCCGAGTAGCTGAGACTACAGATGCCTACCACCTCGCCCGGCTGATTTTTTGTATTTTTAGTAGAGATGGGATTTCACTGTGTTAATCAGGGTGGTCTCAATCTCCTGACCTCGTGATCCGCCTGCCTCGGCCTCCCAAAGTGCTGGGATTATGGTGTGAGCCACTGCACCCAGCCTAGACTGGTTTTATCTGAAAGTTTTCAGCTTTTATTTGTCTTTTGTCATGCTGACTTTTTTTTTTTTGAGTTTTGTGGAATGTCTTTTATTTTTGGGTTTTTCTGATATTTCCTCATGCATGGATTGAGGTTACACATTTTGAGAGTAATGCAGTTTACACTGCATTAAGTTCATCATATCAAAAGGCACAAGATACCAGTTTGCCCCAGATTCGGTGACATCAACTGTGATCTCTTTAGCAAACATAGTATCTGCCAGGTTTCTCCACTGTAGGGTGAACTTTTTCTGGTATTAAGTATTTTGTATACATATTATATTCCTCATCAACTTTTATGAAATAGTTTTGCAGTCACCAATGATTCTTGCCTGAATCAAGTACTATTATGATGTTGTAAAATGATTGTTTCTAACTCTGTCATTCCTTTTGTATTTACTAGTTGGAATTCCATTCCGTTGTAAGGAAGAGCTTTCTCTTCTCCCTTCTTGTTTAGTGCCAGTAAGGACTAATGGATTTTTTTTCCCAACAATGAGTTGTAAGCTATTAGTATCATTATTTATTGTGATTCTTAAATTGCCCTATATTTGGCTGGTGGGTAATATTTCCTTTTAACATTTTCACTCATTTGTCATGACCCCTCATTTTTTTAGTGGATGGTATCATCAGCAGTCTTGGGAACTTTATGAAAATTTGTATTAACTTAAAAAAAATTGAAGTGAAATTCACATAACATAAAAGTAATCATTTATAAATGTACAATGTATAAATTTGCTGGCATTTAATGCATTGACAGTGTTGTACAACCACCACCTATATCAAGTTACAAAGTGTTTTCACCACACCAAAAAAAAACTGTACCCATTAAGCAGTTATTTCCTGTTCTCCCTTTCCCCTTGCTCTTGGCAACTACCCATCTGCTTTTTGTCTCTGTGAATTTACCTATTCTAGAAATTTCATATAGTTGGAATTATATGTGACCCATTATGTCTGGATTCTTTCACTTAGTATAATGTTTTTGAGATACATCCACATTGTAGCATGAATCAGTACTTCTTCTTATGGCTGAATAATATTGTATTATGTATATATAACATTTTGTTTCTCCATTTATCCATCGACAGATATTTGTTTCTTTTTTTCATGTTCTGACTATTATAAATAGTGCGGCTATGAACATTCATGTGCATGTATTTGCTTGAGTACGTATTTTTAGTTTCAGGGTATACGTACCTAGGAATGGAATTACTGGCTTATATGGTAATCCTATGTTTACCTTTTTGAAGCATCATCAAACTGTTTTCCAAATTGGCTGCACCAGTTTACATTCCCACCAGCTATGTATGAGGGTTACATTTCTTCTCCACTTTCTTACCAGTAGTCTTTATTTTTTGTTTTTGTATGTGTGGGGATTTAAAAATTCTTATAATTTTAGTGTGTGTGAAGTAACATCTGATAGTTTTGATTTGCATTTCTCTAATGACTAATTATGTTGAAAATTTTTTTCATGTACTTGTTGGCCATTTATTTATCTTCTTTCAATAAATGTCTGTTCAAGTCCTTTACCCATTTTTAAAGTGGGTTATCTGTCTTTTTGTTATTGATTTATATAAGTTCTTTACAAGCTATAAACTTTTAGTAATATATAACATCATGTTATTTAAAAAGTACAAATGTTTTTAAAGTCATGATTTTTCTCCTGATCCGAAATTTAAGTGAGAGACTTGAATTAATAATAGTACCAAGGAAAATATCAAATAGATAATCTTTGAAATTACCTAACTACAACTTGAAGATGTGTCTACTTATATTTAAGAAGTGTAGGTTTGTTGTATTTTAAAGTATCTAAGGTTCAGTTAAAATATCATATACTACACCTGCTGTCCAAGGTGCCTTACATATTGTCCAAATATGGCCACTATGGTGCAGCAGAGCATTCTGGAGTTTCTCAGTGTATTAGTGATTTCAACTCACTAGGGAAAATCCTTTTAAACTCAATTAGTATTTCTTGGATGAGGCTCAATTTGGCAAACTTATAAAGTCTCTTTTGCAAAAACAACTTACTCTAAGTTTTTATCAATCTTCCTTATTTTCTTAGTCAAAAATATCCAATCATAAGTTCCTTTCTAGACAGATAACATTTTTATTTAACCAAAAAAAAAATAAGTTTTTTCTAGCTGTTGTCTTTCTCTGTAATTTTTTCTCTGTATACCATTAATAGAATTCGTGGACTGAACACTAATCATCATTTGCCATGACAGAAGCAGTGCAGCCATACAGTATGCTACTTTAAACGTTGTGGAATGTTTTGCAGCATGTTAGACTGCTGATATTTTCAGATGCAAAGGCTGCCTTGTGAGGTGAAGCCTGCAACCCTTTGTAGTTTTGTGGTGCTCAGTATTTTTTCCAATTGAATTTATAACTTTCTTTTCATTATTCAAAGATTCTTTGGACTTTATACTTTACGCTTTACATATTTTTTTTTCACTATCAATTTACATCTAGTCCTACATTCCTCACAAAAATGTGAACTACTTTAGCTAAAAACTGTTTTCCTTCCAACCTGTAAATCTGTGTTGTGAGGTTCTGGATAATATTTATCACCTTTCTTATGTTATATATGGACTGTCTTTGAAGGAGGGCACCCTGGATGTGAAACTTTAGGGATGCCGGTACCCAAGGCTAAAATGTGGTTTCTTTCATGATATGTTTGCAAATAGTAGAATAACTTTTTAGTGGAACATTGTCCTGTCTTTGGCCCTGGAAACTTGTTCAATAGCATACTCTGGAAAGATCTAATGAGATCCTGGGGGTCAATTTTTTTGTATGATTTGTGTAGCTGTCATTCTACCTTAGCTTTCTCTCCAGGAAGGAGACCAGTTCCAGATCACCCCATCTCGCCTCCTCATGTGAGCCCTAAATGGTAACTGGGTGAGCAGTATTATGAGCAATACTGCAGAGAGTCTCGGACACTCATTGCTTTGTGTATCTACATGTATATCTATGTGTTTGGAATCCAAATGCTACTAAACATTTGTCATTATAGTAATCAGTCTTCATTATAATAATCTCTAAATAGCAGTAAAGAAATATATTAAAATATTTTTTACCTAGAAACAGAACGTTTTACTTTTCAAAGACCCTAGGTAGTACCCACTGTAAGTTTCTAATTTGATGGATTAAAAACTCACTCAGTTTCAGTTCTCTTTATGTCCTATTGTTATAGATTAGTTCATTACTATTCCTCATTTTACCAAATGTTTGAGTTCAAAGGGCAGCTAACAATCATCTAGCCCAGATATGTCAGATAAACAACATTTCTACTGCAGCTTGCCCATGGAAGTCATTGCTAATTGATCAAAGTGGTCCTTCTCACTGAGCACAAAGCATCCTTCTTCATGCCCAGCAGTCATCACCAGTAAAACAAGTTGGTACAAAGGAAGGAATCTGTTTGCTTTAATAGACCTAGTCTCGTACCCTCAATTTAAAGATGGGAACATTACAAAATAAAATAATGAAGTTATTTGCTTAAGTTGCAAAAGGAATCATTTACCAAGCAAGCCTCTTGGCTCAATATAGTGTCCATTCTACATTACCAGAAGTTATCCATGTGCATAGCTAAGGAGACTGAGTGCTGAGTAAAAAGCGACTCTCTCAAAGAACTATTACTTTATTGTGTTGGCAATCATTACTTTATTGTATTGGCTATCATCCCTGATAGCCCACTAACTTAGTGGACAGAACAACAAATGGGATTTGAGTTAGGCTTCTGACATGTCATTTCTAAAATTATTAGAATGATCTCATGGTTTGTTCTGGGAAGTTTAAAGTTCAGAGACTAGACAGGGTCTATTAATGTTGCTATTTTCTGTATTTACATTTTAGTTGGAAATTGAAGGAGGCTTTTTAATTGGCTTACGATATCACTGAGAGGTTGCTCTGTTGCTAAAAGCTGATACTTGTGCTATTATAAATAATAAAAACAATAAGTACTTGGAATGATTGTAATTTATTACTGGATATTCTTCCTTGAAAGCATTTCTTTTGTTTGATTGAAGAATGTTTGCTAAATTTTAAACCCTACATCTTGAGCTTTTTCTCACTTCCCCCACAGAACTGTAAAGCAGTACTGTTTTGCAAAATATTCATAAAATGACAAGTTTAAGCTGCATATTGTTTTCATGAAAATATGAAGACCAATCACTTGTTTCTTGGTGGTTTTACATATTAATTTATATCAGTCTGGAACTGTGAGAAATTATTCTATACAAAATATATTTTTCTCTGTCAAAGTTTATTATGAAATATTTATTTCTCACAATGAAAAATGCTGCCCATCAGTCACAAATATTTTTGCAAAATTACTAGTGATACACAAAATAAATTTAGCCATCTGTCTTCTCACACTCTTTCCTTCTCTTAGTCTGTATTCTCTGTGGTCTCTTGATGTATGTATGTATGTAGGTGAGTGTGTATACATTTGCTGATACACATATACATATACTCTTCTTTACCACTGTTAATTGATCTACAGTGCAAAATGGTTTATGATTTTATTTATTTATTTTTCTTTTTTATATTTAATGCTTCACACTTCAAATATCCTGGTAGCACACTGGTTTAATTGAAGGATTACTAAGCGTTAAGTCTTCTTTGAAGGATTTTATATCTTTCATACTTCTCCCCACATCCTTAATCTCTTGCTGCGATTCTCTTATCTGTTAGAGACTATGACCATGCATATTCCTGGTTCATTCCCTATTTCTCTTGCTGTTCTTTATCTCCTTTGTCAATTTTTCTTTGGCCTAAGGTAATGGAAAGAGCATATACTTGGCCATTAGACAAACTTGGGTTTGAATGTCACTTTTACCACCTCTTAACCATGTAACTTTAAACAAGTCTTTTTTTTCTTTTTCCTCATAGTCTCTTTGAGCATCAGTTTTCCTACGAAATAGTGCTTTTCTGTATTGGTGACCTTGCCAACAGTAAAATAAATAGTCCACTCAGATTAGGAGAAGTTGAGAAATATTTATTTTTAAAGGAACTAATCTAATTACAAATGTGCTTTTCCAAAGGGAGAAGGGAAGGAGCAGTGACTTGGTATCAAAAAATGACACAGCCAATCTAAGGCAGTTCCACTGGGGGAGAAGCACATTCGTAAATGCTAGGTTCTCCCTCCCGTCTGCCTCTAGCCTTTATCTGGGCTCCGCATTGGTCCCACCCAAACTTAAGGCAGAGGTTACGCCTATTTATGTCATCCATATAGGTCAGCTTCCCAGGTCAGAGACTGTGGTAGATATGAGAGTTTAAGCCAACTACAAAGTTAGAGAGAACAGTTCCCAACACTGATCTCTCCTTTGATACTGATTTCATCTGAGTAGAGGTTCCCATAACTATATTCCAATTTGATAATTTGCTTGAGGGACTCACATAACTTACTGAAAGCTGCTATACTCATGGTTGTGGTTTATGATAGGGAAAGGATACAAACTAAAATCAGCCAGTGAAAGAAGCACATAGAGCAGGTCCAGGAAAGTACCAGACATGAAGTTTCCATTGTCTTTCCCTGTGGAATCAGGACACATTCCTTTCCTAGAATAAATGTATGACAATATGGATAGAGTACTGCTGAGCAGGGGAGCTTACCTAGGTCTTGGGGTTCACAGTTTGTACTGAGGCTCCATATACAATCATAGACATGATGGATTGCCTCTGTGGTTGATCTCAGTCTCTAGGTTGACTGATACCATGTAACCCAAAACCCTTACATTAAATTGAATTATTGGTTTTACTAATGTGACCAGGCCCTACCGTAATTCATATTGGTAGACTCTCTAGCATGACCCAAGGCCTCCAGGCAATCAGACACTCCTGACATTTCGGGGGCCTAGAGATTACCCATCAGAAGCCAAGGACAAAGGCCAGATCCCATCTGGGGGAAGGTTAAATTCTGTACTACACAGTGGAAAACAATAGGGAGAGTGGATCTGGAGTTGCAAAAGTTAGCTATTTGGCCATTGCCTTTGAGAATTACTTAATTCTTAACATTAAGAGATAACCAATGTAAAGCATCTAGTGCGGTACCTGGAACACAGTTCCCGTCTATTTTAAACGTTATCTTCTGAAGCAATTTCTTTCATCCATCTCCTATTTCCTTCACAAAAATCTTTTTTTCCAATGCCTTCTGCTTTGTTTTTATTGTTAATATTTTCATATTTTAAAATTTCATTCCTTTAATTATTCTTTGTTCATTAAAATATTCACTCAATAGTATTTATTGAAGGCCTACTTTTTCCTGGTACAGATGTGGTTCCTGTCCTCAGAATTTATAGCCTAGCAGCCAGGCACAGTGGCTCACACCTGTAATCCCAGCACTTTGGGAGGCCGAGTTGGGTGGATCACGAGGTCAGGAGTTCAAGACCAGCCTGGCCAATATGGAGAAGCCCCATCTCTACTTTTAAAAAATACAAAAATTTGCCAGGCGTGGTGACGTGCACCTGTAGTCCCAGCTATTCAGGAGGCTGCGGTAGGAGAATTGCTTGAACCCAGGAGGCGGAGGTTGCAGTGAGTCAAGATTGCGCCATAGCACTCAAGCCTGGGAGACTTCATCTCAAAAAAAAAAAAAAAAAAAATTACAGCCTGCTATGGGAGACAGACAAAAGCCAAGCCAACCAACCAAGCGTGCGCGCGCATACACGCGCGCGCACACACACACACATTGTATTAGGGTTCTCTAGAGAAACAGAACTAACAGGATAGATATGTATATAAAAGGGAGTTTATTAAGTAGTATTATCTTACAAGGTCCCACAATAGGCTGTATGCAAGCTGAGGAGCAAGGAAGATAGTCCAAGTCCCAAAGCTGAAGAACTTGGAGTCCAATGTTCGAGAACAGGAGAACTTGGAGTCCGATGTTCGAGAACAGGAAGCATCCAGCACAGGAGAAAGATGTAGGCTGGGAGGCTAAGCCAGTCTAGCCTTTTCATGTTTTTCTGCCTCCTTTATATCCTGGCCACACAGGCAGCTGATTAGATGGTGCCCATCCAAATTAAGAGTGGGTCTGCCTTTCCTAGCCCACTGACCCAAATGTTAATCTCCTTTGGCAACACCCTCATAGACAGACCCAGGACCAATACTTTGCATCCTTCAATCCAATCAAGTTGACACTCAGTATTAATCATCACAAGTCTACCCCTTGTCAACTTGAACCCATACACATCTCCTGAGATCATACCTAATCTTCAAATAAAGACAATAATAAAGTCTTAGTTATGTCTAACATAATATAGCTATCCTTTCTACAACCGGAAATGCACCAATCCCCAAACCAAATGCTATTATATAAAGTTAGCAATACTTAAATGCTGATATGAAGTCAATAAATCTTATGTCACATGATAAAGGAAAAAGGAAATAAAATGAAGATATTTTCTTATTACAAGTGTATACATGCACAAACATGTTTTTAACAAAAGAAGGAAATACTCATGATAATTACAGTCCTCATTTCTGCAACTGGTCATGAGGTTGTAGCTGATATTGATGACTGCCTTCTTGTACTACCCATTCCGTATTCCCTTAGCCTTCAGCAAGCACCTCAGCATGCTTGGATTTTTTTCCTGGTGGAGTGACCTAAACCTTCATTTCTGAAGGGTCTGGGCCATTTGTAGTCCGGCCTGGATTGGCCTGTTGTAGTTTCTCATTGAACTTAATCACAGGGCATGGTAATACTAAGTGATGCCCTAATTGATCTCCTGTATTCCATGCCTACTCTTCCTCGTCTCCATTGCGGAGTAGTAGACTGCTTTCATCTTGATAGTCTGGGTCAATCACCCAAGCCAACACTGTAACCCCCTTCTTAGCCTGTTGACTTAAAGGTAGGAGGAGCCCAAGGTGTCCAGGTGGCAACCTTAACTTCCAGTTTAATGGAATCATTGTTGTGCCTCCTGGTGGCAGCATTTCCCCCTCTGGATTTAAGACCAGTAGGGCAGCAGAATATAATACTGTGGGAACAGGAAGCAAAAATTTTGCTATTGGATCACTAGGGATGATGGTGAATGGTGCCACTTCTACTTCCACCCTTTGATTCCTGGACCCATGAATCCTAGATATGGGAGAAACAGTATCATATTTTGGATGCTGATTCAGAGCATATACAGCCTTCTGGAGAACTTTTCCCCAGCCCTGCAAAGTATTATCACCTAGTTGGCATTGTAATTGTGACTTCAAAAAGCCATTCCACCATTCTATCAATCCACCTCCTTCAGGATGATATGGTTTGGCCCTGTGTCCTCACCCAAATCTCATTTTGTAACTCACACAATTCCCATGTGTTGTGGAATGTGATTGAATTATGGGGGCAGGTTTTTCCTGAGCTGGTCTTATGATAGTGAAAGCATCCCATGAGATCTGATGGTTTAAAAAGTAAGAGTTTCCCTGCACAAGCTCTCTTCTCGTCTGCCGCCGTGTGATTGTGTTGTCTTCCACAGCCACGTGGAGCTGTGAGTCCAATAAACCCCTTTCTTTTATAAATTTCCCAGCCTCAGGTATGTCTTCATCAGCAGCATGGAAACTGATGAATACAGTAAATTGGTACCAGTAGAGTGGGGTGCTGCTGAAAAGATACTAGAAAATATGGAAGCGACTTTGGAACTGGGTAACAAGCAAAGGTTGGAACAGGTTGGAGGGTTCAGAAGAAGACAGAGAAATGTGGGAAAGTTTGGAACTTCCTAGAGACTTGTAGAATGGCTTTGACAAAAATCCTGATAGTGATATGAAAAATAAGGTCCAGGCTGAGGTGGTCTCAGATAGAGATGAGGAACTTGTTGGGAACTGGAGCAGAAGTGACTCTTGTTATGTTTTAGCAAAGAGACTGGTGGCATTTTGCCCTGCCCTAGAGATTTGTGGAACTCTGAACTTGAGAGAGATGATTTAAGGTATCTGGAGGAAGAAATTTTTAAGCAGCAAAGCATTCAAGAGATGATTTGGGTGCTGTTAAAGGCATTCAGTTTTGTAAGGGGAGCAGAGCATAAAAGTTTGGAAAATCTGCAGCCTGACAGTGCAGTAGAAAAGAAAATCCCATTTTCTGAGGAGAAATTCAAGCCTGCTGCAGAAATTTGCGTAAGTAGTGAGGAGCCAAATGTTAAGCCCCAAGAAAATAGGGAAAATGTCTTCAGGGCATGTCAGAAGTCTTCACAGCAGCCTGTCCCATCACAGGCCCAGCAGCCTAGGAGGAAAAAATGGTTTTGTGGGCTAGGCCTAGAGTCACTGTGCTGTGTGCTGTCTAGGGACTTGGTGCCCTGCATCCCAGCTGCTCCAGCCATGACTAAAAGGGGCCAAGGTACAGCTTGGGCTGTGGCTTTAGAGGGCACAAGCACCAAACCTTGGCAGCTCCACATGGTTTTGAGCCTGCAGGTGCATAGAAGTCAAGAATTGAGGTTTGGCAACCTCTGCTTAGATTTCAGAGGATTTATGGAAATGCCTGGATATCCAGGCAGAAGTTTGCTGTAGGGGTGGAGCTCTCATGGAGAATCCCTGCTAGGGCAGTGCAGAAGGGAAATGTGAGGTGGGAGTCCCCACAGAGTCCCTACTGGGGCACTGCCTAGTGGAGCTGTGAGAAGTGTGCCACTGTCCCCCAGACCTCCAGAATGGTAGCACTACTGACAACTTGCACCATGTGCCTGGAAAAGCCGCAGTCACTCAATTCCAGCCCATGAAAGCAGCCAGGAGGAGGGCTGTACCCTGTAAAGCCACAGGGGCAGAGCTGTCCAAGACCATGGGAACCCATGTCTTGCATCAGTGTAAACTGGTTGTGAGACATGGGGTCAAAGGAGATCATTTTGGAGCTCTAAGATGTGACTGCTCTGCTGGATTTTGAACTTGCATGAGGCCTGTATCTCCTTTGTTTTGGCTAGTTTTCCCCATTTGGAACAGCTGTATTTGCCCAATGCCTGTACCGCCATTGTATCTAGGAAGTAACAAACTTGCTTTTGATTTTACAGGCTCATAGGCAGAAGGGACTTGCCTTGTCTCAGATGAGACATTAGACTGTGGACTTTTAAGTTAGTGCTGAAATGAGTTAAGACTTTAGGGGACTGTTGGGAAGGCATGATTGGTTTTGAAATGTGAAGACATGAGAATTGGGAGGGGTAGGGGCAGAACAATACAGTTGGCTCTGTGTCCCCACCCAAATCTCCTCTTGTAACTCCCATAGTTCCCATGTGTCATGGGAGAAACTTGGTGAGAGGTGATTTAATTATAGGGTGGGTCTTTCCTGTGCTGTTCTCATGATAATGAATGAGACTCATGAAATCTGATGGTTTTAAAAATGGGAGTTTCCCTTTACAAGCTCCCTTCTCTTGTCTGCCACCATGTGAGACATGCCTTTCACCTTCCACCATGATTGTGAGGCCTCCCCAGCCATGTGGAACTGTGAGTCCAATAAATTCCTTTCTTTTGTAAATTGCCCGATCTCAGGTGTGTCTTTACCAGCAGCATGAAAATGGACTAATACACATGTACAAAATAGAAGAGCTCTAAATTACAGAAAATACTTTAAGGAAAAGAAAGGGTGCTAAGCAAGTGTGGAAGGAGATCACCTTAAATCTGAGATGCTAAAGGTGGAAAGGAGCCAGCTCTGAAATGATGTTGTGGTGGCGGGAGAGCACTCTGTAAAGAAGGAATAATATTTCCTGAGGCAGGAGGAAGCTTGGTTTGAAGAGTAAATGGAAGAATATTCATGCAGCTAGACTCCTGTAAGTAAAGAAGAAGAACATAGATTTTAATGGAAGAATCATAGGAAAATCATTGAAAGGTCTTTATGTAAATCAATGAAATCATTGAGTTTACACTTTTAAATATTACTTTGGCTGAACTGTGGAGAATTGATGTGTTTTGGAAACTGGGTGGGAACAGTGCAAAGTGGAGCCCAAAAGACCTCTTAGAAGTTTGCTAAAGCAGTCGAAGACCTGAGCCTGGCATGGACAATTGAGGTGGCAGTGCTTATGGTGAAGAACCTGTGGACTTGAGATGTATTTGGGGGTAGCTTTGATAGGAGGTGCAGATGAGGAATGTGAGGGAGAGAGAGGAATTGAGTATTAATTACCCCTGGCCACCCTTTAAGTCCCCCACTTTGAGCAACTGATACCAGTCTCTGAATTCATAAATTCACCCCTTCGTCATTTCCAGCTCCTCCAAGCAGTGCTACCTGCAAACTATTGAAAATGAATCCTCCTTGCCCAGAAAACAAAGTCCAGGCTCAGCGAGTCAGTCAAGGCCCTCTGTGGTTTGGTCCTAGTCTTTCCTGCTTCATTGATCACCTTCTCACTAGTATATATGGCTCACTAGCCAGTCTGATTAATCTCTGTGCTCTGAATAATGTGCCCACTTATCTTCAGTCTGTTAATCTTACTTAGCCCAGCCTGTATGCCATGTACACCACTGAAATCTTACTTGGTTTTGAAAACTAGCTGATATTCTATCTCCAGCATGAAACTCCTCCGTCTCAGGTGATTAAATAGCCAGACTTCACGCATATACATTTGTTTTAGGAATGCAACCATGAAAATAAACACTGTTCTATTGCAAGTCTAGTCTATTTTTGATATTTTATTATGCATAAAAGATTATAGAAATGTTGAGATGTTTTAAAAAGGAACATTGGGTCCTAACTTTGTCTAAATCCGAGAACCGTAATATGTAGGTTTCTTATAGTTTGTGAGGATGAAATTCATCTAAGTAAGTGAAATAGCTAAAGTTTTAGGACAGTATCTGAATCAAAACAGGGAGAGAAAGCAAGCTTTGAAAATATACACAGTATCCATTTTCCCAAGCAGCTTATTTTTAAACAAGTATCCATATTGATGCATAATAATAATTGTTATTGAGTTCTGTTGACTTTTCAGTTGCCCTAAGCACTTTACATGAATTAATGCATTTAGATCTTTTGCAAAAACACTAAGATGGATACTGAATTATCTCCATCTTGTAGATTTAAGACTGATGCTTAGAAAGCTGAGATAACTTGCCCCAAAGTATTAACAACCAGTAAGTCCTGGAGCCAGAACTCAACCAGCTTTACTCCTGGACATGCCTGGTTCTGAGCCCCGCTATGGTGCTTATTTGTAGAATTCCCATAAAACACAGTGAATTTAAAGCCGAAGGTTATGTGCAGGCATTGCTAAGGGAGAAAAGTGGAATTCTTGAGTATTATTTCATTTTGTAGATTTATATTATTGGGTTTTCCTGAAAGGTCAGAAAATAATTAATATGTATGTAAAATAATGTGGTTTCTTGTATAAAAGCTAAAGGAATGCAAACTTGAGTGTTTAAAAACATTTTAAAACTTGAGTGGTGGTAGTACCTGCAAATGCAATTAAGATAAATGAGTGACTATTTCACATAGTCTTTCTGAATTGTCAGTAATAGGCTTGGGTAAAAAGGTCATACCCATCTTGATAGCAAATGAATATTTATTTTTTAAAAATTTGCTTTTTTGGCTTCTTTGGGTTTATTACACTGCTGCTTACAAAAATAAATCAGTGAAGACTTGGCACATTGCACACTCTGTTTTCTAGACACTGAAAGAAATGCTGGCAACATTTCCATTAGCTTACTAACTAATGAGACAGCATTGGCTACTTTCATGGGACTTGGATTCTGGCAAGAAGAGTTCTTTTTTTTTCTTTTTTTTTTTTCACAATTAGGCATATAATTTTTAAGTTATTACCATATGCTGTAAAGTCAAAGATATATTTATATATTCATACCCTGAATGAAAAGGCAGTACCTTCTTATGGCATGTAGAGTGCCATATTTTTAGACACTTGAAGTCACCATCATGAGAAGGCAAGGATATTAAGTTTACCCTTGGGGAGAATTTACTTTGTGGTCTCCTGTTAAAATTTTGAGCAGTAGCTTATTGCCTATCCCATTTGGTCAGCAGAATATGTAAATGACAAATACTCATGCTAAAATATATAAAATTAAGTGAGCATTTGAGTGCCTTATATGTTTTAGCCACTATTTTAGTCCCTGGGAGAAGAGAGGTGATAATAACATAGACCCCTCCCCTCATGAAGTGTTAGTCTAGCAGGGGAGATAGGTCTGTAATAATTAAATATTTTAGAGAACTACAGGCTTTTGTCACTTGCTATAGAGGGGAAAATGCTTACTTTTCCCTAGAACAATCAGAAAAGGTTTATGTTTTCCACTATCCTATATGTGGATAGAGAAGTTAAAATCTTTTAAACAATACACTTAATTTCATTTTAGTTTATGGTCCTATTTTACATGGCAAAGGTACTGCCTACTTATCTACCATTGACAAGATGCGAGAAGGCTGGGCGTGGTGGCTCATGCCTGTAATCCCTGTGCTTTGAGAGGCCGAGGCAGGCGGATCACAAGGTCAGGAGTTTGAGACCAGCCTGGGCAACATAGTGAAACCCTGTCTCTACTGAAAATATAAAAAATTAGCTGGATGTGGTGGCCGGTGCCTGCAATCCCAGCTACTTGGGAGGCTGAGGCAGGAGAATCACTTGAACCCGGGAGGCAAAAGTTGCAGTGAGCCGAGATTGCGCCACTGCACTCCAGCCGCAGCGACAGTGCAAGACTCCATCTCAAAATAAATAAATAAATAAATAAAAAGTTAAAAAAAAGAGATGTGAGAAAGGAGGCATAAGGAAGGAAAAAACACAGTGATAAAGTCTCAAAGTGAGATAATGGAATGAATTTTTTAAAGAAAAATCAAGATAATGATTTTAGTTTTCAGCTCCATTTTCAATGGTTTTGTTTTTCAAAAGCATTAGTAGGATAGGACTCAAGTCAGTAAAGGCTGGGTCATTTGTTGGGGGTGGGTGTTTTCCTAAGACTTCTGCTAATTTCTCTAAGGGTGGAGTAGGTGGCAATAATTTGTATAAGTATTCTTGGGTTTCTATATGCTGATATAATTTGTGAGTTCTTAAAGCCTTGTGTTTAAGATGAGTTAGAAGGTAGTGTGGCAAACTGAGCTGTGTAAGATTTATTCTTTCATCTCTAATCATCCCAATTCATAAATGCGCAAATTCATTTTAAAATAATAATATAAGGAACCCTGTTCTCTTTAATTGTGTTATTTGTGATTCTATCCTGAGTTCCTATTTAATGAGAATAGACTGTGTCCTACAAACACCAAGAATTCTTTTTAGTTTCAGCTTGTTTTTTATAAGAATTGTTTGCTCTTTTAAATCTGAAGTTTGAATTATTGCAAACAAGCTAGCCAAGACATTTTAGAAATGAGTGTAAAATACACATTATAATTTTGTAATAACAGTACAGTCTTGGTGTACATTTTTTGTAGATAATATTTTTATTAGTTGTCTTTTGTTTGAACTCATAATAATAGATTGTCTTTGAGTGGGATGACAGCCTGAGTTAGAAAAAGGATGTGGCTTTTTTTCTCTCTTTGGGGTGCCTGCATCTATGTTTATATGGGTTTGTAAAAGAAAAATAGATAAATTCATGTGTTTGTGGAAATTTAAGGCATTATAATTTTTAATTGAACAAAATCTGCCTTTTGCAGAAATGGAAATGTTAGCTCAGGCCTTTCTATTGTGATGGGAAGAGAGCTGCTGAAGATCCTAAAGAACAAAATGTGGATAATCTTTCATTTAATACATATAATACAGACACATATACATATGCTGTATATATGTGCAGGTATGTATATATATATAAATCCATACATACAGTTGAAGAAATTCCTCATGAACAAGAATGTTTTATAATGGCCACATGTTTTACATTAAAGAAAGAAGTTTTTACAGTGATTATTTGATTATTTTCTTTTGATTGCCAAATAATTAGAGGTTGCATTTCATCAGGCTTGAAAGCACCACATAATACTTAATGAGCATCCAGTTGATTAGAATTTTGACAGAAGGGTTAGGCCTATTCCTCATAATATGAAAGGATATATTTATTAGATTTGAGAGTACTAGTGTCACTGATAGGTGTGATTTCACTGGCAGTTTTAACATAGGTTCCCATTTATTCAGTTGCATTTAATATGTAAGCTGCTTTCTATGAATGGTAAATATTGTTAAACCTTCTGTACAATAAATGCCCATGGCATATTAACCAAGGGATAATTTTTATTTGTCATGTTATTTTAAAAAATTCTTACATATCTGTTCTGTAAGATTTACAAAAGAGTTTTTTTTTTTTGGTGTTAGACTATAATTAATAAGAATTACAATAGAAAAAGACTATTGTTTTAAAAACCAACTTAGTATCGTCTTCTTTTCTCTGAGATGATTAACTCAAAGCAGTCTGAGTCCCTTTCATATTCTGGAGGAATGGAGGAGGCAGATGGCTGGTGCCTACCTTATGGAAGGCATCAGCCTGCACTATGGGTGAATGCACCATGCCAATGAATCAAATGTGGGAAGCAGGCTCTAAAAAATGCAGAGAAGGAGAGAGTATGATTCGTGAGAGCATCTTAAAATTAGTTATTATCGGTGGCAACCAAAGTGTCGTGTCCTTTATGAACTCAAAAAAGAATTTTATTAACAATTTGAAAAAATCATATCTGTGAGTAAAAATGAAAGTTTCCAAGGTAATTACATCTAGAAGTGAAATCCAACTTAATATGTTAAACTCTTAAGTAAATTTGGGGTACTTGTATACAGTTGACCCTTGAGCAACACAGGGCTGAACTGCATTTATATGTGGATTTTCCTCTGTCTCTGCCACCCCTGAGACAGCAAGACCAAGCCCTCCTCTTCCTCCTCCTCAGCCTACTCAAGGTGAAGATGATTGAGGATGAAGACCTTTATGATTAATTGCTTCCACTTAATGGATAGTAAATATATTTTCTTTTCCTTATGATTTTCTTAACATTTTCTTTTCTCCAGCTTACATTATTCTAAGAATACAGTATATAATACATGCACAAAATATGTGTTAATTGACTGCCTATTTATCAGTAAGGCTTCAGGTCAACAGTAGGCTGTTGGTAGTTAAATTTTAGAGGGAGTCAAAAGTTATACATGGATTTCTGATAGTGCAGAGTCAGCAACTCTAACCCTGTGATGTTCAAGGGTCACCTGTAATTATTACGAAAGGGCTTTACCTCAAATGTTTTAAATATCTAACATAGCTACTTGAAACGATGTTGATGATGTTGATATATCAATATATTTAGAGGGATTTAATCTGATGAGTGTATTTCCAAGTAATTATTGTGTGTAAATATAAGGGCTTCCTTTCTGTCTGGTTTTACATCTCAGGCTTCATCTTAACTCCAGGCCTAAGAGGCAGGAAGAAGATATCACTGAGCAAAATTGCCATGTTCTGCTATATGGTTGACAGAAGGTCATTAGTGTAGTGTTTTATGGAACTGATTATGTTATAAATGATAAAGACTGCATTTGTGTTATTTGCTTTATTTTTACTAGATTTTCATTAATAACAATCTATTAAATGCTATGCCATGCTAAATAGATATGAATATACTCAGAGATATATTAGTTGTTTAAATAAACAGGTTATTCTTAAATGTATCTGTAAATATAGAATTAGAGATGAATTTAAAGTAACATAGCTTTTTGATATTAGGCTTTAATTGATAAAATATACAGAATATTAAAAAATAGTTCAATGTCATGAGTTTTTATTAAATATGCCAATTCTAAAAGCACTAGCCTAAGTATGTCATTGCCACACATACATCAATATGATAAATTTCTGGTATTGGCATGGTGCGTATTAGCTACTAGAATTTAGCACATCGGATCCCATGATTATAAGAATGTATGTTCAGATATATGCATAGTTACTGGTTAGGCTGATGCTTATAGGCTTACAAGTAATTCTGCTCCTTCTCCTGAATTTCCTCATCCCTCTACCCATTATGTCCTTTGGAGCCTAATGGATTATTTTTCAGTCAGTTGTCATTATATATTCTTGACCAAGGACAGCAATTAAGCTTCTGCAGAGTGGCGAAGAAGTGCGGCCCAAGGATCCAGCCTACGAAAGCAGTTTGACAACAGACAGGGGTCAAAGAAAATTAGAAACCAGCACCCAGCAGAAAGTTAGATAGTGCGGAAGAGAACAGAGGCCTGAGCAAAGGTTTGCAAACGGGTTAGGAAGAGAATCCCTGTCAGGGTATCTTAGCAATGGAAACAGGCTTCCAAAGAGGAAGTAAGGGCAGCCAAGCTATGAGAGCTCTGCCTTCTGAGGTGCAGGCTTCCTGCATCAGTGTGCCAGGTGTAGAACCACGTTCAGAAACTTGCCAACTCAGCTGAGCGTGGTGGCTCACGCCTATAATCTTAGCACTTTGGGAGGCTGAGCAAGGCAGGAACATTCCATAAAGTCAAGAGTTTGAGACCAGCCTGGTGAACGTTGCGGGACTCTGTGTCTACAAAAAAAGTGGACGTGGTGGCTCACACCTGTAGTTCCAGCTACTCGGAGGCTGAGATGGGAAGCTTGCCCGAGCCCAAGAGTTTGAGACTGCAGTGAGACGTGATTGCACCACTGCACTCCAGCCTGGGCGACAGAGTGGCACCCTGTTTCTGGGAAAAAAAAAAAAAGAAGGAAGAAACGTGTCAAATCCATGACTAGAGAAAGGGATGGGTGGGAGGGTCAGTGCTACTAGTGGTGGTCACTTTTGAGCCAGCCCAACTATTTTGTTTCCTAATTTATTGCTGTATTTTGGTTTTCTAGTGAAGAATATATAGATTGAGCCTGTAACTTTACTAGGAATTCTCTTCTATCTTTTACTATTGTTCTTTAAATTTATCACATCGGGAAGACATATCCTGAACTGTCGAAGACTTTCCCAGTGGAGAAAGGAAGAAGTATAGAGGTTTTCCTCCTGAGATTGATTTTAGAGCAATTGATTTTAGAACCTGGTATGGGGAATACACTTGCCAACAGAGGGAGGTGCTGGCAGAGTTTGATGTTCCTCTGACCATATTTTCCATACTGAAGAAGGCATTTCTGATCGTTGTGTTCAACTTGAAAACGCCTTCTCTTCTGTGGTAATTAACATGCTCCAGTGTGTGTCTGAGACAAACTGTACCTCATGGATGTCTGCAGGGATTTAGGTGCTCAGTTCCTGGGACATAGCTCATTGGTAAAGATAATTCTACATGAGGAACCATTTGACATTTCTTGGGTACATTTAAATTGTATCTTGTAAAGACTGCAAATGGTTTAATTGGGCCATTTGGTGTGCCCTGATGCCAAGCATATGTGCCAGTTGATGTCCCTTTGATAGTTTCTTCAGAATGAACTATTTTTAAATGTCTTCAAGATAGGAAAGCTCTTATGCTTAAAAAATAGCTGAGGAGAGAAAAGGACATTTAAAAAGTCAAAACAACAGAATGATTCAAAAATCTTCTGTCTCAGTGGCATAGATTTTTTTGAAAATTGAGATATCAATGTATGGGTGAATTTTAAATTCCTGTATATTAAAATATATCAAATAGAAATCTTTTAAGTACACTCTTAAAAATATGTTTTCACATATTGTGGTGGTTTTAAAGATTTTAGTGCACTGATTTGCTTCTTTCCCTAGTGACCCATTTTTTTTATTTTCCTGTCATTACAAATTACCAATTCATTGATTCTTCTCATGGTAATGATTCATATAAATCTAATTTCCCTCTGAAAATGAATTGTTTTTTTATTACCTTACCTCACTACCATAAAGAACTTGGTTAATTTGAATTAAAATAATAAATATAAAATGCTTAATTTGTTTAGCAATATGGGTTTTATTATTCTGTAATCTGATATAGTTCCTTCTTGTTAAGTCTTGTGGAATTGACACAGCAGAGATACACTTATTTATAGCAGATTATTTGGTGCATTTGGCACTGAATAGAGTTTCCTACCTGTGATGTGTTTCTTGGATTTCTTGCTCTACTATAATGTATGTCCTCTTGTTACAGTAGGTAGCTAATCAGGCATGAACAAAGCAGGAGAGGACTCTTCCCTCAGCCCCCACCACCAGGAATGTCAGGCAACCCTCAGGTGATGGTCAGGCAATTGTCACCCTGTCTCTCTAAAATAATAATTGGTCACAGCTGACACTAGGGAAAGGCAGTCTTTCTATAAACACCTGAAATTGGTGATCAGCAGCTCCCTGATAAGATCTCAGGAGCTGGGTGAGTGAGCTCAAGCATGTACATTAAGAGGCAAAATGTTGGAGTTTAACTGGTATATGACCACCTAGGGCCATTTGACTGGTAAGGAAAGAACACCTCAAGTGAGCTTGCCTACAACTCTAGTAAACACACTGCACATGCTCCCCTCCCAAGCGCTAGCAGGTCACTGCACATGTGGACAGCCCACCCCAAGGGAAGAATCAGGAGGGAAGGGATGCAACACCCTGGAAGCATGCCAACATATAAACCCCAAGTCAAAAGGTCAAATCATGCACATATCTTTCAAGCTGCTTGCTTGGCCCTCTTCCAAGTGTACTTTCCTTCCTTTTGTTCCTGCTCTAAAGCTTTTTAATAAACTTTCATTCATACTCTAAAACTTGCCTTGGTCTCTGCTTCTGCGTTATGGCCCTTAGTCAAATTCATTCTTCTGAGAAGGCAAGAATTGAGGTTCCTGTAGACCTGTATGGATTCGCTGCCGCTAACACTCTGATACAGATATAGCTAAGCTTATCTGATGCTGAATTTTTGTGGGAGAAAACAGAAACCTTTTAGGGGAGGAAAGAACAGGGGAATGACCCAACAAAGAAGCTAGTTATTAATTTAGACAGTAGAGGCAAAGAAGCACCTGTTCTGAAGGGGAAAACCACACTATAAAGTCTCTGTCTTCTTTCTTGGCAGGCTATTGATACTACTATTGATATTACTATTGATACTAGTGACCAAAAAAAAGTCAAACTCTATAAAACATTTGAAGATGTTTATTCTGAGCCAAATATGAGTGACTGTGGCCAGGAACACAGTCTCAAGAGGTCCTGAGAACATATGCCCAAGGTGGTTGGGTTACAGCTTGGCTTTATACGTTTTAGGGAGATAGAAGTTACAGGCAAAGACATAAATCAATACAGTAAGGTATACATTGGTTCAGCCTGGAAAAGCAGCACATCTAGAACATTGAAGGGGGAGCTTCCAGGACATAAATGGATTCCAAAATTTTCTGATTGGCAATTGGTTGAAAAAGTTAAGCTTTGCCTAAAGAGTTGAAGTTAATAGAAATAAATGCTTGAATTAAGTAAGGTAAAAGGGGATGGTGGAAGTGAAGATTCTTGTTATATAGTAATAGATCAAGGCTCCAGGTAGCAGGCTTCAAAGAGAATAGATGGTAAATGTCTCTTATCAGACCTTAAAAGGTGTCAGACTCTTAGTTACTCTCTCCTGGGTCAGGAAAAGACCTGGAAAGGGAAAGGGATTCTCTACAGAATGCATATTTCCTCCACAAGAGATGGCTTTGGAAGGCCATTTTAAAATACGTCAAAGAAATATATTTTGGGATAAAATACTTTGATTCCTTTCAGGGCCTGCCATCTTTCCTGTGATGCTATACCAGAGACAGTTTGGAGGTGGGTATTGCTACAAAGAATCTGTTTTGTCATTCTGATGACCTCTATTTTAATGTTAATGCTGGTCATTTGTGCCTAAACTCCAAAGGGAGCATGGATAACTAAGCATATCCCTCCTCCATTCCTGTCAAGGCCTAAGCTACATTTTCAGATTTCTCTGGGATCCCCTAGGCCAAAAGGAGAGGTCCATTGAGTCAGTTGGAGGCTTAAAATTTCATTTTTGGTTTACAGTATCACCAATGTTCTTGTCACCTATTCTAAAAGATAGGCTGCTTATGATAGAATCAATCATGATTCTTCAAATGGGACAACCTAAGATTTACCAATAAAAGAATGTTTCAATGTATAAATGCTTTGACTTTTTAAAATGGTGCCTTCCATGAATAGCCACAATTAGAATGAATCCATTTTTTGTTTGTTTTTTTAGACAACAACTTATATCTCAAAAGGTAGACATTTCTCAAATATTTTTCCCCAGGAGATTTTCAAATACGAAAGCTTGAGCTATAGTGAATTTCAGAATTTTTGAACTGACATAAGCAGCCTTCTGTTTATAAAGAGTTTTTATCAAAAGGCTTTGAAACACTTCAGAAATATATTCTGATGATAATAAGAATAGATGTGACTCTTCAGAGGACACAGAACAAAGACTGGTCCTCTCCTGTTTCTTTGTCCTGTGTACTGTTCACTAGATGCATTCGCTCAGGATAGTTTCCTGAAGACTTTCCTATGCTCCCCAGGGAAAATATTCAGTGGTCTCAGAAACAAAATAACTCAGTGACATAAGAGAAAAACTATGCATAGTTTTATTAAAATGCTGACAATATAGAAATAAACAGTCATACACTAGTCTCCCTTTGCCTTTGATTTTGGACTCAGGGAAATGCATAAAAATACTTAAGACCATAAAAAAAAGTTTGTTTATTTTTAAATTTTGAGACAGAGTCTTACTCTGTTGACCAGGCTGGAGTGCAGTGGCGCACTCATAGCTCACTGCAGCCTTGACCTTCTAGGCTCAAGCAATAAGAAAACTTAAACCACATCCTACTTATGTAGGATGCTGAATATTTTCTTTTATCCTTTGTTTCCCAGCAACTCTTAAGTCAGCTTTTTTATTTGTTAATTTCTTTTCCTGTAATTAGCTCATTCAGCTTTCACTGAAGTTTTCTAGACAAGAGGACTGATGACTAAAACAGTTTGAATATATCCTGTGCTTTCAACTGACCCAGTTCTGATTTCTTTTCCAAGGCGCATGGATACCACAGATGTGTGTTTTTAAGGGCATAAATAAATACGTAACTTTTGAAAAGATGTGGTATGTATTAGGCACAAATGTAGTTGAACCCAAAATGATATATTTTTTAGGCTGGTATTGATAAACAGGCAGCAATTAGAGTTGCATTGAGTCACCCCGAAACGGAGACTTTAAACTACTAAAATCCACACACGGTAGATAATTCACATATTGTAAGATCACTTTAAAAAGACTGTCAATCTGCCAGGCAAAAAGCAGCAAAAAAGATGTCCCCTTTAAACAAGACCATTTAACATTAACATACCTAAAGAAAGAACGCGTCAATAGAAACGGGGTGAGAGAGAGTGGGCTGATATGTTTAGACTTTTCAGTATTGTGCTGATACTTTACAGTTGTTTTCTTTATTCATCACAACCCTCTAACTAGGTTTTATTACCTATATTTCACAGATGGAAGAACTAAGCTCCTAGAGATTGATACAATTTCTCCCAAGTTTCAGAAGGGGGAAGTGAGAGAGTTATAATTTAAATATGGTGAATTTGGCTTCAAAATCTGTAAGATTCTTTACTGTATTGCTCCCAGTGGACATCAATTTCTATGGATTAAAACCACTTGATTGCATTAGAAAAGGTTTTCGTGAAAGGACAGTATGGGATTATCCAGTGAGTGCTTATTGAATGCCTATTATATACTTCATTTTGGAGCACAATCATTTTACTTTACTAGCACTATTCCAGTGGAATAAATTTTGAAATTTGAGACTGTGCCTCCTCAAAATTGAAACCTTTGACCAAGGAGAGGAGAGTTCCCTCACAGTCCTCTTCAGCCAGCCTGTTTCTTAGATTTCTTTGGTAAAGATCAGACCAGTCTGTCCACTGTGCTCTCAGATGGCATCTCCCAGTAGCTCTTTTCATTTCTCACACTTCCCTATGGGGGCGGTGGGACTCACGGAACAGCAGTTAATTTCCCCTAAATATTTACTGTCTTCAGTCCCTTTATGGCCTCAGTGTGGGTGCTGAACTGCAAAACTTTTGACTGCGTCCTTTGCAAATCCTGCAAAAATGGTCTTGCATTTTGCCTTTGCTTTGGAATTTGTTTTGGAAGTATTTGACAAATAGTTTTTTGTTCTTAACCAGTATTTCAGATGAACTAGGACAAAGAGAGCCAATTTAATATTCTGTTGCTACGTACACTTTTAAGAAAAAAGAAAATTTTCTAAGTATGTAGAATTTAAGGGGTGGATCAAAGGGAATAGACATTCTGAAGTAATGACAACTTCCTACAAAGGGTGATCAATTATCTGGAAGTTTAAAGAAACTAAAAGGTCACTTAGCTATAGGCTGAAGTTTTAATATCCCTTAATACTTTTTAGAAGTATCATAAAAATCGGCCGGGCGCGGTGGCTCACGCCTGTAATCCCAGCACTTTGGGAGGCCGAGACGGGTGGATCACGAGGTCAGGAGATCGAGACCATCCTGGATAACACAGTGAAACCCCGTCTCTACTAAAAATACAAAAAAATTAGCCGGGCGTAGTGGCGGGCGCCTGTAGTCCCAGCTACTCGGGAGGCTGAGGCAGAAGAATGGCGTGAACCCGGGAGGCGGAGCTTGCAGTGAGCCGAGATGACGCCACTGCACTCCAGCCTGGGCGACAGAGCGAGACTCCGTCCCAAAAAAAAAAAAGAAAAAAAAAAAAAAAAAGAAGTATCATAAAAATCAATGCCCTAAGCTTAAACAGAGCAGTTTCTTTAGCATTTTAATTTTAAAAGATGCCTGGAGGTATTTGGCTATCAGATAAAATGGTATATATTTAAGTTGGTCTCTACTAATAGAGCATGGCAGTGTAACAACTCTGGGTCCACTTAATGCACACTTTTTCTTAGATTTCAAACTAATGTACGTAGCATTTGGATATGTCAGAATCTCTTCTGAGGACAGCGACCAGCTTGGTGTCCCTGCAGTACATGAGCATCTATCTTTGCAGAAGATAGATGCTCAGGAAATGTAAGTTATTTAAATGAATTTATTTATGGTCACTTCTTCCTAATATCCTGCTCTGACCAAGTTGTCTTTTTATAGTCTTTATGAAACACAAATATAATATTCCTCAGAGTTCACGTTAATAATCACAACCTCTTGACGATGTACCTAGCATTATAGTATATATTTTAAAATGTTATTTTGCTTGTTGACTTATTCAACAAATATTTATTGACTATGGTGGTATTACAGGCCTCCTTCCCCCAAAATAGCATCTAACAATAACCAGTGTTAGTATGTTAAGTACTATGATTAAGGTACAATATGTACCTCAGTGGGAAAACAGAATAGAAGCAACTATGGTGACTGATGGTGGTGGTCAGCAAAGACTTTACAAAGGTGGTATTTGAATCAGTTCCAGAAGGATTGTAACCGAGCCAAGCAGGCCCAGATGCTCACTGCTTGCAGAGTCCAGTTAACAAGAGCAAGATCTGGTAGAAAGAAAGTGAACTTATTAACCAAAACTAGTAAAGGGGAAGCAGCCAGATTTCTTTTTTTCTTTTTTCTTTTTTTCTTTTTTTTTTTTTTTTTTTTTTTTTTTGAGACAGAGTCTCGCTCTGTCGCCCAGCTGGAGTGCAGTGGCTCAATCTCGGCTCAGTGCAAGCTCTGCCTCCCGGGTTCACGCCATTCTCCTGCCTCAGCCTCCCAAGTAGCTGGGACTACAGGTGCCTGCCACCACGCCCGGCTAATTTTTTGTATTTTTTAGTAGAGACGGGGTTTCACCGTGTTAGCCAGGATGGTCTCAATCTTCTGACCTTGTGATCTGCCTGCCTCGGCCTCCCAAAGTGCTGGGATTACAAGCGTGAGCCACCACACCCGGCAGGAAGCAGCCATATTTCTATCCAAAGTAACTGCTTCGCTTTTTGGGGGGATGGCAGGCATTTAAAAAGGGAAAGCTTGATAAGGAAGGTGTGCAAGAATTGGGCTGAGTACAATGCACATGTATCTTGTTTTGGTGGCTGTCTGTCTTTGGTCCCAGTCCACCTGGACCTTGGACTGATGTCTCAACAATGGCTGGGTTGTTAACTAGCCACCACCTTAATCTCTGGTATTTTGCAGCTGGGTCTCTAGACCAAGTCTGTCTGTCTCAATATTAGCCCCTGGAATTTCTAAGAAGACACATAATTAGATATTAGCATACAGTTAGATGAGTGTGAAGGGAGTACATACGGTGAGAAAAGGAGGGTCATAGAATCTATTTTAAGACTAAGGAAAAAGGCTTCTACAGTTTGCTTCAAGGTTGTATCTTGAAATCCAAGAGAAAGAAAAAAACTTTAAAATAAATTTTGAAGGGCTGGGCACGGTGGCTCATGCCTGTATTCCTAGCACTTTGAGAGGCCAAGGTGGGTGGATCACCTGAGGTCAGGAGTTCGAGACCAGCCTGACCAACATGGAGAAACCCCTTCTGTACTAAAAATACAAAAATTAGCCAGGAATGGTGATGCCTGCCTGTAATCCCAGCTACTTGGAAGGTTGAGGCAGGAGAATCCCTTGAACCTGGGAGGCAAGGTTGTGGTGAGCCAAGATCACACCATTGCATTCCAGCTTGGGCAACAAGAGTGAAACTCTGTCTCAAAAAAAACAAAAAAAAAACAAAAAAAAAACAAAAAAGACATTTTGAAGTTAAACTGCCTGGTTAGGGGATGAGAAAAGACATTCCCAGCAGAGGTAACGATGTGTTTCCAGCATAGAGACAGGAAACAGCAAAAGTGTAAGCAAATGATTCCCTGCCACTTAGTAGCTGAGGAGCTATATGAAAGTAGCAAAGGAGATATATGATCTTGCTTTAGCAAGATCTGCTTTAGCTTTAGCTTCCATGGGCCCTGGTTTTTATTTTTATTTTTAATATAATGCCTATCTGATAAGTGCTTGGAGGATTAGCTTGTGTTAGATGTACGCTCTTGGCCCAATGCCCGAGTACTCAGTCATTGCTCCGTGAATGAAAGTAGTGAATGTAGAGTCCCCAACACCAGGCTTGGCAAGTGGTAAACACCTCGAAATGTAAATTATTGTTATCATTTCATCCCTTGTTCCCTTTCTTTGGTATATATGGACATAATTTCATTATTAAGATAAAATAGACCTTGAATGATATTCATCTTTTATGTAGCTCATTCTTGACTAATAGTTTAGCTGGTATAGAGTTCTAATTCCCTCATATTTTGAACATAGTATTTAATAGTCTTCTGTAATCTGTTGCTAATGAGAAAAGCTTTTCTTTTTATCTTCATTTATTATAGACTCCCTATCATGTTTCTACAGGTGGATTTATTTTTTGTTTTCCTTCTTGACTTTCAGTGTATACTTTTCTATATATCTTTATTCAGTTCTGGAAACTTCTTTTTCATTATTTCTCCTAATTTTGTTTCCCTTTCTCTCTTTTGTGTGACACCTACTGGATATATGTTGGAGCTTCTCAATATCTCCCTCATGTCCTTTAACTGCTCCTTTATTTTTTTAATTGCATTATCTTTCTGGGATGCATTGTGTGCCTCTTAATGCTCTTTGAAAATTTCTACTTCTTTCTTTTACTGTGGTAAGTCTACAGTTTATTTAATCTATTGGTTCTTTTTAAAATTTTAATGACTATACATATTTTATTCTTGTGTTTCTAATTGTTTCTTCTTCATTTGTACTTGGTATTTTTTAATTTGTTTGAATTATGTTTTATTTTATGGACATGTCATCTTTCATCTTTTTGAGTTTGTAAACTTTTTTCAAATTCTTTAGATTATGTTAAGATTTGTATTTTTATCTAGTGAGTATTTCTCCTAAATTTTATTTTATTGGCCTTCCCTTATTGTTACCCTTTTAAAAGATGTTTCATAATTTTGTTCTGTATTTTTATCTTGGGTGGGAGGTTTTTATTCCAATCTGTATTTGTTTCAAATTGCTGTTATAGCAAATTAACACAAACTTAATGGTTTATCATAACACAAATTTATTACCTTACAATTCTGTAGGTCAGAAGTCTGATGTGTTTCACTAGGCTAAAATCAAGGCATCAGCAAGGCTGCATTCCTTTTGGAGGCTCTAGGGGAGAATTAGTTTTCCTGCCTTTTCCAGCCTCTACAGCCTGCCTGCATCCTTGGCTCATGGCTCCATTCCACCTTCAAAGCCAGCAGTGGTTCATAGAGTCTTATATTGCATCACTCTGGCACTGACTGTTCTCCTGCCTCCTGTTTTTACTTTTAAGGATCCTAGAGATGTGTTTAGAGAGATGGTCAAGGTCTGGATCACAAATATCATGGGAAAGAGCTTGGATTTTGTTGAAAGTACAGTAGAAAGCCACAGGCAGTTGTATACAGAGGAGTGACAAGATTTGATTTGTGTTTTTAAATGATCTTACTGGTTACTATGTAGGGAATAAATTGTGCAGAGACCAGATAAGAGGCTTTTGGAAGAATCCAGATGAGAAAGGGTAGTATATTGGACTAGGGTTGTGTCATTAGAAATGAAGAATGGGCATATTTTGAGGATATATTTAGGAAGTAAAGCCCATAGAATTTACTAATGGATTGAGTCTGACAGGTGAGGGAAATGGAAAAAATCAAGGATTTCTTTTGTTGTTTTGGCTGAGTAGGCTAACTAGCAAGCCAAATAGTTGTTCTTTTACAGAGACGCAAATTTTGTTTTACCTTATAGCTGTTGTAATCTTTGTGTCTGAAAGCTGAAAGTGGAATCTGTGAGTGCTTTTAGCAGTTTTGCCTAGCAGGGCTATATTGACTGGAATTTATATATTAATTATTATCTCTTTATTACTTTTCTATCTTTATATTCTCTCTGCTTTATCTTTTTCATTTTAAAGTTATTTTTTCATTATATTTTCACAGCTCTGTTAGCTGCCTTAAGTCCAGGCAGTGTATAAATAAATTATAAATAAACATAAATAAATTATAATCAAATAGTCTCCAGAGTTGTCAACTACCCACTGTCTATATATGTAAACTTTAAAAAGATTGTCATTCATTAGTTCACTTAAAGCCCACTTACATATTTGTAACTTGTTGATGGGATAAAAAAAGTATCAAATTGGTTCCTTTGTTTCTTTCCATTGGTCATGCCATTTTTGCGTTAGTGTTGTGCATCTGTCACTCATCAACCAATTTTGAATAGTTAAGAAATATGACAGTAGATTGACAAATGGCTTATCTGATTTGTTCATAAAGATATCCAGAATTATAGTGTGTACAATTTTATTTTTATTTTTATTTTTTTGAGGCAGAGTTTCGCTCTTGTCGCCTAGGCTGGAGTGCAGTGGTGCAATCTCGGCTCACTGCAATCTCTGCCTCCTGGGTTCAAGTGATTCTCCTGCCTCAGCCTCCCAAGTAGCTGGAATTACAGGTGCTCATCACCATGCCCAGCTAATTTTTGTATTTTTTAGTAGAGACGGGGTTTCACCATGTTGGCCAGGCTGGTCTTGAACTCCTGACCTCGGGTGATCCACTGGCCTTGACCTCCCAAAGCTCTGGGATTACAGGCATGAGCCACCATGCTCAGCCCAGTATGTACAATTTCAGATTCTAGGTCCTTAGAGATCAAAGGCAATGTTGATTTAATTCTCTGCATTTGGCATTTTATCCTATTCCATAATATATGAAGGTGAGACTCTATATAATGTTTTTGATGATGCTGGTGAAGAAACATCTAAATAGATCAGAAGGCATTCAGGGAACAGTTAAGTTCACTGTACTGAAAATGGTTCAGAGAATATAGTTGCTTGACATAATGTCTTTTGATTGATACTGAAATGACAAGAATTATTAACTTGGTGAATGCCTCAGTGTTTTTATTATTTTTATTAAAGGGTCAGTATCTTTCGGACTATGAACATTCTTACATACCCCTATCAAATCCCTTTACTGACAAAAGAGCTGACAAAATTATTAGTCATTCTCTTGTATTTGAAGGTCAAGTGATGATCTCTATTTAATATTCCTGTCCACAACTGTTTTTTGCTTCCTGTTTAGTAATTAAAAGCATTGTCTTCTAAGCTACTTTCTTGTCTAGTACATATTAACTAAGATTTCTTCATTACACCTCTGTAGAGATGGCAGGAAGCAGGCCACTGATATAATTATTTCTGGTGTTAGACTAAAAAACTATTATATCAAAGGTCACACAGTGATATTTGCATTTTCCAGTATTGAAACATAGCTTTTTACTATTCTGTTTGTTCTTTTTGTATTTAATGTTTAACCCATAATATTTAGAAGGAAATGAATTTGTACCTAAAGAAAACTCTCAAATTCAGCTAAGATGGAGAAGATAAAACTGTGCAAGACTGAACTGGCAGATGTCAAATTTGCATCTCATTTAAAGTTTATGTATTTTCCTATAGGCATTTTTGAGTACTGTATAAATAAACTGTTGAGATGTTAACGTTGAGAGGAAAAGGGGAGGAAGGTGGGACATTAAGTAACCATGAAATTTCAGGCTTCCTGGCTGAGTTAATTATAATACCTTATCATTATACTGTATTAACACTTTTAAAAATCAATTTTTTGCCACTTAAATCAAATCATAGGATGTGCTTAATTCAAGAGACACCTTTAGGAAAGGATCCTCTGTATTTCTTTTCATATTTTAAAAATTAAAGGAGGATATAACGGATTGTCTTTGAGACTTACTACAGGTTGGGCCATTAGCAGCTACTGTTAGGAATTACAGGAGTATGTGTGGATTGGGTGAGGTGGAGTGGGAGTGTAGTATATGGTTGTTTCTGAGGCATGTTGAGTCAGCAGTATCAGCTGTAGAAATAGAAATTTGACTTCTTTTGCCCCATCCACTTTTGACATTTATTGTTTTATTCAAGAAGTATTTATCGAATTTCAATTATAAGCCAGGCACTCTGCTTAGGTGCTGGGTTACAGTGAACAAGACATAATTTCTGCCCTTTCAAGACATATAGCCTTCTTAAATTTCTTTATTATTTTCCCTAGCATCAGAATACCAGAGAGTGGGTCAAGAAAAGGGTATTGTGGATTAGAAGGAATGGAGAAAGGTTGAAAGTTGTAAGCTTCTTTAAAATCCTGAAATCCCAATTTAGATGTTAGTCATCTATTGTGGCAGAGCAGACCATGCTATTCACTAAGCTCTTAGGCAGAACTAAGATTTTAGGCGGAGTATAAAATAGATCAAGCATGGCCTGCTCTATATCCCTGCTTCTCTTTGCCTAACCAGGAGCCCTTTGACCTCTGCGAGCATCTAGCTTGAGCTTGAGCTTGTTGTTTATCCAAGTGCCTCAAGCTTAGATATCACCAAGTTAACCCTTGCACAAGATAAAATCTTTAAATGGTAGCTGGGATTGGTGGCTCACGCCTGTAATCCCAACACTTTGGGAGGCTGAGGCGGGTGGATCTCTTGAGGTCAGGAGTTTGAGACCAGTCTGGCCAAACATGGTGAAACCCCTTCTCTAATAAAAATACAAAAATTAGCTGGGTGTGGTGGTGTGCACCTGGAATCCCAGCTACTCAGAAGGCTGAGGCAAGAGAATCACTGGAACCCAGGAGGCAGAGGTTTCAGTGAGCCCGGATTGTGCCACTGCACTCCAGCCTGGACCATGGAGCGAGACTCAGTCTCAAAAAAAAGAAAAAACTTTAAATGGTATCTATGATGGCCATATTAAAACTCAGGACATGCAACTTTACAAATATGTGCATAAGGGGGATTATAAGGAATATTTTAAGAATCATAAATTATAGTGTTACTTATTTCATTTAACACACACTATGTAATACTTATTATATGCCAGTCTCCATTCAAAGTTCATTTCACCCTTATAAAAGCCCTATAATATAGATTGTTATTTTTACCTCCATTTCACAGATAAGGAAACTGAGCTACAGAAGGGTTAAACAACTTAAGTTCACACAACTGGTAGACTTAGCATTCAAACTGAGGCATTCTATCTTCAGAGCCTATGCTCTTGACACTAACTACACTAGATTGCCTCATATCCCTATGTACTATATGCGGGACACCTGATGTCTATGCCCTAGTAGGAAGTGTGAGTCAGAAATTCAAAGGAAAGCCCTGGGCTGAAAACAAATCAGAATCATGTGCACCTAGTAATTTTAAGCCATCAGAGTAGAAGAGTACAAATAGAAAAGGAAAGGAGATTCTCAAGGATAGGGCCCCGGGATCTAGTAACACTTAAGTGACTGGTGACAAACACACATCAGAAATGTAGACTGAGAGTGAACAGATTCAGGAAAACGCTATCTCGTAAGCCAAGGAAAGACAGAATATCAAAAAGAGTTTAACTTTACATGTGCCCCTGAGTGGTTAAAAGAATGCAAACTAGAAAAGCCACTCATCTGGCAGTTAAGAGATCATTGCTGCCTTTTTCTATAATTGGATATTTATAATAAAGAAGATAGAATGAGCTGCCACAAAGACACATTTTAAGAAGACAGAAGTACATGCTTAGACTTTTTATTTACACATATTTTTACTCATTTTGTGAAACAAATTTAGTTGATTTCAAGGCCTTTTTTTCTGTAAACTTATTCTTTAGACCACACCTCAGCTAAGTTTAGTTTCATATTATTTTACCTTGTAGGCACTTACATATTTTTTAATGAAAAAATTTCAAAAATTTGTGAGCCCCAGGAAAACAATAATTTAAATTTCCTTAGGTGGTACATGGTCATAAGAATTAGCCACTAATCCCTAAGCAGGATTATCTTCTAGAAGATTATCATACCAAAATACTAGCTGGGAATGATAACTCAGAACAGCTAGAATTGTATGTTGATATTGTATGTTTGTAAGTGAATGCAAGCTAAAGTTGAGTATTTTTCCTCAGTACAATATTTGAGCCAAGTAATAGCATCAGTATTAATTTATAAACATAAATGTTTATAAATTTATAAGTGATGTAACTAAAACTTGATTTATCATACCATGCTTTATTGCCCAAGTTAAAATCTTATACATCTTTTGTTATGCATCAGTTTTAAATATCTTTTAGATTAAATATTAGATTTAATATTAGATTTTATATAGTTTTATAAGGTTTTATAAGGTTTATAAGATTTTATATAATTATATAATATTAAATATTAGATTTATATATTTAAATCAAATTCTTACTCTCTTTCTTTGCCTTTCTAATTCTGTCAGTACTTTCAGGTGGCCACAGGCTTTCCTCTTAAGTTAGGATATGCTGCTGTACCTGATATTTATATCTAATATTTAAATATTAGATATAAATATCTTTTAGATTAAAAGATTTTCAGGATATACAATCAAATGTTAGATAAATTTGATTAAACACTCCCTTTGCTGTAATTGTTTGGCAGAATACATTTTATTAAACTCAGGGTAGAACATCCCCTAAACTGGGTATTTGCTTCAGTAAGAATAAAAATTCAAGTTGTTTGAATAAAGTTTTCAATATCACTACTGCTATCAGTCTAGGTGACCTAACATTTGTCCACCTGTAAAATATTATTGGTCATTTTGGCAACTCCATATCTATTTAAAGAATTTAGTTATTTAATAGCAACCTAAAATTCTTTTCAAATAAATAATTTTTGGAAACTTTGGTTTAATTTTTTAATCACAGAAATAATTATGTAGTGTAGTGACCAGACCCTTTTTTTTGAGACAGAGTTTTGGTCTTGTCACCCAGGCTGCAGTGCAGTGGCGCAATCTCCGCTCACTGCATCCTCTGTCTGCCTCCCGGCTTCAAGTGATTCTCCTGCTTCAGCGTCCTGAGTAGCTGGGATTACAGGCATGTGCCACCACGCCCAGCTAATTTTTGTATTTTTAGTAGAGACGGGTTTCACTGTGTTGGCCAGGCTGGCCTTGAACTCCTGACCTCAGGTGATCCACCCGCCTCGGCCTCCCAAAGTGCTGGGATTACAGGTGTGAACCACCCTGCCCAGTCCAGACCCTTTTATAGTTGGGTCTGCATGTATGGAGTTGGGCTAATGTGCTGCTGCAATGCAGTGGTAGCCAATTAAAGGCATAGGAAGATGAGAAGATATTTCTTAGGTAAAATTTGCACACGATTAAGGGAGGAATAGAGATGCTGGAATTACTTCTTGAGTTTCATATTTTTGTGAACTTTTGATTAATGCAGTAAAACTGGACGGTTTTTGTTGTGATGGTTTTTAAAAAAACCACTACCATGTTAATACTTTATTACATGGACTAACATGCAAGCAGGGAATACAAAGGGGGGAGAGCTCACTGACCTGAATTAATGAGAATTTTTTTGAATTGCGCTATCTATACTTGATGCCAAATTTAGTTTTTTATTTTCCAGGTGGTATCTACCTACTCATAAGCTTTACCAAACATGGCATCTGAGCATATCTTCCTTAAAGTGTCATAAGTGTAATATTTATGTTAGTTTAACGGTTAATAGAGATTTGCTTATGTTTAGAAACATATATTCTGTTTTTATTAAAAATAAACTAGATGTTTTGAACATGTTTTTGACTCCCTAAATAGACCACACTATATTTTTTACGCCAGTTGTCATTTGAATAACTGAGTTTTAATAAATACATTCTGAAACTTAAGCTTTTAAATTTGAGATTTTATGTTTTCCAAAATTAAAATCAAAATACATGTTTTGAATTGATGGTCGGAACAGATGCAGTGAACTCATATGTGAAAAATGATGAAAGATATGAGATCAGGCTATCTTTATGCCTCCAAAGCAGACCATTCTATTCTATACATTGTGCTTATCAAAGTTTGAAATAGAAGTTATGTACAAAAAGAAATGACCCCTGTTCCCCAAAGTTTGAAGTCTGAGATGTAAGAGAAAAAAAATTCCCTGAATTCCAAGGCTTAGAAATATATTTCTATCACCTTATTTATATTAGGCCACAAGTAGAAACCTTGATTTTGATTAATGAGTTATCGTCCCCAAGTTTGATTACTTGTACTTTGAGAGAATTTCCAATATTCAATTCCCTGGATTTTAAAATCTGTTTTCTACTAATAACTTGATTTATAAAGATTATCCCCTTTAATTTTTAACTATGCTTCATTTCAACTCATGTCAGATAAAAAATTGGCTTGAAAAATATTGAAAATGGTACTCTTCTCCATAGATTATTTAACATATGAAACAATGTACTCCCTTTTCTATTCATTATATTTCCACTGAGTGCTAGAAGTTGTATAGTTTTATGCCCAAGGGTCTGTTTTACTGAACAAACCAGAACTCCTCTTCACCTCTTTACATTTTAGTTAGATGCTGGTGCCTAGGTTATTGTGACCGCTCAGTGCATACCGTTCAGGATCATAGTTGATTTTAGTGAGTTTGCTAACCTAGTTCAGGGTCTTTGAACCTAGTTGGCTTTAGCAGGTTTGAAAAGAGGACAACTTTTACTACTTCCTCTCCTCTTTCATGTATTACTAATCATTGATGAGGACAGGATCCTCAACAGTAACTAAGTAGGCAGTGCTGTGGGCTTACTCCTTTTCCACTGTGCTTCCAATTAACTAGCCACCAACGTATTGCTTTTCCTTTCATTTTTACCACCCCCAAATTGTGAATAATTGCATTTAGATTTTATAAAAATAAAAATCAGTGTATTCTTACTCTCTTTCTTTGCCTTTTAAATTCTGTCAGTACTTTTAGGTGGCCACAGGCTCTCCTCTTAAGTTAGGATATGCTGCTGTACCTACTATTGATTATGAGAAAATATTTTAACTTCAAATTAAGGTTCTTCATTGTAACATTTGCTAGTTATGGTGCGGTCAATATTTCACTATAATAGTATCTATCAATCACACACTGGCCTATGGGACAGAGTTTTTCTGTGATGGATAGATTATTTAGACACAGATAGGATGAGAACTTTAAGATATCCCCGCAACTTTTTTACCTCTTAACAAAATACAGTACATTTAAAACTGTCATCTACAAACAGATATGTGAACTTTACCATCTCTTCATCTTACTTTTGCTATTTTCTGCACATAGTTTCTCCCTTTTCATTATGCCTTTTATTAGAAGCAATTGTACATAATTAATTACTGTAAATTGTTCTAGTAAAGTTTGCTTTATGTTCAGTGTTAACAAGGCCAATATCTATTATGCAAATCTCAGTATGTAAGATAAGCTAGAAAGTAAATGCTTGAATAATAACTACCTTCTTTGAAGCAAAGACAACTGAATTTATTTATATTGTGAATGTCATTTCACAGTTACCTTGCTGGGCAATAAAAGACCCTGAAATTAAAATGACCCCTTTTCACAAAATATAGCTGGATGATTCATTTACTACAAAGAAGCTTGGCTTGAGAGTACTCCTTCTGAAATATAAAATGATATCCTACTAATGCATCTGAAGTGTGCTTTAAACCTATCCAAGGAGACTCATGAAATTAATGACTGCATTACATGTTGTGATTCTCTTATATTATGTTTACTTTTCCACTGTTTCTCCTCTGATTTTATATCTTATCGGTTGCATTCCCAGTCTTTGGAAACCTCCACTTGAGAAATTGTATATGTTTACAGCTGCCTTGAAAACCTTTAGACCTCTACAAATTTGAAAATATAAATCTTAAGATTAATGTTCCATACTATGTATATGTTAGTTTGGTTTAAGAATCTTAGCATTTTAAGTATTGAAGCACCTGCCACCTTGTTGAAGAAAATCAGTTATAGCACAACAGTGTAATGATGACAAAATGTTAAATTTTTCCTCGTAAAAAATTTCATTTTCAGCCTGAGTGATCCTATACAGCAGTGTTACTAGCTAAGAGGGAGGGATCTGCTCAGCAGTTCTGACTGCTCATTATTGGTCCTTGACATTTCATTCATATGCTTATTTTTTCTGTTGCAAAACATTATATCACTTGAAAACATTAATAAACAAAAATATTTCTTTTTAATTGCAAAACCCACATGGTGATTTCTTATGATATCATGAATAAATGTATAATCTTAATGGATTCATTAGAAAAATAAGTGACCCCAGTTTTGAACATGTTAAGCCACTTATTTACCTATCCAAAACTCAGAAACTATAAAGTTATCTGGTTTGTAAAAATACACTTTTACAAGAATATATGATAGAATTCAACAGCTTTTTAATCAAGTAATAGTATTTTAAAAAGAGATGTGTAACATCAATAAAATTCCAGTTTGCTTCTAGAAGCACTGATGGCTTTATTAATACTTTAGTTTTGAGACTTTTTTTTGGCTAAACTATCTAACTTCTGAATGAAAGAGAACAAAGATCCTGCCCTAGAGGATCCTGATGCTTATAATCTAGTTAAGTGTCTAGAGATAAATTCTAAAGTGTCAAAAAGCCAAATTTATAATGTCATATTAATACATTAAAGAACCTGAAGGATTTATTGAATCAGAATATTAGGACTCAAAGGGACCTTAATAATCCTCAAATGCGAACACTTTTATTTTAAGAATGAGAAAGCTGAGGCCCCAAAGGGGAGATGACTTACCTGGGGCTTTCTGGGAGGCCTAGATAGAGCTGGGACCAGAATTTTATTCACAGTGCGTCTCTTGTCATTAAGGGGCCCAGTTTATAGAGGAAGGTTTCGGAGGAAAGGTAAATCTTGCACTTAAAGGAAACGGTATTATAAGAAGCAGTGAACTAGATCTAGAGATTTGTGTTTCTTATGTTAGTTCTAAGTTTTTACTAGTTCTAAAATGCCATATTTATTGATGTAGTTTGGTAGCAAAGAAGGAATAATATGAGCAATAATAATAAAAAATAGTAATAATAATGACTAAAAGTTATAGAACTTCCTATGTGCTAGGCTCTGTTTTAAGCACATTGCATTCATTAGCTCATCTAATCCTCACAATAACTTTGTGAGGTAAGTACTGTTGTCATTCCCATTTTACAGATGAGGAAACTGAGGCACAGGGAGGTAACTTGCCCAAGTTCAAATGTGGAATGTTATACAGTGTATAGATGGAATGACCAGGCCAGTCCATATCAGATGATTCCATTTAGGAAAGGGGTTACTTTGTTGAAGAATATAGATAGTTAAGAAGGACTCCTCCAATGATAATTTTTTAAAAATAAATAATCTAGTAATTTCTTATTGTTATCTAACGTGATGTGCAACATTTCTGGAACTTTCTTCTTATTGACAGGAGGAAATTGTCAATAATTTGAAAGTATCTAGCCATAGCTTGTGTCCATAATTCTCAAAGATATTATTGCTAGCGTTGGTATATGTCAGCATGTATACAATGTTGCAAAAATTATGGCTGCACAATCACCTGTGTGTTTGACCCTTTTCACTTGTAGTTGATCACATATGTAGAAGCAATCACTATTTATTGCAGTATTCTTTGGTTTAAGGTCTCATTCCAACCAAGTAACCTCATCTCTGAAAGCATCTGTACTTAACTACTAGGTTATGTTGTCCATATTTGTGTTTAGAGTTATCTTCTATTTCTTGCTTGCTTTAGAAAATGTTATTTTGCTTTTCTACTTCAGTTACCCAAACATCAGTTTTTGTGGAAAGGTGTAAACAGGGTTAATAGATGATACCTTTTTATTTCTGTCATTGTCTTTACACGTTGGCCATTTACCAGTGTTATTGGTCAAAGTTTTGTAGAAAATGCAGAATGAAGTAGTAATAGTAAGTCTAAATAAAACTACCCACTTTTGTAAGCTTGGAGAAGCAGTTACAGTTTTGAAGCAGGGCTTTATTTGATCCTGTCTCAAAGCAGTATTGGATTCTTTAATATTCTGTTTTCTTTTAACATCCTATTATTGACTCGATTGAGAAAATGATTTAAAAAACTGTAACCATACAGGGTCTGTAATGGAAGTACAGTTTGGTTATATGTGGAGTTTTCCTCTGTGAAGTTTAATAAAGTTGAATTAACAATCTGTCTGTTTTGGTTTTATTCAACAATGTTTACTCAGCTCTTACTAAGTATTAAGTATTGTTGTAGGTGCTGGAACGAGTTTCTGGTGCTGTTATGGTCATTAGCCTGTTTTAGCTCTAGGCTACCCTTTGAAGTAGATAAGTTTCTGAGAGGATCACATTTAAGTTTTTGCTGCTAAGGTAAAGTAAATATGCAGTTCTATACAGCATAAATTTATTCTAACTGCTGTGCAGAAATTATTAGACATAAAATACAAAATAACAAATTCTTATGGTACAAACTTAATCCCTAGATATTGCTATATACCGCAATATAGAATTTTCTCTACAGCCCTTCCTTTCCCTAGGCATAGATGGGTGGATAGATAGGTGGAGGGAAGGATAGATCAATGGATGAATAGATAAATATAGAGGAAAATAACTATGAAATATACCTTATGATTGGTTAGGAAACATCACTTGCTGAAATTCTAATCACCTCTTAAGACGCAACTCATTCGTAATTCTTTGCAAGGTTTCTCTGAATCTTGTATAATTAATGCCTTTCCCCTATGCCTATAAAATTCTGTTTATAACTCCATTATTATACTTACCATAGTTATATTACACTGATTGTGTACATGTCTGTCTTTTTTTACTAGACTGTAAATTCACTGCAGGGTAAGAATTTTATCTTAATTCATCTTTGTACTTCAACTCCTTTATACAACCTTGTGTCAAGGAAGAATTGAATACGTGATTGCTGCATTCCCCCTCCTCATTTTGTAACTACTTTATTTTTAATCATCATTATTGAAATATAATTTACCTACAGTGAAATTCATTAATTTTATGTGTACATTTCAATATATTATAAAAAATTCAACATAAAAAGCATTCACGTCACTTCCCATACTCCTTCTCTTCCTTTTTGCAGTTATTCTTCTCCCATCACACCTACCACCTGGCAACTACTGATGTGCTTTATGTCACTATAGTTTATTCTCAGTGATCTATTTTATTTTATAGCTGAGCAATGTTCCATAATATGGATATTACCACTATTTATTTATCTGTTAATCTGTTGATGGGCCTTTGGGTTATTTATAGTTTGGGGCTATTGTAAATAACACTGCTATGAATATTAACTACAAGTTTTTGTATTGATATGTTTTCATGTCTCATGCATAAATATCAGAATGTCATATAGTTGGAATTACATAGTATGTAGCTTCCTCAGATTGCCATATTTCACTAAGCAATATACATTAATGGTTCTTCCATGATTTTTCATGACTTAATAGCTTACTTCTTTTTATTGCTGAGTAATATTCTGTTGTATGGATGTATCACAGTTTGTTTACTATTGAAGGATATCTTAGTTGTTTACAAGTTTTGGCAATTATGAATAAAGCTGCTATAAACAGTCCTGTGAGGGCTGTTGTATGGACATAAATTTTTAACTTATTTGAATAAATAACAAGGAGCACAATTGATGGATCATATGATGAGAGTCTATTTAGTTTTGTTAGAAACTGCCAAACCCTCTTTCAAAGTGGCTGTGCCACTTTGCATTCCCACCAGCAATGAGTGAGAGTTCCTATTGTTCCACATCTTTGTCAGCATTTGCTGTAGTCAGTGTTTTGGGTTTTAGTCACGGTTGAATGTGTAATAGTATCTAATTGTTTTAATTAGCAATTATCAAATGACATATGATATTGAACATTTCATATACTTGTCATATGTATTCATTTTAGATAGGGCATCCATATCTTTTGCCCATTCTTATTTTTATTTATCTATTTACTTATTTTAATTTATTTATTATTTGAGATGGAGTTTCGCTCTGTCACCCAGGCTGGAGTGCAGTGGCACGATCTCAGCTCACTGCAGCCTCTGCCTCCCAGGTTCAAGTGATTCTCATGACTCAGCCTCCTGAGTAGCAGGGATTATAGGCACATGCCACCATGCCCAGCTAATTTTTGTATTTGTGGTAGAGATGGCGTTTCACCATGTTGGCTAGGCTAGTCTCGAACTCCGGACCTCGGGTGATCTGCCCACCTCTGCTTCCCAAAGTGCTGGAATTACAGGCATGAGCCACCACACCCGGCCTATTTATTTATTTTTTGAAATGGAGTCTTGCTGTGTCACCCAGGCTTGAATGCAGTGGAGCAATCTTGGCTCACTGCAGCCTCCACCTCCTGGATTCAAGCAATTCTCCTGCCTCAGCCTCCTGAGTAGCTAGGATTACAGGCATCCACCACTATGCCTGGCTAATTTTTGTATTTTTAGTAGGGAGGGGGTTTCACCATACTGGTGAGGTTGATGTCAAAGTCCTGACTTCAAGTGATCTGCCCACCTTGACCACCCAAAGTGCTGGGATTACAGGTGTAAGCCACTGGACTCTGCCCTGTTTTGCCCATTTTTTAACTGGATTGTTTCCTTATTGTTAAATTTTAACAGCTCTTTTTATATTTTGGATATAAGTCATTTATCAGATGTGTGCTTTGAAAATATTTTCTCCCAGGCTGTGGCTTGGTTTTTCATTTTCTTAACAGTGCTTTTCATAGAGCAGAAGTTTTTAGTTTTAATGAAGTCATTTGTCAAGGATCAGTTTATCATATTTATGTAGGTCTACACATAATTCTAGGCTCTCCATTCTATTCTATTGATCTGCTTTTCCATTCTTTTGCCAGTACTAATGGTCCAGGTCAGATGCGGTGGCTCATGCCTGTAATCCCAGCACTGTGGGAGGCCAAGATAGGCGGATACCTTAAGCCCAGAAGTTTGAGATCTGCCTAGGCAACATAGCGAAACCTTGTCTCTACTAAAAATACAAAAAAATTAGCCAGGCATGGTCATGCCCACTTGTCGTTCCAGCTACTTGGGTGGCTGAGGTGGGATGACTGCTTCAGCCCAGGAGGCGGAGGTTGCAGTGAGCTGAAGTCGCACCACTGCACTCCAGCCTCGGTGACAGAGTGAGACCCTGTCTCAAAAAAAAAAAAAAAAAAAAAATCTCTGGTGTTTTTCATGGTCATAGCGGCATTATAGGTTTTTTCTGGAGTAAGACCACAGAGGTAAAGTGCCTTTTCATTATGTATCAAGGGTACATATTGTCAACATGATTTATCACCTTGATCACCTGGCTGAAATAATGTTTGCCAGGTTTCTGCACTGTAAAGTTATTATTTTTCTCTTCTTTCTATACTATAATTTTCAGAAGATAGTCACTATGAGCAGCCCACACTCAAGGAGTGGAGAGGTATTCTCTTCCTCTTTGAGGGCAGAGTATAGGCATAAATCATTTGGATTTCCTCCGTTGGATATACTTGCCTCTTTATCTTCATTCATTTATGTATTCAGTCATTTATTTATATCTGTGTAGGCTTGTGGATATTTATTTTACACTTTTTGTTATAATCCGATATGTTTTTAAAATTTTGGTCATTAAATTATTTCAGCTTTGGCCATTGGGAGCTGTTTTAGTTGGCTTTGGTGTCCCTTTGACATATCCACATCAATATAGGATTTCTCTTTCTCTCACACACACACACACACACACACACACCCCTACACCCCTTATTTTCTAGCACTACAAAATGTTCCAGGCTCACTTTTTATATTTCCTGTTCTTGTCCTAGAAGCATCCCTTTTCTCAAGGAGCATGGATGCCTTTTATTGGGGAGTGATGTTAGAAACCAAGGTCTGGGCACTAGGTATGCTCATTGCTACTGATATGTGATTGCTTCTAGGCCCTCTCAGCTGACAGAACGAAGAAATACAAGCATAGATTACTAACCTGTGTGTATACATATAACTATAAACATTACTATATGTAATTATCTGTATCTATATTAAGCTAAACATGTGTTCATACTGTGTCTCCTACCATAATTCATCACCATATGGATGATTCTAATCACTCTCCCTTGCTTACCTCTAACCTCTCACTCTAACAGTGAGAAATCTGGTTCCCATCCTATGGCATCCATTTACTTGTCTAATTCTCGTGTATATATATTTTATATATATATATATATATATATATATATATATATATATATACACACACACACACACATACACACACATATGTATATACACACATACATATATACACAGACACATATACACACATATGTATGTACACACATACACATATATATACTTTTGCTTTTATTTATTGTTCCTACTGTATGCATTTTTGCTCTAAAGTATAGTAAATACAGTGGGTAACTATGTAGTTAATCCTGTTTTACTAATATAAATAAAGTGAATACATTTGTATTAACCTTTCATAGTTGAGAACTTCATAGCTCACCTCTACTACAAAGGAACCTCTGGAGTCTTGGGGATAGCAACTCAGTGCAATTTCTTTAGGGACTACATAGCTAAATCTTTAATCACAGTCAAATTGGCATCTTCTCTGACTTCCTCATGTTTGTTGTGTAGATATTTTAACTGTACAGATCCCATGTGAAGGAAGAGAAAGGAATAAAAAATACTTCATAATAATAAAACTAAGTATATCATCTGTTGGCATTCATTATGAGATCATATGTTTTCACATTAAATGGGGAAATAAGGAAAGAAGAGTTTGTTCAATGAAAGGAAAACAGTTTTTTTTTAAGTAGCATCAGTTTTTAGCACATATTATAGGCTTTTTTTTCACATTTTAAAAAAATTTTAGATGATGGAGGAAGTGTAGGAAGTGACTAATATTTAAAACAATTGCCTCAGTGGTCTGATTTTCTGCTAGTGATTAGATGCAATAGGTTCAATCCTGAACTCTGCACATCTTTGTCATTGTGATTTGGCTCTTGAGATTGAGTCTCTCCTGGGGCAGAATCCAATATTCCTTTTGTGGTAATGAGCTGGAATGAGCTACAGTCTGGCTTTCTGGAAAGAATCAGGAACTTGGGAGAAGGAACAGTTGTGACCACTGGGTTTTGGGATTCTATGATTTGTGATTCTCTCACTGTCTCATTTAAGTGACTGCCTTTTTGTTCCCTTTTCACATTGCCCAAGAAGCATGATCTGGAATCCTGCCAGAAGCCACTTATGCTGTCAGTGTTTTTAAAGCTGTTCTTCCGTTTGACTAGCAATAATTTTCTTAAAAATCAGTAAGATGAGGTTGACTCCTTCAGTAGTTTCAGAAATGTGTTGCTGGATTGAAGTGGCTGAAATTATAGCTGGTATGGAAAATGATGAGCAATACATTGAAATACCCAAATACCTTGTTTTCTAACTATAACAGTCATTTCATTTTCTTCTAACTTGGTAGGCTTACTATTTTTAGATTCATGACAAAAAAGCCAGAAGACATTTGACCATCACTAATGGACTGTAGACATTGATAGGGTAATTTAGGTAGTCTGGATGACTTCAGTGAAAACCTTTGGATCTTAGGTTAAAACAAATCTTTGAAAGTTGATTCCTCTCTGGTCAGAGCCACCTGATGCAAAGAAATAGCTACCTGTATCTCTTCAGTGGCTTACTAATAGTTTGATCTAAATATGTCACTTGACCTTTTTATGTTTCCATTTTTTCACCTCCAATATGGAGAGAGTACTTCCCTAGAGGGCCCAACCACCCACAAGAGCACTTTGAAAAGTGTGAAGATATTGCCGGCTCTCATCTCTGTTGCTCCCAGTGAGCTGAAACCAGATCCTTCCCTGATGTAATTCTCTGTTTGACCATCCTTGAACTATGTCCCATGAAAGCTGTTAAACTCTGTGTTGTACCTAGGTTATGCAGTGGTTTATGGAAATTGGATCAATGTCCATGACTTTTAAATCTATTGAGAACTCAAGCAATAAGTGACTATTTTATCATGACAGCTGATTTATAACTACTTAGAAGAATCATATTTGTTCCCATTAGTCATGTCTGGATAGTTTCTGCAATATTTTTAAAGCAGTATTCTTTTAGAAGGCTAATAGATATTTTATGTAAGTATAATTTTAATTGATGCACTATATATTCTAATCCATTAGATGTATTTCTGATTTTCTTAAAAGGGAGGTTCAGAGTCCAGTGACATTTGAAGAAAATCTTATTTTGCAGCTTAGTTTTCACAGTCTTGCTCATAAGATTTCTTCCTTATGTCAAATCCAATCATTTTATATGCAGATGTATGTCATTTATTCTTTTAAAATACATAACCTTTTCTTTAGCAACATAGTGTGATATTAAGAGAAAAGAAAGAATGCAAGGAAAACCATGGAATACTAACTAAAAGTTTGGTATGTTAGCATCATCTAGAAACTGTTAGGGAAATGACTTCTTAAATAATGAGGCCCATCTTGAAATTCAACATAGTTTATTTTTTTAGAGAATCTCCTTTTGATGGTGTATTTAATAACCTGTTATGCAGACAGTCATACCATCTTCATTAGAAATAAACTACATAGCTTTTTCTTTGCATAAACATTTCCTCAGAGCTGTTTGCTGTTATCTTTGTTTAGAAAGAAGATGATTATTAAGTATATTCAGCAGTAATGAGATTTCCCTATGCTGATTGCAAGATCTAATTTGTATAATATGTAGACTGAAGAGTGGAAGAGAGAGAATGTGGGAGAGTCCAAGGGAAAAGTTTCATGCCAAACAATATACAGTATTTGCTGTTTATCACTGACCCTGTGCTCAGTATGAGTGTGCTTAATCTCATAAAATATGACAGACTTACCAAGTTAATGGTTATTAGACTTGTCAATGTAAGTCTACTTTACCAAGCTTTGGCTAACGTTGAAAAAATCTCATTTAAATTGTTTAATTTGTGTAGGAAGGTTGATTAACAATTGTTATACTATTATTCTTTCGTTTAAATTTATTTCTTCCATTTGTTTTTGAACTTCTTAAACTTTTAACCATATGAACCTTGAAACTATACACTTCAAGAAAATTTATCTTAAAATGAGTTTTAAGGTAAAATATATGACTTATTTTTAACCCATGAATTTAAATTTCCTTATTAAATGTTTCATTTGCTTTTGCCTTTCATTTTTCAGGAATCATTTCTCCTAGTCTGTCTTTCTAAGTTGTCAAGCTTTTGTGATTATAAACAATAATACCGCTTTAGTCTGTGAATTTAGATTTCGTCCTATTCTGAGTCTTCTGCCCCATGAAATGTAAAGTTGAGATTTCTTTGTTCTTCATTTAGATATATCAAGATATGTGCCTGAATATTGTGTAACACATAGAGAAACAGTATTAGACTTCCCTGTACATAGTAGATACTCAATAATCTCTACCATTTATCAGTCGAAAATGAAACTTGCATAGTAGTCATTTTTGCAAGCTCTTCACTGTGTCTGTAGACCAAGAGCATTTCTACCCTGTGTACCTCCAGAATCCCCTCCGAGAAGAAACCAGGAAGTTCCCACTAAATGACTTTAGCCGTCCCAGTGACAGAAAATGGTCTGCAGTTTCATTCACATAAAATTAGTGTTTCTTTTTCTCTCTGCCTCCTTCCCGCAACCACATCATTATTGAGTCATTCTAGTCATTTTAGATTGTGCTATTTTATCTGTGAAATTCAGTGAACTAAATATTTTTAGATATTCAAAGAACAAATAATTGTGATGTATTTTGTAAAATATATAACATCACTAATATTATTACAATACATAAGCAACACAACATCAGCCTTCGTTTCTCTTGTATCTGTCTAGACCCTCAAGAGAATTCAGCAAATGAGAACTCAGCCCTTACCAGTGATATACAATATTGTTTGTTCTCTACCATACTGAGTTGTTTGTTTATACCATGTATCAAATCCATTTGAGAAACTGCAGTGGGCGTTGAAGTGGCTCTTTATAAGCAATAGATCAATAAACAGAGTGGTTAATCTGTGGTGAGTTAGCAGTTAGAGACTGCTAATGAAGTTACACTCATTCTAAGATGTCTTTCAGTGGGAGAGAATGTGACAAGGACAGAAAACTTAAACTGGATTATCCAGAGAGATAAAAGCAAGTTATGTTGAAAAAGTGTATCTGGTTTTATTTACGTCTTTTGTAAGGCCCCAGGTAGCTCAAGAGGCATCTCTGACTTACACAGAAAAAAAGAGGAAATAAAAAACCAGCATTATCTACCCCCACATTACACTACAACTGTATACAACTACTTAATCCTTTCTTCCCCTGCAAAAGAAACTAACAGCATGCCAAAAGAAATCTTGACGGGTTTAAGAGCAGTGTGGGGATAATTTCAATAATTTAAAAAGATGTTGCTTTCTGTAATAAAAATTGATTCCATTTCTTTTATTTACTTGAATGAGTGCTTGTTGTAAACACCTTAAATTGAAATGCATCTAATTTATGTTTTTCTGAACTACTTGATTCAGTGTTTTCAAGTACATTGGTGTTGGAATTTCCGAGCTATTTATATGTAAATGGAAAGTCGCCCATAATTGGCACAGGGAGAGGCTGCTAGAAGCCCAATAATCTAATCTAAATTGCACATTTTCCCCTCTCTGTTATACACTCATAATGGCATTTGAGGGCAAATAGTTTGATCTTTATGTCAACATCACTCTCCTCTACAATAAGGGGAAGCAAAGGGATACTTTGTTTTAAGGATTAAATGGCGAAATTTTTCTGTGACACGCCATCTTAGATAGAGCTGCCAGGTTTTATAGGGAGCAAAAAGATATCATTAACTTCTAACTACTTGGATTAGGAATTGAAATTATTTGCTTCAGGTAGTAGAATGAAAGTAAAATTACACAATGTAGTAGAATGAAGGTAAAATTATACAATGTAGTAGAATGAAGGTAAAATTACACAATGGTTGTGACTGTTATAGACTTAGTTTTACCAAATTCTATTTTATTTTTAAAAATGTGTCCTACTTGAGAGTTTGATAACAATGACACTAAAACAATTCTTCTGTTTTCACATTTTTCCTAATTTGTGTGTGTGTGTGTGTGTGTGTGTTTAATATTAGCAAAAGGATCTATCAGATAGAGAAGAACATTTAATGATGTTAAACACCCGGGGAACTTGTTATATGCCTATTATAAATCATGGACTGCTCAAACTTCAAGTAATCTGAGAAAAAGCCACCTGAATTCCAAACTCCATTCCTGAGGAAACAATGTTAAAACAGATTTAAAACAATGTTAAAACAGAATTAGTTAAAATGAGATTCGTTATTCATACCATTCATTCCATGTATCTAGCCATCTATCCATTCATATATTTCTTCAATAAATATCATGCCCAACTAGGCTTAAGCACTGGGCTGGATGCAGGGAGTACAGTAATAAGCAGGAAACTCATATCACCCTCCCAGAGAGGACTGTCTTGTAATTAGAGGTGTAAGCCAGGTTACATGGTGGAATGAAAACTACATTAAAATTTTACCTATTTTTTATTTTCAGGGGCTTCATTGCTCTGCCTTTTCTAGATGTTTAAGAATTAACCATTTAGGCGCAACCTGTTTTATTTAGATGGAAATATTTCTAATATATGACCTCTAAACAGAAATATTGGATGTAATCTTTATGCTTTCAGGATCATAGTTTTGGATATTACAATAGCTTGTTTAATTCTGATAATTCTTATTGGTAAAAATGACTTTTATTGGTGTAAAACTCTAGGATTTACCAAGATTAAACTTTTTCTCATTTAATCTTCACAACAACTCTAGGAAGTAGATGACATGGCTAACCACATCTTATGGATAATGAAACTGAATCTCAGAGAGATTAAGTGGTGAGCCACTTTACTTGTTTACATCACCTGCCTGGTGCGTATAGGCCCCTGAGTTTCTGGTTTGTTCAAAGTTCAAAGTGCTGTGTTGGAAGCTAAGAAGTGGTATAACTGACATATTTCAGATGATATGGGGGATGAGTATGGTGGGAGGAGGGAGTAGGTGAAGGAAGGAATGAAAGAGATAGATGAACCATTTCCATTCCTATTTGGAGAATCTGATAATTTGGTAATGGTTATTTGTAGGTAACCAAAATTTCAGAAGTTTTTCTCTAAAATATGCTGATTTCAATACTCCCTTAATTAAGCCTCTTGTTTTCTTTTTGACAAAAAATAATCATAAACCCTGAAAATGTCTGATATGATTAAGGAAAATTTGAAAGACAAGTAAAAATATGCAAGTTAAAGTCAGGGGTATCTTCTCTCTGCTATTTTTCTTTCTGCACAGGTAAATGGTGCTAAAGTTGTTTATGGATTATATGTTCTAGTTATTTGGTTGGTATTAAAGAGTAAAGGGGCTTCTAGATGTGTGATAGTTATTGAAAGGATAAAAGCCAGGGAGGAGTAACAGGGTCAGGATTTACCCTTCTACAAAAGCAACAACAACAATAAAAAAGGGCAAAATATATGAAACAAGACTCTGGGCATCAGGCACTTTATCAATATGTTCCCTGGGAGATGGGAAACAAGGTGAGCCTTACCATTGTCCCAGCTTACTTTCAAGATGCAGCATAGAAAGGAGGAACCAGACAGAGCACAGAAGACTACCTGGGTTGAGGTGATGGAGCTGAGAATCTGGGAAGACCAAGGCATTTGGAGTTCCTAGGATAAAGTAGGAGAGAGAATAGAGAAAAGGGCTGCCCAGAGAGCCTCCTCTAGAGATCTGCCCCCTCAAGTAGTCAGCTGAGTCCTGATCAGCTGATGTGCCTGAGGAAACTACTCGACTCTGGAAGGAAAGAACAGGTGTTTACATAAGTCAAAACTTATCCAGTTGTACACTTTAAATATATGCTATTTATTTCATATTATAGCTTAATAAAGCTATATTTTTGAAGGGTAAAAGATGCATTGCTAAAATTTTGCCCCAAGAATTTTACCTATCTTTGCTTCAACCTGCATTCTCTATTTCAGTTTCTTCATATGATAAATTCTTGACTCAATTGAATGGTAGAATTCACACGGCCAATATTTCAGATCTATTCATTTGTGGGTTTAATATGGTCATCTACAAATTACTGATAATAGTTTGCTTTTTCTTACTTGTGTCATGAGATTACAGTTGAATATATACTGGACTATTCACCTATTTCTCTAAATTAGTGATTCTTAACCTTTCTGAAGTTATTTCACCTCTTGAAAATTTGATGAGAGTCATGGACTCCTCATCCATAGCAATGCATATGTGATTCTAAATGGTTTCATAACTCTCTAAAGCCCATACATTAACCACTACATCCCCGTCATTCATGAAGTTTAAGAATCCATAATTTGAATAAACTTACAATTTTTGTTTTGTTTTGTTTTGTTTTAAGATGGAGTTTTGCTCTGGTTACCCAGGCTGGAGTGCAATGGCATGATCTCGGCTCACTGCAACCTCTGCCTCCCAGGTTCAAGTGATTCTCTTGCTTCAGCCTCCTCAGCTAGGATTACAGTTGCCTGCTACCACACCTGGCTAATTTTTTTTTTTTTTTTTGTATTTTTAGTAGACAGGGTTTCACGATTTGGCCAGGCTGGTCTTGAACTCCTGATCTCAGGTGATCCACCCACCTTGGCCTCCCAAAGTGCTGGGACTGCAGGCATGAGCCACCGCTCCCAGCCCATAAACTTATAAATTTATATTTGTTTGAAAGGAGCATTTTGAGCCACGCTAGTCTAGATGATTTGTTTATGTGTTTACCAAGATCATGAACAATTGAATATCTAAGTATTATTTAACAAGGAAATGATGGCATTTTGTGAGTGCATGTGTGTTTAGCTGATACAGAAAATGTGTGAAATAGAAAGCTTACTTTCAATAATCCCTTACATTACTGCAGATGTTAAGCAAGTACCAGAACTTGCCTTCAGGACACTGTTAAGAGAAATGCGAAATCTCATTAGGCCCTGCTTCGCACATCACATCCTCATGTCCACAGCAGCAAATTCGCGGGGTCTTCTGTGACCATGGAATGCTGTCAACAGTTTTACTGCTACATTATGTATGACTTCTTTTCTACTGAGGGCATGAGCAGTTGGTAGAGAGCTGCAAAGGTGAATTTGTATTGTGTCCGGTTCATGGCTCAGAAATGAGTTGCATCTGCTCTGTGTATTTGCTGTCTTTCTCATTCAATTTCACAACATTTTCCCATAAAAAAAAGAAAGGTTAGCATTAATAATGAATGAAACTTATTTCTGATCAGAGTTCTAGGATTTTTTTAAGGCCATGTAACGTCTGTTATGCAGTGGGTTGGTGAAAGGATCAGCAGATTGGTGACGGAGCAATTGGATGTTATGACATGAATTAGTGACCTCTCTGCTTCTGTTTTTAGTCCTGAAGCTATAGGATATAGATCATCCTTGAGAAGAGCCAAAATTTTTTGTGAGGGTAGATCAGTGTTTCTCATTTTTGTTTTTATTCCAACATTTGCAAAGGGGTATTACACATGTCCATCATAACCACAGCTACTCACTAAGATTCTTGAGGGAGCAGTGTATCTCGGAACATCTGAGGAGGAGTAGAGTTTCAAAAGTCTTCTCCTTTCCTAACACTTCTTGGGGTCTTGTTTATTTTCTTGCCCCCAGGCTGAAAAAACACTTGTAAAGATTGACTTGCAGCACTGAGTCTGTAGGAAAATCATGGCAACTTAAAGCAAACATTAAGCTGGGGTTTTGTTTCCTTTGTTAGATTGATGGGGGCACTTCGTTCTAAGGATGTCACTGATTCTGAAATTATGATGCCAGAGCTACATTTCTGCTATGCCCAGCCTGCATTCACTCATACCACCCTAGTCTTAGGAATTTTTATAGCTAAGCCCATGACTCCCCCATACTTAGGCAGGAAATATGAGATTTAGAAAATGGCTCTGGCTTCAGACTAGGATTTGTTGGCAGAACAGGGCCAGATTTGGTTCACTTGGAAGAAGGGTGGCATAATGCTCAGCATAGGTGATTCTACTTAGGAAATGTTGATTGATTAGGGTGAGTGATATGGTTTGGCTGTGTCTCCACACAAATCTCATGTTAAATTGTAGCACCCATAATTCCCACATGTCATGGGAGGGACCCAGTGGGAGGTAATTGAATCATGGGGGCGGGTCTTTCCCTTGCTGTCTCAGGAGATCGGATGCTTTGTTTGTTTGTTTGTTTGTTTGTTTTGATATGGAGTCTCACTCTGTCACCCAGGCTGGAGTGCAGTGGTGAGATCTTGGCTCACTGCAACCTCTGCCTTCTGGATTCAAGCAATTCTCCTGCCTCAGCCTCCTGAGTAGCTGGGATTACAGGTGCCTGCCACCACCCCCAGCTAATTTTTGTATTTTTAGTAGAGATGGTGTTTCACCATGTTGGCCCGGCTGGCCTCGAACTCCTGACCTCAGGTGATCCTCCCACCTTGGCCTCCAAAAGTGCTGGGATTACTGGCGTCAGCCACCGTGCCCAGATGATCTGATGGTTTTATAAAGAGGTGTTCCCCTGCACAAGCTCTCTTGCCTGCTGCCATGTAAGATGTGACTTTGCTACTCCTTCATCTTCTGCCATAATTGTGAGGCCTCCCCAGGCATGTAGAACTGTGAGTCCATTAAACTTCTTTCCTTTATAAATTACCCAGTCTCGGATATGCCTTTATTAGCAGCGTGAGAACAGACTAATACAGTGAGTAAGGAATCAAATTACAAAGAATGTTTTATACCTGCTTTCAATTTATACCTGCTTTCAGATAGGATTTTCTGAGGCTTATGAGAAAATAAATATTTGCTAAATAGAAGAGAAAAGGAGTGAGAAGAGGGAGAAAGGGCGGAAAGATGAGCTGGATAATGGAAACTGTTTTGTCTGCCATGAGGAAATAGCTAACCTATAACTCAAGTCTCTTTTTTAGGAGTTTCCTGGTATAAGGAATAGTGTATTGTTCACCCACTCTCTATATTGAGCAGTGTTATTCTGAATAGTGTGGTTACTATTTACTAATTTATTAATTATGTTGTAGCTTTCATCACTACACATTATTTTTTGGCAAATTAAAGTCAAATGAGGAAATACTTGATCTATTTTACTTTTACTAATTGTTATATTTTGTTAAAAATGAGCAGGAATTTAAGAAATACCTCATGACACACTTTTTTTAGATCCCTTTGAAAACAATTTGAATATATGAGTCACTGAAATATTTGAAACAAAAACTGACAGAAATGAAGGGAGAAACAGACAATTCAACAATAATAGTTGGAGACTTCAATAACTCACTTTATTTTTCTTTCTTTCTTTTTTCTTTTTCTTTTTCTTTTGAGACAGGGTCTTATTCTGTTGCCCAGGCTGGTGTGCATTAGTGCCATCTCAGCTCACTACAACCTTGCCCTTCTGGGCTCAAGTGATCCTCCCACCTCAGCCTCCTGAGTAGCTGGAACTACAGGCACATGCTACCACACCCTGCTAAATTTTGTGTTTTTGGTGGAGACAGTGTTTTACCATTTTGCCCAGGCTGGTCTTGAACTCCTATGCTCAAGCAATCCACCTGTCTCAGCATCCCAAAGTGCTGGGATTACAGGCGTGAGCCACCCTGCCCGGCCAACAACTCCAATTTAATGTGCAATATACTATAGTAGAACGTAAGTTCCCTAAATGTAGGAATTTGCATCTTGGTTTTTTCGTTTGCTTGTTTGTTTGAGATGGAATCCCTCTCTGTCACTCAGGCTGGAGTGCCATGGTGCGATCTCAGCTCACTGCAACCTTCGCCTCCTGGGTTCAAGCAATTCTTCTGTCTCAGCCTCCCGAGTAGCTGGGATTACAGGCATAAGCCACCATGCCTGGCTAATTTTTGTATTTGTAGTAGAGGCAAGGTTTCACTATGTTGTCCAGGCTGGTCTCGAACTCCTGACTTCAGATGATCCACCCGCCTCAGCCTCCCAAAGTGCTGGGATTACAGGTGTGAGCCACCGTGCTAGGCCTTTTTTTTTTTTTTTAATTGTTGTATCCCTAGTGTCTAGAAAGATACCTAGCACATAGCAGACATTCAATATGTGTCTGTTGAGTAAGTGAATATACTATACAAGTGACATCTAAGAGCTATGTAGAGAAAGTATCCTTCTGGTGATCCGGAAATGCTTCATGGAAGAGATGGCATTTTGGCTTGACATGGAGATGTTACTGTATTCCAGAAAAATGGAAAGGTATGAATATGGAAAGCAGAGGGAAGGAGGGTCATTGAGTTGCCTTTCAATTTATGCCCTTACTTCCAAGAATTTTTTTTCTGGGTATAATAAACAGTGTCACCAGGCCAGCCTCCAGAACCCCTGGTAGTGGGTCCTTTCCAAAGGCACTGGCATTAGCTGCTGATTTATACTGGCTCTTCCAACATGTTTTTAACTCTCTAGGCAGGAGTCTGACTTTCTTTTGTGTTCCTTTTCAACCTTGTCTTTTCTTTTCTAAAGTCATTTTCAAAGGAAGACAGAAGACCTTGTGTAAGAGGAGGCTAAATCCTTTTTTCTTTCAGTGTGACTTCTTGATTCTTTGAAAAGTAGGTGGAGGCCCCCTTACTGGCTGCCTCCCCCTCTGTCTGCTTCCTGGGCACCTCACTCCTGCCAGTGCTCCCAGGAGGGTGGGGTTGTGACTCTCAACCACTGCAGTTTCCCTGCTGCGGGGCTGCTCTGATTTCTGACTTCCCACTTTGCTCTCCCTGCCCCTTGCCCTGCTGCCTGAACTCTGTTCAAGCACAGCAAGGATACAGATCCTGGAGCTTTGCAAAAAGTAAGGAAGCCCTGGAACACTGGAGCAAAGGCAGCAAAGAGCTCACAGTCACCTTTAGTTCCCCATCCTCCTCCCTCGTCAGTTTTTTTCCCTCTCAATGCCAACAGATATTTCCTTCATGTAGTGTGATTTATTTACCCTCCATCCTCATTCAACACATTTATTGACTGTTTACACTATGCTAGGTGCTCAGAATATAAAGATAGTAATCTCTGCTTTCAAGGAGCAGAATTATCTGCACAGAATCTAGGTATGGAATAACTAGTCATTACAGTGTATCCTCTATTTAGAAGTTATCTACACCCCTAGCTAGCTTGAATATGTTCACTAACTCAGTCGACAATTTGTCTTAATTAACTGATTTAGGTTATTAGAAAGATTGAACCATTGCAAATGTAGGTGTAGGATTTTTTTTAAATCAATGCCATTGTGAAATGAGTATTCATAAAAAATACTGATGCTTGTAATAATAATAATAATAATAATAATAATAATAATAATAATAATAATAATAAAAAGACACACAATTTCCAGTGGTTAGAGGTATGGACTCTAGCCAAAGTATGTCATCCAAATTTTGGTTTATCCTTTTACTACCTATTTGGTATTGGGCAAATCATTTAACTCTGAGCCTCAGTTTCTTTATACGAGAAATGGGAACAATTCTGTTAGCTGTCTGTTGGCATTGTAGGGGTTGAGTATTAAATGAGTTTATGCAAAATACTTAGAACAGTGGCTGCTACACACAAAGCGCCACATGTGTTAGTTACTGTTGAAATGTTTCTACGTTGTAGATCTTAACCACAGAACAGCCGAGAGTTAAATTCTAGTTTGAACAAGGAAAATGTTTCTTTTCTTTAGAAACTGTCCTGTGTTTTAGGGCATTACTTTTCATCCACCATTTCATGCTATTTGTAAGTGAAGGATCCAGAGGTTCCTATGTATATCATCAAGCACAATTTGCAATCAGTATTAACACTTGCGCCACAGAGCCGCTAACACTTGTCCCATTAATACTGAGTTCTATTAACACTGTGTCCCACCATGCTGCCAGGTGATTTTAATGAACACCTGGGGTGGCTCTGCCTCACTGAAACTTGTCTTGCTACCTTTCAGAACAATATATGTATAGGAAATTATTACATTCCTCCTCCTTCTGAAAAATAACCTGGGTTCAAATAATAGTAGAATAATGATGCTGCCTTAGAACTGAAAAATAGAAAAGCAAACACAGTTTAAGAAGAGCTGTAACTTGCAAGTGATTGATAATGTATATTAGAGCCCAAATGCACTAAATATATCCATTGCTTTCATTTTCCAAGATGACTAACAGTTTGTCCAAAAAGTGTTGTTAAGTAGGTTTGTTGCTTTGGGAAAGTAAGCCTATGTATATAATTCAAAATGATTTATTTTTATAAAGTTAGGAGTCTTTCTTTCTGCTGAATGGGTATTTTCTCTGACATTGTCTCTGTAGTTTCTCTTCTTCTGATGGCTCCTACCACGGTCATCTGCCTTTTAGGAGACTTGTCTGGATCTTTGTGAGCCTGGCTTAATGAGGGCTGGGCCCTTAGCTGGGTTTCTTAGGGAGAGAGAATGACAGTGAACATAACACAAAGGGTCAAAACCAAGGAAACCTCTACCTGCTGGTAAAGAAGGGATTGTGTCCCTTAAGATAAAGGCAAGTAAAGGTAAACTGAAGGGGAGTAAAAAGAAAGGACAACGAAGAGGATGTCAGACAATTTCCATATCTGGGAGTGGGGTATCTAAGCCTCCTGTTTTTCAGTCACTGATCCTGTGGTAGTTGACTTTCAAGGCACAAGATTGTGGTACAGTATACATTACCCTCCTTCCAGCTAACCCACATAATAATCTATTATGTTATCCTAGACTTTTGACATTACTGGAAAGTAAGTAATGACCATGGAGTTAAAAATAACAAGGCTGGGCGCAGTGGCTCACATCTGTAATCCCAGTACTTTGGGAGGCCCAGGCAAGAGGATCACTTGAGCCTAGGAGTGTGAGAACAGCCTGGGCAACATGATGAGACCCCATTTCTAAAAAAACAATACGAGCCAGGCATGGTGGTATGTACCTGTGGTCCCAGCTACTCAGGCAGCTGAGGCAGGAGGATTGATTCAGCCCAGGAGGTTGAGGCTGCAGTGAGCCCTGGTCACAGCACTGCACTCCAGCAACAGAGCGAGACTCTTTCTCAATAAATAAATAAATAAATAAATAAAGGCACATATATTAAAAAATGCAATATGAAGTTCTGTTGAGTATAATGACTATAATGTTTATATATAATATATGTAATATATATTAGTATATATAATTATACATATAATTATATATCATATATGTAATATATATTAGTATATATAAATATATATATAATTATATATAATATATATTATATATAATATATATTATATGTAATATATTATATAATATATATTATATATAATATATACTATATATTATATATAATATATAGTATATATTATATATTATATAGTATATATTATATATGCATATATAAACTATATTTATATAATATATATAATATATATATTTTATATATAAATATATATAAAATTATATATAATATAGAAATATAATTTATATATTATATATGTTTAATATATGTATATATGCACATAATATATATGCATTATATATATGTATATATTATATATAATATATAGTACATATATACATATATGTATATGTATGTATTATATATTATATATACTATATATTATAATATATAATATATACATATATAATATAAAATACATAAAATATATATTATAAAATATATAGTATAAACTACATAAATATATATATTTATTATATATAATTATCTGAAATATAATGTAAAATATATATTATATAAAATATAAATATATAAAAATATATATCATATAAAAATATAAATATATTAATTTATATATAAATTATTATATATATAATTACTGGACTTTTTTTCAAGTTTGACAGGGAAGGAAGACAATATTCAAGTAACATCCATGTAGCTAATCTTCATTCTATATTCTTATCTGAGTTTAACCTAGATGAAACACAAGGCTTTTAGTGCAAAGTGAAGACGTAGTTTTAATTTTAGATGTTGAGATAAGATGTCAAAACATCTTACTCAAGCTGGCTGATACATATAGTTGTTTTTTGCAATGCACACTAAATCTCAGGCAAGAGAATTTCATATTTTTATCCTTGAAATTTTCTGGCATTATGCCATTGTTCTTAGCATAACATTATTAGTGCTACATTTTAGTTTGTTGTCTGAGGATTCCTAGGGAGTTGAATGCATTGGATCTAAGAAAATAGTTGTTGAGATATCTGAAGGAACTACTTTATAATATTTCTTAAGAGTGTTTGAAGTGGGGAATTGCTTAAGAGTCTTTGGTGTTTGAGAGAGGCTATATAAAAGGCAACACAAGTGTGTCAATCACTAGCATCGAAAAGTTTTTTTTTTAAATCATTCAATTCAGTGGTCTTAATATATTCACAGAGTTCTGGGACTGTCCGCAATATTTAATACAAGAATATTTTCATTACCCCCTAAAGAAACCCTCTACCTATTAGCATTCACTCTCCATTTACCGCCAGTTTCCTCAGCTCTAAGCAACTGCCAATCTACTTTCTGTCTCTACTGATTTGCCTGTCTTGGACATTTCATGTAGATAGACTCAAACAATAAGTGGCCCTTTTTTCTATTGTGGTGAAAAACACAGCAAAATTTACCCTCTTAACCATTTGCAAGTATACTTTTTAGTAGTGTTAAGTATATTCACGTTGTTTTAAAACAGGTCTGCAGAACTTTTTCATTTTGCAAATCTAAAACTCTATGCCCATTTTAAAAAAGCTCCCTCTTTCCTCCTGTCTCTTGCCACTGGTAACCACCATTCTACTTGCTGTATCTATGATATTAACTAGTTTAGATACCTCATTTAAATGGAATCATACAGTATTTGTCTTCTTGTGACTGACTTATTTCACTCAGCATAACGTTTTCAAAGTTCATCTATGTTTTATTACATGATAGGCTATCCTTCCTTTTTAAAGCTGAATAAGATTTCATTGTACGTACATATCACATTTGTTTGTCCATTCTTCTGGTAATGGACATTTGGGTTGCTTCTGTCTCTTGGCTATTGTGACTATTGCTGCTGTGAACATGGGTGTGAAAATATCTCTTTAAGACTTTGGTTTTCATTCCTTTGTGTATATACCCAGAGATGGCATTGCTGAATCATATGGTAATTTTAATCTTAATTTTTTGAGGAACCTCCTTACTGTATTCCATAGAGGATGCACCATTTTACAGTGCCACCAACAGGGCACCAGGGCTCCAATTCTCCACATCTTTGACAACACTTATTATTTTTGTGTTTTCTTTTGTTTGATAGGTGTGATCCTAATGGGTGGGTGTGGGATGATATCTCACTGTGGTTTTGATTTGCATTTTCACAAGCTTGTTGGCCATTTGTATGTCATATTTGCAGAAATATCTATTCAAGTCCTTTGCCAATTTTTAGATGGCTTATTTGGTTTTTTGTTGTTGTTGCATATAAGAGGTTTTTGAATATTCTTTATATTAGCCCCTCATCAAATATATGATTTTTTTTCCCATTCCATAGATTACCTTTCACTCTGTTGACTGTGTCCTTTGATGCACAAAAGTTTTAAAGTTTGATGTAGTTCCATTTGTCTGTTTTTGCTTTTGTTGTCTGTGCTTTTCATTTCATATCCAAGAAATCATTCCAAAAGCCTTTTAAATAGTCAACTTATGATAAAAACAGAGTTCAGTGATTCAAAGATTAATCCAGGAGTCATTTATATTTGCATTTAAAATGTAATTTGTACATACATAAGTGTGTGTGTATGTGTGTGTGTATATATATATACACACACAATTTTTTTTTCTTTTGACACAGAGTCTCACTCTCCTGCCAAAGCTGGAGTGCAATGATGCAATCTCGGCTCACTGCAACCTCTGCCTCCCAGGTTCAAGCAATTTTCGTGCCTCAGCCTTCTGAGTAGCTGTGATTACAGGCATGCGCCACAATGCCTGGCTAATTTTTGTATTTTTGGGGTTTTGCCATGTTGTCCAGACTGGTCTCAAACTCCCGGCCTCAAGTGATCTGCCTCCCTCGGCCTCCCAAAGTGTTGGGATTATAGGCGTGAGGCACCACACCTGGCCTGTTTGTACTTATATTTGATTATGGATATGCCTACTTTTCTGAAAAGTAATTGCCAGCAAAATAATGAAGTTTTGCTGTGAATATATGACTTGAGAAGCTGGAAATATGTCCAGTTTTCCTGACTTGACCCCTAGGTCAAGACCTCCTTGATATGAGGGAACTTTTTACATGTTTGTCTTTCAAAGAATTTTCTTGGTAAGATGAAAGCTATATGAGGTGGTAAACCAGACTTGTTTTTTAAAAAAGAAAAAAAAAATAAGCAGTCTACTTAATGTTTAATCAAGATATACCACAGATAAACTAAACGAATAAAAGATATACATAATTAAGATTTTACTCTATAATATTGCCTAAGTTACAGGGAATCATTCTACTTCACTGTAAAATGAATGATTTTTTCCACTTGTAGGCAAGGGGCATATATGGGAGTTTGTATGTGGGAGGAGTTAGTTTGGAGTGATGCCTGTGAACATAACCTGCTTGCACTCAAATCCTCCTCTTCTCCTCCTTCTGTGTTCCTTTTTATGTTGAATGGCTTCCTGTTCACCCACTTACTAAAACAGAAACTTGCACACCCTCCTTCCGTTTTCATCTCCCTCACACCTCCCATCCAGGCAGTCACCCAATTCTTTCAGTCTTACCTCGAAAAGTAAGCCTGTTTCTTTCTGTCCTTATTGCTACTTTCCTTGTGCAAGACTTCATGTTCTGCCTTAAAGTGTTGTAGAAGCCTTTTCATTGGCCAGCCTGCCTGCCTTGACTTGCCTCCTTCAGTCAGAAACATATTTATAAAATATGATTTGCTCATGTCTACCTCTTACATAAAACTCTTAAGTGGTTCTCAATTGCTCTTAGTACTAATACTGAAGTTATTATCGTGGCTTATAAGGTCTTTTGCAGTCTCACACATGTTTACCACAACAGCCTCATCTGTCCTTAGGTACTTTTCCCTTATATAATCTTTATCTAGGGGTCTTCTAAGGCCCTCTCTCCTTGTTTGTTTCTCTCAGTGGATTGTGGGGTTCATGAATTTAGGAATCATACCAATCTAGCTCACTGCTATAGTTCTTGTACCTAGTGCAATGTATAATACGTCAGGTATGCAGTACAATTGTGCTGAATGAATGAAAGCTGCAGTGCACATAAGCTATATGGAAGCCCTTCCTCTTCCTAATTGCAAATTTTCTTACAATAATTTAGGATGTTCGTTATTTTCTAACTCCCAACAAGCTTGAACAAGTTCTGAAAAAATAAGATACAGTGAACCCTCTCAGCTTTCATTTCCTCATCGGCAAGTTAGGGGCTAAAGCCTTTACTAATAAATCTGTAAGCTAAAGTGATTGGACCCATTCATCTCTGAAATTTCTGTTCTGTGATCCTATAAACATGTGTCCACCCTAACTTACCTAAAACTCCAGAATAGCTACCACATATGTAATGTATAAATAGTCGCTCTAAATCTATATTTATTGGCCTTCTAAAACATAATTTCTGTTAAGGTTGGTTTAAATTTTTTTAAAAGTCAGGATTGTGTCTTTATCAACTATGTTTCATTTGCCCCTATGTTAATATCATATATAAATATTACTATATGTGAATTATTTCATTGTAAATTGAAAAAGTATAATGTAGAGGAACTGAATGCATTCATGTTTATTTGCCTAGGTGAAATTTATATTTGTTTTTATTTTATTGGCTGCATTATTATGAAATACTGTTCGCACTATAGTGAGTCATTTCTGAAAGTAATTGCAACATTGTATGAGGTACTCAAACTCCTTAAAGGAAGAATAACAATATAAATTCAAAATGATAATGGAAATAATTGCATTGTTACTCTGAAAACTCGTGCTTGGACATCTCATCAGAAATGGTGCATATGAAAATTAGCCATATCAAATTTTACCTGAAATAGCCATAGAAATTTATTTTATCCCTGTACCTTTGATCTGCATTACATTTCAGCTCCTCAACTAATAGAATTCTCTCTCCCTGTACCTTTTTTCCCACTCGAACTCCATAAATATCTGTTACTCAATATAGACAGGGGGATGAAAATGGACATACTTACCTTCTCTTGCCTTCCACACATGAGTAGAAATGGTTCTGGAAAAGTGGGCTCCAGTAATATGCTGCCCAGCTGTGAAGTCCCAGAGAGAAATACAGGATGGCAGGAAATGGCAATGTCATAAGAATTTTGTGCTCGCTCTCCTACCAGAGCCATAGCAATTTCTAGCTTAGGGCATACCCTTCCCCACCCAAGGCACATTTTCTTCCTGGTGAGAATTGATTCATAGCCTATCAAAATCACACAAGTAAATGAGTAATTTATTTGTTTTCATTTGTTTATTCACTCATATAGAGAAAACACTCACTGACACTCTTGTCAGTTGTTGCCGTCTTCAGTGCAGCATGGTTTCAGAATTCGTTCCTTGCCCAGTAGCAAAGCTGCAAACTCTCACATCATATTGGCTAAGGGTATGATTACTCAGCTATAAGAAATGATCCTGGTCCAGAAAAGAAGGCCACAGGCTCTCCATTTATTGCCTCCCTCCCCCTTAGACTTCATTTCAGAGTAATGACATAGTAAGGGGACTCTTTTCTTCAGAAAATTGTTTTTCAAATGCACTGCATTCCTGAAGGAAACTATCTGTTGTGCATGCATTTTTGGGTACTTTTTTCTTTAATAATAACACAGCTACCTGTCCAGTTTGGGTGCATGTGGCTTTAGAATGACATGAGCAATATTTCTCTAGGTATATAGTCTGACCACTTAGTTATAAGCGTTACTGAATCAGATAGTAATGAATACTGCTCTCAGCAAATGGCAGTCTGTCTAAAATTTAGTCTTCATAATTCAACATGATTAATCTAGCACATGATTTTCTCTCTTTCCACTGGCAACTAGAACCATATATTTTAAAATTTAGTGGGTACTTTTTTTCTTTCCATAATCATTGCCTGTTATCACATCTCTACCCTCTCGTCAGTGCCACTCACTTCTACAGCCCTTTGCCAAGGATTACTCTCATCTACTGATCTCAGGAGTACTCCCTTGGTTTCCACAGTGATAATGGACCTGACTCATCGCATGCTGGGGACACTTTCAACACCTGGGTCTGTATCTTGACCTTTTTTTTTTTGTCCAGCTCTGATGGCCTCATTAAGCAGTAAACTTTGAGGCTATACCTCAAACTTGTCTTCAGTTGAAACTTTGCCACGTTTGTAGTCTTGAGACCATGAATGTCCTTTCTCCGGCCAAAACATGACCTATGATTGTAACTCTGTGCTTCCTTTATGCTCACTGAGCTTACCTTTCACACTAGCATGAGCTTCAGTTATCTGATTTCTTCCAAAGTACCTGGATGGAGGACCTAGCTTGTTCTTTGACCTTCAGAATCTCATCAAATGTCCACAAACCCCAGTTTCTTTCTGTGCAAAATAGTTGTTTGGCCTGGATCTATACATTCCCTGTAGCGCAACAATTTCGTAAACTGTGATCAGTAGTAAGAGGCTTTTTGAGAAAAGCATGCTAATGAGTCAAATTATAAAATCTCCATAGTTTTAATGGAAACTATCCATGTTTGCCTGCTTATACCTGTTAGGATGTACTGCTTGATTACCTGTCTTTATCTAGTCTGAAGGCATCCAAATGAATATACTAATCTGTGAATGACGAAAACCATTAAAATGATTAAACATGATGTTAAGATCTATCTCCATGAAAATAATTGTTAAACCAAATTTTGAGTTACATTACTAAAGATGTAAGACTCTGTGACTTCTCTAAAACCTCTTATTTGGTTTCTTAACATTTGTTAATGAAAGCATTTATATTTTAAATAGCAAGTCTTTGAAAATATGTATTAGAAATGAGATATAACTAAGAAAGGAAGCAGAATGATATGCCAAGTAGTCTACAAAATGTTACCTGCTCTAGGTTTCTCTTTACTTTTTACTTTGCCTGTAAAATCTATGGGAAATGCTTGGAATATTTATCTAAGGAACTTGCAGATATGCTGATATAGTTGAAACCATAACTGTTCAATTAGGACTCAATTGTAAATCAGCTGATGGCTAGGTTGTTTAGTAGCAGGGACACTGACACGGAGAGTTTGTTTCTTAATTTCCTGTGTAAATGAGGGCATACATTTAAAAATAAAAATGTTGCCTTGAAGCAGTGTTACAGAACACAAACAAGGTTCAGAGCCTTTGTTGAATTTCTCTTCAGTGCTTTTGTTCTGTTCTCAAAACCACAGCATTTATTTTTCAGCTTCTACTCAGAGAACCCAAAATCCATTTTCCAAAGTAGAATATGAAAATAAGTGGGAGTGGCTTTGTGAGCCTTTAGACTGTGCTTATGGTGTTGCCAAAGATTAACTTCCTTTTTTTATCCATTTTGTTGAAGACAGACTGAAAACAAAAACAAAAAATAAATGATTAAAGCCATATATAACATATACATTTTCAGTATGTCAAAATTTAAAATTTTCTCATATTAACAACTTAAAATGGGAATATTTCAACTGCAAGGTGTTCTTGTATACCTGTGCTTCATGCCATGGGTCATCATTATTGGCATTTTTTTATGTGCCTGTTATGTATGAGGGGCTATGATAGGTGACCTGAGCAATACAATTTCTGCCCTCACAGAATTTATGGTCTTAGAGAAATTGTTAAGATCAAAGCTAAAATAAAAAATACACTCAGAAAAAAATGCATATATGTTCTGAACTGAATCCACAATTAATTTGGCTTACTAATATAGTGTTGAGTGAAATCATTGCAATTATAGCTTTTACCAAATAATAGGAACATTTTGGCTTAACTGAAGAAATGGTTTGCAACAGTGAAGTTAGATGTGGGCAAAATCTTTTCTAGAACAATCTGATAAGGCCAGAAAACCAAGTTTTTAAATCGCTTTTAGAGAGAAGATAATACCAGCATATCGTTATGGCAGCACATAGTAGAAAAACAATAAATACATACTGATTGTATTAATAGAACAGCCCCCAAAATTGTAAAATGATATGAAGCAAATACTGACTGTGACCTGTGGACCATATAGGACACAAAATTTAAATTTGAAAACAATCAATGTAAGTTAGTCAGGGGATGTCTTCATGAATAACTGACACTGAGATGACTCAAAGTGGCACAGAATCCATTCATATTCCTGCTTTTGTTTAGAATTTCCTATTCAATTTCTGGAAATACCTAATTCATTCTTTATAACTCAAGACTAGCCCATATTGTATCTTTCCATTGTAACTTTGCTGAACCTTCTCACACAATTACTTCCCCCTCACTACTCATACAACAAATAGTTTTGAGTGTCGACTATGTGCCACATAGTATTCTAGGCACTGAGGATACAGCAGTGAATCCATTTGACTAAGGTTCCTGTCAGCATGAAAATTACAGATTTTTTTTTTTAATAGGGGGCAGGTAAGAGAGGAGCCAGAAGAATAAACAATAGCAGCAACATTGTGTGTGTGTGTGTGCACGTGTGTGGCCATATATATAAGTATCATGGAGAAAGATAAGGTTAAGAGGGATAGGAGGTGGCTAGGAGCCTAGGAACAGTTTCTTTTATATAATTGTCAGGGAAGATTTTTCTAATACAACATTTGACCAGAGACTTGAAGGTAATGAGGGAGGGAACCATGAAGATATCTGGGGGAAGAGCAATCTTAGGCAGAGCAATCTTAGTACAGAGTCCCTGAGCCAGTAGCATTCTTGGTATGCTCAAAGAATAGCAAGGCAGTCAGTGTGATCAAGAGTAGAGCAGTTGAGGTTGATGGTAGGACTTTACCTCATAGAAGTATTGGGGGAGTCATAGTATGTAGGGTCTTACATCCCTTGGTGGATGTGAGCAAAGGAATATAACAATTTGACATGGCAGAGGGCTCACATTGGCATCATGTTGAAAATAGAGAATGGGGAGGGGCAAGAGATAAAATAGGAAAAAGCATTTGGAGGCTATTGTAGTAGTAGAAGATACATGGTTATAGCTCAGACCAGTAGTGGTGGAAATGGTGAGAAGTAGTTGGATTCTAGATATATTTTGAAGGAAGAACTAACAAGACTTGATAAATTAGATGTGGGTAAGAGACAAAGAGAGGAATCAATAATGTTTTTAACCCGGAAGGATGGAGATACTATTAATTGCATTTGGGAAGAGTTAGAAGACGAGAAATGGTAGAAAGTCGGGGAATCAGGCTTTTGGTTTGGGATGTTGTTTTAGATGCTTATGACACAGCCAAGTGGAGATAACAGGTAGGCAGTAGGATGTCAGTTTGAAATTTAGAGAAGTTTGGATTGAATACACCCACACATACACACACACACACATGCATATATATAAGTATGTATGCACAGACATACATGCATGTCTATATGTGTACATACATGTCTATATGTGTACATACGTACACGTCAGTGGTATTCAAACACATGAGAATGGAAGAGATTTACTAGGGAGTGAGTGTACATGAAAAAAAGTGTGAGGTCTGAGCCCTGGGGAATTTGAACATTTAGATGTTCGAGAGAGGCAGAAAAATCAGTAAAGGAGACTGAGAAGGTACAGCTGATGAGGCAAGAGAATTAAGAAAGTTTTTGTATTTCCAAAGTCCAGTGACATGCACATATCAAGGAGAGAGTGATCAGCTGTGTCAAATGGTGCTGACCCTAGCAATTCTGATGGAATGGTAGGAGCAAAAACCAAAGTGGAATAGTTTAGGTCTGTGTCCCCACCCAAATTTCATCTTGAATTGTAATCCTGACATGTCCAGGAAGGAAGGTGTTTGGATAATGAGGGTGATTTCCCCCATGCTGTTCTCATGATAATGAGTGAATTCTTACAAGTTCTAATGGTTTTATAAGTGTTTGGAAGTTTCTCCTTCGCTCTTCTCTCTCCTGCCACCATGTGAAGAAGGTGCGTGCTTCCCTTTCTGCCATGATTGTAAGCTTCCTGAGGCCTCCCCAGCCATGTAGAACTGTGATTCAATTAAACCCCTTTCCTTGATAAATTACTCAGTCTCAGGGAAATTCTTTATAGCAGAGTGAAAACTGACTAATACAAGTAGGTTCAAGAGAAAATGGGAGGAGGGAAAGTGGGGAAGTCAGAAATATGATAGAAATGCTCTCAAGCGAGCATATTTGTGTGCTGATATATCCAGCAGATATATGAATATATGTGAATGATTCAGCAGAGGGAAAGAAACTGATGAAGTCAGTGATGGAAAGGGAATTCTTAGAGTGGTTTGCTTGGCTAGGTAAAAGAAGGGGGATCTTCAAGTGCTTACATGATTATAATGGAATTTTAGAAAGAGAGAGAAAAGTAGACGCAAAAGGTGAGAGCCTGTTAGCAGTGGTTCAGAGAAGGAGGCAGCTGAAACAATCAGATACTGAGATCCTAGAAGCAACTGGCAACAGCAGCTTGATGTTAGCAAGGACTATGGAATTTGGGACATTAGATAAAATTGTTGCTCTTGAAAGAAATAGGAAAGCAGGGAAATATGGTTTTCCTAGTATAGTGTCTATCAAAAGATTTGAGCTTAATAGATGCCTCATGAGTGAATGAATGTTAAAATAAATAGCTATTATGGGAAAATGCTTTTGCTTCAAGGGATTAAACTAGTTGTTTCCTGGAATCACTTTTAGTGTTAAAAGTCTATGCGTCTATGAAAATAAAGCCCAATTATGCATTATAAAATACAGAGGCCAAATAATATGATATAAATGTCATCCTTTTCCCTCTCCTATATCCTTGCCAGTTAGTGCACATCAATCACCTTACACTTTTTCACATTGAGTCAAGAGTTGTCTTCAGAATCTTTTCTGAGTCAGTCAGTCACTATCTTTGGATTGGCTTTGGCATTTAAGATCATATCTATGTATCATCACTGATATATATTTATAAGATGACAGTGACAATTAAGTCTTTCCTAAACCGCATGGGAGATGTAAGCATAATTTACGCTAAAATGTGAAAATGCCTTCTAGGCTCAGACTCAGATGAGCCCCTTGAGAACTGGCAGGAGGTTAGGTCTGTGTGGAGGGACTAGGGTAGCTAGTTACTCTTGACCAAGGGGCCCATGGCTTAAAAAAAAAACCTGGCCTTTCTGAAATTAGTTTCTGCTCTTTGCCTCATATTCCTTTGTTCACCAGTGTTCCAGCCGCTAATTCTGTTTCCATGCATTCTGAAGCTAGAAAGAATGATTGATTATGAAGAGCAATCTTCAGCATTTAGTCTGAATTGAAGACCCATTTAGAACAGAAGATCCTCTTTTCAAAGAATAAACTTGCATTCTTTACTCTCTCCTGAAGGGGTAATTGTCATCAAAATCAAAACCTCATAAAAGGAATCAGATTCTTTCAGTAACTGTTCAATTATAGGAGACTAGACTTCCCCAGAATAGAAACTAATCTTGGTCGTTTATGATTGTGACACCCTTACAGGAACACAGTAAGTGACAAACTATGTAGATTTATTATCTGCTTAATTGAGGCAGATGCAAATTCTGATTGCATGAGATCAACAGATGTTGGACTAGTTGTTACACAGATTAGTGATATATATGCTAGATTTAAGTAGTTTCCCAAACTGGCATCCTTGCAAGGTATGCTTGTGTTTGTTCTCTCTGTGTAATTAATTTGGACCTTAAGTTTACATATAGGTCAACACAAATTCCTTAATAATTTCCGAGAGCTACTTTATGTAACAATAGGAGATGTATGATTGCTAATAACAAACACTGTATATGGTTTTCTTCTATTATTTTCTCCTATAGGAAAGATAGCATAAGGATGAAACAATTCTTCCTGGGTGTGTGTCAGACAGCCATTCTGGGTGGATCAATTTGCATACCTGTAATAAGGCAGGGGGGAATCTTAATCGAACCACCATCTTGGAAACCAACAGAGTGAACCACTGAAGTGATGGCCTCCAAAATAGGAATATAGGCACAAGCTCTTTGAATCTGGAGCAGTAAATTCACATACTCCAATCCTTCTGAGGATAAAAGTGACTGCCTTTTGGGTGGGCTCCTGAGTAGTTCATAACTTAGTAGCTGTAACATATATTGGATCTTATAGCAACCTGGGACAGATTGAATTAGATTTAGCTACATTTATTTAATAGCTTTGATGTGATAAGTGAGAGTAGTTTTGTTTTTCTTTGTACATCTACCCTGAGATTTCAAAATCTACCTTTTATTTTTATTCCCAAATGCTGTTATTTTATTAGTGGATTTATTTCTAAAAGTTAAATAAATAAACCGTCCACATAGCATACAGTAACAGAAAAATCATGCCCAGTTAGGGTCAGCCACTGAGTACACAACCAGAAGCACATGCCTCATATAGAAACTGGACAGCTTTGCCTTCCTTGAAGGGGGTTGGGTGACTGAAGACGCTATTTTATTCAGCTGTGGTCAAATTTTTTGGGCCATGATATTGCTTTAATTCTAGGGATAATGTTGAGTTTCTCATCAGAAGATCTATTTTGCAATGAGGTGAGAGTGGAAACTTTGGACCATAGCAATCATTGACTGACATTTATCCAGTTATTACTCAGTGATAGTCAATGACCTAAGTGCTTTATGAGAATTAAACAGGCTAGGTGTGTTGTTTCATGCCTTTAATCACAGCACTTTGCGAGGCCAAGACAGAAGGATCATTTGAGTCCAGGAGTTTCAGACCAGCCTGGGAAACACAGAAAAACCCTATTTCTACAAAAATATAAAAATAAAAATTAGCCAGGCGTGATGGTACATCAGGAGGCTGAGCGGGGGAGGATCACTTGAGCCCAGGAGTTCAAGGCTGCAGTGAGCTATGATTATGCCATTGCACTCCAAAAGAGAATTAAATAATTCTCATGGCAACCCTATGAAGTTAGGATATTATTTTCTCTTTTATAGAAGCTTATGTGACCTGTATAAGATCACTAAGATAATACATGGTGAAACCAAGCATTCAAATCTAGACAGTGTGCCTCTAGTCTCCACTGAGCTATATTGGGATGCATCATTCTCTCTGTTTCTTGACCTTTCATTCAGAGAATCCATGATCTTTGGCAATGATTCATTGCTTTCTTTATAAAACTTATCAATAGGTACTAGGTGAGAATATACAAAGTGGTATATCTGTCTGTTAAATAACTACTTTTTAAAAAAATTTGTTTTAAGTGAAATATCCTATGATAAAATTAGATATACATTCAATGGGGTGGAGAAAGAACACTGGATTTGGAATTAATGACGTTAAATCAGCCAGGTAGAGTGTCTCATGTCTGTAATTCCAGCACTTTGGGAGGCCAAGGTAGGAGGATTACTTGAGCCCAGGAGTTCTAGAGCAGCCTGGGCAGCATAGTAAGACCCCATTTCTACAAAACATTTAAAAATTAGATGGGTGTGATGACACCCAACTGTAGTCCCAGCCACCCAGGAGGCTAAGGTGGGAAGGTTGTGTGAGCCCAGGAGATCGAGGCTGCAGGAAGCTGTGATCACACCACTGCACTCCAGCCTGGGCAACAGAGTGAGACCCTATCTCAAAAAAAAAAATCTATCTGAAATTTATAATATTAAGAACACTAAAATTTTAATGGCAATTACAATTTTTATTCGTGTAGTACTTTGTAGTTTAGATAATCAGAAGGTTTTTGTATGACTCCTGGCTTTATGCAGCAGGGATATTTTGATGATATTTTGATTATATAAATAAATATGTAAATAATTCATAAACAGATAGCTTTATAATTTATATACTATGTGATAAGAAATACATTATTTGACCATTGTATGGCAAAAATCTCTAAAATTGAGAGAATATCGGTAAATATTATCTCCACTTAACAGTTAAGAAAAGTCAGGGCAAGCAAATTATTAGTAATAACAGTTTTAGAGCCAGAACACAACCAAGTTATTTTGATTAAGTGAACAATGAACTAAATGCTAACATAAACTAAGAACAGTAACAATAATAACAATAATGCTAGCAGAAAAATCCTCTCAAATGGTATTCATGGCTTGAGGGTTCTAGTGACAATATCTATGTCAACTAGAGGATGTTCTGGATCCTCAGAGAACATATAAGGAAGCATTACCTGCATGGCAGCATTACCATGGTCCCAGGATGTACAGTTTGAGAATTTGGTTTTACCCACATTCCCCAAGGTTTTCAGTCTCATGGACACTGGCTCATCCCCACCAGACTCACAAGAGCCAATTAAAACAAAACAGACTACAAGTGTGGTAATTCCAAAAGAAATCTTGCTTTCGAGTGACTTAAATGCTTAAGACAGTTCATCAGGATGATTTCCAGAGTCAGGATGCAGTGGAAACTGACTTAGTATCTGGCACATGTGTGGAGAACCTGTGATCAGGGTGGTGGAAACATTTCAAATAAGTTGGTAAATTTTCCATTTTAAAAATTACCCTTGATTAAGTATATAACAAATGAAAGCAAAACTACTCTAGTCTCTTCATATCCCATCCCATAACTCCCCTTCTCATTATAGCCTCTGACAGGCCTTCAAGAACTCAAAGCTTAAGATTTGAAGCACTCATCTAAGCTCTAGAGAATTCTGAAGAACCTCTGCCTTAAAACAGACAGATCTTTAGTGAAAGGTGAAAGGTAGCCAAACTCTCCCAAATTCCTCATCTCTTTATTTGAGGAATTTGTTGGATAAAACTCTGGGAAACTTGGTCAGTCTGATTGTTTTCTTCGCTCTTTTTTCTGATCATCCTCATCAGTTAACACATTCGTTCTCCTGGGATCTTTACACCTTTGACTGGGTAATAGGCAGGCTTACTTATCCCTCTGGGCTGGAGAGGCTTTCTATTACCTTAGGGTAATTTTTACCTATACCTTGTGTCTTCTACTCTGTACTGATTTTATTAAACTTATTTTCAGAATTCTGCTGGTACCTCAGAGAGTCTCTTCATTTGTACTCCCTGCACTTGACTCTCATAGTATCAGGAAGTTCAGTTAATCTTGTCAAATGAGGAAAAAGGCTATAGTTATTATAGTATTATTGATGTGTTGTGTCTCAGTGGGTGCCGAAGTTTAATTTTAGTTTGCTCAGTTTCCTTGTAATTTCTTGACCACATGCCTAGATGGTATTTGCATGTTGGAGGAATTTGAATGTGATCAATTTTGCAGCCTTTAACTACCTAGCTGTAGGGAGTTCTCTGTCTCTAATTGTTTCTTCCATCTCACAAACATTGCAGTGGATTGTATGTCTATTTTTCTTGATGACTGCTTTTGAGAATGATATCAGATGAAATATTTTGATAAGAGTCCCAGCTCATTACAAATTGCAAATTATAGTTTGACCTTAGTGTACCACTAATGCTCACAATTAACTTTGTGTTTGAACTTTGCCTGACATTTAAATATCATATTAATCATGTTTTAGCAGTGAAGGATTTTGACAGATTAATAGTGAGATTCTAGTAAATATTGCTTTAATTGATTCATGTAAGGTGTAATTAACTGTTTTCCAAATTTCATAATATTCATCATTCAAATACTTAGTTGAAATGAAACCAGATCTCTTTTGATATAAAAACAGCTGATTTTAACTTGCCCTCTCAAAGTTTTAAAAATATCTTTAAAACTAATCTGTTCAAACGTTATGTGTGAACATATTATATTTATTTAATAATTTTGTTTTTGTCACACTTTCATACATGATTGAATACAATAATATAAGATATTAAAACATGTAAGTTGAAGTTATGCTTGAATGGATTTTATTTATATTGGGACCCTCATAGAAGATTGTCTTAAAGAAAGATGTTTGTAATAATTAAAGATTACATTATTTTATGAGTAAAACAATGTTTTAAAAGTACAATAACAACAGACAGGTGTTTTAGCACCTGTATAGGAGATTTAAAAATGATGTTTTCTCAAATCCTGTGTGACATTAGAGTCCTTACACTAGGATTCTACATGCAGAGGTTTACCTGTGTTGCATTGATAATGCTGTGTCTACACATTACCAACAACTTGACACAAGTGGATGAAATGGCCAATCAGTATCATTGTTTGCATAGATCATCTATATGCAGTTTTGGTTCAGTGCTCTTGCTGCTAACTTTGGCTTTTCTAGCTCTTTTATTATCATTCTGGTACATTTGCAAAACAAACAAGAATGTCAAAATATTGGTGGAATTTCCATATTTTCGGCCTACCATAGGGAATCATCCATCTGTTTTTTTTTTTTTTTAAGACAGAGGAGTCTGGCTCTGTTGCCCAGGCTGGAGTGCAGTGGCACTATCTCAGCTCACTGCAAACTCCACCTCCCAGGTTCAAGTGATTCTTCTTCCTTAGCCTCCTGTGTAGCTGGGATTACAGGCATCCACCACCACGCCAGAATACTTTTTGTAGTTTTAATAGAGATGACTTTTCACCATGTTGGCCAGGCTGGTCTCGAACTCTTGACCTCAAATGATCTGCCTGCCTTGGTCTCCCAAAGCACTGGGATTACAGGCGTGAGCCACTGCGCCCCATCCATCCATCTGTTGTTTTTAATGTGCAAAATGAAAAATAAGTTATAAATGCTATATGAGAAAAGGTATTTTCAAAATGAAGTCCCCCCATCACCCAAATATATTATCACCTTATTGTCATTTCTATTACATCACATTATCTTCTGATGATCCTTTGACATTTGTAGCTCTGAAAGCAAGGGGTGTTATCATGTCTAAGTTGAGGGTAAATATAGAAGATTATCAAGAACTTTTATTTAGAGATAGTATACTTGGAATATGTGCTTACCTTCCATCCCTTATGAGATATTTTAAATGGATAAATCCTTAACAGAGGAGAGAAATTCTGGGCTGATAGTCAGCAAGGTCCATAGAGGTATGAGTAAGAAATGTGGATGTAAACAGGGATTAATTGAAATTGCCTCCATTCCTCTCCCCAATTTCTGTTCCCAGAATAGAATTATCTGGCAGGTGCCTAGGAAAACAACCACAACAAACAGCAACAACCACAACAACAAAATGGCTCTTCCATACAAAATCAGAATGGATCCACTTGGGAAAACTCAGGCTTTTAGTGTGGATATTGATATTCCAGAGAAAAGGGAGTAGAGCTCTTCTTACTCTGCCAATTGAGGGAGTTTCTCACTCTCTCATCTTAACTTGTAAAGTTTCATCCTTTACCTTTGATTCCCTCCACCATGCTTTAGTACTCCACACAAATACCCCAGTCAAAATTCCCACTCAAGGAAAAGACTCGGTGAGGAATAAGTCCTTCTTTCTCAGCAGCAGAGGAAGCCCACAACAGCAACCCCACCCTCCTTTTGTAACTATGAATGGACCACCAGTGATTGCCAGGCCTATGGGGAGACCCAGTAACAAGAAAGTTAAAAGATCAAATAAACAAAGAAGAAACCTGATCCCAGCAGAAAGAGTAACTATTCAGAGAACATACGTATCTTGGTTTTTTTTTTTTTTTTATTCATCGAAAATATTTAGAAGTGTTTGAGAACATATTGTATCCATAAAACAAGAATTAGGAAAACTATGATAAAGGAACCATTAGTGAGCTAGAGAGTACTACTAGAGAATACAAATATGATTGTTGAAATTAAATCAATAACACTAGAAAACAACATTGAGAAAATCTTGCAGAAAATAGAGCAAGAAGACAAACAGAAAAAAATATGGGGGAGAAAAGCTATAAAGCATAGATGCCAATAAAAGAGGTACAATCCAGAATCTCAAAAAAAAAAACCATGGAAAATGAGAAAAAAAAAAAAGAAAACAAATTAACAAGAAAATAGTAGCAGACCATTTCCAGACCTGAAGAAGGATATTTGTCATTTTATGGTTCCCAAACAATAATCTAAACTCAGATACATATTTAATTTTTAGAACACCAAGGATAAAGATGAGATTATAAAAGCTTCAAGAGAAGAAAAAAATGCCTTAACAAAGGATCACAGATCTGATTTACATGGGGGCAGCACAGGACACCAAAAGATGGAGCATTGTTTTTGAGGTTATGAGAGAAAAATCTATTTTCCAACTTAAAATGGTATCTGGGCCTCCATTATGGTATATGCACCTCCAAAAAATGACAGACTGAAGACGTTTTCAGATATGGAAGAACTCAGAATATTTCTCTCCTAATCCACCACTAAATTGTATGGTGGAATGAAGATTGCTGTAAGTTTGTTAACATTCCTCCCATTGAGAGCTGTGATCCTATATCCTCTCCCCTTGAATCTGAGGGGGCTGTACAACTGCTTTCACCAGTTGTGTACAGTGGAATTACACTGTGCCCGTTTTCTAGCCCAGGCTTTAAGAAACTGTCATCATTTATTTCCTATCACTTGGAACATTCCTTCCTTGAATTGGCCCCATTTGGCACTCTAGTTGACAATCCCAGTTGAGTCCAACTTTCCAGTCATTCCCTCTAAGGGGATGTGAGGGATGCCATGTTTGAATCCAGAAAATTTTCCTAAGAAACAATTTAACCATACAAAATTCAAAAGAGCAGCGTACATATTGCCAACTTAGCAAACTTTGATTTACTTAGATAAAATGTTTACTAATTTGCAGTGATTAATTGATAGTTGCTAGAATGAGAGAGGCATTCAATTTCATAGCAAGAGAATCATCTGCCTTGTGCTAGAAAACTCTATCTTCTCTTCATTCTAGTAACAACCCCAACCTAGGAGAACAAGTATGGTCCTCACAAGCCTTTCTGGAGGCATATTGTAGGGTATAATGACTATGATAGAAATTTTAGAACAAAGAAAGTAAGAATTGAAAGGCCATTGGATTACCCTGTCATAACCCTAAATTCCTAGGTTGTAAAATTCATGCTTTTTGTAGGCATTCGGAACAACTGGGTTTGAGAAGTAGAAGGAAAGAACCCTTTCAGGTCATACTGGAAGAGGGCAAAAGCCTGGTGATCTGGGAACCATCCAGCCAGATATCCTGATATTCTGAGAAAGGATAGTTTGGGTATGAGATATATAGTCAACTGTATTGATTCTCTATTAAGAATAATGATACATTATGGAAGGAAAGAGTCCACATAAACCGTATGCAGATATGGGAGGGGAAAGCAAAGGTTTGAGTACAATGAAGCTTCCATGTTCTATTTCTATAGCATCTCAGAAACTAGTTTTATTCACACCATCCGGTATTAGAAGAACTTGGCAAGTTCTGAATCTTCCACATGTATATATTTTTTATTTCCTGAATTCTTCATACTGATCATTATTTATAATCACTAATAAGACAAGCTGCAGACTGGGAGAAAGTATTTGCAAACCGCATATCTGAGGAAGAATTTGTGTCTAGAATATATGAAGAACTCTCAAAACTCAGCAGTAAAGAAGCAAACAGTTAGAAAATGGGCAAAAGACACGAACAGAAAAAAAATCACTGAAAAGTATATGCAGATGGCAAATAAGCACATGAAAAGATGTTAAACATCATTAGTCATTAAGGAAATGCAAATTAAAAACAATGAGATATCACTACACAGCTATTAGAATTACTAAAATAAATAATAGTGACAACACCAAATGCTTGCGAGGATTTAGCGACTGGATTATTCCTGCATTGCTTGTGGGGATGTAAATGGTACTGCTGCTCTGGAAAACAATTTGACCATATAACCCAGCAATTGTCACTTGGACATTTATCCCCGAGAAATGGAAACTTACATTGATACAAACATCTGAATATTGATGTCTACAGCATCTTTATGTGTAATAGCCTAAAACTGGAAACAACCCAAATATCCTTCAACAGGTGAGTGGTTAAACAAATTCTGATACATCCATAACATGAAATACAATTCAGCAATAAAAAGGAATGAACTATTGATATATGCAACAAACTGGATGGCTCTTAAAGGGATCCTGCTGAGTAAATTTTTTTTAAGTACATTCCATATGATATCACATTCTTGAAATGACAACATTATAGAGATAGAGAACAGATTAGTGCTTGCCAAGGTTAATAGAGGTGGGGGAGAGGGAAGGAGGTGGGTGTGGCTATTAAAGGGTAGCATGAATGCCCTTTGTGATTGACTATGATGGCACATGAATCTACATGTGTAATAAAATTGCACATTGGTGGTACATGAATCTACACTTGTAATAAAATTGCATGGAACTCAGCATGCACACCAACGCATACATACACACACACACTCACAACTAACTGCATGTAAACCTGTTGTAATCTGAATAAGTTCGGTGGATCTTATCAATGTCAGTATTCTGGGTGTGATGTTGTACTACAGCTAGGCAAGATGTCACCATTGGGGGAAACTGAGTGAAGGTTATACAGAATCTCTGTATCATTTCTTACGATTGCATGTGAATTTACAGTCTTAAAATAAAAAAGTTGAAAAAAAATAAGAAAAGGGCCTATATATTTTTGTAGCTCACTCAGAAAAAAAAAGAGGATTTTAAATATCCTATTCTATCAGGAGGGATTGCTAATCTGGTTCTCTTTCATATGGTCCCTGAGTCAGTGATCACAAGGCAGGGTCTACCCAGCCCAGATGTTATTTCTTAACAGTGACAATAAAGCAAGCTAACATTTCTTAAGCCTTGCTGCTTGTCATCCTACAGCTTCTTCATTGGAATGATGGCTTGTGCTGTTCTGTATTGTCTGACATAAGCATATACCTACAGCTTCCTTTTATGCCAACCCCCCTCTCGTTCTCTCTGCTCCCGCCACAGTTGCCTTCTTTCATCTCCTGAAATGTGTTGTAGTTTTTCCCTCCACAGGCCACTTTCCCATTTGCCTACAGCACTCTTTGCTGTTTAAGCCTTCTTACTCTTCATATCTTAGCTATAATATCATTTCTTCAGAGAGGACTTCCCTGATTTTCCGAACTAGGTCAGATGCCCTGTAACACACTCCAATGGTATTTTGACTTGTCATAGCACTTATAGGTGCAATTGCATACTTGTCTATGTTGTCATTTGATCTTAATTTTGTAGTAGAATAAACTGAAGCTTAGAGAGATGTTTTATAGGTTGCCCAAAGGTAAAGTGGTAAAGCTGGGATTTAACCCAGGTCTGTTTGGCACTAAGTCTCATGCATTTATTGGTATTTCCCCACGCATCTTATGTGTATTACATGGTGTTATTTCTTATGTCAGGGTATTATGAATGCCATAAAAGGATTTGTTGATAATGTCCTAACCTGTAGAATTATATTTCTTTACTATTCTAGTGTCCCAGGTGGATTACAGATAGATAGAAACTATACACATGCAACTTGTGATTCTTTTGGCCAAGGATACAGAGACTAGCAGAAACTGGGGGAGAGATGTAGCATACCTTAGCCTGATTTTCCCTGGTCCAGGGTTCCTAATGGGTTTCATGGCTACTTATGATGCTGCCTGTGTTTGTAAGGTCCTGCCAGATCTTGGAAACCACCTGATTCTCACAAGCTTGTACCAGAAAGAACTGAAATACAAAGTCTGTGTACCAAACATTTTAACAACTGTTTATGGATGTTGAAGCCTCCTTCTCATTAAATCTCCTGTCATTGAACCAAACTCCATAAAAATAATGTACTTCTTATCTCCTGGAAGAAACAGAACAATTCTACTGTGTCTCTCATCACTTCGATAGCCTCTTGCTGATTAGCATCTGAGGAAAACAGTTTTCTTACAACTACTCTTAAATATAAACACAAATATGATCAATAAATAACTATAAATATGCTTTAGTGGGGCACAGGTATTAACTCAAGTTTTCTCCTTACTACAGAAATCATTATAACTTTTAGCCTAAGTTCTAGCACGTGGTCTGATCCATTGTAAGTTTCCCTTCTTATGTTCTTCCAATTCTATTTCTTCACTTTAACGGAGCCCGTAAGGTTCTTACTTCATGCCAGTCTGCATTGGGATTATAGCTTCTGTTTTTCCTGATCCTTATGTCTGAGTTCTCGGTCTTGGTATGAACAAATGACTAATATTCATGTTAGTTGTACTTCTATGGTGCTCTTCAGATGTCTCTTTTTCTGTCTAACAGAAATGGAGATTGCAGCAGCTCTCTAATTTTCAATGTGCCTTGAATGTACTATATAGCTGTGGGCCTTTTCTGGGAAGATTTATTTTCTTACTAGGTCCAGAACTCAAAATATGTTTCTTTATTTCTTGCCACCATGTTCCTTTCTGTGTAATATCAATTGAACCTTTCTTCTATCATTAGAAGCTCAGAAGTGTTAAAGCTTAACTCCTTCTTGCTGTACAATATCCTGTGAGTCACACCTTATCACTGTCAGCCAGTAAGAGAGGTGCTGAAGAGATTGTGCCTCTCTATTATTTAGATGGTTGCATTGGTTACTTTAACACAAGCCAAAATAACAAAGGCTTAGACAAGGTAAAAATGTATTTCTCTCACACACAGACAGCTAAGCTATAAGTGGTTGTAGGAGGGGACATGGAGGAGAATGTGCTGTTCCAAAAGGTTGTCCAGAAACCAGTTTCCTTTTTGGTGCTCCCCATCCCATTGGATGTTTCTGGCATCAGTATGGTCAAAGAGAGAAAGTGAGAAAGAAGCGGAGGGCATACTTCTTTTAAAGGCATGCTCTAGAAGTGCTACGTGTGGGTTCTGCTTATAGCCCATTGGCCAAAATATAATCATATGGTCATACTTCGCAGTAAGGGAAGCTAAAATATGTAGTTGTTAGCTGGGGGCTAATTTTTTTATATTGCTAAAAAGAACACGAGAGCAGACACTCAGGAACAACATCTGATTTTGTATCTAGGCTTGAAGGTGAGAAAAGAACCCCAGGAACAGTTCAGAGTAGGCCAAGTTCTTATGGCTTGTGTGAAATCAAGAGAAAGCAAAGGAAGCAGGTTTGGGCCTAAGCAGAGATCAACCGGGGTTTGTCAATAGAAAGCCAAGTGTGTGGTTTCTCTAGCAAAAAAAGAAAAAAAAAAGAGAGAGAGTAATGAATACTTAAGGAATCAATGAATGATCAAAGCTATTTCCCAACACATTAACTTGATGCTGGCATTAGAGATGGCACAGAGAGGGACAAATAGAGCCTTTTTTTTTTCCAAGTAAGAGAAGATACGTTCTAACATGGAAGTGTGGAGAGAACAAAGGGCAGAGACAAGACAGGCATGAGAGACACTGGAGAGGCAGACTCCTTCAGATGGGCAGAGGGGACCTGGAAGAAGTGAACCTCACTCTGCAGTGTCTAGCATGTTTCCCTAGGAGAGTGTGTTCATCAAGAGCGATGGGGAAGTCAGGAGGGGCTGATTTTGTTTTGTGGCCTGTCTTGTTTGGTTGTTTGGGGGTTTTGGCAGTAGGGGAGCAGGGAGAGAGGTGAATTATTTGGTTTTTGACCATTCGACTTTGAGATATCAATGCAATATCCAGTTGGACATTGACAGAAAGTCAGACTGTCGGAGGGCACATAAGGAGGGTTTTAGAACTTTAAATAATAGAGGTTTGAGGTCTGTTTTTTTTTTTCATGAAATCTAATAGGTAAAGGCATGAGAATGTCATAGCAAAGAGAGAGAAGGATTGGCTTTGGGGAGGACTTCTGTTTATTGAGGGATAGCAAGAAGAGCTAGAAAAGCAACTACATAGAAGAAATCCTCATTGGTGTTGATAAGAATTTCAAGGAAAGGAGCAGCCATCAGGGTAACCTTTCTAGAAAAAACAACTACAAGGAAAGAAGCCCAATTGATCTGTTCATTGGACAATCAATGTAACTTCTGTGAGACCTGTTTAGAGCAGAGACATAGGAACCATGATTGTACAGTTAACTTATGTACTAAGAGGGCAGCAAGGAAGAAGGAGAGGCAGGTGTGGTGATGTTACTTCTTCCTTTTCATTTCAATCATTCAAACAGCATATGTCTGTCTGTTCTTGTGGGCTGTGAGGAACTGGCATAGGTTGAAAGGCAGGAAAGCCTTAGGGAAACCTGGCCTGTTTTAAAAAAAAAATTGATGTAGTACTACCTCTTTCTCAATTAGTTGTTTTAGTCTCCTGTGATTTTAAAATAAGTGCAATATACATTTTGTTTTCATATAACAAGATTAGGTTGAGAGTTCAGGAAGTTTAAGTAGGTTATTATCTTTTACATTATGTACCTCTTTTGATGCAATGAATTCTCACTAAAAAAATGATCTTTTTCCCCACTAAGTGATTTGTACTTGGAGTCAAGCCAAGTTATTTTATCTCTGGGGACTGAATACAAGTGGCCTACAAGGACAAGATGAATTTATTTGCCATGAAGCTGGCAATTTGAATAAGCATTAATTATAGCATTATTTCTGAATATATTCTTAATTATAGTTGTATTGATATTGGCTAAGAGTTTTGATACATTTGGATGAACTTTCCATATCAACAAATGCTTGAGTGATCTGATTAAGCTTCCTAATGAATGTTTTGTATATTATGACTTATATCATAATATAAATATCTTATATTTATATAAATATTTTGCCAAGACATTTAGGAACTCAGTTAAGGTATTTTTTAAGAAAGTAATACATCTTTATTTGAATTTCAAATATGGCTTAAATTCTGTTCAGAAAACAAAATTAGATTGTGATTATGATTTATCTTATTTTTAAGGACCGATAGCATTATTGATGCATTATTATTATACCTATTTCTTTGTTAATATTTATGAACTACATACTTTATGCCTAGTATGCTTGAAATTGGTATCAAATCTAGTTATGTTATGCAAATCTAGTTATTTAGCATGTTATTTAATGTTAAATAAGTAGTTTGGTATTTAAGTTACTGAAACCATAGGAAATATTTACTTTAGTAAGCATGTTGCCAAAATCTGTAGCTATTGCAATTTCTAATTAATAAATATTTATTAAATGTTTGTTATATATAATGCATTACGCTGGGGGGCACAGAAAATGTAGAGCACTACAAGATTTTTTATACCTTCAACGGACTTATAATCTCTCAGAGAAGTAAAGAAATGTACATATAATTGTAGCATGTATTATAATTGATGCAATGAAAAACATGAAATACGGTCAAGGTTTAAATAAAAATACAACTGTCAGGTACAAGCAGTTTCTTTTTAAAGAGAGGATGCTTAAGAAAAGTCTTGGCCAATGGATATGATATGATTGGCAAAATTGAGTAGCCTTTTCCAGGCAGAGGAAACATCCTAAGTGAAAGCAAAGAGGAGAGCATGATCTAAATTTGGAGTCGAGTAGGTCAACCAGGTGCAGAAGGTAAGCCTGAAGAGTAATATTGTCAGGGGTGGACGGTTATTGTGGAAACCATGTGTGCCAGAAGAAGGTGTTTTTAAGTATTTTGATTCATAGATAATAGGAAGTCATTGTAGTAGTAGTAGTAATAGTAACCACTGTGGGGTTACTACTATTATGGTTGTGAGAGCTGTATATTTCCTAAGCAATTAGCAGAGTCTACTAGTAGTGTGTCTTTCAAAAAGTAGATTAGTTAGTTGGTCTGGGTCTGGAGACAATTGCTATACCCTTCAGAAGGAGGGCCAGCATGGCCCTATGGAACTAGGTTTCCCATTTAGAAAAGGCCTGAAATGAGGGTTTTTAATGTTACCATGGAGTGACAAAGACACACTGACCAGATTAAAAAAATGATGGCGTTTTGCTCCTATTACTAGACCACACCACCGTTAGTAAATTGTAAAATATTCATTATGATGATAATAAATTCTAATTATTTTATGAATGGTGGAATTATATTGCATTGCATTTTTTCAATGTTGAACATGTTAATCGGTTAAATATAAACATTTAGAGTAAGCCACGCTATACGTAGTCCTGTTTTGACCTTCTTCATTTTTTAACATGGTGGGAGCCTCAAGAAACGAAGTGACATGGGCCATTTTTGACCTCAGAGATGCTTTGTCAAGGCTATAATATTTTCTTGTATGTTCAGAGCATTATCATTTATTAATCTTCTGTAGACTTTGCATTGATCATCCTAAATGATGTGGTTTGAAATACCAGTACTATGTAAACAGCTCATAGGATTTGTGCTAATCCAGTGTAACTCATGAAATTTACTTTTAATTATGAAACACACATTTTCATATTATTGCATGAAAATTAGAAAAGTTTTCTTTCCAAGAGAGGACAAAGAAAGGGCATTAAAATGTGCTATTAATAAAAGGTGCCAATATGAATATGAGGTTTATTCTTGGCCAGCAACACTTCAGATTTTGCCATTGTTGAGGGTTTATAGCCCAGGACAGTACAGTTAGGTCTAATGGGTCTAACTTTCTGTATCACACAATTGGAAAACCAAGATAGATTTTTAAGTAAGAAATGGTGTTCCCAGGTTTGTGTTTTAAAAGCCAATCCTGGTGTAAGTTAACTTAAAGTAGATTGGCACTGGCATTAGGGAGCCTGGTTAGGAGGCTTACACAGCAACCCAGCTACCAGATAATGAAGGGTTGGATTTGGAAAGTGACAAAGAAAAGGAGAGTTTCTGAGGCAAAAATCAAAACCAGTCAGTCTGACCCCAGTGCCTATGATATTTCTACAATTTCAGCTTCCTCATGAAAAAGAAGTATGGCAAGGGCTCTATCCTCTTGGTACTTATAATCTGGTTAGGGTATAACTAAAATAATTAAGATTAAACATTTAGAAGAATGGTGCTATCTCTGAGTACAGCAGGGGTGATAAATGTTGGTATAAAAATGTGTCCTTCTGTGATCTAAAATGTGGCCCATTTAGATTTCCTATAAATCTATTAGAATATTTAAGTTTGAATCTTTGGCTAGGATTATTTGTGAAGGCAACAGCCATGCATTTTAAGATTTTCTTAAATTCACAAAGATAGTTATTTAAATGATACTTAATGTTTTCATGCTATTGGGAGGAAATTATAAATTTATTTATAGTTACAAAGCATTAAGGATATTGTCACAGTATGTATATAATTAAATTCCTTATTTGTGTGGCTATGTAGTCATATATATTTATTTGAATCATTGATTTATACATCCTTATTTGCTGTTGCTGCTTTGTGCTTTTATTCTGATCCATACACAGAAAATAATGTATGGGCTTTTATTGAGCAAATCTCTTGATGGAAAGTAATTCCTGATGCATCAATCAACAGAGAATTGGTGGGACAAAATAGCATCGGTTTTTGTTTACATAGCTTAATAGTAAATACTCAGAATTTTTTTCTTTATTGAAATTATTAAATAAAAAATATATTCCAATAAAAGTAGGTGTTATTAACTTTTTCCCTGCCAACATTTCTTTTAAAAGGTTTTTTCTAATGTTTTAAAAAACATTTGCCCATCAGATATGTGAGGGAAAGAGATAAAGTACATATTTTTAATTTTGTTTTTATCTTTTATTGTAAAACAGCTTTAAAATTTTGTCATTGGTGTATATTTAGTTATATATTAATATTTTTATTTAGAAATATTTTATTATAAGTACAATAAATATTTATTTTCAAAAACGAGAATTGCCCATAAAAATAGAAAATTAACCTATACTACCAATACTCAAATATAGCCACCAGAATAACTTTTTTTTTTTTTTTTTTTTGGGAGACAGAGTCTTCTTCTGTTGCCCAGGCTGGAGTGCTCACTACATCCTTGACCTCCTAGGCTCACCTGATCCTCCCACCTCAGCCTCCCGAGTTGCTGGGACCACCAGTGTATGCCACTGCACCCAGCTAATTTTCATTTTTAAAAAATTTTTTTGTAGAAGTGGGATCTTGTCATGTTGCCCAGGCTGGTCTCATACTTCTGGGCTTAAGGGATCCTCCCACTTCGGTCTCCTAAAATGTTGAGATTATAGGCATGAGTCACCACAGCTGGCCAGAAATAACATCTTTTTTTTTGAGACAGTTTCACTCTTGTTGCCCAGGCTGGAGTGCAATGGCACGATCTTGGCTCACCGCAATCTCTGCCACCCAGTTTCAAGCGATTCTCCTGTCTCAACCTCTCTAGTAGCTGGGATTACAGGCATGTGCCACGACACCCGGCTAATTTTGTATTTTTAGCAGAGATGAGGTTTCTCCATGTTGGTCAGGCTGGTGTCAAACTCCCAGCCTCAGGTGATCTGCCGCCTCGGTCCCCCAAAGTGCTGGCATTACAGACATGAGCCACCGCACCTGGCAAAAGAACATATTAATGTCTATCTTTCCAGACTTTTTCTCCCAGAGGATCATTTTTATAGTTTTTATAAAAATGAGATTATATTGAACATACTATATTTATGTGTCTTAAATATAATATGATAATCCTTCCAAATTATCAGATATTATTCTACAACATCATGTTTTTTGAATACATACTATTCCTTTTTAGGAATACAATAATTCACTTAACTCCTCCCTTATTTGTAATGTTTGGATTATTTTTAATCTTTTCAAAAATAGTTCCTTTTATTTTTTAATGGCACACGCAAATAGAATCTGGGCATGTATATAGACCAGGTTTTTTTTGCTGCCTTACTGTGCTTTGTGACATACTGCTATGACCTCATTTTTACCTCTTTTTCCCTGTACACATGTAGCAAAGGTTGCTATCCATTTACTAGAGTCGGTGCTTTCCTTTTCTTCCTGTGCATCAACTAGACCACATTTCACAGCTTCTCTTGCAGTTACTGTGGCCACATCACAATATTCTAGCCAAAGAAATGTGACTAGAAGTCATATGCACCAATTATAGATCTGTTTCCAAGATATTTCCCATGCTTGAACCTCTACTATCTGTTTCTTTCCTACTGACTGGGATGGAGGCAACTCCTAGGCTAACCTTGGAAGCTGTGTGTTGATGATGGAAGAGCCATTGACAACCCAGCTCCTGCATAATAGAGTAAAGCTGCCTTGCCCCTATGGCTGCTACCAAACTGAAGCACTTTGGACTGTTATTTGAGCTATAAGTGAACTTTGATTGGATTTGAGCTATTGTGCATTTTTAGTGCACTTTGTTAGAGCAGTTAGTTTAGGCTGCTTTATCATATAACCCTAAATCTTACCTCCTTAATCTTCTAAATACTGAGAATTAAGGCTCTACTTTGTTCTCCATAGTCAGCTTCCCATACTATTTAGTTACCTTTTTCCTTTCTCCATTTGTTTTTCTAACATTCTCTCTTTCACTGATCTAGAACTAAGCTGTTAAAAATTGATAACGGGATAATGAGCCATCCCTCAAGGGTATTTTTATTTTAGTAGACTATTTGGGGGAGATTCAAGACCTTAAGCTGAGACAGTAACAAATGCAATTTTAATTAATATTTTTAAATGAATGTAATGGTTCTTAACTAAATCATAGAGCCATGTTGCCCATACCATCTATGATATGTTAACAGGTTTTAGGCCAAAAAGATATTCTGTTCTTAAAGACATTTCGACACCTGCACACTGTACCCATCTGTTGGCAGTGTACAGTTCATATGAGCATATGAAAGGCTGTGAGAAACATTGCAGTAAATAAACCCATCTCCTTTCTCTATCCTAGTGTTTCCAAAGTTTAATTTCCCATAGAAGCCTTCTTAAGGTTCTACCATTAACATCTTGGAAAACTAGCATTCCTAAAACTAGTGTTCCCTGGAACGCAGTTTGGGAAATGCTATCCCAGAATATTAGAATCCAAGGAAACTTTGACATACTTGACTGAGAAAAACAAATGAGAAGGACCATTTTAAATTTTGCCTGTAGTTCAAAAGAGATAAGTGGTTCTGATTCAAATAAAGTTGTCATTGCATTTTCAGAAACAGGTTTACTGAGTGGAATGCAGTGCCTTGCCAATAGCTGTCAACTCTGATTACCCTTTCCCCTGTCAAGAGTTTAAAAATAACAAGAACACTTGCATTTGTGAGAATTCAACTATTATTTTCTTCCTTGACATCTTTATAAGTATTATATATTATTTAATTCAGTCAGGTAATTAGTTCAACCTGCTTCTTTCTTGAATTTTAAGTTAGTACCTGTCCATATACTATAGGTAAATAGAAAAGTGATGAATTCTTGAAATTGGCATTTATTCTAAGTTTATCCTGTCTATCCACTAGATTGATATATATTTTTCCTACTCTACTATTGTCCATCAGTAAAGAATTTTTTACTATTTCGGTGAGAGTTAACTGGATATTCTAATCATAACATTATATAGGACTTTATCTTACCTCAGGAAAATAGGTGACCCAAGAAGAAAAATATTTAAAAGATAAAATATGTGGAGCCCTATAGCCAATGTTTGGGGTGTTTGGGTGTTTTCTTGAAGTAGAGATTTTTTTTTTTTTTTTTACTAACTAAGAAGATATATTTCAATCCACCCTAGTGATAGTGTCACAACACTGGAGGGGTGTTAAAGATCTTGTTTTACAAATAAGCCAGCTGAGGCCAAGAGAAGCTATGAGATTTGACCAACAATCAAAACTAAATTTCCCAACTCTGGAGTTTGTATTCTCTCCTCCATTTTATGCTGTTTCTCATTTATCTTTTAAAAATTCTGTTAGCTGGAAGAAGCTTCACACCAGGGATAATAGGTGACAAGCTCTAAGGCAAGATTCGTAAGAGACCTGGGAAGCCTCAAAACTGAGATTATTTTCCCCACAACCTGTCCTGTTTGATACAGTAGAGATAGACTCCTTCATATCTTTAAGATTTTTCCATTTTTAATGGCCTCTTTAAAAAAGGTAAATATGCCTGGAGGAATCTCTCCTAAACTCATGCTGAGTTAAAATTTTATCTCAGATTAGCTGATCAAATTGGTTTCTAACCACGAGAGCTGAGAACAACACCCTAGGTGAGGAGGGGGCATCATGGGCCAGGGGTAGGAAGTTGGTGTAACAGGGTCCTAGAACTTTGCCTAACCAAGTGTAACCAGGAAAAGCTCAAACTTTGTTTTTTTTTTAAGCTCAGCATATTTTAAATGAAATTAATTCTGAGCAGATAGATGGAATCATTGATACTGTATGACAGAAGTTAGAGCCAGGTGGCAACAACTTGGATTTGCCAACGCACATCTATGTTGAAAGCTTAAATTTCCCTCAAAGAGTTAATAAACTAATAAGCTAATTTTATCTGATATTGCCTTTCACTTAGTATGATAGCTGGTTATACTTGGAATAATTTTCTTTTATTTTGTATTCCTAGTGAGCTTCCTATGTTTGCTCAAGTTTGTAAGCTGTATTCTTATTAAATTATCATTACGTTGGTAAATGTGATTAGTTGCTTTTTGTTTTCACTTTTAAAACTTGCATTCTAATGTAATTCTTCTCCTTTGGGGATAGTATTGTTTTCATTTTTATTAATGACATTCAATTTCTGTCAATGGATATCAAATAAAATACAACTTTGTCGGCTTTGAGAAAAAGTACTTTCTGATTTTGATGCTCTAACTCAGTTGAGGGGGAAAACTGAAGAACTTCAGTATTTTCATGTTGTAAATGTTTTATTATTTCATTCTTAACAAATATGGAGTTTATTTCTATAAAAATTAAAACATTCACACACTTTTAAAAGTAGTTTTAAACTTGACTAACATACTTTATTTATATTGTCATGGTAATATCATCAACTATAACTATGTTAAACAAAGAAAACTTGAATAGTGAAACTCTGCATCTTTGTTCCTGATTTGTGACACCAACTTACTATTTTTTAAGAACTTTTCAAATAATGTTTCTTAAATTTCATAGCAATAATCCTCATGATTTGTTGTAATATAGATTCTTGATCCTTAGAGGTCTGAGGAAGGGCCAAAGAGTCTGCATTTTTAACAAGCAAGTTACAGAAAACAATTTGAGAAAACTGGCCTATATTAGTTTTCCATTGCTGCTGTAATAAATTACTACAGACTTAGTGACTTAAAACAACAAATGTTTATTATGTTATAGTTCTGTAGTTCAGAGGTCCAACAAAGGTCTCAGTGGGCTAAATTAAAGTGTCAGTAAGGTTGAGTTCCTTTCTGGAGGCTCTAGGGGAGAATTTGTTTTCTTGCCTTTTCTAACTCCTTGCCTGCTTTTTGTAGTTCATGGTCTCCCTCTTCCATCTTCAAAGTTGGCAACAAAACATCTCTCTAACACTGTGTTGCCATCTCATCTTTTTCTCTGACTCTTTTTTTTCTGCCACCTCTTTCCCCTTTTAAAGACCCTGTGATTACATTGAGCCCACCTGAATAATTGAATTATCTCTGTATTTTAAAATAGGGACCCAAAGGTCCATTGATTAGCAAACTTAATTTCCCTTTGCTATGAAAGCTCACGTATTTACAGGTTCTGGGGATTTGGATGTGGCCATCTTTGAAGGGCCATTATTTTGCCTGCCATACTAGCTTTACAAATTTAAGATGCACGATCATACTTGAAAATATTATTGATTTTTGTTTCCTAAGTGTTTTTACTAAAATTAGGTTAAGCCCCGACTAAGAAGAAAATATTAGAAGTCTTTTATCAACAAAATATTTTTATTAAAATAAGCCTAAACATTGACTATTACCACGAATTTTTAACAAGATAAAATATCACTAGTAAAAGATTTAAAGAAATATGAATACCTAAGTCAAATTATTACTATGTTTTTCAAATTTAGTCCCTATTACAACTCTGCTTAGTACTGGTTTTACCTCTTATGCAACGTAAATTATTAGCTCTTGTGTAGTATATTCACACTTCTAGTGTTTTGAGACTGAATCTAAAGCACTGTATTTAAAATATTCATGTATTTCATTTGATAATACTAAATATTTTCGTGAATTTGATCTAGAAACTGTGGGAGTCTGCTTTTACAGATTTCCTGTCTCCTTTAAAAATCTAGGTGGTTTTTTTTTTTTGGTGATAAGTAACATACCACTCAACTAGCTTAAGCAAACAGTGAATATTTAAAATTAATCTGATATCTGACGTGACCCATTTTTGTCTCTGTTTCTTTCTAAACCAGATTTCATTGTGTCAGAGTATATGGGACCATATATGACTAACCCATGTGTCTGCATTTACATGTTCTCCGTTAAACAGTAAGAGATTAAATCATATCTGAGTCCTCTGTCAATCTAAGAGATTGAATCATATCCAAATCCCTTTGAGAGAGAATCTGCTTGGTCTGGTTTTTATCAGGCTTTTGACCTTTACTCAGACATGTAATGACTGGCTGAGATAGGGCTATAGACTATAAATGTGGCATCTGGAACCCATACATGTGCTATTTTGGGGGAGATAGTGGGTGATCATGAACTAGGAAGATGAAAATCTACAGAGCTTAAAAACTAAAATCTTAATGACTAAATAAATAGCAATGGAGGAATAGCCTTTTTCCCATTCTCTTCCCTTGATACTACTGAATGTATGTGGACAGAGGAGGGTCCTTAGAAGGGCTAGTATTCAGCCTCAATACCGAGACAGTCATTTCTAGCCCACTTTTCTTCTAATTGGACAGTGCTTCATCATAACACTTGTTAAATACTTTGAATTTCACATCCTAGTACTTTCTTCAATTTTAGCAAAACAGGTAGAATCCAATAAATATTTAATTATCATGTAGGCATGTAGGAACTAAGAGTGATTGCAATGATATATATTAAAAGCATTTTTTATGTGACTCCTGGTGATGGTGTTACAATTTTAGATTCTGGCAACTAAATTTCTATATGATGACGAGAAGGGAAGAATATGAGGAGGCAGTGATTTCTCAAGTGAACTTTGAGAAGATTTCTGTTTTATAAAAGTGACATTACAGAAGCAATGTTTATTATCAATCTGTCAAGTTACAGCATTAAGTCTATATGAAGTATTACTTTTAGAAAAGAGGAAAAATATTTTGTTTTATTTATATCCATGTTACCTTGAAAATTATGTTATTAGGCTTCTTTGAAGTCTAGGATCTAATAATTTACTTACTTTAATTATTCTCAGTATTTTGTTAGTTTTTGTTTGTTTTATAGATAATAATAGCCAATAACTTCTTTTTAATAACAGAACTCTTCAATGTATTTATATTTGTTTGTAAAAATTATTTACATGGAATCCATCCAATGTTTTCATTTCAGGATTTATTTGTTGATAATTGCATGACTATAAATAGAATAAAAATTATAAGTGGGATATTTAATGATGATAAGCATTTGGCCCTTAGTTGAGGGAAGGTGTGATATTAAGGGGGTTATAATTAATGATCTTTAATCTATGACTTTCTGTTTTGGGAAACTAAGAGATATAGTTAATGGTTCTATCATGTGATTTTTCAAAATTAGATGAGAAGAATTATGTGACTTAAGGGAATTTACAAGCTACCATTTCCACACTAGACTTGAATTGCAAAGATCCTACTTACAAAAAATACCTTTATCCATTTGTTGTAGTTGAAAGTAGATTATTTAGTTTCTGATAATCAAGAAAACCTTAAGTTATAAGAAAAAATATGTGGTTGATATATACTGTTGATATCTTTTCAAATATACATTAGTGGTCACGAAGTATACTTGTACAGTCACAGTGGAGTCTTTTTAGATAGTTCATGAACCCCGTTGTGTTAGCTCCTTCATAATGCCTACCAATTTGCTTCATTTTTGACCTAGTATGACCACCTCCAGGGATCAGAGAGTTGTTAGGTCTTCATGCCTATTCAATACCAGGATTTTCTACAGAGACTGCCAACAAAGGTGCAAATTTTGATGTTCTCTATGTCTTTTTCCCCTTAATATGAGCACTTATGCAATATGGACTCAGCTAAAACTACTTGACTTTGAGTAACTAGTGATATAGCTAAGGTCAAACTGTTGCCTTAAATAGAGAGTTCTGAATCAATGGAAGCCTCTTCCTGGAGGTGTGTACTTGGATATGTGACCTGATTCAGTTTTATATCTTTGGCTGAATGACGCAGCAGGGTCTAGCTTTTGGAGGACAGCAGCTCAAAGGTATCTATGTTGTTTTTGAAAACATGAGAATTATACAGGGAAAATCACTGTGTTACCTCAGGTTTTCTAATAGAACCTGAAATCAGATGCATATATTAATAAATTTGCACAGTTAATACCTAACCAATTCTCATTGGAACATTTAAAAAGTCTTTGAAAAAGATCTTGCAATGTATGCTTCACCTTAAATGTCCTAATAAAATGCCCTACTATCAGTTTTGTATTTAATCCCTTTATATTTAGTTTCTTATTCCTCTTTCCAAGAAATGGCAGAATGAAGGATAAGAGAAGGTACTTATAATTCCAGGTGTTTGAAGACACTTGTCTTGACTCTTCGAAATGAGAAAGTGGCAAGTGTTGTTTTTTTGTGTTGGGCATGTCTCTGTGGAGCAAAAATAAGGAAGGCAGCAGAAGTGGAAGAGGACCAGATTTAGAGAAAGAGGTTCCATTCCCATTGCAAGAGCTTGAATAACTTAGAAAAGGTTTCTGCTTAAGTGGGCTGAAAAGGTAGATATATTTCCTCAGTCCTGGAAATGTAATTGAATCAGCACTCTAATGAATACATTTTTGAGATATTTCAAAATCTTAAAAAGGAGTCACTTCAACTCTCAAACACTACTTATCACTTCAATCTTTTTTTTTTTCAAATAAAAAGTACTAGGTTTTTTTTTTCTTTAAGTGAAAAGTTAGTGCTAACCACTCAACACAGAAATTTTATTTTAAACATTTTTTCATGCTCCAGGAGTATAGTTATAATTGTTAATTTCAGCAGGCCCATTCTTACTATAAAGTTTTAGCACGGTTTCCTATGAGCTGTATAAGGCATGACCAGATTTGTGTTATTTGCCCAGTATAAACCTAACTGTAGGCAAGAATTGTTAATTACACAAATAATATTAACAGTGTGACTATTGCCACACCCAATAATTTTCTTTTTTTCTTTTTTTATTTTCAGATAATTGTCTTTTATATTTAAAGAAAAAAAGAAAAAGCAGTTGATTACATTTATACACAACTTTCTTCTTTGTCTAAAAATTTCACCTTGTCAAACACACAGTATGGAAAGTTATAGATATGGCAATAAGGCTTGTATAATTTTCTATTTTTTAAGAATTTGCAAACTCAATAATTGCAAGAAAACAGTAGCCTAAACTCTCAAAGCAGATTTAATAATAGTGTACTTTACTGAGGTCTCTTTTTGGAAGATTTTATTGCTTAAAAACAATGTAGTTCAGGACAACTACTAGAATACTAAAAACTTGATTATTTACAATTAAGTAACACTGGTTCAAATATTTTATTTCTTTTCATTTTGGATTATTTTCATCATGTTTAATAGCAACATCAGTGAAGCTGCCATGGCATAATACACAATTTATTTTGGAATAGCATAGAAGCTCATCTGTATAACAAGAGTTAATATGGTGTTTCAAACTCTACAAAGTTTACAATTTTATTATGCCAAAAATTAACATCAAAACTTTGTCAAATTTAGGGAAATTTATATTGGTGGAATGAAAGTTTTAAAAAATGGTTGATTTCTCTGCTTAATTCCATACAGTGTATACTAAATATAAATAATTTCATGTATCTAGTCATGTAAAAACTCACTGAATCCACATCATGTACAAGACAGTTTCATGTCTTTCCTCAACTGGCTCACATTTCTAGAAAGGTGATAAGATGAAGCACAAATAGGCCGGGCGGAGTGGCTCACGCTTGTAATCCCAGCACTCTGGGAGGCCGAGGCGGGCGGATCACGAGGTCAGGAGATCGAGACCACGGTGAAACCCCGTCTCTACTAAAAATACAAAAAATTAGCCAGGCGTGGTGGTGGGCGCCTGTAGTCCCAGCTACTCGGAGAGGCTGAGGCAGGAGAATGGCGTGAACCCGGGAGGCGGAGCTTGCAGTGAGCCAAGATTGCTCCACTGCACTCCAGCCTGGGCGACAGAGCGAGACTCCTAAAAAAAAAAAAAAAAAAAAAAGAAGCAGCACAAATACAGTCATATAAGCCAGTTAATGGGATTAGAGTTCAAAGCAGGGAGTGGTCACTTTTAGATCAGCAAAGGACGGTTTCATGAAGACAGTGCTAGAGGTATAGAACCATAAATTTCCGAAATGAAAGGGCTTTTTATTGTACAGATGAGACCAAGGCCAGAAAGTATAAAAACTTGTCTGAAGTCATGTTATAAAAATATGATAGCACTTGATTAGTTAGAATCCAGGTTCCATGACTTTTTGTCTAATGGATCTTTTAAAATAGTGGCTTTACTGAAGTGTAATTCACATACCATAAATTTACATTTTTAAAGTGTAAAATTAAACATTTTTTAGTATATTTATAAAGCTGTGTGACTATTAACATTATCTAACTTGAGAACTCCAAAAAGAAACTCTGTACCCTTAAGCACACTTTCCATCCTTTCCACCTTGAGGTGTCTGTTAGGGCATTTGTCCCATTTTTCAAGTGGTTGGTTTGTTTTCTTACTATTGAGGTTTTTTTGGTTTTGTTTTTGTTTTGTTTTTTAAGTTTAAACCCTGCCTTTCTGTCTCCCTTTCTTTCATTATACTTTAAGTTCTAGGGTACATGTGCACAACGTGCAGGTTGGTTACATATGTATACATGTGCCATGTTGGTCACACCCAATAATACTGATAGAATTCTTTAGATAATTGTGATAAGCTGTCACTTCTGATTTGCATTGGTCCTACCTGGAAGTTCTCATTCTATTGGGAGTTAAGAATAGGAAAAACTAGTAATGATAGACTATTAATTTAAAAAAATGACAAAACATCATCTGTAATTCTATTGTTTAAAAATGTGTAGAGTTAGAAAACAATGAGAAAAGATAAATACTAAAATGCTACTAACCATTATAAATGAATCAAGGGGGATTTGAGAAAAAATTTAGACATAAATAGTAAGAAAATAAAAGTACTAGGAATGTCTTCAGACAAATTTGTAGCGATAGCCAGACAACATAGTACACTCTTCCCCAGAGAAAATTAGCATATACTGTATAAATTCATGTGGATATTCATGTTGTACATATACTCCAGAAAAGTTATATGTAAAATATATGAAGTTCAAGAAGAACACTTTACTGGAACATGGTTGGTCCAAATCATGATCATCTCTAACTGTAATACCAAGTGTCAACCTTAAAATGCTAATGATTGACCTCAAACTCCTTAATTTTCTATATAGTCCATCCCATAAATAATATAAATTTCTAATAAGAATTACTAAAAAGTATATTTATATGTTTCTAATGTTTTAAAAGTCACACAAAACAAAATGATTTGAATTGAGCAGGATTGTAGCTTTTTCCATTTTTATTAAACAGGGCTTCGTGTTTTTGGTATACAACTTTGAAAGGTTTATGAAAGAATTTTAGAGATCAAAGGGTTAGAAAATTAACTGGAGGTTCTATAGGGATTTTGTGTTAATCATCAATGTATTCAAACTGGGGTTAAATACTTTTTTCTTTCTCAGATAAAAATTCAGAATGTTTAGTGTAGATGATAAACTTATTTTAAACAGGATTTTTTTAAGCAATTAATAGTTTGATCTTTTTATCTCATTTTAGAATTTATTGTGGACACACAGCCTTTATAAAATGAAAATAATTTTAGAATGTCACCATCAATTTTTCTTTACTGTTACTTACCTGTTTCTTTGTATTGATTTTTTTTTAAGTGAAACCACATTGCAAATAGTAATGGGCACCACAAGGAATTACAATGTATTTTTGTGATTAATAGATGGATAGATTCCCAATCATAGTCCTGGTCTCAGTTCCAACAATCCAATTTGTGCCTTTTTGGGAAATATTCATTTGTTTATGGCATACCTTTCTTATTGTAAAATATAGGCAAAATTGTTTCACTCTTTTAAAATATTAACATAATTAAGTCAGAGTATTTTAAAGTACTTGGAATAAAAGCCTACAAATATACTAACAAGTGGCACAGTCCATCATCCTAAAAAGAAAACATTGAAACAGTGAATATGAGACTAAGTAGTGGACTAATATTGTTATTTTTCAACTTTCTAGTGGCTTATTCTGAATACCTGTTATGCCTCAGACTTTTTAAATTGTGCTTTCTTTCAAGGATGTTCTATGAATTATTTGCTGAATTTCTTGGGCATTTTAAATAAAATATTATTGCTTTCATTTTGTTACCTAGTTTTTCGTGAGGAACAATTAATTAAAATACACAACAGATGAAACAATTAGATTTCCTTTACTTTCCACACAAAATTGGTTTACGGAACTTCGGCATTTTACTGGAGCAATTAAATTTCCCAGTATGAATACATTTAGCTACGAATTTAACAGCTCATAAACTAATGCAAAAAATTGTCAAATTACTGGGCCTAAAAGTGGCTTAATCTATCTGTACTATCTTTAATTATTTCAAAGGTCTTATGAAGAAGGTTCTAAGGAAGAAGAAAGGTAGCAGGAAAAAGAAAGGAAAGAAGGGAAAGAGGAAAAGAGAGAGAGAGAGAAAGGAAGAAAAGGAGGGAGGGAGGGAAGGAAAGAGAGAAGTCATTTGGCATTTATTTGAAAGTAGAGTCAAGCTTGCTATTTGGTGGCAGAATTGCTAACTGGGTGTAATAAACCACAACACAGACTTCACAGAAATGTTATGTAGTCATCTTAGAAGCGAGAAGTTCATTTTGTGGTTTTAGTTTGAGATTATAGCTGCTTTCCTACTTAAAGTAGGAATTAGACCCATGGAACTCTCCATTATAATTTATTATCTCATTCTGAGACTCATTCTATCTAAAGCAGATGCTCGGCCGCTTATGTTTAGTAGTTCATGGGGCCTCTACAGTAATATTTGGGGATCAGCAGTAACATTTGCTGTCATCCTTTTATACTCATGAAAAAATAGATGTTAAGATAGCTAAATGACTTGCTCAAGGTGATATAGCTAGTATTTGGGCCTGAACCCTAAAAAGCATGCATGCCATTGATTGTAATAAGATGTGTTTTGTAAGCTAGTACCATACAGAGTACCTGGCACCTGCTTGTCATTCAGCATATATTTGCTGAATGAATTAATGACCGTAAGAAATAAATTCTTCTGTACCCTAACACCACAGCCTTTCTGTTAAAATCACAGTTTGTCTGTCATTTTGCCTGATCCGAGGAGGTTTTTATATTCTTTAAAAAACTTTGGAAATGGGATGTCTTACTCTTTCTTATTAGAGTTATGATGCTTCATACTAGTTGTAGATTCAATTCCAGGTTTATATTAAATATGGAATTAGAATATTGAGTTTTTTCCCTGATAGGAAATTTTAGATTTTTGTACATGTTTTAAAATCAGTATTGTCATGGTCATTTTAGAAATATATTATGGCTTTTCTTTAAGGCTGGGTCTTTATTGAACATGTAGGGAGCCAGTATGTTCAATTTCATAGAATTTTCATGTGAGCATTTCCAACTGTGCCTATCAAAGGTGGACTAGACTTCCTGCATCAGAATCACCTAGGTGCTTGTTCAAATTCAGATTCTAGATTTCCAGGGCCTAACCTTCTAGACTTTAAATTAGTTTCAGGACCACTGATCTATAAACTAAGATCTGAGGACTATAGACACATTTATTTTCATGTTTGTATAAATATTCTTGAAAAGAAATGAGTTATAAAATTTTTTAAAATCTCAGTTGCCATTTTTATTAGATTATAAGAAACTCATACTGGAATGATAAATCAGTTTGGATATTCATAAAATAATGACTAGTGTAAATCATGAAAATGGTAACTGGGGAATGAAACTTTGATACATGCTACAACATGGGTGAGTCTTGAAGACGTTATGCTAAATGAAATAAGCCAGGCACAAAAGGACAAATATTGTATTATTTCACTTTTATGAAATACTAAATAGCAATATCTTCGTATATGTATTATGATCTAATCATCATCAAATACTTGTTTTTTTATAAGTGCAGGTAACTGACTTGGGACTGAATATAATGAGAAGGGTAACACTACCTTCATATCATCTTATGGTCTACTTATAGAATCAGAATTAATATATAGATAAGCAAATATGTAGCAAATGAGAATTTTTAAAATGTTACATATTATCAGGGCTGAAGAAATTCAAAAGATATGAGAAAATCTTTGATGAATTTCAGACTCTGTTTTGGTGTTGTGGTTAATTTTTCACATTTAGATAATCATTGCTATCAGTTCTACTGTGCCCATACGTTAAAAAAAATCCATTTTCACATTTATTTCAAAGCTGTTTGCTACTTCTAGTTTAATGTTCCAATATTTGAATATGAAATTATATTACTGAGTTTAATGTGACTAAAAGTAAGCAGGAAAAACTGATATACTGTTAGTTTACATACTTTTAATTAATACTGAAAACATTCATTTTTTATGTGTGGTAAGATTTCTAAACTGTTACTATGACACTATAACCCATTGCAGTGCTAGTGTGTCTCTTGACTCATATGAAGGGAATAGCTTAGCACCAAAGCCACCATTCAGAACAAAGAGACTGTCTTGGAAGGTGATATGACACTAGGTCATTATGTTACTTCAGCTGTCTCTAGCACTAAAACATCTAGAAGCTGTGGTCCTGAAAATTAACTTTCTGGATCAAGATAGTTTATTAGTTGGCAGTTAAGAAATTCTGCATGCATTCTCCAAAGCTAAGGTTAAGGTAATAAAGCAATTGAGCTTTTCAGCACTTAAAGAAAGGTGGAGGTGAAATGAAATAGCCATTCAAAACAGCAAATAATTAATTGAGTCTCTTTGTTAACAGGCAGGAGGTCAAGTACACATAGCCACAGCCATGATACAGTCTGCATTCTAAACAGCTGAGTCTTTGACTTGAAAGTGACTAGATTGGATTTTTGGGAACTATTTCAAATGAGATATTAATTTAGAAGGGTAGTTATACAGCTTGAAAGGTACTGTAAGAGATTCAAATGGTCATTTACCATACATTTTGTCTTCTTATTTCTATAGAGTTATAATTTTGACTTTCCTTTCTTTTCCTTTTATTTTTTAAACTCATGTTATATATCTGTTTTTAACTTATAACTAAGAATTCTACAGTAGGATAATGATCATGTGATTAGATCAGTGTAACTATGAATAGATAGGCTTGTATATATTAAAAGTTAACAAAAATGAAATAAGATGCTCCAGGAAACATTTGAATTAACTACATATTTATCATAGGACTCCTCTGAACATTGCATTTATATTTTTAAAGACTGGAATTATAAGGACTTAAGGAATTATAATTGTAAAAGATGAGATGTTTACAAAATTTTTCTCCTACGTATAACACAAAACAAGATAGCAGTAAATAATTGTGTTTAAAATAGAGGGCCAAAAGCAAACTTGCATATTTTCTAATTGACAAATAATATCTGAAAATAAGTGTCCAAAATACACAGAGGGTGGTGCTGAAGAAAATCTTTGGGAGGAAGAATAGGAAAAGACCTGGAACATTTCTTGGATGGGGATGTAAAGAATTAGAGGAAGACATCTGAGTGCCAGTGAACAGCCTGGAGGGATGGGCATTGTGCTGGAAAAAGCAAGGCAAACAGATGGCAGCGGTGAGAAAGAACTGATAAAGGGTGGGAGAGACATGGTATGCATCAGTAAGGCTTTGGGGCTCTATATTTTAAAACGAAACTGAATCAGAGGATTTTGTGAGAAGTATTTACTTGATTTCATATCTTTTTCAGAAAGGCATTTTATTTTAGGTAATACGGTTAGACTATTTAAAAGTTTTAAATAGAGTTTAACACTGTTATGTAAATCAAAATATCTATCCATGTGGTCATTCCAAAGCATGGTGCCATTGCCTACAAACCCACTCTAATGTGGATTAGATCCCACATATTTCATACTGGAGATCTTTCTTAATCACTGATGTTTGTGCCCATGTCTCTTGGCAAAGCTCCCATGTTAGAGTGAAACGAAATCCCCAAGTTTCTGCCATTCAGATGAAGAATGGTGGGTGGTGAGCATATGTTTCTGAGAAGTTGCTTTTATTTAAATCAAAGCCTCCTTCTTACATTTAACCCACAGGCATTTAAGACCAGTTAAAGATTATTTCCATTAATTCTTTTTGGCCTTATTTTTACTCAATTGTAGAGGTATTTGAGGACTATTAATGGTTCTTATACCTGTGTCTGGGAGAGACTTATTAAGCTTCAGCTGTGGGAACCACATAGCTATCAGGACCCATGCAAATTTCGTCCACACATGAAGATGACGGTTTGGCCCCATTTTGACTTAATAATCTCCCACTCTTTCTTTAAAGAAAGTTGTTGGTCATGTTTGAGCAATGGAATGATGGTTTCAGAGTCTGTGAAATGTACAACTCACAAAGAGCATCAACATGACAGCTGTAGAGATTAGAGTCCATTTTGTATGTGTACAGAATTAGGGGACCGATGCTCTGAAAAGCAGGCAAGCCTTCTCACATTAATCAATGTCTTTCAACCTAGAATCAAAGCAGCTTCCTGCAAGGAACAACACTTGTGGGCGGGCACACATGGTCTGTTTCCATTTTAAATGGGTACCTAATTATTTGGAATAAGATTTTATGAACTAGAAAAAAAGTGGCTATAGGATGTGTGTACTAAAGAATAATAGAAAAAGGTAAATCTTCGGAGAAATTATAGCCTCAACATACTCACTGTTTTTATGAAAAACACATGCCTCAATAAATTTTATAGTTATTGCTGACTGTGTACAGTCAACTAAAAATAGCAGGTCAGAATCTTTAGCTTCTTGAAAGGATGCATCACAGGTTGAGATATGGTTGTGATTTTTGGAAAGGGATTTCTTTGGTGTTCTATGTGTAGAACACTGGCAGCTAGGAATTTTTCCCCAGATTTATTAAGGTATGACCGACAACTAAAAATTATATGTTTTTACAGTATAAAATGTGATGATTTGACATATGCACACATTGTGAGATGATTAACTCTAGCTAACATAGCCATTTCCTCATATATTTATCTTTTTGTGTGTATATGGTGAGAACATTGAAGATCTACTTTCTTAGCAATTTTCAGGTATATAATACATTATTATTGACTAGAGTCACCACACTGTACAATAGATCTACCCTTTGACCAGCCACTCCCCATTTCTGCCCCCAACCTCCACCAACAATCTCTGGCAACCATCATTCTATTCTATTGACTGGGAATATTTTGACCTCTGCATTTTCTTACAAACAATAGAAGTTTTTCAGGCTAACCTAATAAGGGAAAGGACAAACATAGGAAGAGTGAGTAACAGCATGATAACCAAACTTTCCCTCATTCTGAGGTGCCTGTTAAATGAGTAGAACCCTAACATAGCAACTTTGAAGATCTGTCTTCTCCAAGTCAGTGCTTCTGTGTTCTCTTTGTGGAATCCATAGGCAGCACTCTCTCTTCTTAGTCACCTGGCTGTGTTTTTCTGTCTACTCACTGCTCTGTACCTCTCTGGCTTGGTTTACCCTAGTGAGATAACTTCTGTTCGTCCTTGGAAGTAAATCTCCCCTGTTTTTCTTCTGTTGTTGCCAAAGTTCCCTTATGATCTTTCACAGTCTTTTTTAACCCCTGACCTAAATTTTGCCATTCTTAACTTACCTCCATTCTCCAAAAGATATTTATTCTCAGCTGCCAAAAATCCTTTCCAAATTAACCTCTTCTCTAGCTCTTTCCCCCCTCTCTATAGCTCCATGTAGTTTATCCAGCAGAAAGGAAAAAGGTAATACTGGAAGACTTAGAAACATATGCATAACATTAAGAATAGGAGATATTTAATTTAATTTTAGTATTATTTAGGTTAAAGCATTGACAAACTATCATAGTACAAGTTATTGCAATATAAATAGCAGAAAATTAAATATATAGAAAAACTTTCTGATAATGTAGCAACTGGAGCTAGCTGAATGAGTGGCTGTCAAGCTGAGCAAATAAATGGTAATGCTGTTTTTAGAGGTGATCAGTTGAGTTGATTTTTTAAAATCCCAAGCATCATGTATTTTTTTTTTTTCTGGAAACAATTTGCTAATACTATTCCAGTCTACAATTGGGGGCATAAAGTTGACCTTTTCAAAGGAGTAAATTGTGTGTAGTTACTGGTGCCTGAGAGCTCTTTTGCAAAACAATAGCATTAGGGTTGGAACAGAAATGTGTCAGGATACTTCATATTCTACTTATGTTCTAACCTCCACACTGTCAGCATTCTCCAGGAGAGTGAGCATTTTTGAGAAATTACAATAGTATCATTGATTATGTGGCATCTCACCTCTCCCCACACATACACCTAACTCAGTTTTACTAGGAAATTTTGAATCCAGTAGCACAGTTTAAACATTAATAATGCATATCTCGATTGTCACTAGAAAGCATATTAATCAAAAGAGATATGCAATAAAGACAATGGAATGGATACAAATTTTCAGGCCATAAATATCAGGTATGCAAAAATATATAACTTTATTTTGCTGTTGCTGATTTTAAGTGTCCTATTGCAAGCAAGACTTAAGTGTCCTATTGCAAACAATGCTTTTCAATTCAGGATAAATGTAAGAGCTTTCTGAGGCAACTCAAAACAAATTAAGTCTGTTTATAGTTCTTTATCTTGTCAGAACAACATCTAAGCTCCAGAAGTTTATTGTGTGACGGCATCAGGGGAGGGACCCTGCACCTTGATGGACACCTTTCCTTGCTGGCATCCATGGGATGGCATGTTGGCCTGTCTGATTCTCAGTTGTAAAGGTTCCTTTACTAACAATCCCCAATGCTGGCAACCACTGAAGTGTCTCCGTTCCCATCCGTGTCTTTCCTCACCCTGAAAAAATATCATATGGTAACCATAAAATGCTGAAGGTAAAATGCTCAAGACTAGCCTTATGCTTACTTTCTTCACTTTTACCAAGATGCTTTCTACCCTAAGCTTGGCATCTCATACCCTACAATATCACTGATATCATGGCAAACTGGCGAGTAAGCTGTGTTGGGCACAAGCTGACTGCTGTGCCATTCTTCAATAACATTCTCCAGGTGGCTACAGGTACTTCTAATATTTTGCATGGACATTGACTTAAAGGTCCCAACCTCAGTTCTTGTATACTAGTATTCATTCTGCAATTCAGTTGGTTTGCCTTCTCTGTGCCATATAGATGGCAATGGATATGGTTTGATATAGAAAATACAAATAGCTTGCTCTTTCAGGGTGTTTTGTGGTATGAATATCCTTCAAACCTACCAAAAATATGTGGTACTATTTCCCAACCTGACTGAAACCAAATATCTAAAGCTGGTTAGCTTAACTGAAGTGTTACGGTTATGAGGCTAGATTGATGGATTTATTCCTTGGAAGAGCAGTTAATTTTGTTTTATTCCATGATGTTAAGTGGTATTCCATGCAAAGCCATACTCAGTGAGGTAGTTTGGATGAGGGGTTGAAACCTAGCTTGACTAAGGGGAAAGAATGCTTCCGAGTGCATGTCCATCTTTGGGAACAGAGCGGTGGTGCTTCTATATGAAGGTCTGCACTTGGGAATCTGTATTGAAAGAGTAGTCAGTATGTAAATTTATGTTAGCATTCACGTCCTTCATTTCCACAGATATGTTCAACTTTAAGCATATTCAATATATTAAAATCAAGTTTTACAAAATAAATTAGGGAATATGATTTTCACAACCAGAAGTTTCTTTATAGATCCTTTTTAAAGTTCCTTTAAAAGCCATAACTCCATGTTACGTGGTAGAATACATGTGCACACACACACACATTTTACATATGTGCTGTATATTGTTTCTGTGCTGTATATATTCATTTACATACAAATTATTCTAGATGGTGAGGTAAATTGTAATTATATTAAATACTTGAAGATTGCACTATTCTGTGTTTTGAAATGCTTGAGTTAACAAACTGTTGGAAATTAATTTATTGTTATGATTATACTAAATTCCTTAAGTTTTTCATAGTTAAATGAAGACATTTGTTTTTCAGGATCAAAAATACTCAATTACACAGCTCTTTTCAATTATAGAAGTTAGAGTCATAAATACAAATTTAATTGATTTTACATAATCCAGGCTGATTCACTAATAAGACCAGTTGTCACTATTTGCTTATTAAATTTTTCCTAATCACATTTGGTGAAAGTGAAATAACTCCAACATTTAACCAAGAACACTTTTTATCAATAAACAACAGTTCAGTTCTTTAAAGTTCATTCTGTTGTTGTTTCATCAGTACTGTTAAAATACATTTTCCTGTGTAAGGAATTGTAGAAGATAAATCTGAAACATAAAGGTGATATTTCTGCTGCTGCCTTCTTAGGTCTCTAGAAACCTGACTGGAATCTCTCCAGTGTCCTGAAAGATTCTATTTCTGCTTAGTAGCCTGATTCAGGTAGGGTATGCTCTGAGAGAATGGCCAATGTAGATAAACCATACCTTTCTTATTCCATCCCCACCCCACAAAATGAGACTGTGTAAGTCACATTGCTTGAAATTTGACTCTATTTTCATTAAAGTTTTCTATACACTTAAAAATCTTCAGCCCCTGCCTGAGGTTTCCTTTCCCATGATCTTTCCTTCCCCTTCTAGAAAATAAGACAAATTTGAAACATTAACATGGGTTCTTGCCACTTCATCTGTACGTCATTTTGCCAGTAATGAGGCTCTTGGTTGGGAGCATTCTCGGGGATATCAGGACAAAAGTGATTGTTAGGCATTGTATATACATATATCATTTTCTGAAACTACAAAGCTCCGTGCTTGAGAGGATTTTATGAATGAACCCCAAAAACAACTAAAGTCTATAGTTTATTTTGTTTAATTTTGAAAGATTTACATGATGCAAGGGGAAAAAGGTAGCTGAAATACTACTGACCTACATAAAAATTTTGAGAGTGCTAATTAATGAAACGGTATTGAATTTTATAAATGAATCATTAAAAATGAGGCAGTATGTACAAAGTTCACACTACTGATAGTGAAGCAAGTGTACAGAATCCAAAACTAAAAATTATTCGTTTTTATCTTGATTTTACAGATAATACCTATCTAATTTAAAATAAACCTGTGCTTTTCAATATGGATTCAGTTATATTTAGTTTTGCTGTTTCTTTAGCTAATTGTGTAATAAAAGTTGACCAAACCTTTACAATGCTTTTCTTGTTCTCCCATGAAAGAGAACCTGAAAATTCTTTTATTAGAGGGCTTAAATATAGTCTATCCATGTAAGTCTTAAAAAAGGATTGTAACTCTTGTCTTAGGCCCAGTTAATTGATCTCCTTTATGAATTTATTATAGAAAGGGGTGTCTAAAATTTACTGAGTACCTACGATGTGATAGAATTCCTGCTAGACCTTTTATGCGTTTTCTCTCACTAGTTACATGATGCTCTAGGTAGGAACATTTTTCAAGATTTCTAGACTCATATGCCCTCAGGTACTACACATTTGTGAAACAAGCTGGCGGGACTGTGGCAAATCGTCTGCTTCTCAATTCTAATGGACTTTTTTTTGAGACAAGGTCTCACTCTGTTGCCCAAGCTGGAGTGCATTGGCGTCAACATTGCTCACTGCAGCCTCTACTTCCTTGGCTCAAGCAATCCACCTAACTCAGCCTCCTGAGTAACTGGGACTACAGGCACATGTCAGCATGCCTGGCTAATTTTGTATTTTTTGTAGAGACGGGGTTTCACCATGTTGCCCAAGGCTGGTCTCGAACTTCTGGGCTCAAGCCATCCATCCTCCTCATACTTCCAAACTGCTGGGATTACAGGCATGTGCCACTGCACCCAGCCTCCAGTGGACTTTTCTCATGCAAGAATGTGCTACTAGGGTTGCCAGATCTACCTGTTTTTTCAAGAGAAATAAATTTATATGACGTCTCCTATTTGCTTAGCTAGCTCCAAATTTTTTTTTTTTTTAATGCATGAATCAAACAAAATATTCCTGTAAGCCAGATTTGATGGTCTGGCCACTGGTTTAGGATTTCTGATCTAATCTTACCTTCCTGAAAATGAGTCCCAGATAGGTTATGTAGCTTGCCTACAGGGAGCAGCTCACTTACAGCAGAGAGGAATAGTAACAGCAAGACTCTATTTCCATTTCTCTCCAGTCCATGGATTTGCAGGGCACAAGAGGACCATCACATGGTCACCAAGTGGAAAATTTGGGTAATAGAGAATGGGCAATATTAAAAGAAGCAGAGGAAGAGCCAGATATACTCCAAAGCCTTTTAGCTCTAGCCATTGTGAAAACCATGCTAAACTCTGGCAACATTTTTTCAAATTTGACAGGGAAAGGAGGTGATAAGCTATCATTTGATAATACTTTTTATCATTGTGTTGAGTGGACTTTTCGTTCTACTTTCATGATAAAAGAATAGAAAAACATATATTTTTAAAATTATAATGATGTAAAGTTATATGGCTTAATGCATGCTTTATCCTTTAGGATAGTGAAAAACATTCTCTTGTAATAGAAGCCATCCCCAGAATATTCGTTTTTCCTTTCACCTCAATAATAAAGCATTAGATTTAGGCCTCTTGGGATATATGCAATGTAAATAGTGTCCAATACATGGTAGTATTTTTAAAGGTTCAGTGATTACATTAGACTGTGGCTAAGGTTACTTTAATTCTGTGATAATCTGGGCCAATTCTGAACCATATGAATATAAAAATCTACCCAAGTCACAGAGGGAAGTTTTAAAATTTTATCATAAATGGGAGAAGAGAATGCTTAGACCTAGGGTTAAGTTATTTATGTGACACCAGGATCAGGGTGGGGGTGGTCAGGAAAAGAGAAGGTGGGACATATGCTAATCTCTCCATCCCCACAATACTAGAGGGGTCTCTTGAGTATGCCAAAGTAGCTTTCAAGTGCTCCCAACAGGGTGAAAATTATAACTTTTTGGGAACATAAAAAAACATGAAATTAGTGACAGAGACTGGAAATTCTATTATGTCTACATTAGACCCCACTCCTTGGCCTGCAACCATTCTGGTTACAGACATTCTCTGCCATACCACACAGAGCTGCTAAGACTCATGCAGTAAAGAAACAATTCTAGGCTCCTCATCCAAGTCTCTGGAGAAATCTTGCCAAATTAAATCATAAGCATAAAACAGAATGTTTAAAATCCACATCCCAGAAACAAATATTGTAAAACATTACTTATTATGAAAACACTAAACTTACAAATTTAAATGTAAATTTTAGTATTTATTGGGGAACATCCATTGTATTCCTCAAGTAAAACATAATCCTTCACTTGTTATTCTTCACATTTTCTAGGAGATAGGAAAGTGGCCAAGAAAATTAAGACGAAGAGAAGTTTAATAAGTTTCATGATGTAAATCTGTATAACTCTCTGAGCACTTCTGCTGAGATCAAAGTAATGCATTCAACAGCCTAATGATTAAAATATAGATATAGATTTTGAGCAGTAATGGAATTAATGTTAGTAATAGCTTTTTTCATTCTGAAATTATTTGATTAGATTCATGAGTTTAATATTACATTAAAATTTAAAGATATATTTGAAGTAGTAATTTGTAAAACTTTAATTATATAGATAGCTCCCTTTGCATACTCTATTTTGCCTCAGGATCTTAAAATATAGATTATTTTAAAATATAGAATACCTTTTAAGAATCTCAAAAGCTTAAACATTGTTGGCATAAAATATTTTTTACACTGATAGGTGTTGCTTTTTATATTATTTCATTAATGTTAATCTCACCTCAATATTAGGCAGTAAACTTGATAATTAATTCAGGTCTTACCTCTATCTTGGAGCATGTCTTCTTGGGTAATGTCATATAACACAAATAGTTGTCATCCGCTAAAGGATATCCCAATAATGTGGACCAAAAATCTGGGCATGAAAGCTTTTATCCACACAGAACTTTTCCTTTTCCTTTTGTTTTAGAATCTTCTTGCTTAGTTCCCAGTAAAAATGGATGCACATTTCTCTCTCTGCTATTACAGATGTGAAGTCATGCCACAAATAATATTTTCTAACATACGGTTTCAATCCATACATTCTGTTGATATTTCCATATCACTAAATATTCTTCTATAACATCATTTTTAATGACTGTATTTTATCATGTGAGTGGGACTATGGTTTATTTAACCTGTCTGCTCTTGTTGAATTTTTTTCTTTTTTAAAATAGACAGTAATGCTTTAACTATCCATGTGGCCAAAATTTGGCATACATTCGTAATCATCTCATTAGGATACATTTCTGGAAGTATGATTATTATGTTTAAAAGAATATAAAATCTTGATATTGTGTTATAGAAAGGCATGTTACATGACCAAACAGTTTATATAGAGAGTACCAATGTCCCTAATCCCTCAACAGCAATTTATTTTTATTATTAGTAGTACATCTTTGTCAATATAGTAAGAAAGTGTTTTAATATCCATTATTTTGATATGCAATTATTTGATGACCACTGAGGCTGAATAATATTTTATACTTTCCTAGTTTTTAAAATAGGAGACATGGGAGGGGCACTTTTCTAAAAGGTCTATAAGTAACCCTGCAGAGAGTATCTTAATTTCATTAGCTTGAATATGCCCATACCCCTCACTTCAGCTGTACATTAATGACATTAAAGTTATAGAAATATAATATTTACTTGATTTAATAAAGGGATGAGGCCAATCAAAACTCTGATCAAATTTCATTTTAAAATAAAAAAGTTAACTTAGTGAAAAACTGTGAAACTAATTGTTACAAATAAATGCAACTAGCTTACGTGATTTCATTTTCTCTGCAAGACATATTGTGAAATATAAATCTTATTGAAAGTGCACATTTCCTTTGATGAAATGTACAGTTTGAATATATTTGATCTTTTCAGTTTTTGCACATTTACATTCCTTTTAAAAAGTACTTCAATTCAAAATGTGACTTGAATTTAAAATATTTTTATCTATGCATGATTTTGAAATACATATTAAATGATCATTTGTGTGATGCATGAGATGTTTCTTGAAATGCGTCTGTTAAATCAAAAGACTTAAAATGTTATTGGCAGGAAATTGACCATATTAAGATAGAGTTACCCATTGCTACATGACAAATTACCCCAATGTCTAGCATCTTAAAACAACAAACGTTTATTATCTCACATATTTTCTGAGGGTGAGGAAACCAGAAGCATCTTAGCTGTGTGGTTCTGACTCAAGGTCTCTCACGAATTTGCAGTCAAACTGTTGACCAGAGCCACAGTCTCTGAAGACTTGACTAAGTACGTGCTTTGAAGCTCACTAATGTGACTGTTAGCCGACCTTCCTTCTTCACCACGAGTCTCTCCTTAGGCTGCTCAGGACAGACCAGACTTCTAGAGTGATCCATGAAAGAGATGTTGGAGGAAAAAATAGAAAGAGGAAGGAAGGAGGGGAGAGAGAGAAGGAGAGAAAGAGGGAGAGCCTGTAAGTCTGTTTTATAACATAATCTCAAAAGTGATGCACCATCAGTTTTACCATAAACTATTGACCTCACAGATGAATCCTATCACAGTCTGGAAAGGAACTGCATAGGATATACATACCAGGAGAGGCAGAGATTTATTTAGAGTACAGAGTATTACTCTAAGTTAAAATTTACCATAATCAAGTAGCTTGAAATAAATGATGTCTGTATTAAGTATATCAAAACCTGTCAATTTATTTTAACTGTCAGTAGCCCTGTTTTAGCGCTCTGAATTCTATAATCATCAAATGGCTAAACCCAAATGTAGTTTCAAAGAATTCTCTAATTCTTTATTTTTTAAAGGAAATGCTTCGCATCTTCATTGTTTTTATGGGATTTAAATAAAAACTCCTTTCTTAATTTTAAATGAAATTTTAAAAAACTGAAGTATGTTATCATTTTAAAGAAATGTGTAAGCATTTTCTTATGTACTAATCCTCTTTCCTCTAAGTACTTGTGTTAGTTCTCACACTGCTATAAAGATACTACCTGAGACTGGATAGTTTATAAAGAAAAGAGGTTTAATTGACTCAGTTCCACATGGCTGTGAAGTTCTCAGGAAACTTGCAATCGTAGCAGAAGGATACGGGGAAGTGAGGCACATCTTCTCATGGCGGCAGGAGAGAGAGCAAGCAAGCGAAGGGGAAGTGCCACACTCTTAAATCATAAAATCTCGTGAGAACAACATGAGGGAGAACAACATGAGGGAATCCAACCCCATAATCCAGTCACCTCCCACCAGGTCCCCTCCCTCTACACATGGGGATTACAATTCGAAATTAGACTTGGGTGGGGACACAGAGCCAAACCATATCAGAACCTATCTTTAACAACAATAATAATTTAATAATAAACTTTATTCCTTAATAAGAAAATGTTTTATTCCTCTGTATTTTTTATTTTTGTAAAGTTTTAACATGGCTTTTTTCCCCCCCAGAGTTTATTTAAAATGAGAATTACTTCAGTAGTCACTTCATGTCACTTGGAACCGAAGTGAGACTGATGTCATGTCATGGGGTGCAAAGGAATCTGTAAAGACTTTAATATAGCCTATTTTGTTATAGAATTTCTTTTCATCTTCCTAAAACAACATAGACATAACTGATTGTATAATGTTATCTTCTTGTTCTAGGTCTCCTAAAAACCCAGAACAGAAGATCATTAAGAGAGTGATTGCTCTTGAAGGAGATATTGTCAGGTAAGTATTTACTGTTGTTTCTGAGTTCAAGTTTTAAATATCTAGAGTTCTGTTACCTACATTACTTGGGAAATACATCTGAAGTCCATGAGGGCCAAAGTTTTGGAGACATTCCAAATGAGCTGGTACATCTTTAGTGAGCATCATTAACCTTTCAGGTTGTAAGGAATATAGATAAACTTACTGATCATATTGTTATTCTTTAATTGTGAAGTATAGGATAAATATTAATTTAAATTAACCATATAGTCTAAAATGATCATTAAATCATTATTGATCAGATATTAAAAGTAGCATGACTATTTTAAGATTAAGATTATGATGTTAAGGTTCATTTAAAAAAATTCAAGAACATTTAACTATTTTAGAAGCAAATGCAGAAACTAAGAGGACTCTTTTGTACTCATAGAGATGGGAGAAAACTGAAAAGGATATGAAACAGAAACTTCCGAATCAGTGACAAGAATGAAAGCTTTAGATGATAAGATTGTAACAATCAGGTGTTTAAGCAGCCTTTAGTAATGTCGTATTTATTGTACTTGCTGATAAATCAAGAACAATTGTTGACATTCAGCAAGTAAATACTGTGTGGCATGATGTGTCTCATTGTGATCGCTTTCTTTAAACAAGTTGTAGCCAGGCCTATACAATGTGGTAGCCAAAATGCTTTGACTACTACATTGAGGAAGTTTTCTGACCCTGTTTTCTAAAAAAACTTGATCCTAAAGTATTTGTATTAATGATAGTACACATATTAACTAATCTCACTGAAATGAACCTCAGTCAGTTTTAGAGCAGATTCTAGGCTAGCAGTTCTCACAGCATGGCCAGAGGATCCCAGGGGATCCCCACTGGGGGCCTATGAGATTAAAACTACTTTCCTAATAATACTAAAGTGTTACTTGCCGTTTTTCACTCTCATTCTCTTGTGAGTGTACAGTGGAATTTTCCAGATATGTAATATTGGAGTTGATTGAATGCAGGAGCAGATATGAGAATCCAGCTGTTTTCTATTAAGCCAGAAACTAAAAAGATTTGCAAAAATGTAAAAAAAAAAAATCATTATTTTTACTATTTATTGTTTGCTTTTGGAAAAGGACTATAATTTTTATTTAAATCGTATTCTTTTTGTTAACATAAGGGTTTATTATTGGTATTTTAAATTGAATCAATAAATGAAATTTTAAAACAATTTTCTATTTTAATTTCTAATGTGATAATTACTGGTAAATAGTGGCCACATAAATAAAAGTTTTTTGAGATCCTCAATTATTTTGTAAAATGTGAAGGAGTCCTGATACCAAATAATGTGAGAACTTATTGCTGTAGAAATTCGTAGCAACAATTTTCATGTCAGGATTGAGTGCTCATTAGTAGCCTACATGATATCAGTGAAGGTCTTTTAAAAATTTATTGAGGTATAATTTATTTACCATACAATTCACCCATTTAAAATATACAGTTCAATGAGTTTTAGTATAAATGTATACAATTGTGCAACCCCCACAACAATCTAGTTTTTGAACACTTCTCTTACCTGTTACCTTCAAAAGTTCTCTCTTGTCCATTTGCATTAAACTCCTACTTTAACTCCCAACCCCAGACAGCCACAGGTCTGCTTTCAGTCTCTAGAGTTTAGCCTTCTCCAGAAATTTTATTTAAATGGAATTATACAATATATAGTCTTTGATGTCTGTGTTTTTTTGTTGCTGTTGCTAACAGTGTTTTTTAGGTTTCTCTATATTGTGCATGTTATTAGTTTATTTTTATTCCTGAGTATAATCTATTTTATAGACTTATCACATTTTGTTTATCCATTCACAACTTGATGCATATTAGGATTGTTTCCAGTGTGGGGATATTATGAGTAATTCTACAGGTATTGGTATAAATACTATGAACATCTGGGTCTTTTGGTGGAAACATATTCTCATTTCTATCGGGTATACAGTTGGCCCTCTGTATCCATGGGTTCTGTATCCCTGATTTCAACCAACTGAAGGTGGAAAATATTCAGAGAGAGAGAAAACAAATGATAGTTGTGTCTGTACTGAAAAAAAAAAAAAACACAGACTTTTTTCTTGTCATTATTCCCTAAACAATGCAGTAAAACAAATATTTACATAGCATTTATATTGTATTAGGAATAAGTAACCTAGAGATAATTTAAAGGATATTGGGGATGTGCATAGTTATATGCAAATACTACATCATTTTATGTAAAGAACTTGAGCATCTGTGGATTTTGGTATCTGTGGGGGGATTTTGGTATCTATATTTGTGGGAATGAATCTCCCACAAATACAGAGGGACAACTGTATCTGTGGGATGCTGAGTGTTATGGTAGGTTCATGTTTAACTTTGTAAGAAACTGCCAAACTATTTTAGAAAGTGGCTGTATCATTTCATGTTCTGCCAGCAATGCATAAGGAATCTAGTTTTTTTTGCATCCTTGCCAGCACTTGGTATTGTGAATATTTTTTATTATAGCCATCCTAGTGGGTGAGAAGTAGAATCTCATTGTGGTTTTGAATTGCATTTCTCTGAAGGCTAGTGATATTGAGTATCTGTCCATGTGCATACTTTCCATTCATATCTCTTTTTGGGTGAGATAACTGTTCAGATCATTTGCACATTTTGTATTGGGTTGTTTATATTTTAAGTTATAAGAGGTTCTTTGATTTTGATTATTTTAATGGAGTGAGCATTTAGGGGAGGATATATAATGCTATGATTTAGTCAGGGGTAAGTCTATTAGTATAAAATAACTTAGCTATCATTTCTTATAGAATGTACATTCTAAACTAGAAGAACTTGGTGACTGTTTTTTTTTCAAGAGCCTATCCAGCCTTTTGCTTTGTGGCAGAAACTGGGAAGAGCAGTACATTTAGAAAGCCATTTGATATATATCACAAATATCCAAAATACATTTTTAGTATTTGCAAAACAGTATATAGATACGATGCAAATCCCATTCAAAGAATGTCAGCAAACCTTGAAAACATTACCCTAGGTGAAGAAAGCCAGTCACAGAAGACCACATATGTATGATTCCATTTATATGAAAGGTCCAGAATAGGTGAATTCCTAGAAACAGAAATAGATTAGTGATTCCCAGAGGTATGGAAGAAGGGAAATGAGAGTTACTGCTAATGAGTATAAGGTTTTTGTTGTGTTGGGGGAGTATGAAAATGTCCTAAAATTATATTGTGGTGATGGTTACACAACTCTGTGAACATACTGTACTAAAAACATTGAGTTGTACATTTTAAATGGATAAATTCTCTGTTATATGAATTATATCTTAATAAAGCTATTTTTAAAACCCAAAAGAATGCAGCACCAAAGCAGGCAAAAATTTCATCTACATAAAGCAATCTAACAGGATTAGGAATACCAAGGGATCCATTTTATATTATAAATCCAAAGATAACACAGCTTTTAACTCAGATGGATCATTATTGGTCACTAGCTGAACAGTCAACAATGTGAAACTGCAATGCTTGATCAGACATAAAATGCTTTGTGCAATCAGAAATCCTACAACAGACCTTTCTGAGGAAAAGTACAAGTTGTTGCTTTCCTCAGCACATGTAAATATTGGGTTTACAGCAGAAACAGAGCCAGAGCAAGGGTTAATGATGCAAAGTTGGGAGTTGAGGGAACAGGAGTTGGATGATGTAAAAGGTCTGCCTCCTCTCTTTCCACTGCTGCACCCCATGTGTAAAGTCTGCGAATTGACACCAGGGTCATATGGGTCTATCTGTCCCCCTTTGGTACACCTCTATCATGTAGCAATGAAAAATGTAAATAAAGGACCTTCCAACTGTGTGGCCTCTAAAACTATTTGATAATTGATTCAAAAATAATCATTTTTCAGCATTTGATGTTTTTAAAGAAAATTAAAAACTTCTTTCCCTTTGAAACTTTGGCACCTGAAGATCCTTGGCTTCCTGGATTTTATATTAATAATTGAACACATACAGTCTGATAATGATTTGCTAACAATGTCAAATGTTAAGGGGTATGTAGGGAATAGAATATTATTTACTGATGCATGTACATCTTTTCTCTGTGACTCAATTTTTTTAAAATGCCAGAGTATATTAAAAAATTATAAAAATATGCTGTCAACTACTAGAAGCCCTTAGTCTACTGGTCCCCTGACTTGTGACAGGCAAGGTGCTTTGGTCTGTGCTGTGGATTTTTCAGTCCCATCTTTCCTCTGGATATTACTGGATATTATTAGGTAAGCTAAACTAAAATATAGGTCACCAAAAATATTTTCTTGGAAAGAATTTGATATTTCATAAAATGATCAAGCAAACAGTCCTGTTTTTTAGGACTTATTTATACTTACTGTAGGTTTCAGTAGTATTTGAGGTTAGACCCCTTGAAGGATTAATTGAAGGATTAATCCAATCTTCCATTTAATGTTCTGGTAGTTACACTCCTTTAGGTGGCAAAAGCAGATATGTAGTGAAATATAGCTTAAAGAGCACTTAAGGGTACCTGGGGAAGTAGGGCAGTAGGAGCCAAGGCTCAGCCTAGCTTTACTGCAGAATGGGAATGACAGTGTTGCAGGACTTCCATTTTCTGTCACTTGCATTCTCTTTTGCACATTGCTTTTGCCGATCTGTGCTTTGATTGGCTTTTGCCCCACTGCCAACTGCTGACTTCTTGGATGTGCCTCATGTCTGAATTACCTGAGAGAAATCTGAGTATCACCCTTTGAGATACAGATCTAGGACCTATCCACATGACAGACAGCTGGTCAACCAGCTGATCTACTACCTTTGGGGTAGGCATCCTTCCCTGGTCCTGTCAGCTGTGGCTAGATAGACCAGTCATCTGCTGCATACCTTGTACTTATAAGGAACCTGTTGGTAAGGGCTTGTTGGTATGACAGATAAGATGAGACATCCCAGAATGGGGCATTACAATTAGCAGTCACTTTGCTCAGCATTACCTTTAAAAACATTTCAATAAAACTGTGATCTGCTCTCCTTAGAATTGCTTTGGCATTACTCTCTGGGAAAAATCAACTTCTTTTAAAGATTTGTTTGAAATTATGGAAATAACACAAGCTTGTAAAACTCAAAATGCTTTAATGAACATCCTTGCACACATACCTTTGTACACCTGTGTGTTTATTTTTGTAGAATAGATAGCTAAAAGTGGAAATATTGGGTCAAGTTTGTTATTGTTGTTATTGTGGTTGTTATTTTTAGTTCCAATATATACTGCCAAATTTTCCTCTCAAGAGGTTTGTGTACGTTTATACTCTTATCAACACAGCATGAAAAACTGTTTTAGAGAAAATTGATTTAAAGTTCATGTGCAATGGGGAAATTTTGGACTTTAGATTTACAGGGTAAAACATTGTAACACAAATTTTTGGGTGATCAGGTTAAATATCATTTAATCAGTTCACTGACCGTGTAGACCTTAGTGCCATTCATTTAAAAAGCACTGGTCTAGATACCGGAGAGACGTAAGTGAACAGAAGAGACAGTGTTCCTGCCCTCATGATGCTTACATTCTAGTGGTTAGAAGCAGACAATAAACAAATATATAACACATAATGCAATGTCATGGGTAAGAAGTGCTATGAAGAAAAACAAAGCAGAAAAGGGGGTAGAGAGAAATGGTAAGGGTCTGGGGCTGTAGGATGTTCACTGAAAACTTCTGTAACAAAAAGATGTTTGAAGAGACTCATGAATTAAGGAAGACAGGGAAAGAGTCATACTAATCTCTGAGGAAAGGAGAGTTCAAACCAAAGGAATAACAAATGCAAACCTAAAATGGATAGGTGAGTTCAAGGAAGTACAAGAAGCCAGCATGGTTGGGACTTTACTGAAGGAGGGAAACTGAAGTAAGATTAGATCTGAGAGGTTTTCAGAGCCTTGTGGGTCCTAGAAAGGACTTTGGATTCATTTTAGAAGGATGGCGAGCCATGGAGTAGTATGATCTGATTGGCATTTTTAAAGAATCACTCTTTCTGCTGCTTGGAGAATAGACTAAAGGGGGATAATCTGACTCAAATCACTGGTCAAAGTGTTTTTCTCTTGAGAAAATAATATCTAGCTTCTTGTAGAAATAGTTGTGTCCTTGTTTATGACATGCATGATAGTTTTATTTGTTATTTTAAATGACTCAGATAAAAATAGTTACATTATTTGTATTACGTTACGTTATTTATAGTCACAGTCATTTAGATTATATTGACAAGGCAAAAAGTAGGCTTTCAGAGTACTTTTTCAGAGAATTCAGCTGAATTTACAAATAAATGTTGTAAAAGATGAGACTGGGGAGGGCCTGAAATTTCTACCTTGATGTCAGCATTGATTAAAATCACAAGGCAATTGCTTGATTCTCTGGATCTCATAGCTAGGAATGCAGTCATTTTCATAATGTGGACCCAAATGGGTATGCTTATCTATAACATCAAACAGTAAAAATAAGCTGATTCTACTAATACTTAGACCCATTAGTTCCACCGAAATATTATTTTTAGTTAATTGCTTTTTCTTATTAATTTGTTATGACTCAAATAGAAGCATTGTTTTAGAAAACCATAAAATGAATGCAAAGCACTAAACTCCAGCAAGTCAATGTGAGGCAACCACAAATGAAATTGTTAAGGCATCAACATTTTTATTGGGACACTTGTATTTCTGTTTCATAGATCTTCTCTGCCCAGTCAGAAATGAAGTCCAGCATCATTTTTCCTCTGTCTTGGTGAAATACCATTTTATAGAATTTTGGAATCTCGGGCTCCATGTGGTTAGCAACCTCAATGAAGTAAGGGAATGGACTCTTTTTAGTCCCTAGTGAAGAAGATGACCATATAACTTATCATCTAAACTAGGACACTTTGAGAGTGAAAAAAGATGAATTTACTGTTACATGAGGGAGTTAATGTAAACTGGGACTGCCAAAACAAGCAGAAACAAATGGTTGCCCTACTAAAGAAATGTAATCTGCTTTATAAATCACTTCACATAATTGGATTTTGTTTAGTTCATGGGCCTGACTGTTCAGGAGAATTCCAAGAAGTATTCAGAGAAAACAGAATCACTTCTTGGCTCCAGGGAGGAATCAGGCAGGGGAGGATCGATGCTGTTGTCAAGAAGTGTGTACTGCTCATGACGCAGTCATTTTGTGCTGGTGAGTACAGCACAAGGCTTTCTTTAACTAGTATTGATATTGCAGACTAATCGGAAATAGAGAATCATGAGTCTTCTCTCACTGCAAAATATTTAAATGACAATTTGTCTTTGAGTCTAAGGACTATATTGTAAAATGTCAAAATACCCTAATTTATTAAAAACAACTTTCTGGTATTAGCAAAAAAATCCATTTGTCACTAGAAATTGAACATTTCAAAGCCTGTTGATTTTAAATGTACTATTGAAGATGTGGAAATCAATATTAGCCTATCATAGCTGGTTGAATCATATTAGGTTCCAGCAAACGATGAATCTTTATAGGAAGAAAAACAGAACTAAATTGAGTTTTCCCCAGTAAAACTACAAATGATGCTTGTTTAATAAATTCTTTTTTTTTAATGATTGGTGCAGTAGCTCTGAATAATAGAAGCCAATGTATCCATATGGCTCTCTTCTTCTTGAAGATCATGCATTCATTTATGTCATTTTTTGGTAGATTAATAATTAGAGATGGTTTCTGTCCTGAAAGGAGGGAGATATGAAAAGAAACTCATGTCCAGGACCCTGTTAAATATTTGATGAGTAAAATGTTTTAGAGCATGGCAGCTAAGAGTTTTATTTTATAGTTCTCAAATGGGAGTCCAGTAGGTGGTTCTTTTGAGGACAGAGGGTATTTGTACACTGTTTCTGAGTTGTTGGTAGCTTGAGCAGAAGGTGTTCAGAAATCTTTGAAGCCCTTTAGCCTGGTTTAATTTGAACACTGAATTTTCCCAAATTAAAATAGTATTGTACACCTGTCTTTACTGCTTGGGGTCTGACCGATGCTGCTGTTTAATAGACAAGGGATTGAGCAGTACAATTAAATGTCTTAGGCTCTGTACAAGGGTTTAGTTGTCACCAAATAAGAGCCATTTGTGAAAAATCATCAGTATCCCTCTGATGTTACCTCTAGAAATTATTAGTGTATTATGGATATTCTTACCTTTTTCTTGTTAAAGAATTATAATTTTTCCTTACTGAAGAATCATAGATTAGTAGACAACCTATACCTTTATGGAAATATTTCTTTCTTTTCTAAAGTTGTAGGTGGATTATTTTCCATACTATTGCTGTATCAGTGAATAAAAATGGAATTGTTAATAAAAACTGTATGTCTTAGCAATAGGTATTTGTTTCTAATCACCAGAGAGATAGTCACCTTAAGTTCATATATAGTCTCTTTACATATATTTAAGATTATATATAGAATCTTGATTTTATATCAAGATTAATAAATGTGAAAAATGTCGATTAAAAAACGCATTATTTGTGTAAACAGTTTAGCAGTATAGGGAGGTTTCTGGAGGCAATACATCAAACATAGGGCATACGCTTTCATGTGTGACAGCTGTAGAAAGTCATTAGGCCATTTAGATTGAATTGCTTTTTCCAATAATGGTGACACCTATTTTTGTGATACTCTCCCCACCCCTGTCAGTGGTTTCCTTGAATGGTTTTATTTTCTACCTTAGTCCACCTATCTCTCGTGAATAGAGTTCATCTTTAGCTATGAAAATCTTGCATGTTTATTTATTTGTGCCTAGTTATTTATTTGGTGTGATGTAGAAGCCATGAGCACAAACTATGAACTCAAACTGCCTTGGTTCAGATCCCAGCTTTGCCACTTTGGCAAATTACTTAACTCTGTAAATTAAATCTTCCTCATCAATAAAATGGAAATTGTAATAGTGTATACTCCACGGTGCTTTCTTGAGAATTATATGAAATAATGGATATAATTTGGTTAACACAGTGCCTGGCTCTTAAATGTGTTCAGTAAGTATCAGATAGTGATAGTTTTTGTTGTGATTTAATCATGATTTATTGAGTGCCTTGAATATTTCCTGTGTGTTAAACACTGTTCCTGTCTCTGGGATTATAAATATTAAAAGCCAAAGATTAATTCTTGCCCTTTTAAAGTTTATAGTCTGGTGGAAAGACAACAAAGGCAACAAAAGAAAAGGAATATAACAAGAGAATTGCCACTATGAAGATGCACTAAAACCCCTGGAGCTTAGCAGGAACATCTGGTGGGCCTGAGTGGCCCAGCTGTGTTGGAGACAAATTTTGTGTAGGAGTTTCAGATGAGAAGGAGATCTGTAGCCTCCTTCTTAATTGCAAAAATAATGTGTGCTTAGTAGGGAAAATTCAAACAACACTAAAGCATAAAACATAAAAAGAAAAGGTCTCATTTCTCTCTCGCTAATCACACCTCCAGACATATGTCTGGTATATATTCTTCTAGTCTATGTCACACTGAAAAGATTAGGCAAACAACACCATCAAAAAGTGGGCGAAGGATATGAACAGACACTTCTCAAAAGAAGACATTTATGCAGCCAACAAACATGTGAAAAAAGCTCATCATCACTGGTCATCAGAGAAATGCAAGTAAAAACCACAATGAGATACCATCTCACGTCACTTAGAATGGCGATCATTAAAAAGTCAGGAAACAACAGATGCTGGAGAGGATGTGGAGAAATAGAAATGCTTTTACACTGTTGGTGGGAGTGTAAATTAGTTCAACCATTGTGGTAGACAGTGTGGCGATTCCTGAAGGATCTAGAACCAGAAATACTATTTGACCCGCAATCCCATTCCTGGGTATATACCCAAAGGATTATGGATCATTCTACTGTAAAGACACATGCACATATATGTTTATTGTGGCACTATTTACAATAGCAAAGACTTGGAACCAACCTAAATGCCCATCAATGATAGACTGAATTAAGAAAATGTGGCACATATACACCATGGAATGCTATGCAGCCATAAAAAAGGATGAGTTCATGTCCTTTGCAGGGACATGGATGAAGCTGGAAACCATCATTCTCAGCAAACTAACACAAGAACCGAAAACCAAACACCGCATGTTCTCACTCATTAAGTGGTGGCTGAACAATGAGAACACATGGATACAGGGGAGGGGAACATCACACACTGGGGCCTGTCGGGGGGTGGGGGACAAGGAGAGGGACAGCACTAGGAGAAATAACTAATGTAGGTGATGGGCTGATGGTTGCAGCAAACCACCATGGCATGTATATACCTATGTAACAAAACTGCCCATTCAGCACATGTACCCCAGAACTTAAAGTATATAAAAAAAGATTAGAAAAATGTTGATTTTATACCAGATTTTATCTTGAATATTCCAAAATGAAAATATGCACTTGAAATATATTTCTAAGGAATCAGATGTTTATCTGTGGGGAGTTCCCCATATCTGTTACACTAGCATACCTTTGCTAGGTAGGTATTGGAAGACATGACAATTCCAGAATTGCCTGCTTAGTAAGTCTTGGAATCGTACTAGCAGTAGCATACACCAAGATATCATGACTATATTATTGGGTAGCAATGATATGTGATCTAGACAAATGTACAGAAAAGTAAGGGAAGGAGAATGAATATTGAATAGTGTCCTCATTATTCAATATTTTTTATATTAAACTCACTATATCTAAAATGAAATATTAGAACCATCATGTCCTCTCTAGGTAGTCCATGGGCTAAAATAACTGAGGTACCTAAGATGGGAAACACATTGACTTAGCTTAAATAGGAAGAATCTCTTCAACACAGAGCCTAGCAGGATGACTAATCCAGCTTTATCCTTATCCACATCTCCATGCCTCTATCTGAAGATGGTAATCAGTTTCTAACTTTTGATACTTTTGACAAAACTTCTTTCCCACTTCTTGGACTGGCTTTGGAACATTACTCCTTAGTTCTACCATGAACCTCAGCTTTTCCCCCAATACAGATGGACATTATGAAGTTCTCCTTTGGAGTCTGGTGTTTCCTAGCAGGAAGCAGATCACACTTGGAGCTGGTTAGTGCATTTGTGTATTAACCCACTTATGCCCAGTGTTCCATTATTGGAATGCTAAATGTGTGGGAGTTTTTTATGTACTACTCCTGAAGGTTATTGCCAACGTCTGATTTTTCACTCATGCAAAAGTTCAAAAAATCGCAAACTCTAGCATAAATGGGTTAATTAGCCTTCTTTACTGCTGGCTCAATTACATCTCTTAGTAGCATAACTTTCTAAAGGTATGAACTCCAAGTAGTGATATAGAGAAACAGTAACTTTTGTACCTTCCTTTGATCTAAATATTAATTTATGTTTTTTTTCTCTGTCAATGGTAATGTAAGTCTGTCAAGTATTTGGAAAGGACATGTAAGTATAATTATCTCAGTAAGAAGCTTACAAATTGTCTTTTAAAATACCCACTGTTTTTAGCTGAGCTTCAGAAGCATGTCAGAAAGAGTCTTGAATATTTCAGCCTGAACAGTTACTTAATATTAAGAAACAGCTCTTCTATTTTTGTGCAACTTCAGTTAACCTTGTTTAACTTAACGTTGACCGGGGTTTCTCTTTTAAGATATTGGGAGGAAGAATTTTATGTAGGGAACAGATACATTCAAGTTATTGATTTAATTAGTTATGGATGCTTTTACATTTTTATTAAAAAAGTGTATAAAAGATTTTTTAGCTGTTTATGGACAATGAAGAATAGCATGATATAGTAGATGGTGTTATTATGCTTGGAGTAAGGCAATAGGAAGTTCAGTCCCTGCTGTGTTCCATACAAAGCTGTGTAACCTTGGCAAAGTTATTGATTTCTGAGTTTGATGTATTTGTATCTCTCTATTTTCTGGATTATTTTGAAGACCAAATAAAATTAAATATATATATGTATACACACACACACATACACACACACACACACACACACACCATATATACATGCAGCAATACTTTGTGAGCTTTAACACACAATGAACATTTAATTTATTATTGACTAATTTTCCGTTTGGCTTCTTCAGAGCTTAACAGAATGCCTTGCCTATTTTAGATTATCAAATTTTTGTTATGATTGTTGAAATAATATGAATGTTCTCCCAGGTTAATGAATAGCTCTAAATTTTGTAAATTGTAAAGTTGGAAGAAACAAACAAATTAAAAGTTTTTTTAATTTAATTTTTTTATTGTGATTTCAATACTTTATATGAGATCTACCCTCTTGAAAGATTTTTAAATGTGCAATACAGTATTGTTTACTATAGGCACAATGTTGTACAGAGATCTCTAGAACTTATTCATCTTGCTTAACCTAATTTTATACTCATTGATTACCAACTCCCCATCACCACCTCCCCCAGCTCCTGGTAACCCCCTTCTACTCTCTGTTTCTATGAGTTTGAGTGGTTTAGATACTTCATGTAAGTGGGATCATGCAGTGTTTGTCCCTCTGTAACTGGCTTAACTCAGCATAATACTGTCGAGGTTCATTCATGTTGTTGCATGTGACAGGATTCCCTTTTACTAATACTTGAAAAATATTTGAAGTTCATATATATATATATTTGGCATATATATACATGAACTTGGTGCATATATATACATATATATATATATATATATATATATATATGCCACATTTTGTGTATCCATTCATCTGTCTACGGAAATGGTTAAAAATACATCAAACTCATAGAACTCAACAGCTTTGTAAGGAACAGAGCTGGGACTGCACTTCCTGTCATGCTACTCCAAGTATAACACACCATTACTATATCATTCTACCCCTCATTGTCAGTAAGTTGATTCTATATCTTGGCTATTGTGAAGAATGTTGCAAAGAACATGGGAAGGCTAATATTTCTTTGATATTCTCATTTTAATTTTTTTGGATATATATCCAAAAGTAGAATTGCTGGATCATATATGGTAGTTCTATTTTTAATTTTTTGAAGAACCTCCATAGTGTTTTCCATAGAAGCTGAACCACTTTGCATTCTAACCAACAGTGTACCCTGAATAACCCAAACAACAGTATATCCTTTTCTTCTTGACAAAGAATAACAAAATTGGAGGCAACATATTTTCTGATTTCAAAATATGTTACAAAGCTACAGTAATTACAACAATATGGTACTGGCATAGAAACATACCTATAGACCAATGAAACAGAATAGAGACACTGAGAGAAACCCATGCATATACAGTCAATTGATCTTTGAGAAGGGTGCCAAGAATACACAATGGGGAAAAGTCAGTCTCTTTAACAAATGATGTTGAAAAAACCTGGATATCCAGACACAGAAGAATGAAATTGTACCTTTATCTTACACCACACAAAAAATCAACTCAAAGTTGATTAGATTAAAAAGTAAGACCTGAAAATGTGCAACGTCTAGAAAGAAACGTAGTGAAATAGCTTCATGACAGTGGTTTTTGCAATGATTTCATGCAGCCTGCAACATAAGCAAAAGTATACAAAAACACTTTTTTCCCTCATTATTCAGGGGATTTAAAAATTTTTATTTTAGATTCATAGGGTATATGTGCTTGTTTCTTACATGGGTATATTGCATAATGGTGGGTGTTAGACTTCTAGTGTAAATACTTTTAAAACTTTCCATGGAAGTACTCAAATGCTATCTACTGTATCTTTCTAATCTTAACCTGCTTCTTCCTGCATATTGCGACGTGTTGGCAAGAAATTGCACTTACTGTTTTTTTAATATATTTTTCTTGTCTCTGCAGCAGAGATCAGCATACTTTCTCTTTAAAAAGACAGACAGTATATAGGCTTGGTTTTGCAGGCCATACTATCTGAGAAATCTATTCAACTCTGATATTGTAGCATGAAAACAACCATAGGCAACACATAAAATAAATAAATTCCCAATAAAAGTTTATGTACAAAAACAGATGTTGGACTAGATTTGGTCCATAGGCTGTAGTTTTGCTGACCTGTGGGCTATATTATCTACTTTCATTTCCTTAACTTGGAAATCAGTAGAAAATACAAAACTTATTTTTAGTCTTGGCCAACAGTTTAAACAGAAGAGAGGAATTAGTCTAAAAGCCATGGATTTGTTAGTTATATATTGGTTGAGGCAGAGAGCAACAAAAGAGAAAATATTGAGTTGTTAATTTAAGTGAGATTTTCCTGAATTGCTAGAAACCACATGGGTACACCTAGACCATGAAGATATATGTCTTAAGTTGGATGGATATACTAGAGTTCTTCAGAGAGACAAAACCAATACATATATATGATGTACAGATATATGAGAGGGGATTTATTAGGAGAATTGGCTCATGTGATTATGGAGGCTGAGAACTGCCATAACAGGCCACCTGCAAGCTGGAGACCCTGAAGTGCCCATAGCATGGCTCAGTCTAAGCCGAAATGTCTCAAAACAAGGGAAGCCAACGGTGTAACTCTCAATCTGAGGCCAGAGGCCTGAGAACCTGGTGGGGGCAGGGGAGCAGTGGTGTAAGTTGTGGGGTGCAAATGCCAAAGAGCCTGGAGTTCTGTTGTTGAAGGACAGGAGAAGAGTATATCCTAGCTCTAGGAGAGAGAGGAAATTGCATTTGTGTTACATCCAAGCCCCCAGCTCATTGGATGATGCCCGTCCACGTTGAGGGTGGATTCACCCCACTTAGTTCACTGACTCAAAGCCAATCTCTTCTGGAAACACCTGCAGAGACACACTCAGAAATAAACCTTTACCAGTTCTCTTAGTAATTTTTAATCCAGTTAAATTGGCACCTAAAATTAATATCACAAGGGGGAAGAGCTATTATACTACAAGAACACTGCATAGCACCTTAACTGGAGAGCAGTGACAAAGCTCACAAAAAAGAATACTAAATTTCATTGCCCAAACAGTTTCTTCTTAACACAAAAGGAATAGCTGCAGTTGAGAAAATTCTGTATCAGAATACTATTCCATGTTATTTATAGCTTCTTTTATAAGCCCAGCCCAACTCCAGTTATGTTTTGGTGGCTATTTTAGCTTGCTCTGACTGTGCTGGACCAAACCAATAGTAGAGAGAAAATGGAGCTAATAACTTTTAAAAAAGCAATTTAATTCCTCAATTCATTCATTGTTATAGAAAATATTCAAATATTATCTAACACATTGTGAGTGATACCTATGTATGTAATAGTGTCAGGAACAAGCAGTAATTATTTCCATATTTAAATGTTGATATGAAACTAAAATCTGTTTGCTGTTTTATAGAGTTGGAAAATGTTTATTGAAAGAAATATTAATGATAGATTTCTATTTTTTAAAAAAAGTATCTCTAGTTTTCTTCTGCAAAGTAATCTTGCATGAGAGTCTGAATGGTTCTCCTCAGCAGAACTAATCAGATTTTGAAATTGATCATCCTCCTGGTTGGGATTCAAATGAGAATTTGAGTGAAAATGATTAAATGTTTTTCCTTATTTAGGGGGCTGACAGTTGTTGATATTTTCTTTCAGAAGAGTAAATTGTGTAGTGAAACCTGTATATTTGGGGTATGGAGAGCAGCAAGTCATTAACTTTGGGCTCTGCAACTGGACATCTGGGAATCAAAGAGATTTTCTACTTTGTTTATTACACAAATAAATTATATTCCCTGACCACTGTGTGATACCTGATTTTAATATGAAGCCAGGAGCAGACAGTGAAAATTGCTGCATCCCACGCTGCTTCAGCTCTAGGTGTACTGATACTTCCAAAGAATACTTCTGAAGCCTAGATTTCAATTTTACATACATCAAAAAGTAAACGACTATTTAATCTTTTACTGTAACATGAAGAGGAGTGAGTAATACATACTGGAATGGAGTTTAGTAGGATGGAAAGCCAAAATGGAAAGATTTTCTATTTGAGATGAAAGTATAATAAGCAGTAAGCTTTACAAAACCCTGGAATATGCTTTTGAGGAGACCAATGAACAGATTAGAATTTGGTTTATGTATGGGAAAGTAAGGTGACCTTTAATGGATTTCTGGGGCCGTCTTTTGAGGATTATGTAAATGAAGCCTGAATTCTAAATCTAATACAGCTATCATTAAAATCAAGAGAATGTTTACTGCATGATGGTAATTGAAATGACTCCTAGCTTTATAATGTTCCTGAGCCCTAGTATTCTCACATGACTTTCAAAAAATAATGCCTATTTTTTATTAAAACCTGCAACATCCTTAACAATAAAGTGGAAGGAAATCAAGGAGGTTATGATAATGAAAGTTCCCCAGCGATGTACGAAAATTTCACTGTAGAGTAAGCCACTAATGAGTATTCAAATCATTTTAATCTTTGCTAATATGAAAGGTGAAAAAAATTCTTATTGTTGTTTTAGTTTGTATTATTTTCATTGCTAAAAGAATGAATATTTTATGCATTTATTATCCTTTTATTTCCTTTTGTAAAAGCTATTCCAGAATTGTCCATTTTAAAAAATGGTATTAGGCCAGGCGCGGTGGCTCACGCCTGTAATCCCAGCACTTTGGGAGGCCGAAGCAGGCAGATCACGAGGTCAGGGTATCGAGACCATCCTGACTAACACGGTGAAACTCCATCTCTACTAAAAATACAAAAAATTAGCCGGGTGTGGTGGCGGGCGCCTGTAGTCCCAGCTACTCGGGAGGCTGAGGCAGGAGAATGGTGTGAACCTGAAAGGCAGAGCCTGCAGTGAGTCGAGATTGCGCCACTGCACTCCAGCCTGGGTGACAGAGCGAGACTCCGTCTCAAAAAAAAAAAAAAAAAAAAGGTATTAAATGTTTTCTTAACAGTTTTAATATGTTAATGTCGTGTCATATTTAGATCAAATATATCTTCAGTTTGTGATTTGCCTTTTAGTTCTACTCATTCTCATAGATTATTTAAAGAAACAAAGGTAAAATAATTTTTAAGTTATATAATCTTATTTTTGGTGGTTTTAGATCCCTGAAGTAGAACTCTAGAAATTGAAACATCTGGCATAACTTTGATACATTTACCTGTTGGTTTTGTAGTTATTAGTGAGTTAATATTAATCTATTGGGTTTTAGAGATATAGAGACATGGGAGTTTACTGTAAATGTTGCAATATATTTGTCTCAATATTTTAAATTTAAAAAACCTAGAAATACTTTATTGTAGAGGACCATATATATGTCTATATACATTCTATAGGCAACGTAACTACCACATGAAGGGTGGCATTGTTGTAGTAGATTGTTTCTCTAAGTGTGATCAGAAGCATCAGAGTCAGCAGGGAACTTGTTAGAAATGTATTTAATACATTATTGATTCTCACTCTCTCCACTTTGAATCGGAAACTTTGGAGATGGGGCCCAGAAATCTAGGTTTTAACAGGCACTCCAGGTGATTCTGATGCATGCTGAAATTTGAGAACCTGTTTTCGTATTTGGCCTCTCACCAATTAACTGCTTGAATTTGAGGTGAGTGGTTTAATTTGTTTACATTTTGGTTTAATCAGGTATAAAATGGTGCTATCTTCCCACAGGATAGGTTGGAACATTCTAGATCACAAATCTCAAAGTCGTCTTCAAGTGAGCTGCCACTGTCTCCGTGCTTAAGCTTAAATTCCCAGCATTAGGATTTTGGTTGGAATGTTTGGTGGGAAAACACACCATGGTGTCAGGTCCTCCTATTCCCTTTGGGTACTTTAAAGTAAAGGGTCTGATTCTGCTCACAACCTCCACCCTAATTGTTTCTTTAGGAGTTCATTTCCACTTTTTTCTCAATCTCTGACCTCTCCGTGATTACAAGGCTTTAGAAAAATGGAAAGCGGCTGACAATAATCTGAGGACCTTTGGACTAAATGATTTCCATGTCTTCCAGCTCCTAAATTCTATAATAATTACTTTTTCTATAGAAAAAGTGGAAGCTGTCAGTACATACATTTTGGTAGAAGGAAGACTGTTCTCCCACTCCGGGGTACAGGGGTGGATCCCATAGCTGAGTCATGCTCAGTGGCAGATACTTTACCGTGAGGCATGTTAACCACTGGCCTTTGAGGTCTCCCAAAAAGGGAAAGTGCAAGAAGCAAGCGAGGTGGGTATTTTCCTTCACAGAGCCCAGGAAGATGGGTTACCAGGCCTTCATTATTTCCTCCCCGGATTACTGTGGCTGCATCCTAACTGATTTCCCTTTCTTACCCATGCCAATCCATTCTTCACACTTCCACAAGAATGCTTTTTTAAAAATGTTAATCTTATTATGCATTCCTGCTTTTTAAAAAATGTTAATCTCATTATGCCTTCCATAAACAGGAGCCCTGCAGATGCGGCCCCTCACAATCTGGCCTCGGAGTATCCCTCCAGCCACATTCTCCCCACTGTCTCTGGCCATACCTATAGTTTGCATTTTCTTGGCAGCTATGTAACGTTTTGCATACCGTTGCCTTTGTAGAAAGCACCTTCCTTTTGTCTTGTTCCCTTTGTTTTGTTTTTGCCTGGCGAATTCCTACTCAGCATTTTCATTTCTAGTAATTTATCAGGTAGGTATATTTTCACATGATTGCAAAGGAATGTGTATAAGGGAGTTAATTATAACATTATTTATAAGAGCAAAGGACAGAAAACATTCTAAATGTATGTCAGTGCAGTTAAGGACATTATAGTACATTCATAAGTTAGAATTTCTCTAGGATGGTTAAGAGAAAAGGATCTATATGTACACACATACATATACACACACACAAACACCCATACACTTGTATATGAGTAAACTGTCTCTGGAATTAGTTAACATAAAGTGTCAGATTCTGACTGCCACTTCCATCCCAGTCATTTTTCTAAGAGTCCACTTCCACTTTCTTTGTAATCTAAACTGGTAACTAACTAGTAGTTAGTAGTAAATGAGTAACTTCGCCTTTAGAGAAGGAACTGGAGGGTCAGGAGAATGAGGGAGATTTTTCAGTGTATACTCTTTAATCCTCAGGACCCTGCCTACATTCTCATTCTCTCTCTGTCTCTCTCTGTTTTACACACACACGCGCACACACACACGTGCGCGCGCACACACACACACTCTATGTGCTTGAGCTATACTATTCCAGATTTAAAAAATACTTTCATGCTTATCTTCTTGTGTTCATGTTTTATCCTGAATGTGGCAGATCCTTCTCCATCCCCATCCATCTAAGAACATCCTGTATCCTTACCCTGACAGGAATGATTGTCCTCTTCTCTGATTCCATAATACTTTATTGATCTGACAGACGTAACATACATCTGATTATATTAGAACGAGTAGTACATGTGTTTCTCTATCTGTGAGCTCCCTGAGGTCCGGAGCAATGACTTATTTTTGGAGCCCAGAACAATCCTGCCTTATGAAATCTAGCATACCAAGGGTTTGCTCACTAAGTATTTGTCAAATTTAATGACTGCAGAAAGCTCTCTGCAATATTTATAAAACTTCAATCCTGAGTATCACTCTGTGAAATGATTCTATTTATTTTGGAAATATTTCAACTTAGTCCAATTAGTACCAATCCCAACTCCTTATCTTTAAAAATGTAAACTCTCTAATTTGCTGAACATTAGTTTTTCATGTTGCTGAAGGTTAAGGAAAGCAAGTAGTAAAGAACATGAGTCTCAGCCATCTGTTTTCATTTTTCTCTCTCCAGCAGCATAAGTGCTGCAGGGATTGTCCCTGCATAGCAAAGGGGATGAGGATATGCTTGTTTATTATTGAAAAGTCTTAAATGGGCCCCGTGTCAGTCAGCTTAGACTAACTTCTTCTGTGGTAACACCCTACCCCCACATCTCAATAGCCTGCAGTTAATAGAGGCTGGTTTCTTGCTCCATTATATGTTCCCCATGGGTTGCATGAGGCTCTGCTCCATATTTTTTTTCCTGCAGGGAATAAAGCTATCAAGGTATTAATAGTCTCAGGGGAGATGGAGAACAAAAGCATGGTGGAACGATGGGATGGATCTTAAGCTTCTACTCAAAAGTGGCATGTATTATTTCCACATACATGTCATTGGCCAAAAGAAGCCGCTGCATGACCAAGTCTGAAATCAACAGGGTGGGCATGTACTCACCTATCCCTCTGTCAGGGATGGGAAACAAATATTTTGAACAAGGATACACTCTACTAAAGTCTTTTTTAGAGTTCTCTTAAAAATGAATTGGTTTTGCACTTGTATCAAGGTGCATATTCAACACACATCGAATGAGCATGTACCACAAACAGACCACAGTAGGGAATGTGAGGCTAAGTCAGAAACTCTCTTTTCAAGGAGCTGACTGTCAAAAGGGCCTAAAAATACCTATGATATTTTCCTGCACAGTAGTCATGCCAGCATTGCTGGAGAAACCCTTGGAGGAGAGAAATCTGGAGTTGGGACAGCGTGAAACTGTATGCCTTAGCTAGTGATCCTGAACTAAATTTCTATTAGTATTACTTTTTAGTCTCATAAGTAAAGGTATACTGTTCAGGGATTCATCACATCCATCTGTCCTTTAATTGTTGTCTTCATTTCAGAGATTGTGTGGTCAATATATGTCATTATTTTTAAAATATTTGCATGTTTGATAATAAAGTATTACACTGACTTTGCAAGTCACTGATAAAGATAGCTGGCATTGCCTTATTTGTCATATTACTTGGGTGCTGGATATCTATAGCAGTATATGGAAAAGTCTTACAAAAATCATTAAGTATAGTGTTTTTATAGTATTTTGTAGCCTTCTTTCTACTTAATTTTCTATTTACTCATTTGTCATTTTCTCTATCTGACATTTTATTTTTGAAGAACAAAAATCTGCTCATGCCAAATGTTGGTTTTGGATTTCTTGGTGGCCTGGGAGACAATTTTCAGTCTACCCATACCTGGAACTGATGAGCTAAACTGTCAGTGTTTGTCTGTTGGAAGATTATTCATTCCTCACCCCTTGCCTTTTAAATATATATTCAGAAGGATCATATTTTGAGAAAGGATTAAGTATTTCAAGGGAGAAAAAATCATTCTGCTGTTTCTAAAGCGTACACAGCAGTTAAACTTTAATTAAACAGGTTTTTAGGAAAGGGGACTGGAGACCAAGTTCGTAAAACTAGACAGATATGCTTTGTACATGAAAAAGAAAGCTAATTAAGCCAAGCATAGCAGCCTACTATTAATTTTTAAAACACTTCCAGTGTATTTGTTGTAAATCTTGACACTGCTATTGTGTATTTCCTATTGAGTTATTCTTCAATTTAAGTTCAGCATTTGGTTGTCAAAGATTCCCAGTCAGTTGGAAAATTATAAAATCTTCCCACATTATGTTAATATTTATTGCAAGAAACTTAACTCTTGAATGAAATGTAATTAATTGACAAAAATAAGTGGTGAGCTTATACTTTAGAAGTAGAATTTATTAGGTTAGCCACCAAATAACCTAGAGCAACCAATTAACAAATTGTTTTATTACCAACAGATTCTGTACACTAAAACAAAACTGACAAAACAGATTTAATATTCAGTTGTGTTTTTTCAGCTTATTTTTCAGTCCTTTAACTAGGGTATGATTTCTTTTTAAATGTACTAAAGGATAGCTGTTTCGTTTTGACAAAAATTGAGCTCCCCAGTACATCCATAATTCTGTGGAGGAAGAACAAAAAAGCCCAATGAATTAGAATTTGTTACCACACTGTCACAAGCTAAGAAACTTGCAGATGCATTCAGTTATTGAATTGAGTTCATGATTTTCGTTTGTGTTCTTCTGTGCATGGACTCTGAAGGAACATTACTTAATATTAGATTTCACTTTCTCAATAGGGAAGACATACAGGAAAAACTTGAAAAGCATAAAGGTATTTCAATTAAGTCTGCTGAGAATGAATGCAGTAAATAAAACCAGATTGTGATTTATTTATATTACTCACAAGTTTAAACCCCTTGTCTCTCATTCGACAATAAATATCCTGCATTATTCTCTAAATAGAACTATGAAGCATAAAGCAAACATTGACTATATGCTTAAATGCATTAATATAATTATAAGAATTTCAAACCGTTACTTAATAACTGAAGAGATGTCTTTTGTTTGTGTAAAGCAAAAGGATCACAGATACTGTTCATTCAGAAGACCTCCAAAGAATAGGAAGATATTTGAGACCATCTATAGTTTTCCCAGACAGTCACAATAGCTGCAGATAAATGAAGATTTAGAAAGAAATTATGCTGAGCAACAGAAGTTATATGGCATGTTACTTTGTGGTGCTTCAGCTGATATACTGAATAGCCATAATACTGCCATCAACAGAATATCCCTGAATATGGGATGTTTCTCCCAGTAGGTTTCTGGATAAAAATATGTTTTACTTATGCTGGAGATGCGAAATGCACAAACCACTCTTCTGAGAGATGCATTTAACCTAAAGGGGTATTGTTACTCTAGGTTCTTACTTCCATTTTAAAGAGAGTATTATCACTGATTATGCTGAGCATAACTCTCAATAGTAGTGATTTCTTCTGTCATGCTGGATGAATGTCAGCAGTGATGATTGGTCCCCTAAGAATTTTATCAGGCTGTCTTCCTTCATGCAGCACACTATCAGCAAGCAATGTGGCTGTGATTAAACCACCACTTATAAGCATATTAATCATAAAGACTTTGCAAGTTCTTTCATTTTTTTTCCCCAAGCCAACTAGTAAATAAAACAGAATCTTGTGGTTTTTCTTTCCCATGACACCTCAGGTATTTCCTGATAGCCAGGTAAATTACTTCAGGTTGTTGTTTGTTGTGTTTGTTTCATTATTGATTTACTAAAAGAGAGTGACATACATTTGCATACCTTGATGACAGAACATCAAAGCTGAGTTCAGTTCATTCGCACTCACGTTATAGATGAGGAGATTAAGGCCTGAAAAATTATGTGACTTCCCAAGTTTCCATAGCTGCCTAATGAAGTAAAACTCAGATCCCTTAACCCTTAGTCTATCTTGATGTGCCAATGCTTATTGGAAATCTATAAACTTCAGTGCAGTTATCCTTCATTCTGTTGGGTGGCTGAGTGGCTGAATGAGATCTCTGAAGATCCTTTCTATTTCTGAGATTTTATAATTTTTTGATTACTAATGAATAACCATCAAATATGCATATTTGGAATTGTTTTTATTTGTCTATGTTGTTATATAAATGTTTATTTTAACTTTTTTTTTTTTTTTGAGATGGAGTCTAGCTCTGTTGCCCAGGCTGGAGTGCAGTGGTGCAATCTTGGCTCACTGCAAGCTCCAACTCCCAGGTTCAAGCAATTCTCCTGCCTCACCCTCCCAATAAGCTAGGATTACAGGCACCTGCCACCATGCCTGGCTAATTTTTTTGTATTTTTAGTAGGGACGGGGTTTCACTATGTTGGCCAGGCTGGTCTGAAACTCCTGACCTCATGATCCTCCCACCTCGGCCTCCCAAAGTGCTGGGATTACAGGAATGAGCCACATTATTTTAACTTTTTAAATGGTTATCCCACTGTGATATCTCTGGAATTAGATCTCCCTTATTTCCAGATAAGGAGACTCTCTCAGTCAATGGTGTAGTAATGTAGTACTACTGTTTTGCCCACATGAGTATATAATGTCAGAATGTGTTTTACCTTTTAGCAAAATATAGCATTGGGTTCCCTTCTTTTGCTGTGTCAGAACTTCAACAGTCTTTTCTGTGTAAGCCCTCTTTTGCTGCACTTGGGAGCTTTTCTAACAGCCTGCTATGTTCTATTGTTGATGCAATGAATACAGCGAGATACCCACATTTTGTTTAAAGATAGTCACTGAGCTGTACCCTACTGCCAGCCTAGATGACTGCTTAATTATAGGCATGCTTTTCTAAAGGACATATATTTGTTATCTTCCATAAACAGGGAGACAGTAAAAGTCATTTGGCTTACCTTCCTAGGGATGAAGGTTCAGGAAGGGGAGCTTCATTCAGTGCTTCATGCTGTTGTCAACACTAACTTTACAGGTGACCCAGGAAATTGTGAAGTAGTTGGGGCCGTAGAACAGACTTCGTGCCACAGCACAAAAAATCTTATTACTTTTTTTTTTATTCCCTGTGTACTCGCTTTACAATTTTAGAAACAACTGATTTTTTTTTTTTTTTTTGCAATTTTGCATTAGATCAATGGTTTTAAAAATCTGGCCAAACATGGAAGCTCTTGGGACACTGAAAAACACAGATTTCTGGAAGTCACTTCAGAACAACTTAATTGGAAACACCCAGGAATGCAGCCCAGGGATCGGTAATTTGTAAAAGCTTCCCTGGGACACAAAAAGTCTTGGTCCCATTTCAGACCAGTTAAATCAGAATCCCAGGGGTGATGCCCTAGGATCAGGCATTCTAAAAACTCTCCAGGTAACTCTCATATATAACCATGGTTGAAAACTACTTCTCTATACTTTCTTCTACCTTTAGAAGTCAGCTTTGGGAGCTCTATTTTCTGCTTTAGAGGATTTAGCAATGTAAACTTAGCTTCTCAGTGGCAAATAGAGTCTGCCTGTCATTTGTATGTTCATATGTGAAGTGGTCCGGAAGTCAGTTGCAGAATCTGTACTATTAGAAGCTTAAATTTTTGGTATATTCAAACTTCATGATAGAGTCAAGAAAAATTATTTGCATATAAAAGGATCCAACATTAATATCTTCATTCTATCTCACTCCCTGCTATCTCATCTTCTGGTAGGAACTGCATATTACATTTAACGATATTCTTCCCCTTAGGTGACCATTAAAAAAAGAGCAACTATTTTTGTATTGTTTTGTAGATTTAGGGGGTAAAAGTGCAGTTTTGTTACATGGATATATTGCATGGCAGTGAAGTCTGGGCTTTTACTGTACCCATCGCCCAAATATTGAATATTGTGCACAAGATCAGTTATCTTTTTAATCAGAAACTCCGTCAGTGCTTACCTTATTCAAATGCATAAGCTGTAGTGGCATACATAGATGAATAGTTTTGGAGGGTATGTTTGGATTTCTTGTTGTTTCATTTGGAGAAAGGGTAGTTATTGGAAACATATTTTCAGTAAAGAAATGTGTTTCCTGTCCAGTCTAGCTCAGAAAATGCTGTCACACTGCACTTTTTCCACCATCCCTCTTGAGGCCTCAGCTCTACTTTTATGTATCCCTTAGCTGTATGGCTTTTATTATGAAATACTTGCCTCCCAACTAGACTGAATTTCTCAGCCAGGAGGCATTTGCGGACATTGTTTGATACCCCTCCCTCCCTACTAGAATCTAACATAATGCTGAACACAGATTAGTATGCCATAAATGTGTATTGAATCATTTATTGATAACCCTGACTGCCTTTTAAGGATGGTAGATCCTATTAAGTTGTTTTGCCATGTACCTGACAGACGATAACACGAAAATTGGGAGTTTGGAAGCCAGGAAGAGCTGAACTGATATGCATACTGGGAGAGGAACTTAGAATGAGGCCTGGGAGGAAGGTGTGAGGAGCATGAATGGGAGAGAGATAGGGTTAGGGGGACCAAGGAGATAAAAAAGGCCACTCAGGGAACAGAGGCCACTTCATATGACTTTCAAATGTTTCAGTAAGTCTTTGAAGTTCTGTTGCTTGGTGTATGTGAAGTTCTTGTAGAAATTGGCAGTGGCTTTGTATGCATCCTTCTTAACACAGTTGAAACTGAGACAAGATTCACTGAAGGAAGATCCAGCAGAGGCTGAGATACTACTGTGAAAGCATAACATGCCTCTTCTGCCAGGACATAGTATAAGGTATAAAATGGGTTTTGTATCTTCACAAACAAGAACTTGGTGGTATAAGCCAAGCTTAGCTGGCTTTGCGAAGTATAATGAGTCAAAAAGTGACCTTTCTCCTACTCCCATTCTTATTCCCAGTTGTATGGGGGTTGAACCATAAAATATTGCCATCTTTTAACTCAAAAATCATGAAATATAAGCAATTTTGTGACATCTGGGGTAGAATGACTGCAGTCATCCAATAGAAACTGTTGACATTAAGTCTTAGAAGTGTGAATCCCGCCTAAGCTTGGAGTACCCGGAAACTGCCTTCAGATACATAAGCTCTTTGAACTGGAGTCACTTACTCTGTAAGCCTCTTCACCCCCAAACTGTGCCACCCAAACTGGGTGTACATAAACCCAGTGGCCCACGCCCACTCCTCTTAATGCCATATTCACAGCCTGAGAAGGGATCTTCACATATATTCACATCACCACCCTACCTTTATCTCTAGTCACATGACACTGTATGCACTTTTATTTTTGGCTTTTTTCACTTAGCGTAATGTTTTCTTTTCTTTTTCTATTATACTTTAATTTCTAGGATACGTGTGCAGAACATGCAGGTTTGTTACATAGATGTACACGTGCCATGGTGGTTTGCTGCACCCATCAACCTGTCATCTACATTAGATATTTCTCCTAATGCTAACCCCCGCTAGCCCTCAAACCCCCTACCGGCCCTGGTGTGTGATGTTCCCCTCCGTTTGTTCATGTGTTCTCATTGTTCAACTCCCACTTATGAGTAAGAACATGCAGTTTTCTGTTTGGTTTTCTGTTCCTGTGTTAGTTTGCTGAGAATGATGGTATCCAGCTTCATCCATGTCCCTGCACAGGACATGAAATCATGTTTTTCATGGCTGCATAGTATTCCATGGTGTATATGTACCACATTTTCTTTATCTAGTCTATCATTGATAGGAATTTGGGTTGGTTCCAAGCCTTTGCTGTTTTAACAGTGCTGTAATAAACATGTGTGTGCATGTGTCTTTATAGTAGAATGATCTATAATCCTTTGGGTATATACCCAGTAATGGGATGGTTGGGTCAAATGGCATTTCTGGTTCTAGATCCTTGAGGAATCACCACACTGTCTTCCACAATGGTTGAACTAATTTACACTCCCACCAACAGTGTAAAAGTGTTCCTATTTCTCCACATCCTCCCCAGCATCTGTTGTTTCCTGACTTTTTAATGATTGCCATTCTAACTGGTGTGAGATGGTATCTCATTGCAGTTTTGATTTGCATTTCTCTAATGACCAGTGATGATGAGCTTTTTTCCATGTGTTTGTTGGCCACATAAATGTATTCTTTTGGCAAGTGTCTATTCATATCCTTTGCCCACCTTTTGGTGGGGTTGTTTGTTTTTTTCTTGTTAATTTGTTTACATTTCTTGTAGATTCTTGATATTAGCCCTTTGTCAGATGGATAGACTGCAAAAGTTTTCTCCCATTCTGTAGGTTGCCTGTTCACTCTGATGATAGTTTCTTTTGCTGTGCAGAAGCTCTTTAGTTTAATTAGATCCCATTTGTCAATTTTGGCTTCTGTTGCCATTGCTTTTGGTGTTTTAGTCATGAAGTCTTTGCTCATGCCTATGTCCTGAATAGTGTTGCCTAGGTTTTCTTCTAGGGTTTTTATGGTTTTAGGTCTTACGTTTAAGTCTTTAATCCATCTTGAGTTAATTTTTGTATAAGTTGTAAGGAAGGGGTCCAGTTTCAGTTTTCTGCATATGGCTAGCCAGTTTGCCCATCACCATTTATTAAATAGGGAATCCTTTCCCCATTGCTTGCTTTTGTCAGGTTTGTCAAAGATCAGATGGTTGTAGATGTGTGGCATTATTTCTGAGGCCTCGGTTCTGTTCCATTGGTCTATATATCTGTTTTGGTACCAGTACCATGCTGTTTTGGTTACTGTAGCCTTGTAGTATAGTTTGAACTCAGGTAGCATGATGCTTCCAGCTTTGTTCTTTTTGCTTAGGATTGTCTTAGCTGTATGTGCCCTTTTTGGTTCCATATGAAATTTAAAGTCATTTTTTTCTAATTCTGTGAAGAAAGTCAACAGTAGTAGCTTGATGTGCATAGCAATTTTTTGGTGTACCTGAAAGTGGTGGGGAGAATGGAACCAAGATGGAAAACACTCTTCAGGATATTATCCAGGAAAACTTCCCCAACCTAGCAAGACAGATCAACATTCAAATTCAGGAAATACAGAGAACACCACAAAGATACTCCTCGAGAAGAGCAACTCCAAGACACGTAATTGTCAGATTCACCAAAATTGAACAAAAGGAGAAAATGTAAAGGGCAGCCAGAGAGAAAGGTCGGGTTACTCACAAAGGGAAGCCCATCAGACTAATAGTGGATCTCTCTGCAGAAACCCTACAAGCCAGAAGAGAGTGGTGGACAATATTCAACATTCTTAAAGAAAAGAATTTTCAACCCAAAATTTCATATTCACCCAAACTAAGCTTCATAAGCAAAAGAGAATTAAAATCCTTTACAGACAAGCAAATGATGAGAGATTTTGTCACCACCAGGCCTGCCCTACAAGAGCTCCTGAAGGAAGCACTAAACATGTAAAGGAACAACCAGTACCAGCCACTGAAAAAACATAACAAATCGTAAAGACCATCAACACTATGAAGGAACTGCATCAACTAATGGGCAAAATAACCAGCTATTATCATAATGACAGGATCAAATTCACACATAAAAATATTAACCTTAAATGTAGATGGGCTAAATGCCCCCGTTAAAAGACACAGACTGGCAAATTGGATAAAGAGTCAAGACTTATCAGTGTGCTATATTTAGGAGACCCATCTTACATGCAAAGACACACATAGGCTCAAAATAAAGGTATGGAGGAATATTTACCAAGCAAATGGAAAGCAAAAAAAGCAGTGGTTGCAATCCTGGTCTCTGATAAAACAGACTTTAAGCCAACAAATATCAAAAAAGACAAAGAAGGTCATTACATAATGGTAAAGGGATCAATGCAATAAGAAGAGCTAACTATCCTAAATTTATATGCATGCAATACAGGAACACCCAGATTCATAAAGCAAGTTCTTAGAGACCTACAAGGAGACTTAGACTCCCACACAATAATAGTAGAAGACTTTAGTGTTAAAGTCTTCATCATTAATTATGAAAATAAATCTGAAGAGGGAAAACCTATACTTTCTTCTTATATACAAAGAGTCTCTGGGATCAGATCCAGCCTTCTAAAAAGTTAGAGCCCACAGACATTATCCATGGAGTAAGATTTGAGAGAAAATTGGAAACATCTCCCACTGTCAATATTAGATCAATGAGACAGAAAATTAACAATGATATTCAGGACTTGAACTCAGCTCTGGACCAAGTGGACCTTATAGACATCTACAGAACTCTCCACCCCAAATCAACAAAATGTACATTCTTCTCAGCACCACATCACACTTATTCTAAAATTGACAACATGATTGGAAGTAAAACACTCCTCAGCAAATGCAAAAGAATAGAAATCATAACAAGCAGTCTCTCAGACCACAGTACAATCAAATTAGGACTCAGGATTAAGAAACCCCCTCAAAACCACCCAACTACATGGAAACTGAACAACCTGCTCCTGAATGACTACTGGGTAAATAATGAAATTACGGCAGAAATAAATAAGTTCTTTGAAACCAATAAGAACAAAGAAACAACGTACCAGAATCTCTGGACACAGCTAATGCGGTGTTTAGAGGGAAATTTATAGCACTAAATGCCCACAGGAGAAAGCAGGAAAGATCTAAAATCGACACCCTAACATCACAATTAAAAGAACTAGAGAAGCAAGACCAGACAAATTCAAAAGCTAGCAAAAGACAAAAAGTAACTAAGATCAGTGTTTTCCATTTTTTATTGTCTTTCTTTTTCTGTGTTTGTTTTCATCATTAATAGGAAAATAAATCTGAAAAGGGAAAATCTGTACTTTCTCCTTATATAAAAAGAGTCTCTGGGATCAGAGCCAGTTTTCTAAAAAGTTAGAGCCCACAGGCATTATCCATGGATTAAGATTTGAGAGGAAATTGGAAACATCTCCTAAACCAACAGCCTATACAGCCTGGAATAGGCTGAGCATCAATGATGAAACGCATAAAGCAACACCAAAGAGTTTAAAGAAAATTTTCTTGAGCCCTGTGTTAAAAAAGCACATACCTTTTATAAAAGCATCATATAATTTCTCTTGTTTAATATCATAAGAGGGCTTAATTTAATGCCTTCTCTGTTGTGTGAGTAGGATATTCAGAGTGAAGTGCCTGAGAGCAGGGAGAAAGAAATAGGTGAGGAGCAGAGATGGTTTCTTTAAAGAAAGTGGAAAAACAAACCTCACAAACTTAACTGAACCTTCCCTCCAGTTATATCTGCCTGGGGTAGTTCTAGATCATGTATCTCTGTTCAAGGTGGTATTCAAGGAGCCAGAGAACCCAGTGTTTAATCACTGCCTCATTACCCCCCTCCAGTATTTGGGCATCTGGTTATTACCTTGTTCACCTCAGTCCAGCTATGTCTCCACCAGGCTCTTCCTTTAGGTCTGTTTCTCTGTGTAGCACACTATGAAAATGAAGGAGCAGTGCTTTCAAGTGTGTTGAATACTTAACTGTACATGATAAAGTTAATATAGCTGTCGTTTCCACATGCTTCTTATTTGTGATTATGTTTCAAGTAAGCACAGTAATAGCAATCTTCAAAACCCTGTGGCAAAACTAAAGAGAGTTAGAGCTCTTTGCGATGTAATATTCTGAAATAACATTTTTGCAGGTTCACCCTCCTATTGCAGGCATGTATGGTCATATATCATGCTCGCAAATTCTATTGCATTCTCCAGAAAGGCAACATGGAATTTTTTACCCTATTCTTTCAATTATCTCTCTCATCCCCATGTTATAATTCTGAGGTTAGATTCCCATAGGGAGTACCTCAGTATTAAAACAGTGTGTACAAGGAAAATGTAGGTGACATATTTTCCCCTTTTTTTGCAAAGGCAAAAATATCAAATATTTTCTCAAATGTCACTGGAGAATGTAAAAACTGCATTCTTGAGCTGGGACCATTGGCTCACGCCTATAATCCCAGCACTTTGGGAGGCCGAGGTGGGTAGATCACGAGGTCAGGAGATCGAGACCATCCTGGCTAACATGGTGAAACCCCGTCTCTACTTAAAAATACAAAAAAATCACCTGGCATGGTAGTGGGCGCCTGTAGTCCCAGCTACTCAGGAGGCTGAGGCAGGAGAATGGCACGAACCCAAAAGGCGGAGCTTGCAGTGAGCTGAGATCTTGCCACTGCACTCCAGCCTGGGCGACAGAGTGAGACTCCATCTCAAAAAAAGAAAAAAAAAACTGCATTCTCAATAAATACACACTAGGAAAGTAGATTCTGAAGCAGCGATTTCAGAAAGGGCTTAAACATCTAAGACTTCTGTTGGGATTCATTCGATCTAGAAATAGTTATTCAGCTCTTATTATGTAACTGGTGTTGTTCTAGGCAACGTGGACATCGATAAGAATCCCCACTCTCGTGAGTCTGTATGCAACAGTAGTGTAGGGATGTGGAGGCCAGAAATAGGACATAAAGGCAGACCACACACATAAATAAATAAATGGTAATGGCAAGTACTCTGAAGAAAATAGAAGGGGGTGTGGGGCTAGCCATTGACTGGTTTCAGTGGGGTAGGTGTGCATGAGGGTTCAGGTAGTCAGGGAAGTCGACCCAGGCTAGAAGAAAGGAGTAGAAGAAAGATGTAGTCCTGTGAGAACATAGGGTCTGTATTTAAGGTAGCGAGAAAAGCAGGACCTTAAGGTGCTAATGAGATTGGTCTGTCTGAGTAAGGGAAAAAGGGGTCCTCTGGTGGATATGAAGTGGAGTGTAGTGGGAGATGAGGCTAGAGAATGCACTAGGATCAGACTATGTAAATTCTAGACCATGGCAGAGCTTATATTTTACTTTAAGTAAGATAGGAAGCCACGAGAGGGTTTAAAACAGGCAGGTGACATGATTTGATTAATATGTTTAAGTGATCATTGGCACCAGTGTGGGGGTTCTGTAGTAACCCAGGGAAGCAATGATGGTGACTCGGGCCAGGGAGATAGAATGGAAATGGAAAGAAACTACAGTAGATGGAGTCTGGATATGCTCTGAAGAACACGTCAAGATTAGCTGAGGATTAGACATACGGGCTGAAGTAAACAGAGGAATCAGAGGTGGCTCTTTGGATTTCAATCTGAACAACTGAAAAATACATGGTGAAAAAATGTTTGTGGAGATGAGGAATATAAGGTAGAGAGGAGAACAAGTTAGGCAGGAAAAAGGGTCATTGACTGTGAGGGATAAATTACCTGAACACTATACTCAATGAAGAAGAGTTCCTTTTGCTGCTGCCAATAGCATCCCTTCCCATCTCAGGGTTTAATGACATCCATTTGTTTACAGGAGAGCCTGATATGTTTCAGGCCAGGGAAATCTCTGATTCTCTCCTTTGTTCTCATAGAAATATTTGGAACTTTCCTGCAAAACATATAGAATGAGGTAAAGTGTATCTCTTAGGCATCTCCAATCCCTCATATGTTCTCCTTTCCACCATCCATAGTTACCACCTCTCATCCCCCACTTCAGTCATTGTCAGGGCCATTATAACTCTCACTCCTGTCCTCAGCCTGCAGAAAAATTACAATTTTACACTCACTAGATTTTAGGTACATTTTCTGGCCCGAATGGGGTATTTTAAGATCACATAATTTATTAGTGATTCAACCATTGTATATTGATAATGTGGATAGCACTTTGCTGGGTACTAAAGGATAAATTTTAAATGTGTATAAACATAGCTGTTGCTTTTCATGAACTTAGGGTATAATTGAAGCTATAAAACACATTCCCATGTAATAACTAAATAATAAAGTTAGGTAGTTAAACTTTGTGGAAACCACAGGGCTAAGTTTCTCATCTAGCTTGGTATGATAACTCCAGTATGGTTACAGTGATGTGATGGCAATTCTACCATCTTCTATGACTTCAAACTTCACTAGCAATGCAAATTATTAATGTGATAATTAAGTAGTTTGGGTTTTATGTTATAGTTTATGCCATTACTGGGCCACTTTCTGTGACCCAGGGCAAGTTCTTAACTATTCCAAACCTCACTATCTGTCCTCCTTAGTAAAGTAGAAATAATATAACCTACCTATATAGCTATTATAATAAATGTGTGAAAAATTACCTGATGTGTGGTAAGAACCTGGTAAACATTTGCTCTCCTCCTTTTCCTCCTTCCTATATCACTATCATTTGCTTTTATGAGTGGTGTAAACAATGAGAGTTTACAGGTACAAGGCTGTCTGCTCCTTGGAGAAGCTCAAGTTAGGGAAAAAAAAAAACATGTTAATGAAAGGTTTACTATTGTCCAAAACCACAGGACAAAACTAAGAGGATAACCTTGGTGGAATAACTTGGTGGAGGAGCGGATCACTGTCTTTCCAAATAATTGTACCAAAGGACATATGAAAAGGAAGTAAAGGCTTCAGCAGAATAATGAAGTTTCATTGTTGTGCCATGTTAAAGCACCATGTAACTATGTACTGACTTAACAAGGTTTCTGATTTACGCTGCTCAGTCTTATATATGATGAAATGATTAAGCACAGTATACTCATTAGCCTCAGAACTGATTACTTCTCCTGAGCTAAGACTAAATCTACCTCCCAAACTCTGATAAATTTGTCTCTTGACAAACGAGTATTTAATAGCAGTTATCTTCCCCCATCTACCACCTCCTTTTGTGGTCATTTGCTTATTATTGGGAACTCGATGAAATTCACAACTCAATCATTTCATGACATTTCTCTTTGTAAATGGCACCTTCTCTGTCACTTCTTGATCAGAGAAGAATTAGTAAGTGACTCATTCCTGATTTGTTAATGCAAAACCTTTTTGTTATTTAATCATTTTGAGACAGTCATGGATAGTTATTTAGCTTTGCAGATTCTTGTAAGTCATGAGCCTGCTTAGGCAGAAGATGTTGAGTACCTTGTTGAATTATGCAAAGTTAGGTTCAAAAAGTCAATCTTGATTTACAGCTGTTACGTGAACAATTCAGTGCAGTTTCAGTGAAGCACATTATCTGCAAATAATGCTCAGTACTTGTATAGAAACAGCCTGAACAGAAAGCAACTTCTTTCTATATGATTAATGCACAAGTGCTTTATGAACTATAAAGCATTCTACTGATATAAAATGGAATTCACATGCAACATTTATGTGACAGTGGGTGGAACTATCCCAAGGATAATGAGTTTCTATTGATGCCAAAGATCATAGGAGACCTTACTTTCTCAAACGGAGGGAAATATCTTAGTGTTACTTAATTCTGTGTACTATGTTTGTTGATTATGATGAAAGCAACTTCTCATGAGCATTAAATGCCAACCATTCTACAGATACAAGAAACTAATTATGAGATACAGAACTTAAGAATTCCCAAGATTTTGTCCTACTACATTTATTCCCAGTAAACAAATAGCTTGCAAATTTGATGGGGCGGCATCATGTACACTTAAGTCTCATCTTTATTCCTTTTTTTTCTGACTTTCAGTTGACAAACAGAGTGATTTGCTTCTCCCCTTACATAAGGAAAATTTTCTGCTACTTCTTTTACCACCAAAGTAATAAAGTAAAACACAGAGATGGGCTAGTGATTTCAACAGGGTGTCCAATATACAAATTATAATATTGAAAGGGAGCGGAAAACTGTGGCCAGGTGGAGATCAGCACCAGGAATCTGTGGCTAGGTCACTACATTTTGTGGCTTTGCTTAATACATAGATTCTGTAGTGGCTACCTCTGCTCAGGAACCTGGAGGGGCTGAGCTGCCTTCAGGGGATTTGGTTTCTGAAGCTTAGAAGACCTGAAAAAGGAAGGATTCAGCAAGTTTATAGAGCAGTTGGTGAGGGATAGATTATATTCCTATTAGTGTGTTTAGAATGTTAAAATCTAGTGTAATAACAGAAATCTCAAGTGAGAATGTCTCCAAAAGGCATGTGCTGGGAGTGTTGTTATGAAAGTATCTTTGTTTTCTTTCTATGTTTGTCTGTTTCTGGATGCATTTTATGTGTATTACTGTTTGATTCTCTATCTCCTGGGTGTCTCTGTGAGGTTCTGTTATTCTGTGTATGTGTGTGTACACTGAACTTTTAAAAATCATCGTTTTCCTTTTTTTTTTTTTTGTTTTTCTCTCCTAACCTCTGGTTTTCATTTCCTTTATCCTCTTACTTAACCAGATATAATAGGAAGCTGAAACTGTGTGTGTGTGTGTGTGTGTGTGTGTGTGTGTGTGTGTGTGTGTGTGTGCAGGTACATATACACATATGTACCTACACACATATATTTTTAATTATATTTTGGATAATAAATTTTTCTTTATTGTTCTTAAATTGAAAAACAGAAGAGCTAATATTTCCATATTTTTAGAAAATATCAAATTAATTAAATGTATTTTTGCTTTTATCTTCAGTTGATGCCCTCCATAGTGATTTATCTGTTTTAGGGGTTTGTTGTGTTTTTAATAGAGGCAAGAGAAGAAACTCTTTTTTTCTTCTACTTCATTCGTTCTGGTAGTTCATGGCATATATATTGTTTTAGCTAATCTTATTTATTTATTTCTGGCCCTGCTCTAAAATAGATTTGAGATAGTATACAAAAATAACCCCAACACAGGAGAGGAAACATATCAAGAAAAAAGGAACAGAGTGGAGATAAGAGATACTGCAAAGTGAGCTTCCTACTGGCCAAAACTGAAATTAAGCAAGGTCACTGTTTCATTTATAAAATAATGTGTAAGAAAGCCTTCTTACATTAGAGACTTAAAACAAGGGTATATAGTTTTCTATTGCTGCTGCAACAATTTATCACAACTTTAATGACTTAATACAAATTTATTATCTTACTCTTCTGAAGGTCAGAAGTCCAGCATAGACATTATCAGGCCTCAGTGTTAGCAAAGCTGCATTCTTTTCTGGAAGTTCTAGGAGAGAACCTGTTTCCTTGCGTTTTCCAGAATCTAGAAGCTTCCCACCTTCCTTGGCTCCTTGGCTTTATATATGGCCCCTTTCCTCCATATATAAAACCAGTGACATTCCATCTCCTTGACCATTCTTCTACAGTCATATCTCTCTACTGCTCTCTTTTTCCTCCCTCTTCCTTTTTTAAGGATTTGTGTGATTTCCTTGGAACCACCTGGATAATCCTGAGGGCAGCTAATTAGTGAACTTAATTCCATCTCCAACCCTAATTTCCCTTTGCCATGTAATGTAACATATTCACCGGCTCTAGGAATCAGGTCATGGACAGCTTTGGGGAGCCATTATTATGCCTTTCGCACAAGAGTAACAAATAATCTGATATTCCTAGAGCATCTCTCTCTATGTCTATACGGCTCAGGTAGTTGAAGTTGAACTCCTTATATATGTTGGGTAAGGTCTCCAAAGCATGTTGGACAGGAGGGAGAGAGAGACAAAGAGACAGAGAGAGGGGGAAGGAAGAAAAAGATGGGCGGGAGAATAGAGGTGAAGTGGGGGTAGGAGGAGGAGAAAGGAAATCAACAGGCAGAAATAAATAGAATCTGTGTTGTTTTTTATATCCCAACCTCCAAACATTCTGCAGCATCACTTGTATCAGTTTCTGTGCATTAGAAGTGAGTCACTAAAGTGAGACCAAATTCAAGGGCAAGGAATTATATTGAAAGAGGGTCAAAGAACTTGCAGACATGTTTTAAAACTGCACAGTCACTTAAAAGATTTACAGTGTCCCCTGAACAGCTTTTCTTGGGGATAACAAGTAAATAAAACTTTTTTCATGGGTCTCATAAAAGGACACTGTGTGTGATATAAAAGATGATGGCCTCACCAATATCTGTACAAAAAAATTGTAATGATAAAATTCATAGAGATGTTTATTATAGCATTTCTAGGTGCTAGCACCAAAGCATGTTTCAGGAAAAAAATCATTCTACAAGTTGCAAAAGCCTTTATTCCAAGTATACAGGTTTCAAATGGACTAAAAAGAATATAAGCAAAAACTTAAAGATGAGAAAAATTAACGGAATACATATACATCCTTTAATTGATGTTCCATGAATATTGTATATTGTAATAAAAAATTTAAAAAGACTTAGGCATGAAAGAGATGAGGATTATATTTCTTGACAAGAATAATGAATAAAAGTAAATTGCATGGCCATATAAGGGCAGATCTGTAGGCTTTTAAACCTAGTTTGGTATTTACTTCTTAGATGAAAACACTTCAGACATAAATATATAGAAACCATTTCTCTTGGTTAAATAGAAGATGAAAAGTATCAGCTTCAAAATGGTTGTTTTACAACTTGTTATATGGTCACTTCAACAGATGCAGAAGGAACATCTGATAAAATTAAATGTGAATCCTTCCTATTTAAAAAGAACACCTTTATAAATAGGGATAAAGGAATTTTCTCACCTGAATAGAGGTAATATATCAGTACAATTATATACTTAAACAATTTAAATCTTTTTACTGTAGAATATGAATACTGAAAATCACCAAAAAAATTGTTGTTTTAATGTTTTAGTATCATAGCCTCTTAGAAAATATACAGAGGCTACTCTAGGGCTCCCATCCTTGCATTAATTGACTTTTCATCATTAGTATATTTTTTGCAGATGTTTAAATCTGATGTAATATATTTTTAAAAAACTTGGAGTATGAATATAGTGAGTAAGATCAAGTATGGGAGTTATCTAAATTAGGTCTTATACTATGTGTTCATAACCATGTTTTACTAAGAGGGTAGTAAATAATTTTGTTGATTATATCCTCCTATTTTTGCCTTCTTTGTATTCTCTTCATTAATATTTTCTTTTCTCGTGGATTGAGAACAGGATCATTCATTCGTTTGCTTACACATTTAGCAGTTAGTGTACACATGAGCAGTCTACTCTTTTCTTTGTAATTAAGCAATATAGGACACAGACTGTGAAATGAATGAATAAAAGATAATTACATGGACTACTTAATAGCCAAATTCACCAACTTTTTAATGTTCTTTCATTTAAGTATCTATACTTGATTATTGATGTGTTTTTTCCTACCTAATGAAGCAGGAGATTATAAAGAAATTCTGAATGCCTGTCAAGTAGTCTCGTATCTTTTCATCTCAGACAGAATGTCAGTAGATCTACATGCAAATTGAATGCAGCATTGATCTAAAAAGTATAATTAAAAAAAATTTATTTTTAAGTTATAAAAACAAGTGTGTGTCCTGGTACAGCTATGAGAGTATCCGGGGGATAGGTTCTTTGAAGTGTTTGTTTTCATTTTTAAAGATGCCTCCTCCGACATGCTTTATGCCTAGAAGGACTTTGATGTCTGTTTGTAAGGCCATACTCGTGAAGTTAGAGTTAACTTTTTAAGACCACATATCCAAATATATGTTCAACTGTTTATTTTCTGTTCACTCAACAGTATATCCGTATAGAAATATAAAAGCTATATCCATATTTCTATATCCATATAGAAAAATAAAAGCTAATCTTCCTTGGTCTCTCTGTTTTAGCGCTAATATCTTTGCTATAATCTTTTCCCCCACACATCTTATGCCACGATTCCATTTTTCACCCCAGCAATACAAGTTTCAAAAGAACATCTTTCTTCATCATACTCCTTTTTATTCCCTTATCATGCATAACTATGAATGGTTAGATGTAGTTGAAAGTTTTTAATAGCTCCTTTTGTTATCTTTCTCTTAACAGAAAATAACCTTTTTTGAATATACCATTTTCTTGAAATATAAGGCTCTAAGGCAGTGTAGTGGCAGAGGCATGAACCAGAACATTTTTTCAAATTGTTTAATCAGCTGTGTATACCAATTCTACTTTGGAGCAATAACTAGAACACGTAGATGGGATAAAAGGTGGGAAATGCTGTTCCTGTACCTTCCAAAGCACTGAAAGAAGAAATGAGGCCATTTAAATTGTTGAGTCTCAGCACTGGTGTTTAAGTATTAAAAAGAAGCTATTTGAAGAAAAAAATTAGACATCCAATTATCTACTTATTTTTTCTCTAACTTGAGAATCCTGTTTCCTAGTGAGGACGTTATTATCTGCCCTTTATTTACATTATTAGAATATCTAATATTAAAACCGGCCTGCCCAGTTCCCCATAGTGAGAGAAACGTAGGATAAACCTGGTACCTGCAGCAAGAGGACCTTGTGACTGGCCAGAAGGATGGGGCCCCTTTAATGAGTCTGGTATGTCATTGCAGGACTCCGTTGGCAAAGGTAGCGCTGAAATGGAACCTCCAGAGGACTTCTTAGAAGAGAAACAAAAATAAATCCCGATCCCTATCCACACCCTTTTATCTGCCTGCAGAACTACAAACGTTTTCACCAGAAGCCTCTTCTCAATTTTGCTGTAATAAAGGAAATTAAAGACACACTGGGGAGAAACAGTGCTGTCTATGTTCTTATAGGCCCAAACCTGGCTTCATGCTGATAAAGGTTGCCTGTTCAAATGAATCAGTGCTCTATGTGAAATCACAAAGTGAGGAAAAGAGCATTTTAGGTAGAAGTCAGACTTTTCAATAATCATGGGAATCATTCCTTTGTCATACATTAGACTCAGGTAAACTTGAGACTGAGCTACAAGGTGAGCTGAATGCTGCCTTAAGGGCCAAGGAAGGAGGAAGGCTTTTTATTCCCCTGTGCATCAGTGGGGGGCTATTCCTGGGCTTCTCTTGTCAATCACTAGCAATCAGGCTATAATGTGAGATAACCTGTAGGGCATTGGGATATAACTTTCAAAAAGGTAAGTTCTGAGAAATCAGTTTTAGTCTACCTTGAAGGAATGCCTAAACAAAGAATAATGTCATATTTATAGGAGTGATACTCTAATTTAAAAGTGAGATCTTTTGAGTCATAATTTAGATCAAATTATAAGTGTGTTGGCAATTTATTTTAATTAAGTAATAATGAGCTGTGACCAAAATATTTGTGTATAAAGTATATTTGATAGATTTTATTTTATGAAAAAGTAATGCTTAAATATAAAAGGCTTAGTGAATTCTTTTGAAATATTCTACTAATAAAAGGTTAGAACCTCCCTTAAAAGTAAAATGTGTGTAGACATATAATAAAGCCTCCTTTCAGGGAGAATCCAATATATTTAAGAGTTCACCTTTTATGCTTCTATGAGTTCACTCTCTATTTTTCTTTTAAGACTTTCTGTTTGTTTGTTTTTGATGCTATTAATGACACCAAATGCATATATACATTGTCTTTATATAGAAGATTGGTTTGCTGGGTAAGTGTCCCTATCAAATGCTTTATTTTAATTTATTCTCAAAACAATGCTTTTTACCGGAGTTTCTCTTTTTCCTGTGTTTATGGTCAAGCCATAGAAGTTCCCTTGATAGTATAAGAGTTACTTTTCTTAAGAAGGACATTAATAATAATAGTTGTATTCATTGTTTCTTCATCACTGAAAGCTGATTCATGAATGGCAAATGACTCACTGTTTACATGTTCTTTTTCTGTTTTGTAGTCAAAGGACTAAAATTTGAAACTTGTAGTTACTGGTATGTCAGGACAGTATGTGTTTGCTTATGCCTGGGGCCTAGCCATAGGCACGATCACCACAGCAACTGCCATAGGCTTGTTTCTTTACAGGTAGAAATTCGTAATGGTGAAATAAAAGGCTTTGAAACAACCAATCTAATTGTTGACTGTGCCATGCAGCGGGGCAAATCAGAAAATCAATCAGAGTCCACCACTTCCCAGGTTTTATCTTGTTACACATCAAATGAAGGTCTTGACAATCAATCTGATGAGAAAAACATTACATCCAGACTTTAGCGAGAAACAGTTTGCTCATGATATACATTTGAAGCAACATCAGCCTCATATTCTTACAATCGGTGGCTGCAGAATTTTTCATGATTCTAAGTTCAGCTTCATGTGTATAAAAGAGGACAGTGATATTGGATCAGAATCTTTCTAATCTCTGTGGTTCCTTGAGCCTAACCCAACCAGTAGATTAAGTGAAGAGAAGAAAAACAATATTTTAAGGCTTTAAGCATTTATCATGGAGTTTGAGTCACTTAATTTTTAAAATCCGTTCATGAGGAAATGATTATGTCAAGTGGATTTAGATAGTTCCAAACAAAAACCCTGCTAAAATACTATATCAAAGTATATCAAGAATAGATGGGGAGTTTTGTATTTTACATGTATGTTTCAATTAGGTTTATTGAGATATAACTAATGATTTTGTCATTTATTATCTATCAGGATCCTTTGGACAGAACATAATAGACAATTGACAAACATCTTAGTATTTTTATATGCAAGGATTTGTGGAAGACATAAAGAAGTAGAATTGCACTTAAGCCTGATGTATGCATAATTCTTTACAGTTTACAAACATTGCCATATACATTTTCTCCAGACCACTAGTCTTTCCAGTGACCTCTTAAATAGGTAACAGCTATTTCTACAGTTCTTTAAATGCTTCTATTTTCAAAGCAAAGTGGAATTTTTGTTTTTGTAGCATCTTGGCACTCTGTCATATGAGAGTTGTGAAACACACTAGCTGAAGCTTATTCTTAATGGAAGGAAATACTGTGGCTGTTAATGTTTTTTTCTAGCTAATGAACCAAATCTATAATAAGCATACAAGTTCCAGCAGTGGTGCAAGCTCTTTGCAGTACACTGACATTAGACATGCCACTGCAAGAAAAGATAATTTCTGACTAATGCCAAGGACTCTGGAGAATTATTAAAATGCAGTGCTCTGAAAAGTTATCTTGGAGTAGTCTACTGTTAACTTCTAGGAGAGATAAAGTGTCCTCCTTGTGCCAGAGCAATTTATATTTCCAGTTTTCATATATATGTCAAAATAATGTTCTTTGTGGTATGCCATGGGTAGTTAAGCACATTTGTTATTCCAAGATCCAAGCTTTCACATTACTGAATAGATGAAAACATAATGTGATCCCAGCCAATGCTTCCAGTCTGAATAGGAGAACAGAAGAAACAAGCAGGGGAGTGTTATCTCAGGCATTTCTCTCCTTGGCCTGGTTTACTAGAATTCTTATGTGCACTTTACAGTGATATCCCTCAAAGGGAGGGTAATTTGAATAAAGCATCTTGTCTCTATTGGCTAATTAGATAAGAAATAATGCAGAGGAATAATGAGGTATGTCCAATGATCCCTATGACAAATCACCTCTTGCTTTGATGTTAGATGGTGGAAGAGCTTTTGTTTCTAGCAGATGAACATCTCCATATAAGTGCCTGCAGCTACCACTCTCCCACTAGAGAAGGGAATTTATAGATGCCACTGTCTTGAGAAACCTCCTCAGATGGAACTGACCCTTCCATCCCCAAGGTAAGGAACCACCTTCAGTTTTAAAACAGTGAAGTGTGGAGAATTGAATCGTGAAAAAATGTATTTTTGTGTAGCTACTATTTGTCAGAGTTCAGCCAATGTTATACAATGAGTAGCATATAAAACAACATTGAACAAAGCTTATCTCACTTAAATGCTTCAAAACATAAACAAAAATAAATATTATTCAACATGAATCTCTCATTTAAGAAGCTGGCAGTTCTAATTCTTATTCTTTTTTCTCTCTTAAATAACTAGTCATTCAGTAAATTATTTTTTTAAAAAGGTCATGATCTCAGAAAAGAAAAAGGACTTCACAGGAAAAACTGATGAAATCTAAATAAAGTCTGTAGTGTTAAGCCAATGTTAATTTCTTAGTTTTGACAATTGTGCTATGGTTATATAAGATGTTAACATTAGGGAAAGCTGGGTGAAAGGTGTATGCGAACTCAACTATTTTTGTAACTCCTCTGTAAATCTAAAATTATCTCAAAATGTTTTAAAAAATTCCTGCCAGTTACTGGGGCAAAGAAGTAGTATGAATAAAACCATAATTATTATTGGGACATACCCCATAGTGATCATTGCTTTCTTAAAATGTACAAAGATAATGATACATAGAAGCTTGGTAAAGCACATAAATATAAAATACTATTTCAAAAATGTAGAAACACATAAGATCAATTCTCAGCATTAGGACTTTCAAATTAACAGAAGCCTCACAATAATGTCAAAAATATAGAGCATACTAAGGGAAGCTCCTTCTGAAAAAAGCAAAAAGCCAAATCACTTTCAAAAACTTTAAAGCATTAGCTCTTCAGTGGCCTTCTATCTCAAAGACATCTGTGAAATGTTCCCTAATTCCCCAGAATAAATCAGTAACCCTGTTCTCCATAGGCACCTGGTACATCACATTTCACTGTCACTTACCACATCTTTCTGTGTCCCTACCTAGGGTGCATACCTCTGGAAAGGAGAAACCTACTGTATTAGGGTTCCCTAGAGGGACAGAACTAATAGGATACATGTATATATAAATGGGGAGTTTATTAAGGAGTATTGACTCACGTGATCACAAGGTGTGATGGACACAACAGGCCACGATAGGCTGTCTGCAAGCTGAGGAGCAAGGAAGCCAGTCTGAGTCCGAAAACCTCAAAAGTAGGGAAGCCAACAGTGCAGCCTTCAGTCTATAGCCAAAGGCCCAAGAGCCCCTGGCAAATCACTGATGTAAGTCCAAGAGTCCAAGAGCTGAAGAACTTGGAGTCTGATGTTTGAAGGCAGGAAGCATCCAGCACAGAAGATGAAGGCCAGAAGACTCAGCAAGCCAAGTCTTCACAACTTCTGCTTGCTTTATTCTAGCCAAGCTGGCAGCAATTTACGTAGTACCCAGCCAGTTTGAGGATGGGTCTGCCTCTCCCAGTCCACCGACTCAATTGTTAATCTCCTTCGGCAACACCCTCACAGACACACCCAGGAACACTATTTTGCATCCTTCAATCCAATCAAGTTGACACTTGGTTAATGCAATCATCACAGTTTATGTTTATCTTCCCTAATGCCTTAGCTCACAATGGTACTCTTAGAATATTTTTTTTTCAAGAAATAAGTGAATTTGATTGAAGAAAATGCGCACATTTCAAAACCCTTTTTAAAAGAGAATTTCTGGTTCAATCTCCTCTCCGGTATGCAAACAAGGAACAAACAAGGAAGAAAATATTTTGCAGAAGCACTTGTCAACTTTAGGGTGCTTGAAAGCATACCCGCATTGCTCCATAGAATTAAATGTAAATGATCCTGAAAACAAGTAGAGTCTCTATGAGAAAGGTCTTGGTTGGCATAGACTCAGTATAATTTGCTGATTCTGCTCTTTCTAAGTTTCATTTGTGATTTCTAATATTGAAATCCTGGTTATTTGCAGGTTTCAGTTAGTTTGTTATACCTTAACCACAAGTTTCTACCTCTGCCAGTTTCTGTCTCTTATGGCTTAATTTGGTGAGTCATATTAGGAAAAGTCAATCAGAAATTAATTACCAGGATTCAGCTTGTCATTTTGAACACTTAAAGTAGTGAAATAAAAGTTACATTTGAAAGTAAATATACTGAAAAGGGAAAGTCATGCAAAAGTCAGTATATGGAAATGGATCATCCTCAGGCGGCCCTGAATTGGTTTTGACTTCATCAAAATGTCTAGTTCATGGTTGGTACATTTAGTATGCACTGTGGCTGCTGCTGTTTGAAGGTTATTAAGTTTGACCTAGATTTTATTGGTGTTCACTCTAATCTACTCAATTATCTTTTGGGGTTTGTGTATGTCTCTGGCAAAGATGAACCATCAATTTCTATTGGCATGTAGAGTAGTTGTGAAGATTTGATAAAATGCTAATTGATAAAAATGAAAAACTGAGTCACTATTTTGATAAAGACTTATTTTCTTAATCTTTTTAAAATTATTAGAGAAATTATTTTTAATGACAAGAAGAGCGATGTAAGGAAGAGTAATATAACAATGAAATCCTATTTCTGGGGCCAGGTGCAGTGGCTCACGCCTTTAATCTCAGCACTTTGAGAGGGCGAGGTGGGCAGATCATGAGGTCAGGAGTTCAAGACCAGCCTGGCCAACATGGTGAAACCCTGTCTCTACTAAAAATACAAAAATTAGCCAACTGTGGTGGTACACGCCTGTAATCCCAGCTTCTCGGGAGGCTGAGGCAGGAGAATCACTTGAACCCTGGAGGCAGAGGTTGCAGTGAGCCGAGATCGCGCCATTGCACTCCACCCTGGGCAACAAGAGTGAAACTCCATTTCAACAAAAAAAAAAAAAAAAAGAAAAAAAGAAAAGAAATTCCTATTTATTTTGGTATTTTTATAGCTCACACATCTTAAATAAGGGGATTATGGTGAAAGACGCTAAAGTTTTAGAGCTGTAAGTTCAGGAATGTCATCAGAGGTCATAATTACTTCCTTCTCCTAACTAAGTCTAAATGCAAATTACTTAAAACAAAAAAAGTTCCTCATTTTCTTAAATATCATCAACAAATAAGAATTTATAGCTCCCTTGGTAATAATTTCATAATCTGTGTTTTGAGACATCTAATGGTTTACACTATCTTAGGCTATAATATCAAATTTTGAATAACTACAGCAAATAGGAAAGGAAAGAAATTCCTGAGGGAGAGACTTGTACATTGAACATTGGGATATTTCATTAATTTCATTTACTCCTGGCCTGTTGTTGGTGGTAAAGTGGATGATTGAAAGTGAAGTAGAAGGTGGGAGACTTAGGAAATATTATAAGAAGGGACTGACTTTTATTTGAGCAGCACTCTAGTAGTACCTAATAATTTCTTGACATATTTTTCTATGTATGATATAATTTTAGCAGTATTCTCAAAATTGTTCATTCTGCCCATAAATTTATAATATTTTCATTAATTTCTTATTATCCAATTGGGAATTTATCAGCTTCTTTTTGCCAGGCAACTGATGTTTTTCTTTTGTAATTTATTTTTGAGTAGATAATACATTAACATGGTTCAGAGATTTTTAAAAATGTAGTGCAGCAGAAGAGACCCGTCCACCTTGTTTCCCGTCTCCCTATTCTTTGCCTTCGTTCCAGGGACTTTTAGAATGTACATGCAAGCAAAGAAGGATTTATTTACTTTATATTCTTCATTCTTTCCTATTTTTGCTGGAGGAGCATGGACTGGAGTCAGATCTACTTGGCATTGAATCCTAGTTCTGTTTCTTCATCAACAAATATGAGTTAATAATAATGTCATCTTCACAGAGTCCTTAAAAAGGTTGAATAAGAAGACTGTAAGAAACGTATCACTATTTTGACATGCAGATAGTGTTCAGTGGGTGTGATTATTGTTATCATTTTTAACCTTTGAATGACAGGAAAGGCATGAAAAGAAAAAAATGTAGTATTGGTTTTCTGAGGCTGTCGTAACAAATTACCACAAACTTGTTGGCTTAAAACACCAGTTATTTATTCTCTCACAGTTCTAGAGGCCACAAGTCTGGTATTGAAAGGGCTGTGCTCCCTCCAGAGATTCCCTTCCTTGCCTCCTCCAGCTTCTTGTGACCATCAGCATTCTTGAGCTTGAGGATGTATCACTCATTCTCTGCCTCCATCTTTATGTGACTTCTCTTCCCTACTTGTTTCTCCCACGTGTGTTTTTTGTCACATGGATACTAATCATTGAATGTAGGATGCACCCAGATAATCCAGGATTATCTCATCTTGAAATCCTTAATTAAGTTACACCTATAGAGGCCCTTTTTCCAAAGAACATCACCTTCATAGGTTCTGGGGATTAGAATGTGGATTTATCTTTTGGGGGGACCACTATACCAACTGCAAACATCTTTTTTGTGATTCATTTTGTGATGACTGATCTATTAATGAGAAAATATGTTTTGAGAACCATTAATGTATCACCAACTATAATATTTCAAATATAGAAGCATTGATTGACATTTTGTTTTAGATCAGCCTTACACATAGTAAAAGTTTACCAGTAAACTATGAAATATAAAATTAGCAAGTTGATGATAATAAAACTGCCACAAGCAAAGAAAACATACATTATTTTTGCTCTTACAATTATTTGGCATTCCTGCCAGACTTTGGTTCTATATTTGCATCTGTGTGGGGATGGAGGAAGGAAGTAGTGTAGGAAAGGTAAAAAAATAAGGAATATATTAATGGTTTTGGTCCCATTTTATAACAGAACTTGAATTGGCTTTTCACATCTTCAAGGATTCACTTTTACTCTCTGTTGTAAATTTTCTATCCCAGCGATGTCCCACCACTTTTATATAATAGTAGAATGGCTTATCTATTCTGTAGTAGCACAAAAGAGTTGGAAGACATAGAAACACCAGATGCATTTTCTCTATATCTTTTGGAACAGAAAAAGTAGACAAAATGTTAAATTTTTTCTTTGAAATCCATATGACTCTGCTTCAAAGAATCACCATTTCCAAGAGAGAAAATTCATGATTGCGTTACAAGCATTCAGACAGAAACACTTTATGTTGTCAAAAGCTGCATTTCAACTACCAATATCATCACAGTGACTGCAGTGTCCTGTTACTTTCGCATGACTAAATCATACAACGAAGCAATGATTTTTAATTCTTTTAATTCTTTTTATTTTTTGTAATTGATTAGCCCAAAAACTCTACATAACCATATCAAGGATGTAGATGTGGCCATTCAATGTGACGTGAGCCTTTTAATAAACATGTTTTCAGTTTGCAGAGTTAGAAAAGTATTGGCTGTGTTAAACACTTAACCTTACACTGGCTAAGAAATGCCTTATTAGTCTTTAATTTACTAGTCAGATTATCTGATAGGATGTCTCAGGAGATGGCATGATTTTCACAAATAGTCTACAATGTGTTGTTAACTTTTTCATCCTTATAGCTTTTCTAAAGCCTATCAACAGTTTTCTTTTCTCTCTTTCTCTTTTTTGCAGTATAATGTTTTATTTTTTAATTTTAAAACAATTGGAGTAAAAGTTATGTACATTCAAAGTGTACAGTGTGATGATTTGATATACATACATGTTGTATATTGATTGCCACAGTCAAATTAATTAACACATATGTCACTATCTATAGCTACTGTATGTGGGGAGATGGTCCTCAGTGAGTACACTTAAAATCTATTATCTGGATAAGTTTCAAGTAAGCAATACAAGTATTATTAACTGTAGTTGCCATGCTGTGCATAAGATCTTCAGAACGTATTTATCTTATAACTGCAACTTTGTACCCTTTGACCAACATCTCCCCATTTCCCCCACCCTCCCAGCCCTGGAAACCACCATTCTACTCTCTTCTTCTATGAATTTGACTATTTTAGATTCCACACATAAGTGATATTACACAGTATTTGTCTTTCTGTGTCAGGCTTATTTCATGTAGCATAATGTCCTTCAGGTTCATTCATGTTCTCACAAATAGGATTTCCTCCTTTTTTATGGCTGAATAATATTTGTGTGTGTGTGCGTGCACGCACGCGCGTGCACATGAGTGCATCACATTTTGTTTATCTGATAATCTATAGATGGACACTTAAGTTGTTTCAGTACCTTGGCTATTATGAATAATGCTGCAGCGAACACGGGGGAGCAGATACCTCTTAAGATACTGTTTTCATTTCCTTTGGATATATACCCAGGAATAGGATTGCTGGATTGTTTGATAGTTCTGTTGTTAATTTTTTTCAGAAACCGCCATTCTGTTCTCCATAATACCAGTACTAATTTACATTCCCACCAAGTGTACAAGGGTTCCCTTTTCTCCTCACCATCACCAACACTTGTTATCTTTTGTCTTTGATAAGTCGTCCTAATAGGTATGAGGTGCTATGTTGTGGTTTTCATTTGTATTTTCTTGATGATTAGTGATTTTGATTGTGTTTTCATATAGGAGGTCTTCAAAAAGTTCATGGAATATATGTATTATAAAAAAAATGCACATATTTCAAAAACTATTGTACCAAATTAAACTCATACTAAACTTGCTGTAATGTGTCTGAAAGAACTTAGTTTGAGGCATTGAGAAGAATAAGACATCACTTTGAAAAGAGCAACATGAATTTTGCTAAAATTGAAGCAGGAACAAACATCACATTTATGGTAAAGCTTGGGTAGAAGAATGATGAAATCATTGGTGCTTTTTGAAAAGTTTATGGGGACGATGTCCCAAAGAAATCAGCAATTTACAAATGGGTAACTCATTTTAAGACAGGACAAGACAATGTTGAAAGTGAAACCCACAGCAGCAGACCATCCACATCACTTTTTGAAGAAAAATTAATTTTGTTCATGCCCTAATTGAAGAGGACTGATGATTAATAGTAGAAATGGTAGTCAGCTTCATAGATGTCACATGCAATTGGTTGAGCTCACTCAATTCTGACTGAAAATTAAAGTTGAGCAAACTTTCCATTTGATGGATGCCAAAACCGTTGCTCCCAGATCAACTGCAGACAACAGCAGAGCTTTCAATGGAAATTTTAAACGAGTGAGATCAGGATCCTGAAGCATTTCTTCAAAGAATTATAACAGAAGATGAAACATCACTTTACCAGTGTGACTGAAGACAAAGCACAGTCAAAGCAATGGCTACCAAGATGCGGACGTGGTCCAGGAAGAGCAAAAGCAGGCTGGTCAAGAGCAAAGATCATGGCAACAGTTTTTTTGAGTGCTCAAGACATTTTGCTGGTTGACTTTCTGGAGGGCCAAAACAATGATAATATCTGTTTATTATGAAATTGTGTTGAGAAAGTTTGCCAAATTATTAGCAAAAAAACACCTGAGAAAACTTTACCTGAGATCCCTCCTCCAACCCAACAGTGCTTCTGCTCTTTCCTCAAACAAGGGCAATTGTGAGTTTCAATGGGAAGTCATTAAGCATCTAATTTACAGTCCTCATTTTGCACCCTCTGACTTCTTTTTGTTTCCTAACGTTAAACAATTTTAAAGGACACCCATTTTTCTTCAGTTAACAGTGTAAAAGAAGCTGCATGGACATGGTTAAATTCCCAGGACCCTCAGATCTTCAGAGACCAAGTAATGGCTGGTATCATTACTTAGCAAGTTGCCTTAACCTTGATGGAGCTTATGTTGAGAAATAAGTTTGCACATTTTTAAATTTTTATCTTTTAATTCATATTTTCCATGAACTTTTTGAAGTTTCCTCATATACCTGTTGCTCGTCTGTGTATCTTCTTTGGAAAAATGTCTATGCAGGTCCTTTGTTCATTTATTAATCAGATTTTTTCTTTTTTTCTTTTTTCTTTTTTTGCTATTGAGTTGTATGAGTTCCTTCTATGTTTTAGATGGTAACCCCTTTCTGCTCTTATATAGCAGAATGTCTTCATGGATGTCAATTATTTTGTGAATTCTTGAGAAAGTTCACATTTAGCTCCTTGGCATTTGCTAACCAACAAAGTATTAGTTTGCTTTTGGTCCCTTGATGCGCATCAAATCTCATTGTCATATTTTTAGCTGGGCATGTACATAGCCTCTTACCTATTGTCCAGTACCCAGTGGTTATTAGTCTACTGGTACCTTCCTGGGTAGAAGGGGGAAAACTGCTCCTATTTTCCTCTTAACTAATTATAAGAAAGACTAAACATATCCTAGTAATCCTAAGTCAGACTTTATATTTTATTTGACAACAAAGCATGGAAACTACAACCTCCAAAGTTTATTGTTCCCAGGGTTCTTCTTGACTACTCTTCACTCATCTGTCTTTATCATGAGATGATCTCCACCTTCCACAATGTCGTTTGCCACTATCCATTCCCTCTCTAGCCATGTGTGTCCTTTCTGCCATTCTGCATACTGGAAGTTGTAGTTGCTGAGGAGATGCAAAATCACAAGTTCTCATAGTGTGGGTTGTGAGGGTATCTCAGGCATCAGTTCCTGAGCAGTAAGAGAGGTTGCTACTTTACTTTCAGGCTAGATGTAGACCTTGATTATCAACTTAGGAGCAAGTAGCAACTACTTTTCACGAAGCCACTGGCATTTAGTCAAACTTTGTGTTTGCTTTCTTGTTTTTACATGGGCATTGTAAATAAAAACCCAAATACTGAATTTTATAAAGATCAGGGCTTTTCTTTGTAAAATTGCCCCATTATCCTACCCCCATGAAGTAAAAAAAAAAAACTTTAAATGTGTCTCCTTCTATAATTTTTAATGCTCACAGAAACATACATGTACCTGTATGCTTGTTTGTGTGTGTGTTTGTGTTTTTTAATCTAGAGCTTGGATTTTCTTTAATGTGTTATTTCCAGTCTGAGATCCATCACAAACATTATCACCACAATTTAACTAATTATTTATTATCTCTGCCCAGCATCCCACAGCTTGAATGTATTATAATTTTTAAGTTACTTACCTGAACACTTACATTGTGTTTACATTTTTGGCTGTATGCTCTAAGGATCATTCTCATACACATGCTCTTATGTGTTTTGCAATTATTTTTGCTGAATAGAATTCTAAATTTACTGGCTGTAAGATTCTGATAGGTACAGCCAAATTGCCTACTAAAAAAAGGGCAATGGGGAGATAGATAACTCGCCTTCTTTCATTTACAATGTGTTTGAGAGGTTTTTGTTTTTGTTTTTTTTGTCTTAGGTTTGTTTGTTTATTTGTTTCTCCTTTGACATTATAACTGGATACTGGAAAGAAGCCTCTCACTTAAGGCAAGACAGACACCTTTGAAATGTAGTTGCCTGATCAATATTTTTTTAAACATTGCATGTACTATAGGAAGTTTCTTCCTCTAGGAACTCCTTCTACCTTTTAAAAGGAGAAAATTCTGAATGCATTTACTGCAATTTCCGTAGAGGAAATTATTTTGATACATATTTACTGTCCCGTCAAATGCTTGAAATACATACATGAATTTTCCAGGAAATCTTGAATAGGAATTGAAAGATTAGACAGGTTAAAGTAGATAGCAGTAATAGTTGTCTCTTTCTTCCTTGATAAATATGGGTAAAGCTAGAGAAAATATGTTGTTTGTGTTGCCAGAAGCAGAGAATAGGTATATTGCTGTCAAAATGGGAAAGGAAAAACATTTGCAATTCTGTTCAATGCCATGAGTTTGATACCTGACCCCCAGATAATTTTTCAAAACTCCTGTTTCAGCCTCTTTTTAGCCAACTTGGATTATTAGGAGTTCTTAGCATTTACATGTGTGGGTATGAATCTTTTTATTTGTACTGTTTCAATGTACTATTTAAACAAAGACAAGCCATTTATTATTTATTCTTCTGTTTTCATGTTCATGAAGATAGAATAATTTCCACATAATTGAAATTAGAGCATGACTGCTAAAATAAAGTTTGCTGAGTATTTAGAAACCCTTGGAGGGAAAGGCAATTTTAGCATAAATTAATGCCTTTTGATTTACATTTTGTAATATATTTTTAATTTCACTTTTAAAGCTGAATTTGAATGCATGCATTTTTGTAACTTTTGTCTTTCAGATGTAAACTTCTTACTATACAAGATAGCTTAGGTAAATGGCTATGAGAGTGCACACCATTTTCAGTCGTGTAATTTCCTTTTTTTAACTGTGTACGTATTCTAATTTTAATGTCTGGTTGTTCATCTTTATCATTTGTTTAAAAAGTAGAAAAGCATTCAAAAATACACATTTATATACATACATATATGTGATTATATATATTTGTAAATATGCTTCACATATATTGAAGAGTAAATTATAATGTTCTTTTCTAAATATCTTGGTTTTTCCCACATCCTGCAGCCTTCCCATTTGCTACATTCTCTGTTCAATCACAATAACATTAACATACAGGGAGAATATTTATATACAGGCTTCTCCTAGATCAACAATATCTTCCCCGATGGCTGGGCATAATATTATGTGTCGCAAATACCAGGGTTTTAGAATTATGAGTTGTCAACTAAAAATAATGAGTAAGAAGAGAGAATTATCAGGTCTCACATATGAACTTCATCTGTCCATGGTACCTTTCCACTTGACGAAATCACTTACAACTTCAAACTCAATATTTCATAGATAAGTGTCATCACCTTCCCCCCAAATACAACCCAATTTTTCATCCTGCAGACTTCAAACTGTGGAGTCAGCTTTGATGCCCTTCTTTTGACTCAGTGACTAACATGTAATAATATGATAACAAAGTCAAAGTCTCTCTGATTCTTCCTTTCTTTTCACACTGTTGCCATCCTACATCAAAATTCAACGCTTCTATTAATGAAAATTTCCCTTCCTGGTTTTGTCTACAATCCTAGCATCTGGCACTGCATTTGACCACATGGTAGGAATTGAATCAATATTCATTGAATGAGTACATAAACACTACAAGATTCATTTTATTAATTTGATTAAAATGCAGCTCTCATCAGGTTACTTTGCTGAATGCAGATTTCTAGTTCATCTCAGCTATCAAGAGAGGAAAAATGAAACTTCTCACCTTAGTTTTTAGGGCTCTTTAAGATCTTGCTCTCTTAATTTTACTTTTATCACTGCTCTAACTGTGAATGCTCTCTGTTGCATTTATGCTGCTTTAAAATTTCCCTTAGTATTTCACGCTTCATCCCAAGCCTAGCATGCATCGTTCCTGTATACTGTGTTTTCATGCCTGGTTTGCTTACTCTGAAATGGCCTATCATGTCTAGCCTCCCTCCCTAAGCCTAACCTTAGGCTTAACTGAAGTTTCTGTACTTAAAAGTTCCATTAGTCAACTTTAGTCCATAGTAGTATTCTATCTCCTTCCTTGGCACATTTACTGTTTTAATGGTCTCTCTCTCTCTCTCTCTCTCTCTGTCTATCTCTCTCTCTCTTTCTCTCTCTCTCTCTCTCCTCTGTTTAACACTGATGCTTTTCTAACTCACAGAAGTAAGAATCCCTTCCCTTCTCTTGGAGAGTACAGATATACTTTAATGAATGGTGGGAAAGGTAGGTAGAGTTTATGAGCCCACTGTAGGTAGAGGATAGAGATGGATGAAACGGCTAGATGAATGGAGGGAGACGGTTGTTGTTGGATAGGGAGGTGCTCAACTCAAGAGGGCCTGAAAGTGGAGAGAGTTTTTGTTAACCCCAGAGAGTAGCCTCTGAGAGAGGGAAGTAAGTTCACAAAAAAAGACTGCAGACATGAATGTTTCCTTCTTCAAAATTTGACCTTAATATAGCCTAGCCTGATGTTTCCTGGGCAGGAGAAATAGAATAATCTCACAGCACCGTTCTCGTGCTTTCACTGCATTAGAAGTTTTCTCAAGTACCTTTAGGTGAAAGTCATGTAACTTCATTACACCCTGCCATGCTACATTGTCTGGCTTATAAGGTATTTATTTTAGGGCCATCAGTCACTGAATTTCTGTGTAAAATGAACTCATGTCTCTTGTCGCAGAATAAGCAATTGTTTGAACTATCTTGACTAAACTATTTATTTAGGCACCTAACCAATTGATTAAATAATACCACTGGACTAAGATCCTTTGTTCTTCCAGCAAAGTACAGCACAGTTTGGTCCCAGCTCACCACTCCTGCCTCATTTCATACTGTGTTCCTACTGCCTTTGCCTTTCTGCCACTCTGGCCTTTCAGTTTCTCAGATGCACTAGGTTTCTTCTGAACACGGGATCTTGGCATACGCTCTCAATCTGCCTGAAACTTTGCTTTCCTTGCCTGTGTAGCTCTCTCCACTATCTCAGACTAGGTCATATTCCCCTATTGTAAGTATTTTTGGCTTCCTGTACCTTTCTCTCATGGTCTTTACCACGGGTATGATATTACATTTTTAAATGATTACTTGATTAATGTCTATCTTTCCTACTAAATTTAAAGTTCCTTGAGAGTGTATTGGTTTTTGCACATTTTTGCATCCCAGTGCATGGCACCTACAAGGCACTCAATAAATAACTATTAAATTCAGTGAACTGGGAATTTAAATTTCATTTGTGAATCCAGTTATTTACTTCATAGATACAGATTTATTCTGTTACATTGTTATCCCTGTTATCTAAACCTTCTAAAACACAAAAGAAACCAAACACATCTGAAAGGGCTTCTAAGCATAAATAGTTGAAAGCATAAATATAGTTATCTGTTTAGTCAAAAATTGATGTTTGTCTTTTGTCTTTTGTACAGTAGAGACAGTTCTTTAAAGATATGGTAACTTTCTCACGCTGCATGGTTTGGGAACTTTAAATACACTTTTAGTATCATTATATACCCACTTCCAAGCAAGAGTATACACAGAAAAGTCTGAAACATCCCCAAAGCCTTTTTCATTTCAATACAGGGAGCCTAATGATTTTACTAGGCAACTTTGTTATACAGAGTTTTCTCAGTAGAGTGAATGCTAAATCAGTTATCCGGCAAGTTCATGTTAAAGGAAAGATGTTCAAAGAGTTATTCCACAGGCTTCTCATACCTAGATCTTCAAAGTGTACCTGCGTGGTTTAGTGATATTAAACTATAAATAATTTGAAGGAGAGAGAGAAGTTTGATGGCTTAATAAAAAAGGGGTCAGTTTTTTTCTGGACACTGAGGTTGCTGGATGCAGAGATACTGTTTATAAAGATAAGGCTTTTCCTCCCTTTGTAGCTGATTTTGTGAATTTCTTAGAAATACCTGCTCTGAATTTCTTACTTCTTTTCTGAGTTTACCCATAAACCAAAAACTACATAATATTTGAGTGCAACTGCAGAGAAAAATGTATCCATGATGAATGTCTTTAACTCCTCCCTCTTGCTCATGAGACATATCCAGCCAAGCAGCAAGTACTGACCGTTGTGTCGCATGAGTAAGGCTTGGCTCCTACTTTACTTCTACCTGTTCACCCTGGGAATATCCTAGCTCAGCACCAATAACTTCTGAAGCATTTCCCCCCCACCAATTGCCCCACTCACTGTTGGCATGGTTGCTTCTGAAATGCAAATCTGAGTACTCCTTCATTTAAAACATTTAAATTGCTTATGATAACAGCAAAAAATGAATATAAAATTTTTACTATATAGCAAGTACTGGTCCAAGTATTTTTTATATATGAACTCATGATTATGCCTTGGAACAGTAAATCTAGAAACTATTGATAGGGACAGGAGGCAGGTAAATTCTGGGCAGAAGAGGGTGGGTCCCTAGTGAGGGCCCCAAAGCCTGATACCACAGCCCAAAGTGAGAACTTACATCCTGTTTTCCCACTTGAATGTTGCCTTTTCCAAAACCACCCATGGCCCGCCCCATCCCCCATCATGTGCCCATAAAAACCCTGGACTCAGCCAGTAGAGAGGAGGAGAAGCAGTTGGATGTTGGAGACTACAGTTTGACCATTGAAGAGAAGCAACTTGACTTCAGAGGGACAGCTTGATGGCATAGCTTCAGAGAGGAGTCTGGTCGGGGACAGCTGGACTTCAGGAAAAGATTACCTTCCTGTTGTATCCTCCTTTCAGCTCCCCTTTACACTGAGAGCTCCTAAATTTACCAAATTCAGTTTATTCGTCTGACCTCATTCTTCCTGGATGTTGGGCAAAAACTTGGGTGCCGTAAGTGTGGGCGCAAAAGGCTGTCACACTGACCCTCCACTGAGCTGTTAACACTTAAGCCATCCACAAATGGCAAAACTAAAGTGTTACTATACGTAACACTCCTTCTGGGGCTTCAGGGGTCGTGGGCACCCCCAACCCCCATCCCCCCCACTGCCCTTGCCTAATGCTGCTGCAGGGCCCTCATGGAGTTTTGCTCCTGCTGGCACCCAAAAGTACTCACCCCAGCTCCTGTACCTGCTCACCTGTGCTCCCTGTCCTGCAAGTGGTTGAGAGCTGTGGGCTGAGTAAGCAAGGCACCCCTGTTGCAAGGCTCGCAAAGGGGTCAGGGCGATATCTGGCTTCACTATCAGTCATCATATTAGTATAATCATAAAGCTGACATTAATTGAGTGTTTATTTTGACCAAGCACTGTCCTAAGCACTTTACAATATTAACTCATGTATCCCTAAAAATAACCAGATAAGTCTGGTTATTTTGGTATGGTTTTTTTTTCACTATTATAAATTAATTAAATCATTAAGTAGTGGTTAAATAACTTGCCCACCATCATATGGCTAAGCAGAGAGGTGGCATTCAAACCTAGGCAATTTACCTCCATCCAGAGTCTGTGTTCCGAAGCGCTGTTCATACTGATTTTCCAAGTAAGCTCCCTAATTTTGTAGCCTGGCACACAGTGCACATTTGGTTCTCTTTTCCAACCTCGTATTCACTAGGGTTACATTTGCCTATCTTGCATTTTATTCTGTCACACGGAACTAAACAAATGCTGTCTTAAATGGATTCTTCACCTAGACCAGCTTGACTAATTCAAGCACTCTGTTTATTCCTCTGTACAACATTTGTCTGAGGTCTGTGACCTAGAATGTTCACAACTAAAAGGTTACTCTGTAGTCATACTATGTACTTTTGTTTCCACCAGCTAAAATGTTTGCATTAAAAAATCAGTGGTGATTATTCCCAAACATGCTAGTTGTACCTATTATTGTAGCAATCTAGTGTAATTAAATATATGAAACATGAGTAAGAAAAAAACAGCCAAATGTTTTGAAAGACTAACTTTTAATGAGTTTTCTTTTTTTAAATGGCTGTCAAATGTGGTGAGATAACTGTGAAAGGCTGGGGAAAAATTTGTAAAAATCTAGAATCGTTCTGTACTCAGATTTGGTCACAAATATCTTTTTCATTCCAACGTAAAGAAACTGAAACTGGCAGTGGTAAATAGTGCAGTATGGGTGTGGTGTATGACAGAAAGATTTTTCAGAACTTCAACTTATGGATTCATACACAAAGAGAATGACTTCTTATTTCAAAAGATTGGTAAATAAATTGTGTATTTCATGTTTTATAATTCAGTGTTATGATTAAGAAGTGAGAGTATGATAAATTCCATGCCTTTGCCAACTTTAAAAAAATCAAGCTGACAACTATCAGTTTGTATTGTTTTGAATGAGAGGATTTCTAATTGTTGAGGTATGGTACCATATGTGACATCACACTTACAGTCCAGCCAAAGTACAGAATTCAGGGTTCTTCTAATATTAACCTACGATGTACTTTATGATCTCTCATCTTTTGCCATTGAACATGCTTTCCTTCTGCCCAAAATGCCTTTTCCTAAACTTCTTTACCTGATAAGTTCTATTTATCCTTTAGTTTTGGATATTACCTGCTCTAAAATTTTTGCAGACCTCCCAAGACCAGCTAGATCCTCTTATATATATTTGAAACAACTACTCAGGAAAAAAAAAATGTAACAAAAAATTGAAGGGAAAGAATGAGTGTATTCATCCTTTTTATTTTTTTCTTTAATGGGGATAAGACAGTTTTCAAAAATCTAATTTTAAGGATGGTAAAAAGTTAAACTTTCCTAATCCTAGCATGTTATTCTTAATAAATCTCTAAGGCAATCACAGACTTGACAATGATTTAAACATTAATGATAATATTGTAGTGCTGAGGATGGAAGTCATATGACAAGGGAATCTTGCAAAATTTTGACTTGGAAATGATTTGACCCAAAAACTTGTTATTTTTTACATATTATGGTCAGGTTGATCATTTGTAGGAGAGAAGTCCCATCAGTAATAGATACACTACTGCAAGGCAGGTCCCTAAATGTGAACACATAACTAAGTGAAACAGCAGGTGGTAAGTAGAGTTTAGGTGATTGTAGAGGTTTCCATAGTAAGCATATTTTATCTGATCAAAGTGGTATTTTGTAACCATGAAAAGAATATAATTGTAAGCATTTATTATCTAAGTGGGATGATTTTTGATAAGGGTGAAACAGGATTGCTTTTGTTCAAATGAGATAGATATCCAATCAGAAGATATAGAGATTATATTAATTATGTGGTTCCGGTGCTTAAGAAGTAAAACAGGCCTCTCTTGGACTCACCTTCACTGACAAATCGCAATTTAGCCTAAGATGCACTAGAGCTGTAAAGCTGAAGTACTTACATGCTTTGCTTTCCTAGTGATCCTTCTATGGCAAGCCCATAAAACAAGGGGATGAGTTGAATGTAATTAGGTCTCAGTAAGAAGCAAGCTATAGTAATCTGTTTTGTTTAAGGTAGTGGAATAAAAACAAGCGTATAGCTAGGAATAGAACAAATCAGAACACAAACCCTGGGAATAAATCCATGCATATAACTGATCTTTGAAAAGGATGCCAAGAATACACAATGGGGAAAGGTATTCTCTTCAACAAATGGTGTTGGGAAAACTGGATATCCACATGCAAAATAATGAATGGGCCCTTATCTTGTACCATACACAAAAGTCAACTCAGAGTGGATTAAAGAATTCAATGTAAAACCCAAAACAGTAAAGTTCCTAGAAGAAAACATAGGGGAAAAACTTCATGACATTGGTCTTGGCAGTGATTTCATGGATATGACACTAAAAGTAAAGTCAATGAAAACAAAAATAAACGAGTGGCACTATGTCAACTAAAAATCTTCTACAGAGCAAAGGAAACAATCAACAGAATGAAAAGACAACCTGTGGAATGGGGGAAAATATTTACAAACTATATATCTGGGCTTAATCTATATGCAAACCACAAATGCGGGGTTAGTCTCTAAAATATGTAAGGAACTCCTACAACTCTATAGTAAAACAAACCAAAAAATTTGATCAGAAAATGGGCTAAGGACTTGAGTAGATGTTTCTCCAAAGTAGACATACACATGGCAAACCGCTTACATGAAAAAAAAAATGCTTAATGTCACAAATCAGAGAAATGCAAATCAAAACCACAACGAGATACCACCTCACACTTGTGAGGATGACTATTATAAAAACAAAGGCAATGAATATTGGTGAAGGCGTGGAGAAATTGGAACCCTTGAACACTGTCGGTGGGAATCGAAAATAGTACAGCCACTATAGAAAACAGTATGGAGGTTCCTACAAAAAAAAAAAGTGAAAACAGAGCTACTATATGATCCAGCATCAGCATCTTAAAGAAATATATGCACTCCTATGCTCATTTTAGCACTTTTCACATCAGACAGCATATAGAAACAACCCAGATGTCAATCAGCAGGTGAATGGATAAAGAAAATGTTGTGTAGACATACAATGGAATACTATTCTTAAAAAGAAGGAAATCCTGCAATATGCAACAACGTGGATGAACTTGAGGACATTATGCTAAGTGAAATAAGCTAGTCACACAAAGACGAACCAATATTACATGATTTCACTTACATGAGGTATCTAAAATAGTCAAATCAATGGAATCAAAGGGTAGAATGGTGGTTGCCAGGAGTTTACAGAGGGGAAAATGAAGAGTTACTAATCTGCAGGCATAAAGTTTCAGATAAGCAAGATGAATAAGATCTAGAAATTCAGAAATCTGACATATAACATTGTACCTATACTCAACAATAATGTATCCTACACTTAAAAATCTGTTGAGAGAGTATATCTCATGGTAAGTGCTTTTACCACAATAAAATTTACCCAAAAGAAATACACAGCCACATACCACGTATACTCAAATATTGCCCCGTAATCAGTGTTAGCCTGGTGTGTGTGGCAAGCAAGGGTGCCACTCTGGGGGAACCTAATTGTATTGAATTTATTGAAGAATGGCTTTCATCAGTCGCTGGCTGTTCAGCTGAGTCCATTTGGCCCTCAGGCTGCTAGTTTCAGAAGGATAATTAAGTATAATCTTGTCACTTTTTTTATTAACACCCTTCAGATGTTCCCCATTGCCTACAAAATAGAGTCTGTACTCTTTTTTTTTTTTTTTTTTTTTTTTTGAGACGGAGTCTCGCTCTGTCGCCCAGGCTGGAGTGCAGTGGCGCAATCTCGGCTCACTGCATGCTCCGCCTCCCGGGTTCACGCCATTCTCCTGCCTCAGCCTCCCAAGTAGCTGGGACTACAGGCGCCCGCCACTACGCCCGGCTAATTTTTTTTTTTTTTGTATTTTTAGTAGAGACGGGGTTTCACCGTTTTAGCCGGGATGGTCTCGATCTCCTGACCTCGTGATCCGCCCGCCTCGGCCTCCCAAAGTGCTGGGATTACAGGCGTGAGCCACCGCGCCCGGCCGAGTCTGTACTCTTTAGATTGATATTAAAGTCTCTCTACGGTCCATCCCCAACCTACAACCTACGTTTGGTGGTTTCCATTAAACCACATTTCAGACAAACCAAAGAACTCAGGGTTTTTCCAACATGAACCCTTGATACTATATATATATATATATATATATTTTATCATTCATGACATATTTATATTTTATTTTTCTAATTTTCCAGATCAGGATCAGCCCAATCAGAATTAATCTTTTTTTTTTAAAGGAGTATGGACCATTAGTTAAGTGTACAGGCTTTTAGGTATCTGGGTTTAATTACTGTTTTTTGTTTGTTTCACAAAACCTAATTTACTGTCACTTATTATTTTTTCTATAATTAATAGTAGGCTGTTAATATCATTATTATATTTTGAATCTACCATTTATCACATTTTTTTGGTGTTTTTTCTATACTTATCTCTTAAACATAAGGTTTTTGAGGTCAGAAGCTTTGTCATACTTAAAATTTTAATCCCCCTTAACCCTCCAAAATCATGTACATTTTAGATATCTTTTTTTATAAATGTAGACTGAGTTGACTTGATAGAATTCTACCTTACTAATCATGTTAAAATTACCATAACTTGTGGCAAATCCAAATACTGTGTCTTTCAATAATGTTTATCTTTCATATAGTCTTATAGCTTTGATGCAAATCAGTCTATAAAGTCTGTAAAATGAATCCATTCAGATAGTACTTCTGCCATGTATCTAATTCTGCCAAATATCTGTACTTTATATCTACTTCAGATATATCTAAAATTTCTTTGAGATATTTTAGTTTGTAATCAGAATCTAAGCCATCATTTTTAAAAAAATAATCTGTTATGTTACTGATTGAATTTCCTACTAAATATGCAAGACAAAATAGTCTTCACTTAATCAGGATAGCAACAAATAGCCTTCTTAAATAATATTACTTATATGCAATATCTGTATCCAGATTGAATTCCACTTTTTCTAAAAATGTAATTGTAAATGAAGCTTCCATCAGTATGGGTAAAATGTCCACAAGGGAGAATATAAAAAGAAGTCCTGAAATGTGTTAGTCATCGGTTTGGTTTTTAGACTTAATTTTCACAAAGTAAGTGTAGCACTGTTGACAAACTAACCTCTCCAAGCCTCAAATTTTTTATCTATAAAATGACTGTGTTACCTGAAGATATCTGAAATCCTTTTCAATTTAAGATAGTATATGAAACTGTTACCGAAATGAGGGAAATAGCAACCCTTAATTGTTTATGGTATTCTAGAGGACTACTACCAGAATCCATACTCATTCAATGAATATCCATTTAGTCAGTATATATTTATTGAATATGTATTGAAAATACATACAGGCACAGTTTTAGGAATCAGGAAGACAGTGCTAAAATCTCTACCTTCGTGGAATTTGCAGTTAAGTGAGGAAGACAGACAAAATATCAGGTAAACAGTGGATAGATTATAAACCCAGGAGTAGTGAAATACTATGAAGAAAAGTATGCTGAAGAGTAGAGTGTGACAGGAGGAGCTATTTTAAATAGAGAGAAGATATTTAAATAGGAATATAGAACATAAATTAGGTTAGAAAATAAGTCTGAAGAAAGAGCATTCCAAGCAGAGAACAGCAAGTGAAGCAACAGCCACATTTAGAAGGGCCCTTGGTATGTCTGGAGGAACATTGAAAAGGCCAGTGTGGTTTCAGTGGAGTGAGCAAGAGGCGATGAGGCCAAAAGTGTAGCCATGGCCAGATGGTATAAGACAGTAATTCCCAGAAGGAACAATCCACACATACCGCCTCCCACCACCCCGACCCACCCTCTGGACATTTGGCAACGTTTGGAGACATTTTTAGTTGTCACAATAGCAAAATGGATGCTACCAGCTCTAGTTTCTGGAAGCCAGCGATACTACTCAACATCGTAAAATGGACAGAAGCACCTCCTAACTATTGTTTGGCTCAAAATGTCCATAATGTTAAGGTTGGGAATCTCAGATACAGGGCTTGTAAGCCAAAGTAAGCAGTTCGTATTTTATTTTAACTGTGATGGGAATCCACTGGAAAATGTTCAGTAGGGCAGAAGGATGACATGGTTGGATCTGTTGTGTGGAGAATGACTAAAGATGGAGGAGAAGAGAGACATGAAAACTAGTGAGGAGGTGACTGCAAGAGTCCAGGAAGGAGAAGTTGGTGGCTTGGACCAGCATGGACGCTAAGGAGGAAAGGAGCGAGATTGTTGTTCTTCAGATATAAGTAAATTGAATCCTGGATTTTTTTTGCCTTTTTTGCTATGGTTTTCTGTCTGGCTTTAAAGTTTCATGAAGTGATTTAGATCATTTAACAATTTACATTTAGAGGACAACAGCTGGCCTACATGGCAGGGTGTCAAGGGGATGTATTTACGGAGGATTGACTCTTCAGTTGAGATCTTCACAACAATATGAGAAATTGCATCTTTCAACGATTCACTTTATCCTCTTGAATCCAATTTCTTATGGGTCAGACATATACCATATGAACCCAGTGGAGATAGAAGTCAATTTTATGCTGTTTATTATTATTTGGGGTTACATTTAAAGTTTGAAAACATTATCAAAAATGATTTCCTGCTCTTCCTATCTGAATGGAACATTCCCTGATTTTTCTCTTTCATAAAGAAAAAGTCAGGCTTATAATTGAGCATATTTCTTGGAAGTTGAGAACTTTGTTCTCCAATTATTGTGGCTTAGGTGATTGATAGCAAACATTCAAAAACATACAAAGATAAACAAAAATATTCAAAGTTCTACAAGGCACAAAATAGCCTAGAACATTTTATGTGAGCTTTATGTTTAATAGCAAACATACAGGTGCTCTGATCCATAACTCCTTTCATGCTTTGTAGCCCAGAGAATTCATAGGTTAGCACCCTGCCACCCGCCATGTACTAGTAAAACAAAAATGTCCTATATTGAGAAAGAAAAATAGATCTGACTCTAAACAATTCACTGCCCTACATTCATATGAATGCTGGTAGTCTGGGTATTGTAATATGGGTTTGTAATATAGGTTCATGTAGGCTGAAGCAATTTGGGCTTGAATTAGCAAGAATTCCTTATTTGATATTCTATAAAACTTATTTTATTCTTATTTATATTTAATGAAGAATAATCTATAGCTGCCAAATATGGAATGTAGTATGGCAATTCTTTTAAGAAGTCATTGTATTCTCTTTCTGTAGTACTATTGTTCTTGTGAAACTGTTGGAATAATTTATATAAAGGAATATTCAGTTAGAAAAATACATGATAATAGCAAACTAATCTTTGCTGACTTTGATAAGGTAGCTCTATTATTTTGCACCATTGGTCACGTAAAACGAAGGATTCCAATTCAAATTTAACCACATTCTAGTGGGTTCTTGTAATGCATTTGTATATAGAAATGTTATTAGTAGATAATTAAAACATAAAAAGAAGGGTTAAAAAGCCAAATGCAAAGGTCATTCAAAAGATACTGTATCGTTCTGTACTTTGAAGATCAAATAGTTTCATAATCATTGCAGGCAATAAATAATGAGTTGAGTTAACAGAGAAATTATTAAAAAATAAAATTACAAGCTCTATAAAGATCAAAAGAAAAGAAAGCACATCAGTCAGTTCATATGTCTTGATTAAAGAGTTGTCTTTGTGGCCCCGAAGGCCTAAAAAGTTAAAAATATTATTAACTCTGAAATAGGAGCACAAAGGCAGGTTTCCTGAGCTTCCCACCTAGAAGAGGATAACAAACTTTATTGTAATGACTGTGTAGATTGGTTGCTAAGTTCTTTATTTAAAAAAAAAAAAAAACAAACTCAGGAAAAAGAGCTGATTTTCTAGCTGGAGAGTACCTTCTGATTCTTTATGAATTATATGACAGGAAGAGCCAGTGTAGACTCAGCCCATCAGTATGTGCCCCAACTCTTAAATCTTTCACTTGTAATTTTACTCACAGATGGGGAGCAATCTCCAGGGAAGTAGATAATGTGTTTTATTTGTTCTGGCTTTTGTGTTTGTGTTTTTGTTTTTGTGTTTTCTTTTGCCTCCCCAATCTATGCAATAAATAGCAAACTTTTTAGACTTCTAAGTATGAAGACATTTTAGTATATTACTTAAACAAAAGTGATTATTTTAACAGGCATCCTGTTAGAACCAGCATTTGAGAAATCCTTAGCTTAGCGTAGTGAGCAGCCAGTTGAGGGCCCTTAGCAACGGCAAAATGAAGGATATTTCCATGAACTTGATTCATCCTCTGTTCTTGCCCTCTAACATTTATTTACTGATGCATTCAGTCTCAGAGGGAAAAAACAAATGGGAGGATTCCTGGACATATTGCCCTTAATTAATACTCCTAGCTTTTATAAGTTAGTGTTTGTTTTCTTCTTTTTTAATTTCTGCTAATTTCACTGCTATGACACAATTATTGGTCTTTAAATCTTTATATATTGTATTTATATATGTATATATAAAATATTTTATGTCTATTGTAATTACTTTTTATATGAATCCACATATAATTTACACAAAAGCATAAATATGGTAACATCATAATGCTTTCTTTGGAAGTGTTGTATGATTGTTTCTCCCTTTTTTTTTGTCTATGCTCTTCCCTTTTTTACTTTCTTTTATTCTTATTGAGTTCTTTCATCCTTCACCCATGTCAACAACCCCTTGTGTATCTTCAATATAATTTTCTTTATACTAGGGTAATGATTCCCATATTCACATTCACATTTGCATATAGTGGCTTTTAAACCTTTCCTTTTTACAAAGGATAAATCATATCATGTGCTTTTCTGCTTTTCTATTCGATAATTTTTGAAAAAATCTCTGAAGTTAATTGATGGCTCTAATTTGTTCTTTTTATGGGTTATATAGCATTCCATGGTATGGACATACCATCATTTATTAAACCATCCTGTTTTAAGTATTATCTTTGCATCCAGATTTTTTGCCACTCTGAACAGTGTTATGAAAAACATTATTGTACCTGTGTCCTTACATAGTTATGTTATGGCACTATCCCAGGAGCAGAATTGCTAGATCTTAAGGCAAATGAATTTTTAAAATGTTATGGATGCTGCCAGATTGCTTCCAAAAAGATTATAACTCTTCCTATTTCTACCAGCAACGTGAGTGTACATGTTTCCTATACCTATGCCAGCAATATGTTTCAGCTGTTGGCTATAGAGTCATGTTTACTCTAATTTGTATTTTCCTGACTACTAGTGAATTTAAGCAGTTTTTCCTGTCTCATCTGTCACTTGCCTATTTGTATCTTTTATCCATTTTCAATTGGATTGTTTGTCTTTTTTAAAAATCATTTCATTATATATGCAACATCTGTACAACATTTACCCCCCATAGATACTGTTAATCTGTTGACTTCTGTATTTGTGGCACATTTTGCCTTTCAAAAATTTTTAATTTCAAAATACTGAGGTATTTTCGTATGTTATTTTACAGCATACCTTTTGCTTTTTAATCTTACTTTAAAAGGCTTTCCCCAATCCTACTTTATACATGTAGCTTCCAGATTCTTTATTTAAAATTGGCAAGAGGATCACTTGAGGCCAGGAGTTGGATGCCAGCCTTGGTAACATAGTAAGACCCTGTCAATACAAAAAAATAAAAAATAAAATTGAGGCATGGTGGCACATGCCTGCAGTCCTCGCAACTTGGGAGGCTGAGGTGGGAAAATTATGCATGCCCAGGAATTTGAGACTACAGCTGCAGTGAGCTATGGTCATGCCACTGCACTCTAGCCTGAGCAACGAAGCGAGACCTTGTCTCTAAAAAAAAAAAGCAGAATGCACTGAAATGTATTTTTCCCTATATAACTATCATACTAGCATATGCAAAAGACCTACAAACTAAATGAAGATGATGCAAACACCCAGTAAATTATTTTCAGAGAAGATTTTCTAAACAAATGCAATAATACCAATTATATGTAAAATAACATACGAAAATACCTCAGTATTTTGAAATTAAAAATTTTTGAAAGGCAAAATGTGCCACAAATACAGAAGTCAACAGATTAACAGTATCTATGGGGGGTAAATGTTGTACAGATGTTGCATATATAATGAAATGATTTTTAAAAAAGACAAACAATCCAATTGAAAATGGATAAATATTTTTTTTGAAAAATAAAATTATACTTAACAAGTTCACTATTGTATTTAAATTGGCTTGCCAGAAGTCATCCATAGAATAATGATATGATTCACTATTTGTATCCATGATAAAGCCCAATTTAACAATAGGTAAACTAATTATGGTATCTACACCTTTAACATTTTATGCAATCTATCATCATTTTAGCAAAAACTAAATTTAAATATATTTTCTTTACAGTGTGGAGTTATCTTTTCTATATTGAGTCAACTTATATAATGTCTGTAATTATGCTATAATTACAATAGTATTTTTACTATTTTACTAGGTTGGCGCAAAAGTAATTGTGGTTTTTGTCATTACTTTTTAAAATGTCAAAAACCTCAATTACTTTTGCACACAAATCTCATCTAATCAGGAGGCTGAGGTGGGAGGATGATTAGAGGCTAGGAGTTCAAGAGTAGCCTGGGCAACATAGCAAGACACCATCTCTAAAACATTTTTTTTAATTAGCGGGGCATGGTGGCACACACCTGTAGTCCCAGCAAAACATGATTGTGTTTGCATAAAATTCTGACAACTCTACAAAATAAAACTAGAATAAGAGAGTTTAGCAAGGCTGCAGGATAGAAGACCAATAGAGAAAAATCAACTGCCTTCCTATGTAGTACAATGAAAAACTGGGAGTTACAATTTTAAAATATCTTTTAAAATAACATTAAAACAGTAAATACTTAGATATTAATTTAAGAAAATATGTGCAAGACAGTTATGCTATCAGTCCCACAACAGAACAGAAACATCTTCAAAGACCTTTAAAATTGGAAAGATATGCTATGTTCATTAATCAGAACACTCAATGTTGTTAAGATGTCATTTCTACCTAAATTGCTCTATAGATTCAGTGCAATCCCAATCAAACTCCCAGCAGGCTCCTTTGCACAGACATGGACAGGGGATTCTAAAATCTGTTTGGAAATGCAGAGGACTTAGAATAGCCAAAGGGGTTTGGAAAGGAGTATAACAAAATTGGGGGACTCATTGCACCTGATTTCAAGACCTATAAAGCCACAATTATCATGGCAGTATGATATTGCTATAAACATCAATGGAACAAAATAGAGTCTAGAAAAAGACTCATCCATATAGGGTGATATGGTTTGGCTGTGTTCCCACCCAAATCTCATCTTGAATTGCAACTCCCACAATTCCCACATGTCATGGGAGGAACCCAGTGGAAAGTGATTGAATTATGGGGGCAGATCTTTCCTGCACTGTTCTCGTGACAGTGAATGAGTCTCATGAGATCTGATGGTTTTAAAAAGTGGGAGTTACCCTGCAAAAGCTCTCTTCTCTTGTCTGCCACCATGTGAGATGTGCCTTTCACCTTCCTCCATGTTTGTGAGGCCTCCCGAGCCACGTGGAACTTTAAGTCCAATAAACTTCTTCCTTTTGTAAATTGCCCAGTCTTGGGTGTGTCTTTATCAGCAGCATGAAAATGGACTAATACATAGGGTAAATTAATTTTAACAAAGTTGCCAATGGTAAGTCAAGGGAGAAAGAATAGTTTTTTCAAAAAATGGTACTGGAAAAATTGGATAACCATATGTAAAAAATTGAAATTTGAACCATACCTCAGACTGCATAAAAATTATTATAAATAGCCTAAAAGTATAAAACCAGACGAAGAAAACACAGGAGAAAAATCTTTGTGATTTTTGGGTTAAGCAATAATTTCTTATGAAAAACATGTATTTTAAAAGAAAAATGTTTTAAATAGACTTCATCAGAATTAAAAATGTATATTCTTTGTAGAAAAAAACTGTTAAAAATTTAAAAGCACAGAGATTAGGAGAAAATATTTACAAAACATATCTAATACAAAATTTATATCCAGATTATATAAAGAATTCTTACAACTCAGCAATAAGACAAATCACTAAATTTAATTTTTAAAAGTTGAATAGATAATTCACCAAAGAAGATGTGCAAATGACAGATAACATGAAAAGATGCTCAAATCATTAGTCATTAGGAAAATGCAAATTAAAACCATTATATGCCCCTAAAATGGCTAAAATGGAAAGAATGATAATATCAAGTGCTGGTGAGATGTGGAACAACAGAAACTCTTAAACATTGGTAGTCCCACTGCTTTGGAAAACAGTTCTGTAACCAAACACAGGTCCCATCCCTCACCCCTTGCAGTATCTAATTAACAATAGTGAGATCTGATAGAAAGTAACTTTACTCCTGAGGTAGCTGAGGGGAGGTATTATAGGCTCCTGCCTTGAGGGTACCACTTCAGTCTTCAGGACAAGAAGGCAGGGGCTTTTAAAGGGGGTTTGGCATGAATGACATGTAGGGGAGGGGGTGAGGAGGTACGGGGTCTTCGGATGTCTTACCTGTCAGGTGGTCTGGTTGGCACCAAGGTGGGTAGAGTCAGGTTGTAAATTGGGGCTACCTCCTGGTGGAAGAGAGTTCTGGAGGCACCTGGTTTGCTTCAAGGTAGGGTCTCTGGGACTTCTAAGTAAACTCATAGATAAGTTTGCCATGCCTGGTGGAGAGAAGGTAAAGGCTACATTTGCCTTCATTAAGAACCGAGTAGGAGGTGGGGGAAAAGAAAAAGAAAAAAAATCATTTTTTCCTTTTAAAAATAGGGTATTTGGCCACAGTTTTACAGTTTAAACATTCACGTACCATGTGAGCCAACCATTTCATTTATAGAAGAGAAATGAAAATGTGTCATACTTATACTGAAATGTTCATAGCTGCTTTAGTGTTCATATTCAAGAATTTGGGGTACTGTGCTCACTATCTGGATAATGGATTCATTCACATCTCAAACCTCAGCATCATGTAATATACCCATGTAAAAAACCTGCACATGTACCCCCTGAATCTTAAATAAAATATGAAATTATTTGTGTAAAAAGTCAAAAATTAGAAACATCTAAAGTGTTCATGAACTATTGTTTGACAAATTCTGGTACATTCATATAGTAGTATACTATTTTTTTAAAAAAGTAACAAACTACTTTGGTTTGAACAATGTGAACTGATCTCAAAAGCGTTAGACTAAAGTAAGAAGCCAGAAATAAAAGAATACGTATTGTGTGTTCCCATTTACAGTCATACCTTGTTTTATTGTGCTTCCCTTAATTGTACTTTGTAGATATTAAATTTTTTATAAATGTAAGGTTTGTGGCAACCTTGCATCCAGGAAGTCAATTGGCACCATTTTCCCAAAAGAATATGTTGGTTTTGTGTGTCTGTCAGCATTTTTTAGCAATAAAATATTTTTAAATTAAGGTATGTATTTTTAGATATAATGTTATTGCACACTTAATAAACTACAGTATAATGTAAACATAATTTTTGTAAGCACTAGGAAACCAAAAAAGTTGTGTGACTTTCTTTGTTGCAATATTGCTTTATTTATTGATTGAGGTGGTCTGCAATTGAACCGACAATATATTGAACGTATGCCTGTATGTAAAATTCTAGAAAAGGCAAAACTGTAGTGACAGAAAGCAGCATAACAGTGATTGCCTGAAGCCAAGGATGAGGGTGGGGTAGATTTCTCACAGAGAGACATGAAGAAACGTTTTTGGGTAACTCAAGTGTTTCATATCTTGATGTAAATAGTGATTATGTGACTGTTGATTTTTAAATTCATTGAGTTGTATAGTTAAGATTGCCGAATTCTATTTCATGTAAATTATACCCCAATAAGGGAACTCTATTGTCAATTTAATTTTATTATTATTTTTTTAAGGTAGTCCATGTTTTTTCTCTGGAAGCTTTTCAGAATTTGAGGTTGGGAGTAGTGAGACTTCAGTGTTCTACAATTTCATTACAACGTATGATAGTTTGATTTTTGCTTGTTATTTGCACTGATTCCAGAACCTGCATTTGTAGTGGTCAAAGGAAAACTTCCCTTTAGCCCTCTGAAAATTGACTGAAAAGTGACTGACAAAAGGCAGATTAATAGGAGCGAAGGCATACAAAGTGCCGTGGAGGGTTGGGTCACAGAGCAAGTACACCATGCAGCGGAGTACAGACCATTTTATACCCTTCTTTTTAGGGGGAAGGGAGATGGGGAAGTGTGGATAATTTTAGGGTGGTAATAGATGGTTTTTATGGGAATTCAATGGGGTTGAACATACAATGGCCTGAGACAAGTTGGACCCACAAAGCAGACGATGGTTTGTGACCAGTCTGTTCAGGTATGTTGAGACTTCAGACTTTTTTCCTGCGATATGAGTTCAGTTAATGAAAACTCAGGGAACGGACCAGAGGTAACCATTTTCTTCTGAGCCAGTCTGGACTTCAGGGAGATAAGGGAACGTCAGGGAACAGCTTCATCATGAGCTTTATTTAGGAGAGACAATGGGTTGAGAAACAGGAGGTGGAAGGAGGTCAGAGAGACCTCGAGGCTTCTTCAGTTTAGCACATCAAAGTGCCGTATTTTGGGATATCAATTTCTGAGGCCCAGCACATTTATTCATTCATCAATTCTGGAAAATCCTCTACCACTATCTCTTCAAATATTATCTATTCCTTGTTTCTTTTTATTCTCTTTCTTTGGAACTTTGATTACACAGATGTTACATTTTCTTACAATGCTTCCCATATCTTTCTAATGTCTCTAATATTTTCCATTTCTTTAGCTCTCTGTATTGAATTCTACTCCAGTTCATTACTTCTTTCTTTAACTCATGGTAATTTGCTTTTTAACCCACTTATTTAGTTATATATTTTAATTTTTAGAATTTCTATTTGGTTCTTTTTCAAGTGTCTATCTTTAAAATATTATATTCTTCCTTACTCATGTATTTAATTCCCTTTATACTTTTTAAAATATTTAAATATAGCATGTATATTCATAAATCCAGTATTTGAAGTTTGTGGGAGTCTAATTTTGCTACTTATTGTTTGTCCTGACTCACTAAGGTGGGTATTTCCAAATGAGATTTGTAATTTTGGATTGTGGGTTCTTGTCAGCTGGGATTTATCTATAGAAAACCTGAAAACCACATTTGAGGGATTATTCTCTGCCAGATGCCTGGGGCCAATTAAAGTTGATTCTTAACTTTGTCAGACTACCCAAGTAGTGTGAATTCGAACCTTAGTTTCACTTGAGAGCGGAAGGTGGATTCTCAAGAGAGAGTTTTTTTCTCTTTCAGAGGCCAACACTGCATAGGCAAGTGTTCCTTTTAGTTTTCTTTCCTGATGGTGGATTTTTTTTTTTTTTTTCTGGTTCTATCTGTTAACAATGATAAAGAGACCTAGTTCTAACTGCTGATATTTCTGGGTCCAGAGCCCCTGACTTCTGGTCCTTCAAGACAATGAAAACCATGGATCTAGTATCCAGGGAGCAGTAAACATCCTCAGGGCAGCCACTATTTTGGAAAATGAGAAAAGCTAAGAGAATAATTTGAAAAATAAAGAAATAAGAATACCTTAAATCAATCATGAATTATTAATATAAATGACCTACTTAAGAGTGTGTGTGTGTATATGTATTTGGGAAATACTTTTAAGAAGAAATTCTTCCTTTCTTGTGGAAACAAGAATTACCTAGACAATACTTTTGTATTCACCCGATGACACTCAAAAGATTCAGAGACTTAAAAACATTGTTTTCAAGGTCAAATCAAACTGGAGGTAATGATTCTTTATTCCATTTATAAGACCTAGGTAACTTGTCTTGGTAAAGGTAGTACTAAAAATGCCTTTTCTTTTAGACAGGTAGTTAGAGTACCATACAGAGCTCATTTTTGACTGTCAAAACCAAAATTATTTGCAAGTCATAGATACATACAACCTTGTAGGCTGACACCTCACTTAACTGTTAAATCACCTAAAAGATTATCTTGTCTTTCTTTTATGTGAATTCAGGAGCACAAAGCTATTTAAAATTCTTTCTCTAGAGAAATTCTATTAGGAGTATTATATTTCTTTGGCAGTCCTAAAAGGGACCAGCCCAATATTTTAACATCATATTTTTTAAAGCTACTTTGGATTATTCTTTAAAAAGTTAGATTGAAACCCAAGAAACAGAATATGCACTAGGATATAGCGTGAATTTTACCAGGGTTCTTCTATAGCTCGAAGAGTTCTTTCAAATCTGTCTGGTATCTAGGAAACCACTCTGTATTAGCATAGCAATATTCAAATATACAAGAGACTAGTAGGTAAAAACACAAATAGAGTATACTTTCACTTACTACTCTCTGCATATTTGAATATGCAGAACACAGATAGTGTTTTTACATGTAAGTTTTAGAGTGTCCCAGAAGGACGTAGGAGCAAAAGAAAAAAAAGATTGATTGTACCATTAAAAATAGTCTATAGTCACAGTGCAACCGTAGGGAGAGGAAATTACTGAAGCGTAGTTCAGGTAATTTTAAAAAACTGATGCTAATAGATAGCAGAGGCTGAACACATTCTGACTTATAAAATGAAAGAAAATAATGGACAAAGGAAGACAATAGCAATAATAACTACCATTTATTGGGTTCTGACTATACATCAGAACTATACTCAGCGCTTTACTTAAATTAAAAACAGTCTCAACTACAAGAGAATCCACTTATCAAGTGTTTAATATATGCCACTTTTATCTATAGAATAACTTTTTGAGTTAGGTATTGTTACTTGCCCAGCTGTGTAACTGAGGAAACTGACACAGAGTTTCATCAACTTGTGCAGATCATGTAAGCTTGAAAATGTTAAGTAAGATACAAAAGCCAAGATAGGCTGGCTCCAGAGACTATGTTGTATAACAATCTTTCCATTATATTTTCATCCAACTACTAACCTTCGTTTCAGCCCAGTTGGGGCAGGAGTCCCTAACCCCCAGGCCACGGACTGGTACTGGTCTGTGGCCTGTTAGGAACTGGGCGGCACAGCAGGAGGTGAGCAGCAAGGGAAGCTTCATCTGTATTAACAGCCACTGCCCATTGCTCTCATTACTGCCTGAGCCCCGCCTCGTGCCAAATCAGTGGTGTCATTAAAGTGTCACAGGAGCATGAACCCTGTTGTGAAATGCGCATGTGAGGGATCTAGGTTGCATGCTCCTTATGACACTCTTATACCTGATGATCTGTCACTATCTCCCATCACCCCCAGAGGGAACCATCTAGTTACAGGAAAACAAGCTCAGGACTCCCACTGATTCCACATTATAGTGAGTTGTATAATTGATTCATTATATATTACAATGTAATAATAATAGAAATAAAGCGCACAATAAATGTAATGTGCTTGAATCATGCCAAAACCTTCCCCCATCCACCCTGGTCCATGAAAAAATTGTCTTCCATTAAATCAGTCCCTACTGCCTAAAAGGCTGGGGACTGCTGAGTTAGGGTATGTCTTGTCCCACTTTAAAGATGGGCAAATAGAGGTAGAAACTCTAAGTAACTTGCAAAAGATTACTTGTGAGTAATCGTATCAAAATTAAAACTGGTTTAGTCTGTTTCCAGAACCTATGTACTTCCCACTCTATTATTCTGCCTTTATGGCAGTATTTTTTATTCTTCAGATATTCATTCATTTGGTCATTCATTTAACAAATGTTTACTGAGCACTCTGTGTAGTCTGTTCTGGGCTCTGGGGATACTCTTATGAACAAATAAGGCAAAGTTCCAAAGACTGCATTCTAGTGGAGGGACATAAAAAATAAACAAACAAACCCATAAATGTATATCAAGTGTTAGCAGGCTCAGAAAAGAAAAATAAAGCACTGTAAGCAGCTAGAAAATAACAGGATAAAGGCTATATTTAAATTTTTCAGATAAGACGGTCAGTGCAAGGAAACGTGTAACTGTCACTGGTCTTTTATGATGCTGTTGCTTTCTATCACAAGTATCTTGGCTTATATGACATTAAAACTCAATCTTGGTTTCATATCACTCTTCTGGTTTCTGGAATATGCTTGATTTAAAACTCACCGTGTCACTGCAGAAATGATTTTATGCTGGTTTTCCTTTGTAATTCTTGAATGGTTATTTGAAGAGACAAAATTGGTAATTGTTTTCTTTCTGAGCATTTATCCAGAATACCCAGCTTAATAAGGTGAACAAACGTTTGGACTGATTTGGAGAGTATGCCTTGCCAACAATTAAGTAAAAGGATATTCTCTTTGTCATTAACATTTCATGTAGAATATTAGTTCTTAGAGGCAATCTAATAATAAAAGCTGTAGTGATGTCAGGAACTAATTGACTGATTTTAATTGAAGAACACTTATATTACAGAGTATATGATGGTAAGATGTGTTCAACTTGTTTTTCACTTTTCTTTAAAAAGCTGAAAACTTTCTTCGCAATAGTAATTAAAAATAAACAGCAGTCATTAACTTACTGTGGGCTTTTCTAACAGCCACAATATTGCTTCGTTGCATGAATGATTTACTGATCTAAAGTAAAGTAATTCAACACTGAAATTATCTTGAAAATTAAAAACCATCCTAGATAATGAATAGTTTCAGTTTCTGTAGCACCAATTTATGTTTAGTTTTTTAAAATACATTATTCTGCACACATACAAATTGCTAACTAATAAAAATAGTCTCAAAGGGACACCACCTCAAAGAACAGTATGTATGCCAAGCTCAATTTCTGAACTCTGCAGCCTTGGAGGTGATATTTATTCATTCCTTCATTCAGCCAACACTTACTGAGAAGCTTCTTTAGGCCAGGCGTTTTCCTGAGCTTTTTAGGGGATAAAAGAGAGAAAAAAAAAAAAGCAGTCTCTGCCCCAAAATAACTTCTTATTGTGGGATTAGGATAATATTTTATTGTAAGCCTGTCTCTTTCGTTTAGTTGGTTGTATCATAATTTATTGAACCAATTCTGTGTTGTTGAATATTTAGGTAAATTATTTTTTTTTTTTTTGCTATAAAAAGCCTTGTTTGAACACCCCTTGTAATGAATAAATTTGTCTATATTTCCGATTTTATTTTTCAAATGGATTTCTACAAGTAGAATAACTAAGTCAAGAGGCATAAACATTTTAGTATCTTAAAACTGTACCAAAAATTGGCCTAAAATGGAAGTATAGGGAAAAACATTATACCATTATACATTGCTACAAAAACTGCGTGAGATAGCCTTTTCTTAGTCCATTTCCTTGCCAACATTAATATAGAATGTTTTGCAACGTGTGTATCATCGATCTTTAGTCTTCACAATTGTTAAAAAAATTTCATTTTTAGGAATACTTTAGTGCTGGTTAAAAATTTTCAACTGATACTGATAGTTTGTATCTAACAAGAAGTTATTCAGATTATGTTCTTTCCTTTATTTCTTACTTATGCTAAAATTTAGAGTATTAAGAGGTTATGAAAAGTGTTGTCTATTGGTTTGAGAAGTTTGACCGAAAAAAATGAAGACTGTAGTTGTGCATGAATCAGTTGAAAAAGTTGAATATTGACTTAAAAGCAAATGTTAAAAAAACAAATAGATCTATATTTTGTTAGGGCTTACCGGATTTCATAAATACATATTTAGAATACTGTGAATTCTATTAAATAACAACACATTATATTTAGTGCCAATACATTTCATCTAAGCACAAAATTCTTACCTATAGAAATATAAAAAGAAAAAATGCTATGAATAGATTCAAATTGCTCTAACCACATCTTCCTTAAAAATGAAATTATGGAGAAGCTTCATGGTTAACCTGTCTGTAACATCTATATAATATTTTCACCATTCCTAAGTTTGTATGCCCAGCAGTTTGATCTCTTTTCTACTCATATCTCAGTGGTTACACTGTTTATTTCCAGAACCATAGGACACAAAAACCGGTATGTCAAAGTCCCCCGTGGTCACATCTGGGTTGAAGGTGATCATCATGGACACAGTTTTGACAGTAATTCTTTTGGGCCGGTAAGTCATCTTTTATCTTCTTGTTGATGTAATTGGATTTCAAAGGTGAGAACAAAACTATGTCAGATAGGTTATTCAGGTAACTCAGCCAAGACTGATCATGAAATTTATACTGGAATAGTTTATGTTTGAAAATTTCCTTTTAAGTATCATAGATAAGGTACACTATCAGAGTGTGTATGTAGGTATGTGTGTGCACGTGTGTTTCTTAGAAAAAAAACTCAGACACTTCAACAAAGTACCAAAAAATGCTTTTGGCCAACTACCTTATTCCAAATTGGAAGATTTTTTTTTTCTCCCACGGGAATACTTTGTAGCTTATATTTTCAGTTGATGTTTAGCAGACAATGTGTACAAGACCTATAGGCATCAGTTTTCTAAATCATTAGTTTAAAATGCAAGTGTAATAGAAATCATATTGGTAAATGTACAGGAAGCAAACTTTACCTCTACCCTCTTAGGGTCCCAGCTGGGCCTGAGAATTAATTTGACATAAGACAGAGTCATAGGAGAAAAGCAAACAAATTTAAAATAAGTTTTAGGTGGCGCAGGAGCCCTCATAAAGAAATGAAGACCCAATAGGTGGAAAAACGTACATACTTTTATGTTAGATTGAACAAAGAGACCTAATTGTGGAAATGTGACTAAATTATGTGGTGAGGCTAAAGGAAGATAATTATTTTAACACATTTTAACAAGGTGTGTTTGTACAGAAGCCCCTCTGCGCCCCCTGCCATGACTTCCCATGGAATAATGTTTTTTTTTCCTCCTGGTACAGGCAAGGCATCTTTCACATGAAAAATTGTATCTCCTGCTTTCAGGAAGAAAAGGGAAAGATTAGAATGCCCTTCTTACATCTGCTGTTTGTCAAGTGCCTTTAGCTTAAAGTAATCCTTACGTCAAAGTGGCATATTTTGGAGTGGCATAAATCTGTCACCCGTTATAAGTAGAATGTTAGAAGCATTGAGTGTATAGTAGAAATGCAGACGTTCCTCATTCCATGCTTGTACTCCATAGAATTGAGACTAAACTGGTATTTTGTGGGTTTTTTCATGTTGAATGTATACAGAAAGTCTGTATTTATGAATCCCTGCAATAGCTTATAATATAAAGTGAAGAATCTTTGAGTTAACTGGCACTACACCTGCTTCTCATTATCTAGTGTGTTTAAAAGCTTGGATCTTCACTCATTACATTTTCCTAAAGGCAGACATATCTATACTTTTTAACGTATATATAAGTTGAGCATCCCAATCCAAAAGTCTGAAATCTGAAATGCTCCAAAATTCTTAGATTGCTGAGCACCAATATGATGCTCAAAGGAAATGTTCATTGGAGTATTTTGGATTTCAAATTTTGGGATTAGATATGCTCATCCAGTAAGTATAGTGCAAATACTCCGAAATAAAAAAAAAATCCAAAATTTGAAATACTTCTGGTTTCAAGTATTTTGGATAAGGGATATTCAACTTGTATAAGTTAATATTGAATACCTTTAGATATGTTTGTGAAAAAATTTTATCCATATAGTTTTTTTCTAAAATTTAATGTCGGTGGTCTCTAATAAAATAATTTCTTTCACATAGTATGAGGGCACACTCCTGCTGTCACTAATGGAGCAGCCACTTTGACTCATCTTTGGCTGACAGTACAGTAATAGAGCTAGAGTTGGATAAGCATATATAATTGTGTGGAAGATGACTTTAGGAAACTACTCCTACTTCTTTTTTTTCTAGTTGCAATGATGATAATAAATACTACTAAGGCCTTCTCTTGCTTTTGAATAGTAATTATTACAAAAATATAATCTAATTTTTGTAAGGTATACTAAAGGTGAAATAAACAGATTGGAAATGTTTTAGGTCACTTACAGTATAGAAGTGTCTCTTGTGACAAAGTTTGTAGCAACTCGCAAGTGAAAAAGATTACCTAAAAGCCATTTTATGTCTCTCTCATCACAGATATGATTGGGTATGAAATGTTTCCATTGCGTGTGATGTCTCTGTGAAATATCTTTATGCTAACCCTCTTGAGTATATGATCATTGCACAATGATGGAAAATGTCCTATCGTCCCATGATATGGATTTGCCAATTTACGACTTTAGTTTGCATTTCTAGTGTGATAAATATCTTTCATAAGTTTATTTTAAAATTGTGATAATTGTCTGGTAGTGTTGTTCAGTGCATATTACTACTGGATTTTACTGGATTATATCATAAAGACATGGTGATTCTAATGTGTTGCTTTATAGTTGCTTAGAATATTTTCTAAGCATTTCTCTCAGTAATTTCTTTCTCTGTGAAAGAAATTAGTGTCTTTTCCTTTACAACACCTACTTCTGTGTAGATAAATACATTTTCTATTGTAGCCATGATGTTCTTCACCAGCACACAAAATAACTGATTATTGCAGATAGTGACAAATTTTCTGCTTGCTTTAAGATGGAAGCACATAAAAAGTAAATTTTGTATTTGTATTTGTATGTATATATAACTGTGACATTTCTAATAGTGATTTTTAACTACTTCACACTGACAGACTCTTCAATTGACTCTTCAATTAAAAATGCCTGCAGCAATTCTTTCATTTATTATAAATATTAATTTTAGTAATTATATTTGAACTGTTCTCCTAGATAATATGTTCCATTTACTGAAAACACAAATGTGATTCTTTCTATGGCCTCCAGTTAGCTTGTACACTTTCCACTTTGAAGTTTTTCTATCATTTTTATCTAGCTTTAAATTGAGAGCAACTGAGATACTTTCACTGTTTCCTGCATAGTGAATTGTGAAATTCTAGTATCTAAAAATAAATCTAAAGTAAATTATTTATTTATTTAACACCTAAAATATATAATTTATTTTAGCTACTTTGACCAAAGGACATTAGAAGAAGAACTTTTGGCTTATACATTTCAAGGCAAACATAACCTTTCTAAGATGTATAAATGTATTTTGATTTTTAGGTTTGTGATCATAGTGTGACCTTGTGAACAATTTGTATGCAGGGAATATGAAACATAACTGAATAATTCAGAGGCAGAAACTATTTATGATAGAGTGCCTCTTTCTAAGAATGGAAACTTCAAGTTATACTGAATATGAGTTCTTTTTAGTTCCAAGTCATTTGGAAAAGAGCTAATTCAATCACTTTTTTCATTGATACCTTATTAGATAAAACATTAGCCCCCTAGAGTGTTTTGTGAAGGAAATATGCCTAATAGGAGATGATAGTTTTAGCAATAAATGAGCATTAGAACTATTATTTATTAATGAAATGAACTGGTGGTCTGAAAGTGATGATAAACAGACAACTGTGGAAAATGAATTATTAAAATTCCATGGAATTCCTTTTGAAGTTTATGAAGTACAAAAAATTTTTCACGTTTTAAAAACCAGTGAAAAGTAAAGTAGAAAAGTAAAGTTTATGTCTTTAGAAAAGTATGAAACATGAATATTAAAATTCCATAGAATTCTTTTTGAAGTTTATAAAGCGCAAAAAAATGTTCACTTTTTAAAAACCAGTGAAAAGTAAAGGAGAAAAAGTAAACTTTATGTTTTTAAATCATGCGAAGCTTTTCATTTATGCCTTCAAGACACATTTTTGAGCACCTGTGATTTGCCCACCTGGATATTGGCTTGTGGAACCTGATGGGTGGGATGCGTCAGGAGAAATAAGAGTTACATGTAACCAGGCAGAGATTACTAGATTCTATAATATATGTGGGAAATGGACATTTTAAGCAATTTAGTATCTAGTCATACCTGTTTTGATTTTTTCCCCTATATAATGCTTCTTTGGTTAAAAAAAAAACAAAAGAAAAAGAAAAAACAAAAAAAAACAGTAGATTCTTGGAGTTGCAGGAAGGATGAAAGAATGGGACTTTTTATATTAAGAGCACTTGACAGCTGGGCATGGTGGCTCATGGCTGTAATCCCAGCACTTTGGGAAGCCGAGGCGGGTGGATCACCTGAGGTCAGGAGTTCGAGACCAGCCTGACCAACATGGTGAAATCCTGTCTCTACTAAAAACACAAAAATCAGCTGGGTGTGGTGGCACATGCCTGTAATCTCAGCTACTCGGGAGGCTGAGGCAGGAGAATCACTTGAACCTGGGAGGTGGAGGTTGCAGTGAGCTGAGATTGCACCATTGCACCGGAGCCTGGGAAACAACAGAGAAACTCTGTCAAGAAAGAAAGAGAGAGAGAGAGGGAGAGAGAGAGAGAGAGAGGGAGAGAGGAAGGAGGGAAGGAAGGAAGGAAGGAAGGAAGGAAGGAAGGAAGGAAGGAAGGAAGGAAGGCACTTGACAAAGAGAGGAATTGGGACTGAGTTTTGGGAAATGTTTAAAGTAGTCAGAGATTTTAAGGACAGAGATTCAGGTCATAGATAATAATGAGTGCACTGAACCTGTGAGCCTTCTGAATTCTTTTGCCACTATCACTAAGCATTAAAACATAACCTGATGCCTAGAAGGGGCAGGTAAGAGGGTCAATAGATGCTACCAGTACTAGGGTCTAATCCCCACTCTCAAGGAAGGATGGAAGGGAGGGAGACAATCAGTCCTTCACAACACATTGTAGCAAATACTCTAGATGGGGGTATGAGAGAGCCTCTTCGAGAAGTAGAGCATTTGTGTATGAAAACCCATGAAATCTCCCAGGAGGATTTGGTAGAACAGAGTGTTCTGAAATCAGTGAAAATAACTATTTGGTAAAAATCCTGCATTACATAAAGCACTCTAGATGCTGTATGTTTTGTGAATGAAGTGATTTATGCCTAGAGTGGTTAATGGGTTTCAGCTGCATTGAAAATATTCTGCCTGTACAATACAGAATAATCTTGTGATACACGAGAATGAATTTTCATTGCATTTTTTATTGTCGAATTGTAGCATTTTCCTTGTGTAACTTCTCTAGAGCAGCTAGAATAGCTTTTATTTAAAATCAGCCATTTCAAATTTTAAAAAAGGTCATTAGACAGTGTTGACAGGATCCAAATGAAGTATTCTCTTCACACTTTCTTTGAAAAAATGGTGCTTAGACTTTAATTGGTTATATTTTCTTGTTGCTTGTAGTACATGCTTATTCTTTAGAAAATTTTGATAGGAACTAAAATAATCTGTATTTTATAGAAAAATATTGGTAACAATAGTTTTATGGTTTTTGTTAATAAGTCATAAAGCCTTACCTTGTGGTTTTTCATCAAATGTTTCTCATGGTTCCCATAAACAGTGCTGGAACCTGGCAACCTCACATGCTTTACCTAGATATAATTTTCATTTGACTGGTATAGACAAAGGCATACATCTCATAAAAAGATCAAAGCCACTTAAAGGAGATACCATTATAATGAAAATATTTGTGTAACCAAAGATAACTAAGTCTCAAAAGAGAGCCCATTCTCAGAAGCTGTGTTCAACACCAAGAAATGTCCATGCAGTAAAATGAAACAGAAAGTCCCTCAAGATTAGCTTCATTGTTTGTTGGATTTGTTGCTGTAATTAAGACATGAAAAAAATATATATGATTTTAAAAAGAGAGCTTGGAAACATAATATGGTGGTGAAATAAATAATGTCACCCATCTCCCCAAGAGAAGAGGCAGTCTTAGCTTCCATTCCTACCAAATCAAATTTTGTCTTATGTCTTAATTATTCTGCTAGTGTAGAAATCATTTTCCACATGATTTCATTTTTAGATAGAAGAATGTCAGCAGAATTGTCATTAGACTTCATTGCTATCACAGATACTGTTCCTTTGGGCCGTTTAATTACAGAATTAAACACATTCATTTTATTAGAAATATATATTTACTGATAATAGGTCAGGAGCCAAGATTTAGTGAAACATATGCAGGGGTTATTAATTTAGCAATTTCATAAGTGCTTAGAATTTTTTTTAAAGTGAGGTTGAAGCCTTTATTTTACTTGTAAGATGTAATTGGTGCCTACATAACTGAGTGTACATAGAAAAATAAAATGGAAAATATGAGGCGCCCATAAGACAAAAAAAGTCTACTATTGAATATATTGAGATTCAAAGTTTGAGATTAAATTGCCTCATTTACATGGATATATACTTATAAAATATTTGATGGGTAATTATTTACTCTCCACTTCTTTTAATAAATAGCAAGCTATGTAAATAACTTTGCAAACACCAAACTACGTAAATAACGTTCTTTTGACTGAGCTGGAAGACAGCTTTTTTTGGAAATTTTTAATTTTCTGAAAACTTGTTGGGTAATCTTTAAAAAGACTTTGCTCTGTGTCAGTATCTTATTGGTTGTATTTGAAAAAGATCAGTTTGATTTTGAGTAACGTGGGTGATCTTTTTTGCATAAAGGAGCCATAAATGGACCCTGTAGTGAATCATGATAACTACACTTTTAGACATTATTCATAGTAAGACTCATGTGAGTTTTTGGTATATTAAGATTTGTCTAACTTGGTGAATCAAGTAAGCAAAAATGCAGTTTTTTACTATAGCCATCAGAATCAGAGCCATAATGTGTATTCTATTGATAGGTCATCACAGGCCCCATGACTTTCCCATTAAATAGAAGTTATTTTTGTAATATGACTCCTAAAGAATTCTGCTCCAACAGATATTTCTGTCACTAATGATTTTTCTGAAAAGAATCCTGATCACATTATTTTGCTTCCTAACAACAATATTATCAACCTACAGTACCTAGTATATTCAATAAAGAAACAAGGCAAGAAAGCCCTCTCTTACCACTTGTATTTGACATTATGCTAAAGGTCATTACCAGTGCAGATTAAGTCAAGAAAGAGAAATAAAAGATGTAGGAATGGGAAATGAAGATTCCAAACTGTTATTTTTTGTAAGTATGATATTGCCTTCTTAGAAGTCCCAAGAGGAATCTGCAGAACTATTAAGACAATTATGCAAACTTAGTAGTATAATAGCTATTATATACATGGTGAAACATGACTAGATATCAAGAAATAGAAAACATACTTTTAAAGAATTGGCCATTTAAAATAGCAGTAAAAAATTCAGGATTGGTTACCTCTGGAAAAGATGAGAATGAATGTTATTGGGGAAGAGTGAGTATACAAAGACACCAAGTTACAGTACTTATATCTGAAGCAGAGTGGGAGCATACAGATGTTCATTACATTATGCTTTATCTTTTTATGTATAAAATATAAAATAATACTTCCTTTTTTTTTTTTGAGATAGATTCTCGCTCTTCCACCCAGGCTGGAGTACAGTGGCACAATCTCAGCTCACTGCAACCTCCGCCTCCTGGGTTCAAGTGATTCTCCTACCTCAGCCTCCCAAGTAGCTGGGATTACAGGTGCACACCACAGCAGGCTAATTTTTGCATTTTTAGTAGAGACAGGGTTTCACCATGTTGACCAGGCTGGTCTGAAACTCCTGGCCTCAATTGATCCATCCACCTCAGCCTCTCAAGGTGCTGGGATTATACTATGAGCCACCGCGCCTGCTATAACAGACTGTTTCTCATAACTGCATAAGTGAAAATATTAAAAGTTGACATCAGTGACTTCACATTACTTATAAATATTAGATCGTCCCCTAATATATGTGAGGCCTAAGGCATGGAGGTCTAAATACTACATGTCTAAATATTTAACATTTAACTATAAATTAAGTTAGCAAACTGTTAAATGAAATATGTTACTTTTCCTAACTTGATAAATATACCTCCATATGGCTAAAACCAGCAAAGATGACTGAATTTAATTATTATTACACACTTGAGTATTCTGTTGAAAGGTCTGTGATGTTTGGAAGAGTAATAAAATTAAAATATACATAAGCGTTAAATTACATATATATTCTAAATGAAAATTCCAAGCTGTTATTTTTCAGTTTTTTAAAATACATTTTTACATTTTTTTTCTGGCCTCCATTTCAGCAATCACTATGTTGTTATAATCAAGATTTTCACATGATATGCATTCTATTGACAACAGTGAATGATATGAAGGATTAAAATAATATTTAACTGTATTTAGTATAGATAATTTAAATATATGTTAATGAAAATGTAGATGAAAATAAGTGTAAAAATTTAAAAGTAAATTTTTTCAAGTCTTTCCAAAAGATTTTTTGTAAAATATCAAAATGTATCTTTTCAAACCAAAAGTCAAAATATAAATATTAACATAAAATTACATCAAAATTATTTAAATAGAACTGAATTTGTAAGTATTTAAAGAATTAATTACATTTTATTACATATTTTTATGAAAGGAAATCTATTCATAGGTTTGAGGGTTCAATTTCTACGTGCTTGTCAATGTAAAGAGTATCATGCTCCATGCATTTCATACCCTCAACTACATACATGTAAATTTAAGTAGTCACAAATGTTTCCTCTGTCACCATGCACAACTGTGGTGAATATTGTGTTTTCCTGAGTATCTCTAGAATTCTAGAATCACAAGTTGAAACATGAAGAGCAGAAAGAACAGGACAGGGGCACTCAGCTACTGGCAAATGATACTGAGTGTACAAGAATCTGTGGCCTCCAAGCTGAGAAAGCTTGTCAGGTCATTTAATTTCCTTCTTCTAGGCACTTCTAAGCTAAGTGCTTAGATGGCTGAAATCCTGCCTGTGATCAACTGGTGAAGTTTCATGGCATTTGGAATCAATCCATTGTGCTTTTTGTTTTTTGTTTTTTATTTTTAGAGTATAAAATATATGGAAAAACATATGTCTGGGTCCTTAATGGTGTTAGTTTTTTATGAGTAAATACCTGGTGAATAATCAGAGTTAGAATGTCACACTTTGCTAGTGCTGAATGCCAGATCTTGATTGGCATAGGGACCCATGTGTTCTTTAATAAACTTAATTTTTGTAAAACTTGTGATGTGCAGGTTTCTCAAAAACACAGGCACCAAAAAAGTAGTGCCTCTTGCCGAGGCCTAAGCGCAGTCTGGCTCAAAATAGCTAGTGTAAAGTCATTAGCAGGGCAGTCAAACCCTTTTGATCCTGTCTCCCGCCAAATTTTCCAGATCCGTCTTACCTGCCTATGCCTTGATCATTCCATAAATTCACCATTTGGTTTTGCATTTTTGTATTTTGGCACAGGCTGTCATTTTTTTCTCCCTTTCATTATCTTGTGCCTGCCCACCTTAATCTGGACAATGACTACTCCCAGACCTACTCTAACATGAAGTTTTGCTTCTGACTAAGCCAGTTACCCCACACAGCATTTGCAGTATAATTGCACAGTGATTCTGTGTGTGAAAAGACTGTGAACTTTGCCAAGGCAACTATGGGAGCTAACTCATCCTTGTATCCCTGTAGCCCAGAACTGGGAACAGAGTTTAACAGCTGTTTCATGACACAGCTAATGGCCAATTTCTGCACAGCAAAGGTTCATCTAGAACAGGGTTCAGTGAAATATGGCCCTTGAACCAAATCTGGCCCATTCCTATTTCTGTATAAAAGAAGTTATGTTGGAACACAGCCACACTCTGGCTTTCATATTGACTATGGCTGCTTTCCCTCTGTAACGGCTGAGTTAAGTACTTGCAAGAGAGACTTATATCCCACAAATCCTAAAATATTTATTATCTGCTCTTTATTTAAAAAGCTTGCCAACCTCTGACCCTAGTGAATTAGTAATAGATAACTTTAGAAAGATTAGTTTAGGACTGATTATGTCTGGCTGTTAATAGGAAAGTCAGAAATTTGAACATTATCTAGAAGGGACTAAAAAGCCGTTTACATTTTGGAACAGGAGAGTAATAAGTTATGAGAGGTATCCTGGCAAGACTGGTTTGGGAAAATTATGAATGAAAGATTAGATTGGAAATGGGATATAGGTAGAAAATGCAATTATTTGATAATACTATTGGTTCAAATGGGAGATGATTAGGCATTAGGCAAAGGTGGTAGTAATAAAAATATGAAGTAGATTGACTCATAAGAGTCCTTAGGAACCAATAATTGGTTTGATGTCTGTTAGATTCTGCTCCCTCGTATTAACTCACCACATCTGTCAGAGAAATTCACCAGCTGGAATACTGAACTAACTTCATGCTTATCTCTGGTGGGTCAAACCTTAAAATTAAGCACGAGCAGCAGTCTTGGCTACCTGATGAGAATTGTGCTGCCTGGTAATGATTAGATTTTTGTCCCTGACATTGGGAGTGGCAATCCAGTCTTGTTCATGACTCCTTAAGCTTATAGGCAAATATTCCATCAAAGTGTCAAAGTTCCATTCTGTTACACTTAGCATCCATGTCAACTAACCCCCCACTCATTTCACCAGCCTTTTCTACTCTTTTTTGGTAAAGTTCTCGCATGTTTCAAAAGGTATAGACAATTCCCAGAATGTAGAGGCTAAAAGAAGGAAACATAGAAGGGCGAATATTTTGGTAAACCATCTGATAGAAAAGCATGTTTTAAAAATTTCTTTGTCATTATTATTTAAAACGTACACAAATATATATTTTTCAAAATTAAAATATTTTCAATACATCAACACATTGTGGGAAGTTGTAAATAAATGTTTTAATTAAAAATATTTTCATAAAGAAATGTATCCGTTTTTTTGAAGAAATGATATAGAATGTTCACACTACTTTCAAGTTACATTCATCTCCCCTTTAAATGAAGTTACTGTATTAAAATAAGTATATTGATATTGTCAATTTAAATTAGGACGTACTCAGTGGAAAGAAAGGGGAAACTATAAGGCTTCATCAAGTTGTGGAATATTGAACTTTTTTGATTACTAAGCCTGATTTTCATAAAAATAATAGTCATTAACTAGGACCTACTTAGACTGACAACTACATTAGGCTGAAGTTTTACTTAGACCTCCAGTGATTTTATTTACAGTTGAAGAGCTTCGACCAAACCATTTTCAAAGCTGCTTAAATCTTCCTTTTTGTGAAATGCTTCTGCCTATTCCCCACTGAAGCTTTAAACTCTGTCTGCCTAGTATTTGCTGGGAAGCTGCAGGCAAATGAAACATTCCTCTCAAATTAGCCATGATTATATTTGGGTTGTTCATATAAATTGTTTCATTTCACAAAAACCTAATGAGATTATAAATTATGTCATTTCTACAAGTCATTATGGAATTATGTAGACTCTAGTCAAGGAGAAATTCTACTTCACAAAATATTTGGTACAGAGTCTTTTAAAACACTGTATTGCATTCTTCTGTCACAAAAAAAACACAAACACAAAAACAAAGCATAGTCTTTCAAACAAAGAAAATATATGTGCTGAATAGGAAATGATAATTACCATTAAATTAATGGATTCTTTAAATCTACTAGCTTGGTTTCACTGGGCCATTGTTTTTAGATTTAATGTGTTATCCTGCACTGACTGAAAAGTAATAGTATAAAATGAGGAAGGCTATTTTAAACGTCATTCATCAAAGTGCATGGTACTTAAATAGCTTTTTTGCCCAGATGGGCATTACTGGTTAAACCGTTATATTTTTTCAAGTAGTATTTGTGACTTTTTGAATCCCCTCCAAAATTCATGTTGAAATTTAAGTGCCATTGTAACAGTATTACCAGGTCAGATGTTTAAGAGGTCATTAGGCCATGAGGATTCCACCCTCATGGCTGGGATTAATGCCTTATAAAAGGGTGACTTCAGTCCCCTTTTTCCTCTTTGCCCTTCTGCCTCCTGCTCTGTGTGGAAAAAGTATTCTCCTCTAGAGGATGCAGTATTCAAGGTGCCATCTTGAAATCAGAATCATCAAACCTGCTGGTTCCTTAATATTGGACTTCCCAGTCTCTAAAGCTGTGAGTCAATATATTTTTTATTATAAATTACCCAATCTGTGGCATTCTGTTATAGCAGCACAAGCAGACTAAGACAGTATTACACTGTTGAGTCACAGTAGTATATTTTATAAAGAACTTTAGGTACATTTTAAAGAGTAAGTTCTGATGTTATTATAGTCACATAATATTTCTCTATATTTTAATTTAAAGAAAGCAACCACCTTAAGAAGTATTTTTTTAGATGGAAGAACATTATTTGAACTACTGTTTTATTGCAAGAAAATCTTCCTACTATTATATGTTTGGTATAATAATATTATATTAATGTGAAATTTTATTATATTCTTCTCCACCCTATGATTACCCCTAACCATCTCACTGCTCTTTCTTTTGAAGTTCATTATTCACAATACCTTTTTTTTGTCACATCAAAGTAAATTTGGTATTTGATCATAAGACGGATTATGAAGAGGATGCCCCATTATGGAAAGAATTTAAGTAGGATATACTTGTGTATATAGAGACTACCCAAAATTGATATATTATTCCCATCCTTTAGGTTCAGGAAGACTGCCCTCTTAATAACGTTATTTACAGCATTCTCTGTTTTTAATTCCTGAAATTCCCCCAAATGGCCATGAGACTATTACCATGATCCTTTGCCTAATATGTCTGCTTTAATGTGCTTTTATATTACTCCAATCCTGTTTAAAAGCCAGCCAAAAACATCACAAATCATGCAAAACAAAATCATTTGTATATGCACAAAAAAATACCCTATATATTCTTTCCACTTGGTTGAAAGTGAAGTAGGCTTAGAGTAAAATACATTGTCTTCAAAACTCATCATACATTCTGTGTTCTCAGCCCCTGATTTTTTTACCCCCTTAAGTAGTAGCCCCTCCTTAAGAGGGGAGATCTCTCCTGCTCTCAAAATTATTTTTTCTACTTCTCCCCAAAAGGAGGAAATCTAGTAACCTTTCACAGAAAAAGAGAGACAGAGAGATGAATATCACCTCTTGCAAATGTTGCTTTCTTTTTTTTTTTTTTTTCCTGAGACAGAGTTTCACTCTTGTTGCCCATTGCTGGGGTGCAATGGCACCATCTTGGCTCACTGCAACCTCCGCCTCCTGGGTTCAAGGGATTCTCCTTCTTCAGCTTCCTGAGTAGCTGGGATTACAGGTGTGTGCCACCATGCCTGGCTAATTTTTTTTTTTTTTTGTAATTTTAGTAAAGACGGGGTTTCACCATGTTGGCCAGGCTTGTGTCGAACTCCTGACCTCAGGTAATCCGCCCGCCTCAGCCTCCCAAAATGCTGGGATTAAAGGCGTGAGCCACCATGCCCAGCCAACAAATGCTGCTTTCTTTTAACTTTTTTTTTTTTTTTTTTTTTTTTTTTTTGAGATAGAGTCTTGCTCTGTCTCCCAGGCTTGAGTGCAGTGTGGCACATTCTTGGCTCACTGAAACCTGTTCCTCTGGTTCAAAGGATTTTTGTGCCTCAGACTCCTGAGTAGCTGGAACTAGGAACTACAGGCATGCGCCACCATGCCAGCCTAATTTTTTTTGTATTTTTAGTACAGAAACGGTTTCACTATGTTGGCCAGGCTGGTCTCGAACTCCTGGCCTTCCTCAAGTGATCCACATGTCTTGGCCTCCCAAGGTGCTGGGATTTTCTTTTAACTTTTAATAAATGTAGCAGGAACATCTCTCCTCAATTCAACATCACCATAAAAAGAAAATAATAATAAAATGGAAGAAATCACCTAGCAGAGAGAGAAATTATTTTTGTGGTGGGGGCTCCCCCCAAATATCACAAGTCACTTCACTTGTCTCCAAAGACAACATTGAATAGTGCTTTGAAGGTGGTTTCAATCATGAGACTAAAGAGGTGGCATTTACCCCTACCAGATACCTGTTGCTTCCACTCCAAGGCCTTCTGAGGCTAAGGGGAAGGCTGATCCCATGGCCATGAGCATGAGCAGTTTTCCAGTGCTGCATATTTCAGTTTCAGACATGGGACAGGGAATGGTCTGACCTCTAGTTCTCAATCCAGAGAGTCAGCTTGCATCCAGTTCCAGTCCTGCACCAATTAGCTATGACCAGTGGGGCAGGATCTAGTTGAGAAATGACTATGATTGGCCTAGCTTGAGTTAAGTGCCCGTCCTGGAAGAGTCAATCATTGTCAAGGGCTGGAATATTGTGGTTGTCATAGTTTGGATCAGGTATCTACCTGTAGACCAACCAATTCTGGCCTAGGGGCAGCGTTATAGAAAAATTATGGCAGCTCCATGGAAACCTTATCTTGTTGATGCCAGTACAGGGAAAGGGGTTGTTGTTCCCAGATAATACAGGGTGTTAGGCAGACAAAAGAATAGACAACAATGTCATATAATAAAAGGTAAAAAGTATAAAAGCCAGAGACAGAGGTACAATATCATGAAGTTCTTAGAAGTGATATCTAGCAAGAAAGAATTCAAAGGCATTAGTCAGTTCAACCTTGAAGAAAAGATAGGATTTCGACTTAAGGACAAGTGGAAAAGTAACTTTCGAGAAGTAGAAAGCCAGGTAGCAGAAGCATGGAGGTGGAAGTGTTTAGAATATGTATTGGGTACTTGAGCAGTTTTGTTTGGCTAGATATCCGATATATTCTGTTTTAAGACTAAGTGTGATTAGTTTATGTGGCTTCAAGATTCTATTCTCTACTTGCAACCTATGCAAATTCAAATTCAGTGCAACTAAAATGACAAAGGGTGATTTGCACTATTTAACAAACAGGAGATTGGTGTTTGGAGCCTTTGCCATGAGAGAGGGAGGAGAGATAAGTGATCCTAGCAGCAGTATATAGGAGCAGTGTATTTGTAGACTTTGCTTGGCTATTCTTTGTTAAGTAATTAAATATAAGTCTTTTTAAAAATCTACTATGCCTCCTCAATCAGGAGCAATAAATAGGTTATCCTGTGCTACTAAATTCTGAGGTCTTTGTTTAGATAAATTTAGTATGTGTGCCAGATAGTATTTCATACTTAAAAAAACTATATTGTTTTTCATACTTTTGCAACATATATGTCTCACTGTAGTTTATCTTAGATTAAGAACTATTAAAGTTCTGAATCTGTGGTAGAATTTTCTTTGCATCCCCTTCTTTTTTCTTTTCACCTTTCTACCTTCCATAATATTTCTTTTGCAGGTCAGCTAAACACCTGGGCTCTGAAAGATTACTCATTTATTTGGTTCTTTGTCAGCATCACGTTCATGTTGCCAAAACCTGTGATCTCTTCCAAATATCCATCTTAGCCTTTCAGCAGTATTTGATATGGTTGGCCACTTCCTTTTTAAAATATGTTGAGAATGTTCTTCTTTTAGCTTCCTTGAACCCAAATAACCAGTCCTTTTTCTAGGCGTCCTTTACATTTTCATCCTTCTCTGCCAGATTTCTAAATTTTGGCATGCCCCTGAGCTTGATCCTGAATGTTCATCCATACTTAAACCCTCCCTAAGAAAATTGATCCTGTGTTTTTAAGTGCTGTCTTCATGCATCAGTGCTCAGATTCGTATCTCCAGATGGTATCACACTTGGATGTTCAAGAAACATCTTGAATTTAACATGTCTAAAAGGAAATTCTTCATTCCCTTCCTTTCTCCTTCCATCTTCTTTCCTCAGATTTCTTCCATTTCAGTAGATGGCACTATCCACCCAGTTACTCAAGACAAAAAGTTAGGCGGCATCCTTGGGGTCTCACTTTTTATTGCCCTCAACTGCCTGGTAAGGCCTTTTACTCTTCCACCAACGTCCTAGAGTCACGTGCTTTATTCCATCTCTACTGCTGCCTCACTGATTCAGGTCATCAGGGGCCTCCTAACTGGGCTGCATGCTTCCCCTCTTCATCTTCTAAACGTCAGCGTCTCTGTGGCAGCTGCAGTTATCTTACAGTTATCCTCAAACCCGATCTCTAGCCTACATGAAACACTTCAGTGGCTTCCTGTTGCTATTAGAATTAAAAGCGTTAAGTTTTCTCTGATTCCCTTGACCATGGCCTTTAGGGCCCTCACATTGTATGGCCTCTCCATCTCTTCCCTTTCCGTGCTTGCACCTCTCTGATCTTTCCATTCTTTGAACAGGTGAAAGGCCTTTTGTCCTAGCTAGATCCTCTTCCTTGAATTCTCTTCCTTTAGGTCTTTGTGTGGTTGGCTCTTTATTTTCCCCACTTCAGGGAAGAGTTTTTTCTGTGCATCTAACAAAATGGAACACACGCACACATGCGCGTGCACACACACACACTCACACACACCTGCTTCTAGCTACTATGACTATCTTGTTTTATTTCTTTATTCATGTTTATATTTTTATCTCCTCCAATAGAAAATTGAGCTTCATGAGGTCAGGAACCTTGTCCTTTTGGTTCACTGCTGTAGCACAGTGCCTGGCTGGCTCATAATAGGCACCTACTACATTTTGTTAAATAAATAAACAAATTTCTGTTCTGTGAGTGAGTTTAGCACTCGCGATGCCTTCTGGTTCAGAAATAAGAAGTCAGTGGAAAGTATACAAGAAGGACATCTGACATCTTTGGAAAAAAGAGAATGAAATGCACTTAAAATGGTTAGTGGAGATTGGAAGAAGGCTCCTGACATGATGCACTTTTCAGAAAGAGGATGAGATGGATATCACCTTAAAAATAGATGGTGATTCAAGCAAAGCAAACAGAACAAGGAGAAACAGGACCAAATAAAAAGTTTCCTTTAGGCAGAGCACAGAGCTTTTGTGATAGGTCAGCTGAACAGGCTGGCTGAAACTAGGAGGAGGGGTAGAATGGTAGAAATATCTGGGGACACCAAAAGAAATTATTGTCTTATCTACAGGGCAATAGCAGGACTACAAGATATTTGTCAAGATATCAAAGAGATATTAAAAAGGCAAAGTCCAATTTAGTACGGGATGGCCTGAAATCTAGTAGTAAAACTATCTCCATGGGAAGAAAGAAATCTTAGGACAGTAGAAAGAAGGATGGAGCCAAAGCTTCTCATCCCATTCTGAGTATCTAAATAGAAACTTTGTTGTCCCTGACTAAAATGTTATAGCACTGTTTCCCAAATTTTCATGTGTATTAGAATCACCTTAGGAGCTTGTAAAAAATAGAGATTTTCTGGCTTCCTTGAGATTCTGATTTAGTAGAACTTGTGTGGGTTTCAGGAAGCTGTACTTCAGCAAGTATTCCCCAAATGAAACTAATACAGTTCAAATGCAAGGCCAGGCCATGCCTCAAGAAACACTGGCTTATAGGGGCCTATAGTTTTGTCTGTGTTCACATACTGTTTAAACACAGTTTAATAATGTTGTGAATGCCTGAGGAAGTGGGTTGTATGTGTATGTAAGTGCACGTATGTGTGTAATTGTTGATTAGGTGGATATAGTGGAACTAACTAAAAAGACATTTCATTCTAAAGATTAGACGTTCTCGTTTCTATTGACTTTATTTACAACTATTGCACTTATGTATAATCTGCCCTTTTATTGGTTGAGTTTTAAAAATGTAATTAGTTTCAGATGATTTTCAAATAATCTGAATTTACAGAATCAGATTTTTAATTAGAAATTGGATGGTAGAAATGAAAGAGTGTGTTAATTAAATATGTGTTTTATTTTATTAGAAAGTTTCAATAGCCCCACCTGAAATTGATTCTACCTGGTTGATTTTCCTGAACTCTGGGAACAAATAATTACAGTTTCTGTTGCGTATGACCAAGTAAAAGCTGAAGAAACTATTTATATAGTAAAAATGAGCACCCTGGTAAAAGTGATAGCATTCTCTAGAGAAAAATATTCTTGTGTTAGAAAAACTTAAAGCTTCCTTTTCCAAGAGAATATTAAAATAATTGGAGTCTCCCTCTTTTTTTTTTGTTTTAATTTTTTTCAAGAAATTTTGTTCCTTTTTCAGAGGTTTCTTTTTGCATTCAGTTCAGGAACTGTTAAAACCTGGCTGTTTTCCAGAACAAGAAATTGATTAGATTGTAGAAAGAATAATGGAGACAGGCTAGTGGATTCAAGGAAAATTGTATGTGTAAAAAGCACCAGATACAATGCTTAGTGGAGTATTCTTCCCATTGCAATTATTCATTTAAAGACAGTTGCTGGCTGACTTCTTATGTAAACAGAGCAATGCCTGCCCAATGCCAGTTCATATTTTCACTGTTAGAGATTTTCTAAAGATAGAAAATGTTTTAGTAATCTTTGTGTATGTCTCCTTTGCCTAGCCCAGGGCCTGACACTCAAAAGTTTAATGAATGTCTAGATTAGACTAGAGCAGGTTGGAATAAAATATGTGATAAATTTGCTATGATTTGAACCCCCCAGCCTCTGGGCCTGGATTTGATGATCACAATTATAAAAATATAACCTACTGTGCCACTTTACACTTGGGGTGATTGATTTTGGTGCTTATCGCTAAACTAGCTCAAAGGGTTGTCTTCATCCAACATAATTACTATTCCTGTAATTACTGAATCTATAAATTTCATGCCTCTTTTGTTTCAAACAGAAAAATGGGCTTGGGAAATAAGAAAAACGAAGAAATCCTTAGTCAAAATAATATACACCAGGTGTTCTTTGTCTCGGCTTGATTTAGTTAGTCTTGCTCATCTAATACGTCATGCTTGTCTCTCCGTATCACTGAATTTTCAGCTTGGTTACACACACACACACACACACACACACAAACCTCACAAGAACCTGGTATTCAGAATAAAAAGAGCTACAGATAAAAACTTTTTGAAGCTTGAGTTTGCGTCTCTCTGAAGGTGAGCTGCCTTCAGTTAATTGCTGTTTTGTTGCTCCCTATGTTGATTACTTTTATCTGGAGCCCTAAAGACCTATGGGGACCTCTGGGGGTGACAACACCATGACTGAGCAGTGCATGGAGAGGCCGAGAAATGTCAGCATCAGAAACCTCCATGTGAGGATAATGAATTCAGGCGTTTCAGAAATCAACCAGCTTCAGAGAATGGCATTTGAGTGTAGTCATGCTTATTTTTGAAATGTAAGAGCTTGAGGCTCCCCTACTGAAATAAAGAGTTTTCAAACAAAGGCCTGGAGGAGCTGGATTGGCAGCTGCTTTCATATCTAAGGGAATGGTGCTGCTGTTCAACCTGATCCAAGGTGAAATCTAGAGATGAGGGCAAAGAAGAGAGATGCTCAAGGGTAGTTAAATTCACAGAAACTTATCAAAAAAAAAATACGTGGGACTTTTCTTGGTAATAGTCATGTTATTTATCATCTTTCAGGTCCCCACATACATAAAGACATTTTATTGTTCATACATTTAGTTGTTTAATTTTAAAAACTTTCTTGCTCATACATTTTATTGTAGAATTGTCTTAAGGACTTGGGGCAGCATTTTCTCACTGCTATGCACTGAATTATGTCCTTCTGAAATCCATATGTTGAAGCCCTAACCCCCAATGTAATGATATTTGGAAATGAGAACTTTGCGGGGTAATGAGGTCATGAGGGTGGAGCCCCTCATGATGAGATTAGTGCCCTTATAAGATGAGGCAGAGACCCCAGAGCTCTGTGCCATATGAGAACATAGCAAGAAGGCAGCCATCAGCAAGTCAGTAAGAGAGCCCTCACCAGAACCTAACCATGCAGGCACTCTGATCTTGGACTTCCAGCATTCAGAACTGTGAGAAAATGAATTTCTGTTGTTTAAGTCACCCAGTCTGTGGTATTTTATTATGGTACCCCAAGCAGACTAATACAAGTGCATAGTGATAATTATATGGATAAGTTATTGAGTGAAGATGGTGTGAATAAAAAAGATTTCATCTGTGTAAAATTCCCTTTAACCAATAGTGTATATTGAGGTATATATATATTTTTTGTACGTGAAAATCTGCCACTGTGTTTGCAATTGGTAATTATAGCTTAAGGTTCTTTTAATGTATTTCGTGTTCTTTGAACATTTTGTAAAATACAGCCATGGCAGTACTGAAGCAGAACTGAAGCTATGTGTGTATGCTTAGATTTAGGAAACATTGGAATCTTCCACAAACAGATCACTAAATAACAAACACCCAAGATTTGGGATTTACTCCTTTGGGTTCAAGGCTTTGTGTCTCTCGGAAACCTTTGGTAAAATGTAAATATCCTTAAAAGAGTAATTAACTTGAACTTTACTGTTATTTTTCCAAGCGTGGAATACTTTTTAAGATTAACAAATTGTCATTTTAGGGAGGAGAGTTATGACTCTGAGGAAGAGCAGATTAAACTAGGGAGGTTTCACAGTGGGGAGGATGGGCCCTGATGTGCTACCAAGAGTGAAGCAATAGAGGGAAGAGCAACCCTGAGAGAGCTCAGGTGGCACAGGGAAGCCAGTTGGTACTGAGTTCCTGGAATACCCTGTCCTCTCTGATCTCTGTGGCTTAAAAATCTTCCTTCTGCTTGCCTCTTCCCTCTTATCTGAATGTTCTCAAACCATCGCCTTTGTGCTGTTTTAAAACTCACTCCCATCTCCACAACCAACTACCAGATTTTATGCGATTATTCCTATCTCCATTTCTCTTTCTGTCACCGAGGCTTCGTGCTGAAATTGGTAGTTCTTTTAATCTTTTCTTCTCTTCACCCCAATTAGAAATTTCCTAAAGTAGAGTAACAGCAAAGAACCTGAAACCTGAGCCAAAACAACAAATGTAATAGATACTCAAGGATAAGATTTATGATCAGGCTTTGCTATGGGAAAAAAAATGTCAATCATGTCTTTAAATTATTACTCAAAGGTCATAGAAATCTGTTTGCTAGACAGAATCCTTTAGTTAATGTTATTCAGAGATACTTTTGCCTTATCTGTATCCTTTTACTCCTATAGCTCCCAATACCTGAATGTACTTTGACATGCCTAGAGAATTTCTGAAGAAGTTCTGCTTTGTATCAATTTTTAGCCTATACTTAAGTATACTGATGTCCATGTTCTCCTCAAAAAAAAAAAATTAGTTTGGAGAATAAAGGTAGGGTTCTTACATAATTTTCCTCATTAAAAATGGAGCTGAAATCAGGTTAAATACTAAAAATGAAAAGCTGTCTTAAATGCTGCTTGATTAATGAATAGGGAAAAATACAGAAGGGGTATCTCTACAGTGACTTCTTTTCTCGGGGTTCATCGGTGCTGCCTACCTGATTGTTTTTTGAAGGAGGGTGTCTTTTGTGATTAAGTCACTTGTCAGATTTGTATTGATATGCAAAGTTTTGTTTTATTTAATCTATCTCTAGAAGCTCCACCATCTGTTACTAAGATTCTTCCAGCAGGAAGTTCAAGAGAATAGCATTTGTAAGGTAAAAATATATCAGCCATAGCTAGAGCTTCAAACAATGTTTTATAATTAAGATATAGAACTCAGAGTAAATGTTGATGAAATGTAGTTGGTAAGAGCGAAATGAAGGCTAACACTGGAGAGTAGGCAAGATGGGAAAAGCTGAAAGGCAGGAAACATATTTACATTTCTTTTTGAAAATATTCAGAAAAGTCCGTCTTAATTTTATTTACTTTTAGAGGATGTTTAAAATTTAGTGTTTGTCAGAATCCATCTTTTCACCCATTCAATTAATACTTATTAAACCCAACAATGAATGAATAAGCATAGTTACAGTGTGTGTGTGTGTGCAAATGTATGCGCTTCCTGACACGTATAATCTTTTACAAATAATACAGAAAATAGGTAAAGTTTATCTTTAAATATACAAATTTTAAATACTGAATTAAAAACATGTTAAAAGTGGGTAAGAATAGTTAAATATTTGAACATCCTAAATAATATTAGACAGGTAGCTAGCATGACAGTGGGGAAATATTTAGATATTTAGATAAATATCTATGGAATGGAGCATAGCCACTTAAAAAAGGAAGGATGTAGTCAATGGATCACAGCACATGGGATTGTTAAACTGAAGAGAAAATCAGGGAAGAAAAGACTTGTTAGAATGGAGAGTGGTTATCATAGTTTTTGGAATCCTGAAATTATGACTTCTGATTTGAAATTAGGAATATAGCATAAGTAGACAATTTTAATTGGTTCATTGGCCTCAAAGTAAAGCATGTTTATTTCATGCAGCGTGTCTAGCATATGGCAATACACAGGTAAGAAGTTCAAAGAGATTATTTGATGAAAAGATGGCTCAAAGGATGATTACATCTAAAACAATTCAAAAGAAAAAATAAGAAATAACCCTTTTTGCACTCTGTGTTTCTTCAGGGTGATTTTGATAACAACAACAGAAAACTTCAAAAGGGAGCATGAGAGATGCTAAACATACTCTTTAAATAATTCTTGGAACATTAGTTGTGATTATTAAATGATGGCTTGGTCAAATTTTTGCTTTATAAATATATTTTTCTATTAATAGTAGCAGCAATAGTTCTCTTTATTACTCTTAAAAATATTCTTTTCATGCTTGTGTGTCCCTGTGTATATTTGAACACATTCATACCAACTGTACTACTACCTTTATTTCAATTGATATGTCATCTCATTGAACCCATTTCTACTGTTGTTTTAAAAAATAATCACTAGTACTAACTTTATTTCAATTTATATGTCATCTCATCAAATGCATTTCTACTCTTGTTTTAAAAAGTAATCACTGAACTTTGGTATTTTTCTTTTTATCATAAGTATAATGCAAGACATTAGAAACTTTTGAAACATGGAACGGGTCTTTCAAATTTTTGATTTTGCACTAATACAATTAGCTATATTATTAACTAACATAACAAATCCTACATAACTATCTTTTTCTAAATATGTGTTACGTGGGGTAGAATGTATTGTTTCTATTATACACTCCTTTGCTTTGTAAGTATGTTATGCATCCTTACTTCTTCCTATTTGGGGTGATACTGTTTCAATTCTCCCTGTGGGAAGAGAATATGTCTGCATCCCATTGATATTGGGCTTATCAGTGTGACTTGCTTTGGTCAGTAGAGTACAGATGCTCCTCGACTTGTGATGGAGTTACATCCCAATAAAACCATCATAAGCTGAAAATATCGTACATTGAAATACATTCAAAATACCTAACCTACCAAACATTGAACTTAGCACTTAATATTTAAGTATTCAGAACATTTACATTAGTTGGGCAAAAATCATCTGGCCACACAGTATACTGTTGAGTACCAGTTTGTTTTAACTTCATGATCATGTGGCTGTCTGGGACCTATGGCTCATTGCCACTATTGAGAGAGAGTGCCACCATCTTGAGAGAGTATTGATATAGCATATTGCTAGCCGGGGGAAAGATGAAAATTCAAAGTACAGTTTCTACTGAATGCATATTGCTTTCTCACCATCAGAAAGTGGAAAAATCCTGAGTCAAACCTTTATAAGTTAGGGACCTTCCATGTAAGTCTGCCAGTATGCCATGACCAAGCAAAAATGTTGAAAAATCATACTGTGGACTTTCCATTGCTCTTTTCTTTGTGTCATGAGAACAAACATGTCCCAGTGGGGGCTGCTCTTTTAACCTGGATCCCCAAAAGAAGGAGATGTGTGGAGCAGAGCTAAGCTGATCCCCCGTGACCCATGACCAACATGTAAAGTGAGTAAAATGTAAGGAAACAAGAAATAAACTGGTGTTATTATAAACCCCTGAGATTTGGAGGTTGACAAGAGCTGTGGAGGGTCTGAAATGTTACCCTGCTTGCAAACTAATGTGTAAGCCAGCCATTGGATCATGGATTCTAACAGAGGATTTAAGACTCAGGTCAGAGAAAAAGGGCAGTTTATTACTCATAGCAACAGCAGTAGCCAGAGTATCAGAATTTGTGCTGGTTCTCCGATCCCCCAGTTTCCACAGGGTAATGTGTGGAGGGCCAGGCGTTATAGGAGGTGGGTCTTGAACTTCAGGAATCTGAATTTTTTATATGAGGAGGTAAGTGGGCCAGCTCTCTGCTTTTTAGGGAGAGACGTTTATTTTCTAAGGCTGTACTCAAACTTGCTCTTTGTTCTAGAGAAAGATATCTTTATCTTCCAAGGCTGTTCGCTGTACAAATGTCCTTGAAAGTCTAAAATAAAGTAATATGTTCACAAAAGACCTGAAGGTCTTTTCAGAGATCTTTATAGGCACTGAAATAGTGGGGAAGATTTAGTTATTTTGAGAATGCAAAAGTAAATTTATTTTTTTTCTATTAAATTTTACTTTCAGCACAGTGGCTCACACCTATAATCCCAATACTTTGGAGGCTGAGGCAGGAGGATCACTTGAGGCCAGGAGTTTGAGGCCAGCCTGCGCAACACACTGAAACCCTGTCTCTACAAAAAATTAAAAAAAAAAAAATTAGCCGGGCCTGGGAGCACATATCTATAGACACAGCTGCTCGGGGTCTGATGTGGGAGGATCGCTTGAGCCCAGGAGTTTGAGGCTGCAGTGAGCTATGATTGTGCCACTACACTCCAGCCTGGGTGACAGAGCATGACCCTGTTTCTAAAAAAAAATAAAAAATGTATAAAACAATATGACTTTAAAAATCTCCTCTAAAGACATTCTGGATCCCCACTGGAGGATTTTATAAAAGTATAAAACACAGCCCCATTTCTAAAAAAAAATAAATAAAATATATTAAAAAAAATTGACTTTAAAAGTCTTCTCTAAAGACATTCTGAATCCCCACTGGGGGATTTTATAAAAGTATAAAAATCCACATGTATTTATATATGAGTGTAATATGTGTTGCTTATCCATACATGCACACAGTTTATTTAAGAAAATACAGGCATGCTAGAGATGTCAAAAACTTCTAATATACAAATTAATGTTGTACATATTAGTCACTTAAAATATATATTTTATAAATAAACCATGCAGGTCATGTGGACATAATTTATACTTGTAATATAATAGTGTTGATTGGAATTAATATGTTTTCCCATATTTTCTGAATCTGCTTTAGGCATTTGGATATTATAATAGACACATATTTGGTAAACAGATTGACAAGTTTCATATCTTCTGAATTATCCTTAAAATATTTTTGTAATTTGGTTAAAGTTTTCAGAATTAGTTGATAAATGAGAAATGGATATTTCAGTTCTTTTTCTTTCTGGCCTATGGTCATTAACAGGCTTTTGGGACCTTTCAGTAGTATTTTCAGAAAAATGAAAATTTAAATTCTTAGTAATTACAGTGAGAAAACTGTCATCTGGAGGTAAGACCCCTCTCCAAAGGCTTCACAAAGTTTTGGTGTATTAAACCTTTCCGGATTAAAAAATTGTTTAAAAGGCCAGATGTGGTGGCTCACACCTATAAAACCCAGCACTTTGGGAGGCTGAGGCTGGATCACTTGAGCCTAGGAGTTCAAGACCAGCCTGGGCAACATATGGAAATCTCATCTCTACAAAAAACATAAAAATTAGCTGGGCATGGTTGTGCATGCCTGTAGTCCCTCCTACTCGGGAGGATTACCTAAGCCTGGGGAGTTTGAGGATGCAGTGAGCCAATATTGCAACACTGCACTCTAGCCTGAGTGCAGCCGACGCAAGACCCTGTCTCCAAAAAAAAAAGTTTGTCGTCACCAAAAAGCATTATATTAATGGAAAAATGTTTCATTTTCTCCTTCTAATGGAAATTAAATTAGCAAAAATTAATTTAGCTTATTTTTCTTCTCTCTGTCTTACAGTAGATCTGTCTCTCTGTCTCTGTCTCTCTGTCTCTGTCTCTCTCTCTCTCTCTCTCTCTCTCTCTCTCACACACACACACACACACACACACACACAAACTGCTGGTGGTAGTCATTCTTTTACCTCTTGGCTTTGAGATAAAACAAATACCTTTGAGGAATTTTTAATTTTTTTAATCAGTAAATAATGACATTAGTATTTTTGAATAGTTGGATTCATTACATACATTTTTATCCATTATTATTTGACTAGATCCATCTAATTGTGACTACTTTGCTTTCAAAATTGAAAGGATTGCCCTGACTTTATTTTTAAAAGAAGGAAATTTAGTTAACCTTTGTTTTAGTTTTCTTAGGTTTCCTTTTTTCCAAAATGGCTTTAACACAAAAAATGTAGGTGGATTCACCTGCAAGCCTTGTGATTTGGGAGCTGTTGATGACAGATGTAAAGGGAGCTATAAATTTAAACTCTATAATTTGTGAACTGTCAGTATAGTTGCAGCATCAGTGCGGTATACATTATTGTTCTCCAATTTTGTAGAGTATGAGATGAGCAGTAATCTAGTTATATGAATCTCAAGGCCAAGATTCTGATAATACCTTTATTGTACTAACTATAAATTATAGACAAACATGCTTGCAGAGAATAAGACATTTTTTCTTCAGCTTCCTGAAAGTATAGAATTTAAGATATACTTAAGTTCTATAATTGTATCTGTCAACATTCAATTGGTCAATAAAAGGTATTACCATCAACATGACATTGCCTTTTAAGTAATCTTAAGGGCTCCAAGAATGTACTACATACAGAGATATCTCTCAATAGGAGGTAATATTTTCTATGAAATTTATTACTCTAGTCATAGCATATTCACGTGACTGAAATATTTTTTAAATCTTAGGATAAATGAAAAATTTGCTATTTATAAGTTAAAATTAAATTTTTAATTATCTTGTATTTTCCTCTTTTTTCCAATTCAGTTTCTTGGCTTTATATATTCCACAAAATGGAATATAATGCTGCCCCACAGTTGATTTGTTTATTCTGACCATCTAACCATTGATGTTGATCTCTACTTAATCAGTTCAGAATGAGGTGAAGCTTTGATTATAACAACAGCAAAACTAAACAATGACACATGTGACAGGTTGGTTCATGAATTCCTCATATTAATGTTTTAGGTTAAAAATATAACATCAGTTTAAGTCCAGAGTAGATGAGAACAAGTTTTAAAAGTACAATTCATAATTTTTTATGAGTATGATTGTGAAGGATGGTCTGTAATAACATGAACAATTTTCCTATTCTAGGTTTAGAACTAAAAAAACTACACTTTACTCCTGACAAAAGACACAGATTTTAAATTTTTATTTGCACAACTGTATACTCCTAAACAACGTATTTTTTTTTTTTTTTGAGACAGGGTCTCACTCTGTCACCCAGGTACCCAGGCCAGTTTCAGTGGCACAATCTCAGCTCACTACAACCTCTGCCACCCAGGCTCAAGTGATCCTCCCACCTCAGCCTCCTGAGTGTCTGAGACTGCAGGTACACAACACCATGCCTGGCTATTTTTGTATTTTTTTGTAGAGACGGGATTTCTCCATGTTGCCCAGGCTAGTCTCGAACTCCTGAGCTCAAGCAGTCTGCCTGCCTCGGCCTCCCAAAAATCTGGGATTACAGTCGTGAGCCACCACACACAGCCCATACTAGATTTTTATTTAACAAAAAATCAATATTTGTACTAAACTTTTTAGTCTCAAATTTTGCTCTGAAATATTTTCTAAAAACTGTCTTTATCGGAATTCCTAACATTTTTTCATTTAGGTTTTCTGATATGGCCAAAGATACCAGACAGCACTCAAGTCAGACTTTAGTCAGACTGAAAAAATACTTCTGAAAATCTCTAAATTATCTAATAATACAGATCTCTGAGTCAAAAGCTTCATAAAAACATTGGAATCCTCAGAATTTTGATGAGCACTCTCATTTTTATCACAAAATGTTTGCTTGGGCCTACAGAATTCCAAGTTTACATTTTATATCAATCAAAACAACAAATCAACTATTCATTTTCAGTGAAAAAGAAAAGAAATAAGAAGAAAGTCAACCAGTTGCTTATCTGTTTGGGGTTATCTACAAACCAAAATGATTGATCCAGTAATTTCAGAAAGACATGATCAGAAAGTAGAAAGAAGTGATTTGAATACTATGGAGCCACAAAAAATGATGAATTCATGTCCTTTGTAGGGACATGGATGAAATTGGAAATCATCATTCTCAGTAAACTATCACAAGGACAAAAAACCAAACACCGCATGTTCTCACTCACAGGTGGGAATTGAAGAATGAGAACACATGGACACAGGAAGGGGAACATCACACTCTGGGGACTGTTGTGGGGTCGGGGGAGGAGGGAGGGATAGCATTAGGAGATATACCTAATGCTAAATGACGAGTTAATGGGTGCAGCACACCAGCATGGCACATGTATACATATGTAACTAACCTGCACATTGTGCATATGTACCCTAAAACTTAAAGTATAATAATAATAAAATAAAATAAAATAAAGTTCTTTAAAATTGATACTTGATTCCAGCAGACCTACTGCAGCTAATGCTATAGGTTCTGGATATTTCTAATCCACAAGGCTGAAGTCTAAGTTATCTGTCCAGATTGATAGTAAACTGTAGATTTCAAACTGGTACGTGGTTAGTTTTGATTCTCCCTGTCCCCCTCCCCCTCTGCTAGTCCAAGGAGTTTGATTAAATTAGTGTTGCAAAAACTTTAGTCTGGAAACAGAGACCATCTCCCTGCAGTTTTTAGGAACAAGGAGGATACCTTGTTATTAATCTAGACCTACTGTATTTCTGCAAGTGTATGGGGGAAAAATAGAACAAGCCCAAGCCCAAATGGATATGGATGATGACTTTAAATCAACTGATAAAACCACTGTAATTGTTATTTGAGATTTTTTTTTCATACTCTGCTTCTTTCCAAGAGAACTTTGAAAGTTTGTTTTCTTGTTTAACCTACCAAAAAAGATTAATACAAATGTAATTGAAAGGAAGAAAGAAATCAAAGAGAAGGGCAGAAACAAATTTGCTTACTGTGAGACGAGTTCAGCTGTAGTTAGGCATCTGTTTGGTTATGAGCTTCCTGGCAGCCTAGTAGAAAGTGGAGTTATTATGAATAAAAGAGTTTTAATATCAGAAAAGCGAATGTATATCATCTCTTACAAGGCGATGGAGTTAATGCTGAGTGGTGTACTAGCAGTGTCTTTTTAATATTTTTTAACACAAGCAGAAATCACATACTTGTTTTCTGATAGTTATCAAAATAAATTAGGACTTTAAACATTGAAACCCATCTTAATCAAGCAGATGCTTCAAATAATGAAGTTGTATGAATATCCACAGAGGTTAAATGCTACCCAAATATAGAGGAGCCTCAAGTGCCTCAGGACTGACTGGATTTTGAATCCCTTAAAGTGGTATTTGAGTACTCATAAGACTAATAAAGTTCTTGTTAAAAATACAGATTGTTGAGCTCTATTCCTGGAATTTCTGATTTAGTCAGTTTGAGATGAGATCCAGGAATCTATATTTTTAACAGGTACCTAATATGATTCTAATGCAACTAGTCTCAGTAGCATTTTGAAAATCAGTGGCTTGGGCTCTCTTTTTTCATATGTCTTTTATGTTAGTCAAATTTTTCTTAGGAATCAGATAGAATAGTTTAATAATATACAATCTGAAGACAGCCTGCAGGGCAGGTGTTTTATAATGCTGATTAAGGGGAGAACTATACAGGATCACACAATTGGTAGGACTTTTATTCTATTTATGCAAATTATAGAGCCAGACTGGTATGCTAGGCTAGACAAAAGGCCAGCCCCCCATAGGTTTCACCTGATCAAGACCAGATATTCCCCAAGAAAGAATTTTGAGTTTGCTCCAGTACTTGGATTACTGATGAATTCAAACATCAAGTTAGAACAAATCAGACATAGTTTTGTGTTTGAAAATCCTTAGAGAAAGTATTATCTATGGCACACAAATAGCTATCCCAAAAGCCTTAATGATGACCCTTTGCAGGTCTCCAGATATGCCTGCCAGGATAAGTGAGCTGCTAGATGTTCCCCAGACAATTGAACACATTGACCTGTTACATGGTGCTATTTAATATCGATCAGATGAATGTCAGAGAATGTCTGACAGAGACAGTGGTTTTTGTTTCATCAAGGTTAATGATGAGTCATTCATCCAAACAGCTGGCTGCTCCCAGGACTCCCTGCCTCTTAAGACCACTGCTGTTTAATGAACACCAAGCCATCTCATCAGCATTTAGGAAGCCTAAACTACTGAGTTGTTATTTCTTATTAATTAAAGGCCACTGATTTCAGCCTCTGTTGGTTAATCGGTAACAATTCAAAGCATATCTTGACGTAAATTTTCATTAAATATAACTATTGGTTTTGTAACAGAAAGATAAAGTGGATATTCTCCCTTTTCCAAATCAATTTCCCTTACGTGCCAAATTGATTTGAGCATGTCAGATCTTGCTAGCTGCTCAAGATGCTTATATAATTTTTTATCTTTTATAGGAAAATAGCCTGATTTTCCTTTTTCATGAATTTGTATCAGATAAAATAATGTCACTTTCATTATACATCACCAGGATATGGAAGCTGCTTTTGTCTTGCCTTAATTTCTAGGTAGCATGTTCGAGGAGATTGGTTTACCTTCTAGAAATTAACATTGCTTTCCTACTTATCTTGGCAGTGGCATTATTCTGCCCTTAGCTAAGTATACTTACAACGTGTGGTAATCCATATATGCCTTTAGCTGAGGACTTTTTTTAAAGTTTGACACAAAATGGACCCCTTGTCTTAAAAAAAGAATAAACTAAGAGCTTTAAACTGCCTGTCCCTTTCAACCTTACTTTAACAGACCAGACTTGACGATGAGTGTCTTTAGTAATTTTGATATAATTCTTACTGTTTTTTACTGAAAGTTTTATAAATTTGGTGGTTTTGGAAGAAAGTGCATTTAGCCAAAAGAATGATTGCTGTAGTAGATGAACAGTTCAAACATTATAAGAAGTATGTGAAAAAAGCAAATTGAAGCTTTCCATATTTTCAAAACTTATAGCTGAATTTGTTTTACTATAAGCATACAGTTTTCTATTGTTCGGTCTATCACATTATTATTTGAGTATTGAGTAGATTGATTATTAGTGTTCCTATAGTAAGTATAATTTGTAAGGAGATTTACCCAGATAGGTCTCCATATATAAATTAAGATATCGATTGGCAAGTACCTGTCTAAGTTTAAGTTTAAGGAGTGGCATATCTAATTGAAGTATTGTGGGACTGATTATAGTGATCAAATAAAGGTGAGATATGTTTGGCAAGAAATCTTGAAGAAGATGAATTTTGGCAGAGTTTTAAAAGAAAGAGAAGGGATAAATTTGGATTGGGAAAATAAAAATGTCATTCACATTGAATAAATTGACAGATGGCTAAGGGTATAAGGGATATTAAACATTCTCTGCTAGGATAATGAGGAATTAGCTCTCTTTCTTTGTTGTGTCTGCTTCTGCCCAGAATGGTTTCTAGCATAGAATCAGAGAAATTTGGAAGATCATTGAATACATCCTGCATATCAGTCTTACGAAATGAAGTCCTGAGAAGTGAGATGACTTCTCCAGGTCCAAACAATTGTCAGTGGTGGAGGTGGAGCCAAAATGCACACCTTTCCAGCGTAGAACTTCTTACATATCATACTACACTGTACTGTCATATCACCCCATAGGCATTAGATCTCTTCATCCTGAACATTTTAGTCATACAGAAAAGATAGAAGTGTCTAACATGTAGGACTCTAACATGTAGGACTTTAGGTTGTATAACTTTGATTATCCATTAATTGTTTTTTTCTGTTAGCAGCAATTTCTTCTTGGTCAGAAAGCTTAGCAATCATTTAAGATAAATTTTTCCCCATATATTTTCTTTTCCCTTGATTCTTCACAGCCCTGGGTCTGTCTTTTTGGTGCATATTTTTTAACTGACTGAACATTTTTGGACTGTTATCTTGGTGTGTTTTCTTAAATTGTGATAGAACTGGCCTTAAAAATGTGTATTATAACTGTCCTTTCATGAGTTTAATTGTTAACATGGGTTTGGGAATATGACACATCTAGAAGGAAAGACGGATCTAGAAGCTTTATTTTCATTTCTCTTTATTCAACAGCAAATATTTTCTTTATACTTGCTGTATATTAGATATAGTCTAGGCACTAGGCTGCATGTGGACAGTCACTGAATTCCAGAATATTATAGTCTAGTATGAGGCAGAGATGAGTAAACGAGCAGTTATTAGAGACTCAAGCAAACTATTTTATTTCAAGATGGTGATGTCTGATTTGAGGTCTGATTATTGAATGAAAACCTCTTTGTATGTATTTATTTTCAGAGTATGTTAGTTACATGTGTTTTAAGTGTTATTAATCTTGGAATATTAGTGTACTCACATATCAATTATCTGTTAATGTTATTTCATCTGGCTAGATTGACTATTTTCATGGGATTTGAGGTCAATATGGAGTTATTCAGTAATGTTTTAAGTGCATGTTCCAAGCTACATTATTATTACAATGGAGGAGCAAAAAGCACAGTTTTATTTTTTTGACAGAGTGAAACTTACTTAATGTGGAACACTTTAAAAGACCAGAATTTTATATTAATAAAAAAAGAATACATGTTTCTCCTGTGGATTTTCCAAAATGATTTAGTGTCTGTTCACTATTACCATTCCATAGGATTCATTCCAGAGGGATTAAGTAAGGCATAGTGGATGTAATATTTAAATGTATTCTTTATGTAAGTTTTCCACTGATATATAAAACAAGTCAGAAAAAAATTTAAATGGAAAATATAAATATGTTAAGTGGAAAAGTAGGCAGTGTTATTTCTTTCTAAAACTTATGGTTGTATTACATACAAGTAGAATATTAGAATGCCTATATTTAAAATATATGTGTACCTACCTAATTAACACTAATTAGTTTCAAGAATCTGGAACTATTTATTGGTGACTGTAAGACATAGGCTCTTTTGCTTTCACTTTGATTTAATAATATTCTTAGTCCATACTTTAAACAGAAAAATGATTCTGTCTAAATTGAGAACAGCATTTATGTGTTACATTTCATAGATTGTGTGTTTATCATGTCCTATATAAACTGTCATTTCTTTGGCTATCACATATTAAAGTACATAGTCCAATGAACTATAGGTTTTCCAGGTAACCTGCATAACTAGTTAGTATTGACTATTTTGCCTTGAAACTCTCTTTGATTTTGTGAAGAAACCTACATAAAAATTATGTTTACCATTTATCTTTAACAATTGTAATTCAAAATCATGTGTTTTCAGAATTTTCTTAAATCTGTTTTCACCAGGTGCTTCTAGAGAGAAAAATAGAAAAATTATAGTCAATATCAAGTTTCAAAATAATAACAAGAGGCATTATCTGACTTCATGTATAGGAAAACACTTTTTTCTTTAAAAGATCTCTAAAGGTTCTATCATCTCACAAGGTAACTAACATTATAGAAAAATGGCATCACATTTCTGTTCAAAGGAAACCAGCCTGTACTGTCTGAAACCATTTCCACTGCTATCCTAATTGCTATCCTAATTACTTCACATCACGACATACGCGCTCAGTGCCTACTCTCTATAGAAAGTTGATGGAAGAATAAAAGCTCATGAACACACAATCTAGAGATTAAGGTGTATACACATTATTTTACAAAAGCTAAGGTTTTTTTTTCTGATAAAACTAATACATGTCTTTGTTTACAGAACAATACCAATGAATACATATGTGTATAAAGTACAAATTTCAAGTCCCACCAGAACAAACCATTTTGGCCTAACATCATGATTTTTTGTGCATTTGTGTATGTTTGTGTTTGTCTTATTTCTATGCCTGTATAAATGTGTTTGTGTGTGTGTGTGTACTCAGATATATGCGTGTGTGTGTGTATGCAAATGTAATCAAGTTATACATTTTGTTTAGGAACTGCTTATGTGATTTATTATGGACATGTTCCCATGTTGTTCTAGTAATCTTTTGCTGCATAACCAACTCAAGATGTAGTTGTTTAAAACAGCAGTATCTTCAGTCTTTGGCAGGGATCACCAGGGACAGAGCAGCTCTGCTCCACTTTTGTATCATCTGGGATGGCTCAAAGTCTGGGAGCTGGAACCATGAAAAGACGTTTTCACTCATGTTTCTGACAAATTATGCTGGCTGTGGGCTTAGATCTTAGTTTAGTCTATCAGTTGGAATGCCTCCACTTGGGCTCTCTATGTGGCCGGGGTTTCTATTGGAAGACAATTCTCCATGAATATTTCATGGTTCTACATGATCCAGGCCCTCTGAACAAAGGCATTTACAATAACGTTTTTATAAGGAGACATTCCAGGATAGTGAAGCTTAGAGACATCTCCCTTCCTGGAGACAGTCCAGGGTAGTAAAGATAAAAACCTGTCCTCCTCCCCAGATTTGCTTGCATTCCAGAATGAAGATAATGTTTCTCTTTCTCCTGAAGGGAGGATTGGCACATCATCAACAGCCCTATAGAAGATCAAAAATTTTCTAATTTGGGGATTTCTGTTTTATAATGCACCCCGTTGCATGTGCAGGTACCATTCTGGCCATCATGTTGCCCTGCAAGGACTTGGGCTTAGAAAACTCATGCAAGGTGTTGTTCTTGCTGTGAGTAATGAACTGTATTTGTCTATGACTCAGAGGCCTCATGTTTCTTGTGTGTATGTATATGTATGTGTGTGAATCAAGCAATATTCATAATTTTAATATGGATGTTTATGGCTATATATGTGTATACATCCATCCATCCATCCATCCATCCATCCATCCATCCATCCATCCTTCCATCCACCCATCCATCCTGTGGCAGTCTAAATTGTTCACTTGGAAGAAAGATAAAATCTCAGACCCTTCACAGTTTCTGATATAATAGTTTCCTCACCAAATGATGGCTGTATTCCAAAGGCAAATCTTTTGTGAAAGAGTCAGAGCGAAGTGGAAGCTGTATCACCTTTTGTATTACAGCCTCAGCAGTCATGCAGTGTCAATTTTGCTGGATTTCATTGGTTGATCACTCACAAAGGCCTGCCCATGTTCAAGGGTAGGGATGTAGACTCCAGCTCTTAGAAGAGAAATAGAACGACACTGAAATAAAATGTGAAACCAGAAATATTGCTAGACCACTATTAGAAAATTCCATCTGTCACATATATCAATACAAATCAATGTATCTTATCATTTTTAATTTCTGCATAAATTCCTATTGATGGACATTTAGAATTTCTGCATTTCTTTTAGCTAAGAATTTTTCAGATAACAATGTGTAAGGTAAAGGCTTTTGTGTCATAATTTTGTGAGTTAGTTCAATCCTAGAGGGTAAGTGGCTTTCTTGCCTCATTTCCCTTCTCCTTTTGGAAAATGGCCTCACATTTAGGAAAAGGAAAATGAGGTAAGGATGTCAGGAAAGCAAAAATGAGAATGAGGTACTGAGCTGACCACTGCTCAGTATCAAGCATGATAGATTGCTCAGTCTTTCAGAATCATATCTTCAAAGGCAACATAAACAACGTCTCAGGACAAGGAAGGAAGGGAGAGTAATTTATCTGCTGTCTCCTGTCTCCCATTGGCCAAAGTTTGCTTATGGGGCATTAATTCCTCTGTGCATCATGCACCTGCTTGAATGGTACAACGTCTACATTAGACTTAATAAATATGAAGTGGCTTACAAGAGGTGTCTAGTGTGTTTGTATATCCTGAGTTTTTGTGTAAAGATGATCTATTTATATAAATCTTTGTGTACCTGTGAACTTATATTGCTAAAATAAGTTTTAGAATTGAAATCTCACAATTTTTGAATATGTACATTTAAAATTTTGTCCATTGACAAATATTACTAATTGTCCTCCATAAAATTTATATACATTCATACTCTACCAAGTAGTCAGAAAGAATTTAACCTCATACATTAGACTTAATCAACGTCCTAATTACTGCCAATCTAATCAACATAAGTCTTTTTGTTTTCCTAGTTTCTTTGAGGTTTTTGTGATGCTGAACAAATTTTTACATGGTTATTAATCTTTTTTTTCTTTAGCAAATTGTTTTTCCATGTCTTTTTTGGCTTTTTAATTGAGGCATATTTTCTTTTTCTTATTGATATTCTGACTTGCTATCTAGATTATGAATAGCAAGTCTGTCTACATTTATAAATATATATTCCAGTTTTAATCTTTTATATTACTTTTGTCAGCTCTTCTGTCCAACAGCACATAAAAATATATCAGTCTTTTCTTTATAGTTCCTGACTTTTGAGTATCTTTTTCTTTTTTTTTTTACTAAGAATTTTGATTTTTTACTATATTTCCTAATTTGTTATAGTGTTAGTGTTACAGGACAGGTGAGCCCTAAAATTGGGGCTTAGCCCAGGAGGGTTCTTGGCATGAGGGCGAGCCAGTGGTATTAGACAGCAGTCTTTAATTGAATGGTACCGTTCCTTGCATTGCAGGACTAACTCATAGGCAGTGCAGCCAGAGTCAATGTATGGGCTCTTGGCAACTTATATTTACATATGTAAACCCACTTTCAGTTATATGTAAATCAAGGGGCAGGTCAATGCAAATTGAGAGGCCCATCATTTCAAACTTTTAAAGAAAGGGGCAGTAACTTCCAGGTCATTGTCATGGAGAAAGGTGGTAACTTCTGGGTCATTGTCATTGCATCTGTAAACTGTCATGGCATTGGTAGGAGTGTCTTATGCCAATGAGCAATGAAGGCAGCTAGGGATCGCTGGTTCCTACTTGGTTTTTTTGCTTTATTTTGTATGGACCAGATCCTGTTTTGATAGCAGAAAACAAGTCCTACCAGTCTCCTACCCTAATTGCTGATATATAGCTCTTTTTTCTTATTTATTTTCTGATTATGCATTATATTTTCTGACTTTAGTAGTTTTCTCACTGATTCTCTTTGAATTTCTAGGTAGACAATTATATCATTTTAAAATTTCATTATCTTCTACATACTTTCCCTATATGCATCTTGAATTTTTCTCTATAAGAAAATATTTTTCTAAATATTATATTATGAACATTCTCTAAGACCACTTGAAACATATTTTAGTTACTGAACACTTATATGGCATAATCTAATTTTGTTTGTATTTTTTAAATTTATAAATAATTCTATGAGAATGATCTTAATAAATGAATCTTTTCTACCTTTCTGATAACTACCATAAAGCAGATTTCTAGAGGTAGAATTAGTGGGTTAAAAGTAGGAACATCTTCAAGGCTATTGTCATATTGTCAAATTGCTTTACAGAAAATGTTTACTGCTGCAAAATCCCAATGGCAGTGTAAGGTAGCATCTATTTCACTTTTACCTTTTTAGCACTGATTTCTGTCACTTATTCTAATTTTTAATTTGATACGTGATAAACATCATTATTTTAATTTACATTTTGCTTTGATTACAAGGACAATGAACATTTTATCGTATGTTCATTAGTGATTTGTGTATTTCGTCTGTGAATTTTTCTCTCATGAACTTTGTCTTTTTTAATTGAAATTTATTTTTCAAATTGATTTATATAATATTAAGGGACTATGAGTGATATTTGGGGCAAATGTTTTTCCTATATTGTAATTTGACTTTTGATTTCGTAGACATGTATTGTTTTAAAAGTACAGACAGATCTCTCGATTATTTTATGTTTTATGATTTCTGTTCATTTCTTGTAAGTTACTCTTTATCAAAAAATCAGATAGATATGTACACTGAGTTTTTTTAAAATTAGTAAACTATATTTTTAGAGCATTTTTAGGGTCACAGCAAAATGGAGCAGAAAGTACAGAGTTCTCATATATCCTCTGTCCTCACAAACACATACCCCAGCTTCTCCCACTGTTTACATCCTCTACCAGAGTAGTGCATTTGTTACAATGATGAGCATACATTGACACATCATTATTACCCAAAGTCTATAGTTCACATTAGAGTTCGTTCTTGGTTGTGTACATTCTATGGGTTTGACAAATGCATATGACATATATCCCTCATTGTGGTATCATACAGAATAGTTTCACTGCCCTAAAAATCCCTGTGCTCTGACTTTTTATCCTTTCCTCCCAACTAATTTCTGGCAACCACTGATCTTTTTACTGTCATAATAGTTTTTTTGTTTTTGTTTTTCTTCCCCAGAATGTCATATATTTGAAATCGTATAGTATGTAGCCTCTTCAGATTGGCTTCTTTCACTTAGTAATTTGCATATAAGTTTCCTACATGTCTTTTGATAGTTTGATAGTTTGTTTCTTTTTAGCAGTGAATAATATTCCATTGTCTGGATATACCACAGTTTACTTATCCATTTACCTGCTGAAAGACATGTTGATTGCTTCCCAGTTTTGGAAGTTATGAATAAAGCTACTATAAATATTCGTGTGCAGATTTTTGTGTGCACATAAGTTTTCAGTTTATTTAGGAAGATATCAAGAAGTGTGACTGCTAGATCCTATGTTAAGAGTATGTTTAGTTTGTAAGAAACTGCCACACTGTATTCTAAAGTGACTATCATTTTACATTCCCATTAGCTATCAGTGAGATTTCCTGTTGCTCCACATCCTCACCAGAATTTGGGGTTGTCAGCATTTCGGATTTTGGCCCTCCTGATAGGCGTGTGGTGGTATCTCATTGTTGTTTTAATTTGAAATTCCCAAATGCTATATTATGTTGGACGTCTTTACATATGCTTGCTTACCAACCATATTTTTTCTTTGGTGAGTTGTCTGTTCAGACTTTTTGCTCATTCTTAAAGGTGATTTATATTCTTATTGTTGAGTTTTAATTAGTTTTTGTATATTCTAGATAATAGTTCTCTATCAGACATTTCTTTTACAAATACTTTCTCACAGTCTGTGGCTTATTGTCTGATTCTCTTGGCATTATCTTTCACAGAGCAGAAGTTTTAAATTTTAATGAAGCCCAGCTTATCAATTATTTCTTTCATGGGTTGTGCCTTTGATGTTGTATCTAAAAGATCATCACCATACCCTACGTCATTTATTTTTTTCCATGTTATCTTCTAGGGGTTTTATAACTTTGTGTTTTACATTTAGGTCTATGATTGATTTTGAGTTAATTTTTGTAAAGGGTGTAAAGTCTGTCTAGATTTTTTATTATTATTATTTTGCAAAAGGATGTCCTGTTGTTCCAGCACTATTTTTTGAAAAGTCTGTGCTTTCTCCATTGACTTACCTTCATTCCTTTGTCAAAGATCAGTTGACTATATCCTGTGGCCCTGTTTCTGGGCTCACTAGTTTGTTCTGTTAATCTCTTTGTCTATTCTTTCACTAATAACATGCTGTTTTGATTACTGTAGCTTTAAAATCAGCTAATGTCAGTCCTCTGATGTTCTTCTTCTCCTTCAATATTGAGTGGCTATTCCAGGTTTTTTCCTTCTCCAGGTACACTTTAGAATCAGTTTGTTAATATCTACAAAACAACTTGCTTTTGATTGAGGTTATGTTGAACCTACAGCTCAAGTTAGGATCAGTGATTAGCTAGACAAAGTAATGCTATTTTACTTTTCACTTTATATTTTCTGTATTATCTGAGTTTCTCAAATGAGCGTGTATTAAATCGATTATAATCAGGCTAAAAGAAATATATTTAAGATAAAACATGTTTTATGGTAGTACAAAAGTACAAACAGAAAATCAGGTGCTTTGCATGTATTACACTACTTTTTTTCCTTATCCATGTTGTACATCTTAAAAAGCTTTTCAGCAAACCTTTTCAATGTATTATGGTCTAAGAACTCCTAAAACTTATTGAAATAGTCCTGTAACTTTAATTTATTAGAATATGTCTAGCTTGACTTTTTAAATCAGCATAATTTAACAAACATTGCTTGAATAGTTCACATGCAATATTTTTTGTGCTGTGTTGTTAGAGATACACAAATGTAATATTTGAGAATGTGACATAACAAAATATTTCTTAACTGTGATATTGATGAAAGGTTGAATAAAGAGGACATCTGGAAAACACTGAAGAAACTTTAGTTCTAGACAGTAGTTTGAGGAGACCTTTGACTCTAATAATAGCCATGGTAGGATAGAGGACAAGGTAGATGTCAAAAACCAACAGGGCTTGGTAACAGAGGGATTTTAATTAGATTTGTTTATTTAAGATGGTAATTGAAGAAATTGAGTCAATGACAGAAATAGAGTAATGCCAAACACAAGGATTTGAATAACAGCTAATATATTAAGAATGTCTATGTCCTTATTTATTTTCAAGTGAAAACAGGAAATCCAGGTAAAATTTTCCCATGGCCAGTTGGAAGCATTCAAGGTTGAATTAGAAATCAGGGTTTGAGCTAGGTGCAGTGGCTTACACCTGTAATCTCAGCATTTTGGGAGGCTGAGGCAGATGGATCATCTGAGGTCAGGAGTTCGAGACCAGCCTGACCAACAAGGTAAAACCCGGTCTCTACTAAAAATACAAAAATTAGCCAGGCGTGGTGGCAGGCGCCAGTAGTCCCAGCTACTCGGGAGGCTAAGACAGGAGAATTGCTTGAACCTGGGAGGCGGAATTTGCAGTGAGCCAAGACTGTGCCACTGCACTCCAGCCTGGGTGACGAAGTGAGACTCTGTCTCAACAACAACAACAACAAAAAAAAAAAAAAAAAAAAGAAATCAGGGTTGGAGAGACGCTGTGAAGCAAGGTAGGCAGGATCCTGGCCTTAGCTAAAGAAACTTGGTGTTCTTGGAAGTAACCACCCATGTTACCTTGGCCAAGGCACTTCGCTGTTCAGGTTCTCGGTTTTCTTGGGGGTTAAATGATCAGAATGAAAGGCTGTATATTTTCTAACATTACTACTAGATTATTAACAGCTGAATCTGTGATAACAAATCACCTGATTGTGGTGATCATTAGAAGAGGCCTTACCCAGAACAATGTGTGTCTCAGTCCATTTGGGCTACTATAACAAAATACCATAAACTAGGAAACTTAGAATCAACAGAAACTTACTTCTCCACAGTTGTGCAGGCTGGAAAGTACAAGATGAGTGTGCTGGCAGATTCAGTGTCTGCTGAGGGCCTGTTTCCTGGTTTATAGTTGGCACCTTTTTTCTATCCTCACATGGTGGGAAAAGGGCAAGGAAATTCTCTAGCACCTCTTTTATAAGGGCACTAGTCTCGTTCATGAGGGCTCCACTCTCATGACCTAATTACCTCCTAAATACCTCATCACATTGGTGCTTAAGCTTCATCATATGAATTTTGGGGGAACACAAACACTTAGACCATAGCAATGTGGAATCGTGAAGTTAAGGGAGAAGACAGTTTGTGATGAAGTGTTAGACAGTCCGATCAAGCACTGCAAAGAATTCAAGGAAAATTATAATAAAGAGTACCTATGATCTACTAAGAAGAATCAGTTGGAAATAAGTTTAGTAAAGAGGTATGGATGAATGCCATAGAACAGAGAGAAACTAGTGTAAATATAGCTGATAAAAATATAACAATTTGATAAAGATAAAAGTTTATTTTACCCCGGGCCCTTAAGTCATTAACAGTCAGGAGATTATAGGGCAGGAGTTCTTAATCTGGCTGCAGAGAGGACTCAGCTGGGAGCTTTTTAAAAACACAGACGAGCAGGCTCTATCCTACTCCCTTTGTCAGAATCTGGGATATGGAGAATGGAGCTGATACTTCTCAAAAGCTCTCTCAGGAACAAAAATAAATTAACATATATTTTCATTCATCAATTACTATCTTTATAAATAAACATTAACCTAATATTAATTCAGTGTGCACTGTCTGCTAAGCACTGTACTAGATGCTGAGGGAGACAGGTATACAAATAAACATGGAACACAGTGAATGAAGGTGAAAGGGGAAAGGAAAGGTGAGAGAGAAAGCTCTGAGCATGTTCTTGCAAGGAAGCAGCTGCTTTTTTGGATTTTAGATTGAAATATTGGAGTTATGACACATGCTACTTTTTAAATCTTTCCCAGCTGATGAGAGTTTGGAAATAAAAGAGCCATCCAATTTCCTAGATAAAATGAGGAAGTAGGAAACTTTGTGCCTGGGACTCTTTTTCTGGGCCTCCCCTTTCAATCCTCTTAATTGCACTTTGACTCCACCGACTTTTATGTTGTCCTTGGTGTACATGTAATGGAACCCTGTGACCAGTAAATTTCCTGGCCATAGTTGGTTGTGGGAGAAGCAGAGATGGAAATGTGGAGTTGGGAGAGAAACTGTCCATCCTTGCCATTTCCATGCTGTCTTTTAGGTTGTAGCTTCACCATCTCTCCTTCTGGACTGCTGTAGAAGTTTCTTAACTGTCTTCCCTGCCACTAAGTGCTTTATCTCCCACTCTGTCTTCTGCGTAGGACTAGATTTATCTTTCTAAACTACAGTGTCATCTGGCTTGAATACATCTGAAAGCTCCCCTATTGATTAACCATAGGATGAAGGGCAAATACCTTAGCATATAAAAGACCCCCATCCGTTTGTTACAAGCTTACCCTTCTCCGTTTTCTTTTTTTCTGGGTGCAAAACTGCTAAACTTTTTTTGGTTTCCATTTCATACTGAACTCTTCTATGACTCCATTATTTTGCAATTGCTGCTGTCTGAAACATTTTCTCTCTTATGTCCTTACAAGATCTAGTTCCATGTTTATCTCTTTTATGAAGTTTCCTTCTAGTCTCCTTTAGCATTTTGTACATGCCTCTAAATACACATTTACCTGTGATAAACCATATTTATTTAATAATTTGTTACATTTCTTGAAAGAAAACTCTGAGCTTATTGATCTTTGCATTTCTCTTCTCCTCAGTGGAACTGGCAAATAATAGATGTCGAAAAATGTTTCTCAGATGAATACACTAGCCAGCGCACACTGGGAATCCAGAGGCTTCTCTTTTACCACACTGTTGGCTCAGCAATGGCAGTGATCTTTTAAAACTGCAAATCCTGTCATGTCACTCTTCTGCTCGAATCCATCCAAAGGCTCCAGGCTTCACTTAGATCCTAAGTCTTAGCACGAAACCCAGTCTGTAACAGTCTGCAGGACCCAGCCCCTTCCTCCTATCCCAGAGATCTCTCCTGCCCTTTCACTCATGTGCCCTGCCTTAGCCACCCTGGCCACCCTCTCTGCCTCCCATGCCGACACACGGACCACTTCCTTAGTCCAGAATATTCTTCCCTTGGCACTGGTTAGCCAAGAGAAGTTCCTTCCTCAGCCTTCAGGTCTTAGCTTGGATATGACTTCCTCAGCAAGGCCCTTATCCATATCACATTTTCCTGCTATCATGTCACATTGATGGCTTTATATTTTTTCTGGTGTTTATTACAATGTGTAATTTACATTTATCTGTGTTATCTCTGCTTAATGTCCATCCTGTTCACCGAGTTTTATTCTGCATTATAGCAGGGACCTTGTATATTTTGTTCTAAGATGAATCTTCAGCATGATGCCTGAGACATATTTACCCAATAATATAACCGAATAAGTGACAAGCTTTATCCAAATACCTTTGGATATTTTTCTCTTCCTGTCTACTTCCTTTATTTTTAACTCCAATGCCCCATGTTTATCTAGTAAGTATACTACTTTGTTGACTGACTGGCCCCCTCCATACCCATACTGTCATCACCATCAAACCACAACAGTTTTATGCAAATGTCTAAATCTCAAATCAGTAATAAATTGGAGTATTTGGTTTGTTTCTTCATCTTTTTTTGCCAACAAAGTTGAAATTAAGCTTCTATTTGCTTACCATTTTTGGATTTCTTCAAGATAATTGGCAGTGGGCAGTTATTAAAACATCTTAAACATTTACTATAAGGCTTGGAATAAATTCAATACCATTAAAAGTTCATGTTCACTGTCTTCTTTGTCTTTTTTGTCGTCGTTGTTACTCCTCATAAAGATTGAGTTTTAGAATTACCAGCACAAAGCTATACAGACTATCTTGAGTAATCCAATAATAACCATGCATTTTATCTCAGATTTTTTTTATCTGATTCGATATAGCTAATTTAGTTTTTCTAAGCTGTGGTTTTAAATCTAATTAAGACATCTTAAATTGCCCAATTTCCATTCGGGTAGCCTGCTCTGCCCATAATTTTCAGATTTCAAGACTTCTCTAATGAATTTCTTCCATTGCTTTCCTGCAATTAAGCTTCTTTTCAATTAAGCTCTGTCAGGCTTAGTCATAAGGCAGATTGCTAACCAATCAGTCTTATTAATTAAGAACAAAAAAAGATTCCTAAGAAAATTCCTTTGTATACAAGGTAATTTAGGGGAACAGCCTATCCTTTTGCAAATGCCGTCATATCCTTTCTCAGCATAGCAGGTAATAAGTATTTTGGAAACTGATTAACTTTCCCTTCTTCCTTACCTATTTTGTCTTCCTGACCTCTCACAATCTCCCCTCCTTCTGCCTCCCCCAAAGGTTAAAAACACAATAAGCTGCCACGTACAACAATAGAGCCTGAGGCTTGAGGAAGATGGCATTTGGTTTGCCCTTTGGCAAAGAGCACAGTAGCACTTGCCAGCCCCAGGCCTTCCGAGTTGAATATATCACTTCCACGGTGCAATCTGCCTCTGTTGTCCTGTGGCCTGTGGACCCGAACTCAAGCCTCTGTTTCAAAGGCATTATGTTACAGCACACCATCTGGTCAGCTGGCCCAGCATCCAGAGAGATTTGGAATCACAGTGCAGAGGAGCTAATTATGTTCAGTGAGTGTTTCATGATTTGCTATTTCAGACAAATAAACAAAAATAAATTATTGAAATATTTTCTTCCTGTTCTCCCTGTTCAGCAGATTCAAAAGTGGAGAGGAAAAAAAATCCCCAAATAGTTAGGAAATTTTTGGAGAAGCTACTGAGTCCATTTTGAATAACTGAACTGCATATGTTCTAAATTGTAATCCTTTTGGGCTTGAGATTGATAAGAATATTTAATGTGTTTCTGCCCCATTTTACAGTGGACAATTTTCATGCTAAGTGCTTTAATGTATGTCTGTACTGCTAATGTATCACTTGAGGCTGTACAGTTCAAAGCTTTGAGTGTACTTTATAAATTTGAGATTTATTGACCCAGTGTTTATTTTAACTTAGACATATTTATGTTTGTATATTTTGAAACTCATGCCATTGGGACAGGGTGAAATAGTTGAATTTTACATCAATTCTTAGACAATTTGATAATGTAGTCATTGATCTTTACAGTTACTTCTGCAAATATGTAAGCACTTTTTGTTTGCCAAGTCCAGGTATAGTAGGTCTTATCTGAAAATTGATTTTCCTCTTAAGCCCCAGTTCTTTAAAAAAAAGTCTTCAAGCAATAGTATTTCAATATTTGTTAATTCTATAATGTATCTATTGAAGTCATGTAAAATTTGATCTGAAATGCAGTGTGAATGACATATCTATTATGATAAAAGAAAGTGAGGAAGCTGTGAAGCAAGCATGAACATATTCATGTGGGAATATTTGTTAAACTCTAATTAAACTAAATGATTCTAGATTAGCCTTATTAGTTATCTAAAAATAAACATCTATAGAGAAATGATTCTACTTTGTCATCTATCATTAATTTTCGTGCATAGATTTTTCATTAAATATTTTAAAGACAAGAATCATGTCCTTTTTTGGTCTCATCTGTTGTTTATATCCATCTCATCATATTAAAACATTTAATTGTATTAAATGTTTTGAAGTAAAGGTTCTATTTTTAAAAGGATACTATGTGAGATGATGGATATGTTAAATTGCTTACCTATAGTAATCATTTCACTATGGGTATATATATATCAAAACATAATGTTGTGCACCTTAAATGTATACAATAAAAAAGGAAAAAAGGAAACCGTGTGTTATACATTTGTTAATTCATCTGATATACCAGTAGGGCTTGAAAATCTAAATTTAACTATTCATGTAAAACTTGAAAAGTGCTTTTTCAAGTTTATTGAATGGCCCCTTGAATTAAATAAACACCATTAACTAGTATCCTTTTATGAAACCCTAGTGCCTTCTCACTATTAGAATCCAGCTCATGGTTTGTTATATTACTACCAAAATTGAGTTTATCCCTACCAAATTGCCAAAATGTATAATTAATAGTTCCATTAAGAATAGAGAGCTTAAAATATTCTATGAAATAACATTTTTGTACTTGAGAGTTTGTATATAGAAGTTAAAAAAACAAATATTATATAGAAAAGAGACAAAAGTTTTTCATAAAATGAGTATATATGTGATACAATCATTAGGAGCAAGGGCATGTAATTTTTAATTGCCCTTTCAAATATGTTACATATACACAAATTATAGGAAGGTAGATATTCTAAAATCTTGTTAAAATGTTTCTAAATACACTTTCATACTATCATATGTAAATAAGTTATTTCAAGTCAGCATGTAGAGAACAAGTTATTCCATGTAATTTTCTACCTTTTTCCACCCCACCCTCTGCATTTATGTGACAGTACTATCACCTTCTCAATTTTAGCTAAGCAGACATTAACCAATGATATCGGTTAAACCACATGTATTTCCTTTTCCAGATTGTAAACTGTTTGAAAGCAGAATCAATTTCTAATTTGTTTATTTTTATATGTTATAGAGCCTTAATAGATCATCTGTGTATAAGCATATGGGTCAGGATTCCAGAAGGAAATCGATGGCACATTCAATTTGGTGGAATTGTAGATAGGAAACTATTTACAAAGGTATGAAAAAGGATAACAGAAAACCGGGATGGCGAAGCACTCCTGGGCTAGCAATAGTAGGAGCTATTACCGCTCCTATGTCTGAGGGTGAAAGTGGGGAGATACTACCAGGACCTACAAAGAGCTTCAGTTGAGGTTGTAGCTATAGGAGGGAACTTCTAGCAGCAGCTGTGACCGTTCAAGGAACCTGGACTTCTGCCAAACTGTAGCCCAACAGAAAGGGAATCTCATTCTCTATGTTCTGCCGTTTTCTTCTCATTGGCCCTCTGCTGGCTAATTCCAAACAAAAGCCAGACACTAGAGAAGTCTGTCAGTGTAGCCCATCAAAGACTCATCCAGGAGCACTGAGAAGGAAGGAGAAACAGTGGATAGAACCATGGGAGGGAGGGATGTGTGCAAGCAGAGTATATCAGCTTAGTTGATACTATATGAATGAAACAATGATAGTCTTTAAATGTTCTAATTTACTAAAATATATCTGCTTAATTAATATAAGCAGCTATTAATCAATTAATTATTTAATTGATTAATATGAATAGATATCATATATAGCTGTTATCTATTCATAACAGGTATAGGTTGGTAGATATATCTGCTTAATATAGGAACACATACATAGCCCTCATTATCCATTCATGTGTTTAATATTAATTAAAATATATGTGCACACGTTTAAGCATTTATGTGCTTAAATAAACTTCATTGCACTGTCTCAAATCAATAATCTGGAATATTCATATATATATACTGAGTGCTTGGGGTAAAGGTACAGCTGTAGGAGGAGGCAGTTGTTAAGGACTACATACTCAACATTCTCTTGTAAGGACCTCTTTTGTCATAAAAATGATTTCTGATATATCTATACCTAGGTCAAGAAAGAATGGCATTTGTATTAACCTAAGTTGAAAATGAATTAGCCTTTTAGCACAGCCTGAATTATCCTAATAGACTTTTTTTTTATTATCCAAGGAGTGTTTACAAATCCTAATGAATATCATTTGTTCATTTGATGTTTCTACTAATGTTCATTCATAACTAATACATATTTGGCATAATTTTGCTAATAGCGAATGGAATTAGTTTTTTAAAGATATTCCAAGGTCTGTCCTTCATGTAACAATAGAAAATTTTCACTGTGAATCATCGTCTAATTTTTTCTTAAGTCTGTATTTTCATATATTAAGATGGTTCAAATGAAGAAATTTAAGGGTCAAACAATAGCACTGAAATTTGTTGTTAAACTAACATATCCCTGATTTCTGGAGAATGCGGTGATATTAAGTATGCTGTTATTATCATATTAATAAGAACATCTACTAGATCTAAAGTGTTGAATATTCATGGAAAACAAAATCACTAGATCTTAAAACATTTAAGGCTACATTAAGATCAACAGCTGAATGGCAGTCAGAGATCATCCTTATGATATATTTTTCCTGACTCAAATAAATTAACTGTTCCATGTATATATTAGAACATATAACTGGACTCAGTAAATAAAGTCTTAGGACCTGTTTATTAGTTTGTTTTCTGTTGCTTATAGCAGAATACCTGAAACTGGGTAATTAATTTTTTAAAAGGGAATTTATTTATTATAGTTATGAAGGCTGAGAAGGCCAAGGTTGAGTTGTCACATCTGGTTAAGGCCTTCTTGCTGATCATATGGCTTGGGGGCTGAGCATGCTCACGTCCTCATTCGGGTCTTTATCTTATAAAGCCACCAGTTCCACTCCTATGATATGCCATTAATCCATTAACCATGAATAGATTAGTCCATTCATGAGAGTAGAGCCCTCATTATCCAGTTACCTTTTTAAGGCCCCCATCTTTCAGTACTGCCATACTGGATTAAGTTTCTAACACATGAAATTCGGGGAACACATTCAAACCATAGCAACCTATAAAACTGTAGACCCCAAAGAAGAGTGCACACATCACAAGAAACGCAAAGGACAAACCATTGAAGATGCATAAATACAATATAATAAAACGTCTACTTCTATTTATGTTCATAAAGCATTAAGTCAAAATATTGCTTAATAGTAGAACATGTATATTATTTATAGATAAATGTGTATTTATGTGGTGTGCATGCTAAAAAATTCTTCAGGAATATAGGATCAAAGGCCCAGATAACTACTGACTGAATATGATTATTTAGGAAGCTAAAAACTAGTCTATTACAAATTCTAACTACTATTTCTACCTATGATGTTAAATGCATATCTTAATCCAAGGCCTTTGCTGGAACAACAGTGAGATTTAGTTATTCCCGCAATTCATTTGACCAAAACAAATTGAGTGCCCTAGTCTAGGGCCGAAAACAATATGTTCTTACATAGTCTTTGGTTTCTCAATAGAGCCATCCCCAACATATAAATTGCAATTTACAGGTAGAAATTAAAGGCTCAATTGCCAGGCCTTCTGGGCATTTTCATGTCTAAATTATGCTGGGATTCCCGGTTAGGAAGGAAAGCACCTGTTTGTCTCCACTGTCATTCAGAAATACACTTTCAGTAAACATTACCCTTCCTGCCTTCCTCCCAACCCCCATTCATCTCAAATTTTCATGAACTAAAAATCGGTTTTCTCTTAAGTAGCTTGAGGCCCCTGTATAGTTGACATCAACCTATCTTTTTCATTAAGCTATTTTTTTTAAATGATGGCGGGCAGCAATAGTAATTCATTCTCTCTATACCAAATAGAACCCTACGGAAGTAAATAAAGAAAATTTAATAATAACTTCATCTTCCCTCCTTCAGCCTCATGTCTTTGTGTAGCAAGTGTTAAAATCATCTGCAGCATAGTAGTCCTTCTTTATTTTAATATGAAGATAGACACATACATACATTTTTGCATATTCCCCACCCTTACCTCTTTCTTGCTCTTTCTCCCTTTCTGTCTCTTTCTCTGTCTCTCTGCCTTTTGTTTCCTTCCCCTCTTTTCTCTCTCTTTCCTCCTCACCTCCTTTCCTCCCTTCTTTACTCTTTCTCCCTCCCTTTCTTCTCTCCTAAACTGGAATACCATACACATATTCTGTAACTTGCTTCTTTTTATACAGTGTATTATAGACATTGCCTTGATGTCAATACCTGTAGATGTAATCCATTCCTTTTAATAGTTGTATAATATTCCATAATATGAATGTATCATGTTTTATTTAATCATTTCTCTATTGATGAGCAGGTTGTTTTTAGTTTTGTGCCATTACTAACAGCAATAAACAACCTTGTACATAAATACTTAGGTATTCTGCCTTTAATTTTTATGAAAAATCCCTGAACTTGAGATTACTGATTCAAAAGGTATCTTCACCTTTAAATAGTAATGGACCTTGCCATATTACTTTTCAGAAAGGTTGTGGTAATTCACATGGCCATCAGCAGTGAAGCAGAATTTCTCTGCACCCTGGGGATCCTTATTAGTTCTGGATTTATCAGTCTTTAAAATTGTTTTCCAATTCAATTGGCAAAAATATAAGAGAATTTCATTAATGCTTTATGTTTCATTATACCACATCAGCCACCTAAAGCACAAGGGCAAACAACCAAAAGCCTAGGGCCACAGAGGTTTCTAAGGGGATTTTTTAATAACTTATGATGCATGAGAGAATTTTGCCATGTGTGTTTATGAGGTGTATTAGTCTGTTTTCACACTGCTGATAAAGACATACCCAAGACTGGCAATTTACAAAAGAAAGAGGTTTATTGGGCTTTCAGTTCCATGTGGCTGGGGAGGCCTCACAATCATGATGGAAGGTGAAAGGCACGTCTCACATGGCAGCAGGCAAGAGAAGAGAGCTTGTACAGAGAAACTCCCCTTTTAAAACCATCAGATTCGTGAGACTTATTTACTGTCACAAGAACAGCACAGGAAAGACCTACCTCTATCATTCAATTACCTCCTACTGGGTATCTTCCTCAACACATGGAAATTCCAGATGAGATTTGTGTGGGGACACAGCCAAATCATATCATGAGGACCACCCCCCCAATTTATGACAATACTTGTAAATTCAGGTTTTACTCTCAGAGAAATTCTGGAACACAACCAGCTGGAATGTAGGAATTGAGTGGGTTGATAGAACAGCGGGAATACAGGAACCAGTATTAACCTAACCTTATCATTTCTGAATTGCTCTTACAGAGATTTCATTCCACCAGGTCACATGTTTACAAAGAACTCAGCTCCCCTCCACTCCCAATTTATGCAATACTGACTGAGATTTGTTATCTTATTAACTCACCACAGGATCTGTCATTCATTAATATATGTCATTTGTAGGTGCTTCTAGCTACAAATGACAGTGAACAATTGGGTGTTGCCCTGGGTGTAAATGTAATTACAATGTTCATTTCAGCATATGCCATGCTCTGCAAAGTCAGTGACCCATTGGGAAAAATGGGTCAAAAATTTTCTGCCCTCAAAAAATGTGAGGCATGTGAAGAAAGATTTGTTGAATAAGAAGAACAAGAGAAAACAAACAATGAGAATAACAAACAGAATTATTAAAAGAGTTCTAATCTTCTGTTATTTAACATTTATTGAATACAGTGTCATATATGCAAAGATCATAGCTCTCATTTCTACCAAGTGAATTCACAGAGAAAGAAAAAGAGATTCAGGAAGAGAAAAAAAAAAATGCTACTGAGTTTAACACAACACTACCTTCTGGGAACAAAGGCAAGTATTTTAGTTTGGAGAAATGATTTGAAATTTACAACCAAACACTTTAATTGTCCTGGCTTTGCTACTCCTGGTTGTTTTCTCTGGTTTATAGTTGTCCTTGGTCCTAGGGCTCTCAGGATGTTTGGGGAAAGCAGGTTGATGAGCCAGAGACCTTCTTGGCAGCTTTCCAAGAGTCTTTGATCATCTGAGAGATCTGAGGACAAAAATTTCAGAGTCTATAAAAAGCACTGCCATACCGCATATTAGGTAAGTGGATCAGACCTTTGGCCTCAGATAATAAACACCTTTATTCTTTAACATATAATGATAGTTAGAGTCATACTACCCTCTCTCCCAGCATGTTCTCTCATATTGTTCCCAGAAATAAGCCCCTGGGCAAAATCTCTTTTGATCCTTTTGCAGCAAAGTTTTTATTTTGTTCTTACTATTGTTAGGTGAAGCAAACATTTTTTCCTGCTCTGAGCACTAAAGGTGATTTAGCTACCTGTTTTACATACTTATTCCTGCCTAAGGTGCTCTGGTGGTGAGATTCTAAGGCTAGGTGGCACAGGTGATGAATCTTTCTCTGGGGGAAAAAAATTTTCAGGTGAATGCTTCCATCTGGCACCTGTCCTGGCTGATGGCACTCAGTGTTTACCTGGCATCCATTCTTCTGAGGGTGATTGGTTACATGGCAGGCCTGTGGCCCCTGGCAGGTGGGAAAAAGCACCTATTTCATGAGAACCAAGTTGTGCTTTACTCCACAAAGGCCAGGGTGTTTGAGAAGATCACTACTGCCAACTGTAATCTCTTCTTCCAATTCTTTCAGTTAAATTTGTCTTAATCCCTACAATTCTCTTTGTAGAAAAGTCAGCTCCCAATCTTAGTCTACTTTCATACTTTGCACTGTCACATGCTATAGTTTTCTCTTCTTCAAACTGTTTGCAACTCAAGAGTTAAGTTTTTGATTGTACAGCAAATACTAAACTACAAAAGCTGTGAACTCAAAAATTTAATTCTTTGTTCTAAGATGGTATAATGGTGAGGTATATATGTTTATACTTATATACTTGGAAGGACGGAGCACAAAGCTTTCTTCCTTCCAGGGGTTGTCTCCTATTTCTTCTGGTACCAGTCTCCTTGATGAATTGCTAGAACACTGTTTAGCAACTTTCTTCAGTATTGAGTTGAGCTAATGTGTATATGTTACATATACACTATATATATATATAAAGTTGCATATAACACACACACACACACACTCTTAACTTTGTGTTAATATGACCAGTAAGGCCTGATTTATGTCTAGTGACCATTTCTTACATGACAGGCTGCTGTGCTGGTATGGGAAAGTGATAGTCTAAACTGAATGTGCTCCAGCAGTAACTACAGTGAATTTCTGTGGAAGTCCCAGTTTTAAAACTACATTTAAGATTTATTATTCATAAAGAATATTTGAAGAAGCTTTAAAAATAAATTACAATAAAAAACTAGAGACTTCTAAATAAACTTAGAACAACCAATGAAATTATAAGGAGAAAGACGCTAGAAGCAACTTCAAATGAATTTATTAATATAGATGAGCACTAAACTTAATTCTCAAGTTACTGGCATCTGAAGCAAAAAAGAAAATAACTTAGTTGATCTAGTTCTCATTGTTTACCTGAAGAGAACTTTCATATTCATCTCAGAGGCCTTCATGAATCAGGCTGGTAAGTAAATGAGAGAATTGACTGGGCATAAACCAAAGAGAATGGTACAGCTTGTGTTTGCCCCATTCAAAGGAGTTTGAGCTAAAGCTAAGCAGAAACCAAAATCTTTTTCACTGACTAAATAAAACCAAAGGGCTGAGATGCACTTAGACAGCTGAGTTACCATTGAAATACAGGGGAAATTTATCCTGAATTTGTCATATTAGGCCTTCTGTAACATGAAATGTAATGTTTAATATGCAAGTTATTTTATTTAAAAAAGTCATTGCTTTAAATCGTCTTCTAATATTGAACTTCTGAAAAAGCTGAAAGATTAAATTTATTGTTTTGCCTCAGTGAATGTACTATGAAGTCTCTAAAAATCAGCCATCCCCCCAGATGGTCTAAGAATGCCCCTAGGTGGCAAGACATAATTAAAAATACTCTAATTTTGTGATTAAAGCTCTCTCTCTCTTTTTTTTTTTTTTTTTGAGACGAAGTTTCACTCTTGTCACCCAGGCTGGAGTGAAATGGCACAATCTTGGCTCACTGCGACCTCTGCCTCCCAGGTTCAAGCGATTCTCCTGCCTCAGCTTCTTGAGTAGCTGGGATTACAGGCACCCACCACCACACCCTGCTACTTTTTGTATTTTTAGTGGAGATAGGATTTCACCATGTTGGCCAGGCTAGTGTCAAACTCCTGACCTCAGATAATCTGCCTGCCTCAGCCTCCCAAAGTGCTGGGATTACAGGCATGAGCCACCGTGCCCGACCTCATGATTAAAACTCTTCTAAGAGCTCCACTTTTTCTTGTTCTAGAATGAATATCTCCAGCAATGCAATAAATGTTCTCCCTTGCATTAAATAGGAAGCAAGGCCATAATATGACAATTAATTACATCTTATGTATGAGGTAGAATGTGGCAGAGGGGAGTGAGGCATTACTGATCACCAGTAGAGTTCCCAGAGGAAAACATGTCAGGAGCTGTACTGGAGGGAGCAGGGAAACCTGCCCTAATCCTTTCTCCTACTGGCCTGGTTACCTAAATGCATTCTCAGAATTAGAAAAACTCATCACGACTTCTGTGTCTATTTCTATATGTTTATGTTATTCATATGATCAGAGAAACCTGAATTCTCCCTCTGCATTCTCATACTCCAGTAATTTTTATCTCTGTGATAGCAGAATTCCTATGAAGAATTCTAAGTTTCTTGGTGGTACTTGTGAACAAAAGAAACTTTTTATTATTATCACTATGTGCAAAATGCCTGTCCAGGGTTAAGTGGTGATCCATGTGACTTAAATTCAGTTCTGGGTAGGTACATAGCTCGAGACTTGGGCTTCACAACGTTCTGAGTTCACCAATGGTCACCAGGCCAAGTAAAGCTACAGAAAAGCTAGGAAGCACGCCACCAGCAGGCCCCTTTTAGATTGTGAAAAATAGGGAAGGCAGGCTTGTCAGCTGAAGAGAGTGGTCTATGACTACTGGCTAGAAGAGAAGGAATGTGTCACATACTGGGACGTCCTGAACTTTAGCATGGCTTACTTTGCTAAGATGTTATTTAGCAAAACCCATGAATATACCAGGATAACGACAGTACAGTGCAAAACCTGGCTAAAATCAGAATGACAGAGTAGGGTTTTTTTGTTTGTTTTTTCTTTGTTTGTTTTGAGAGGAGTCTTGCTCTGTCCCCAGGCTGGAGTGCAGTGGTGCAATCTCGGCTCACTGCAACCTCCACCTCCCAGTTCAAATGATTCCCCTGCCTCAGCCTCCTGAGTAGCTGGGACTACAGGCACACGCCACCACACCCAGCTAATTTTTTGTATTTTAGTAGAGACGAGGTTTCACCACGTTGGCCAGGGTAGTCTTGATCTCCTGACCTCGTGATCCGCACACCTCAACCTCCCAAAGTGTGGGGATTACAGGCGTGAGCCACCGCGCCCAGCCCTACAGAGTGGTTTTAAAGTCAAATCAGTTCGGAAGCAGTTTTAAAAAAAACCCTGCTGGGACCTTTAGCTTCAATTAGGGACTTTCACCGAAGCCTCTAACAAGTCTGAGAGCACTGTTTGTTTTAAAGCACTAAACACTTTAGACTTCACCTGGAAAGAATACCTGGGTACCTCTGAATAAATCAGTGACCCCAAATGTCTAGAGAACAAATGAAGATTCTGCAGATTCTTTCCCTCTAGTATTTTCGTCAGGCCAGAGCATTCTTCTTTTAGTGCATGGTTATTTTTATACTTGCTATTGCAACCCTTTATTGAAATATTTGTAACCTCTCATAACAGCCTCTTTTGATAAGTTTCCATTTCGGTTTTCATTTTGCAAATGAGATCTTATTTACCAAGTTGGCTGCTTGTGTCTTTTGGCTAAATATGCAGCATATTTTAGGGGCTATAACAAGATACGTTTGAAAGGCCAATAATTTGTTATTACCATATGGTAGAAAGAATAAAGAAGTTTTCTCAAGATTCCCATTCCCAAATTGTGTAATCAAACACTCACCCAGATACTTATGTGAAGGGACTTTGGAGACAGAATTAAGTTTAATAATTCTGACCTTAAATTAGATAAGGAACCTGAATGTTTCTAGGGGAGGGGGCAATATTTAATGTAATCACACAAACCCTTAAAAGCAAAGCAGGAAAACAGAAAAGTTAGAGAGAAGCTGTTGAAGATGGAGGCAGAAGAAAGATGAGGTAGAAGGGAAGGTAGAGAGATTTGAAACATGAGGATTCAACCCACTGTTGCCAACTTTAAGGGTCGAGGAATGCAAGTGGCCTCTAGAAACTGAGAACGACCCCAGTCCACAGGCAGCAAGGAAGCCAGACCTCACTCCTTCAGCTACGTGGAGCTAAATTTGTCCAGCAATCCAAATGAGCTTGGAAGTGAACTCTCCCCCAGGGCCAGGCCAGCAGACACTTTAATTTCGGCCTTGGGAAACCCAGAGCAGCCAGTTCTGACTTCTGACCTACTGAACTGTGAGGTAATAGACTTGAGTTGTTCTAAGCCTGTGTTTGCTCTAAGCTGCTATACGTCTGTGGTGATTGTACATATACTGTAATGGTAGCAATAGAAAACTGGTAAGGCTCAAAATGCCTTGGAGTATCTGAGTGTCCAGGTTTACTTGATTTCAACAACAGCTGGTGGGGAAAAGAGAGCAAGGGAGGAAGAGAGAGAAAATAAAAAGAAAAAGAGGAGAGGAGGTATCTGACATTATAAACAGTAGGGACAATTTGGTCTCCATTCCATACTATGACTCTCAAGTGGCTTCTTGCACACCTCATGGTATTAGCCTCTCACATCACTGAGTGCATTTTTAAAATTGAAATATTTTGATGTTTTTTTTGTTTGCAGTACAAGATGGCCTTCTTTATTATAAACTGTGTCCTACTGAGAACATTATATTTATGAATAGTTACAGTACAGGGTTGTGTATGTAAAACTGTGTCCACTTTACTTTAAGGAAACTGTAAGAGATCTTCAAGGGTATTTTGATTTCAGGTCATTTTTGTCTTATAGACTGTTTTTTTTTAGAAACAAACCCCCATGTGAAGTCCAACACGTTTGTCCTAAATGCTGTCCCTCCTAGCCACAGCCTTTGGAGAACCTGAGCTTCTAGAAGGAAGCGGTCCACAGGAAAGTGAAGGAGCCTCACTATTGCTAAAAAGGCATAAGGCCCATGTATATGCTGTCAGCCCATCAATTCCCTCAACTTCTCTACACAAGATTAGAATGTCCCTTTTTCCTTTCTAAGCACACTACAAATCATTCCTTTTTTAACCTCTTTTCTCATGCACGGTAACCTGGGATGTTAGTGATAAATAATCTGATTTAACCTAAGAAAATTTGGAGAGTTGGGGAAGGGAATGACACTAAGCACATATGTGACTTGCCCCAGCCCTGTTCCCTCATTGGTATCCTCAATGCCCAGGAAAAAAAGCGCTGATTGAGATTAATTTATCAATGCATAATATCCTTTCTCTTTGGATACCTAGCTTCAATATTGCTTCTCTCTCAAATCTCTTTGTAATTTTCTATGCAGGAAACTTGGGAGGCCTCCCACAGATTGGCTCATTTTAACAAAAACACATTTCTTCTGCCCTCTACAACCTCCAGGAGCCTTCAAAGATGAAGTTAATTATACATATTTTAAAAAGAGACCAAATGCAGAGTCTTGAGGATTTCAAGTTCTAAAACTAGATTTATTATGTTCAAAGTTGTGTCTGGATAAAAGGAAAGTATAACATTAAAATATGAATCTATTCATGCCATTTAGTACTTTGAATTATTCACAGATGCTTGGGGTTTTTCTCTCTTTTTTTGTTTTTTTGTTTTTCTAAGAATAAGGCATTTATCTGAAACCAATGAAATGGAAAGGAATATTTTTTCGTTTTTAGAATTCTTCCCATTTGGGGTTGTTTTATTATAGAACACCACCCCTCAGACATTTTATGAGCTATATTCATAACACATTTACATGTGATTGAAGCACTTAACAGAAAAATTAGGTAAATTGAGCACTAACAGCTAAAGCAAAATGCTAGGCAACTATTTCCAAATGTAAAGTGCTTTGAAGCTGTTAAGCTGTTATATCCCACTCCCCCAAGCTCTCCTTCCTCTGAGAATTATAAAGGAGATGATGTTCTATAAAATATTTGGTGATGTCTGTTTTAGTCTTCCATCTACATTTTCTAACCTGATTGGGGAGTTTAGCTTTAGCACCTCCCCATTTTATGTTGTTTATTCAGTAATCTTCTAGGTACAGAATAAACTTTTTGAATTTCTGCTCTCCTATTTGTAAAAAGACAATAATAATACCATCTTTGCCAATCTCATAGGATCAGGAAGCTTGAACAATGTGATATACAAGGATATAAACTTTAAATAGCCATACATATATGAAGTATTGGAAATGATGTTACTTCTAACATTGTTATTAGCAATAACTTTACAGACTCAAGATGCTACGAAGACTTAGAAGGCACAGAACTTATACTCATTATAGTTGAGGATTCAGAAATATCATTTAGGCCTGGAATATTTTATTTATGTTCTAATATTTGTTTGGTTACAAGCATTTTGAAAGATAGTATTATGCTCACTAAATTTTTGCTCTCCACTCTTGCCCAGGTTTTTCAACCATATCTCATTTACCAAAATCTTCAGAATCTTTTAGATCCCTGGTTGTTTTCCTGTGGAGAGTCTTGTTAGTGTTTTACTCATAATTGAACTTTACATGTGATATATCTTGTGTAGAGTAGACTAGGCTTGCCCCATCTTCATTTGACATATACATTTCTTTTAGTATCACCTAAGGTCACATTTATTTTTTGCCAGTCTCTCATATAGTGTATTCCATGCTGGAATGAATTAGGAGTATCAGGGGAGGAGACATACTCTGCAGTGATTCTTTGGAATTTAAGGAGGGCCATTATTGATCATATAATCCAAAGATCCTTGATTTGACATAAGAAACAGAGTGCCAGAATGATCAAGCAGTTTGCTTAAGATCACACAGTTGGTTGTTAGCAAGGGTAGAATTAAAATTCTGATGATTCCAGACCTAACGCTCTTACTACTGTGCAGGGGAAGGAGGGAGAACACAAGAAGAAAGATGGCTTAGTGCAGGAGTCAGCAAACTATGGCCCGTGGGCCGTATCTGGGCCTATTTTTGTAAATAAAGTTTTTTTTGGAACACAGCATGCCCATTCATTAACATATTATATATGGCTGTTTTCACACTACAAGGGCAGAGCAGAATAGTTTTCTGAGACCATCTGGCCTACAAAGCCTAAAATGTTTAGTCTGGTCATTTACATAAAAAATTTGCTGACCTCTGGCTTAGAGGAGAGATGACTAAAAAATCTGGATAGGAGCACTTTGAGAACAGTCTTTTTAGTTTGCACACTTGTTTCTAGTTCTTATTTAGAAGAAACTGCATGGCTGTTAGGTGAACTTGTCTAACTCTCTCATGATTAACTGCTGATTTATTTAATAAATTTGCATATATCCTTGCAGAAGGATCAGTACATATTTTCCAGAGGTGTTTCTTATGTGATTTGTTTTCTATGTTCATCTTCATAATATATTCTTGATGATATTAGTATGTCTTTATTCAAAGTACTGGAAACTTACATGGGATACACAATAGCTGTATTCAAGTATGTGAAGGACTCTTTTCCTGTGAATAAAGGGATTAGATGTATTTATCCTTCAAGTCCAATTAAAATGTGCTTTTGTTGTCAAGCCCCTGATTCCAGCTACTCCCTTCTTTGGGCAGAATTAATCACCCTCTCTTCTGTGCTTCCAAAATTCTTTGTACAAAGTACTGTTACAGTATTTGTCACACAACGCTATAGGTCTTGTTTGCACATTTGTCTCCCCAGTTGATTGTGAAATCCTTGAAAGTGAGGACAATATCTTATTCATTTTGGCATCCTCATCATGGGGCTCAGGCCCTGGCTCATAGAAGCAACCTAATGCTTGATGAGTGAAGGTATATTATAATCCCAGAGGGCAAAGCAAGGACCATTGTGAAATCTCACTAAAAAGAACTCTGTGGTAGTGCTGGCAACCAATTGAAAAGTCTCCTAAGCAGTGTGCTTGGACATCAAGGACAAGAACTTGGGGTTAGAATGCCTAGGTTTGCATTTTGACTGTCCTGTTTAATAACGGTCTTTGGGTGGGTTGCTTATCTCTGAACCTCAATTTCCTCAGCTTTGAAATGGAGAGGATATAGGGAAGCAGTTTTCTAAGTGGAGTCTATAAACCCCTGGGTATTTCCAAAACAATCTCAAGGGGTATTTGAGGTCAAAACTATTTTTATTAGAATGCTAAGAAATTTGTCATTTTTACTCTGTCAATACTGGCATTGATGGTACAAAAGCAATGGTGGGACAACTCCTGGTGTCTTTGTACAAATCAAAGCAGTAGCACCAAGTTGAACTAATAGTCATTGTTTTCATCCCCATCATATACTGTCATGAGAAAAAATACATACCAGTTTCACTTAAGAATGCCTTTGATGAAGGAGTAAAATTATTAACTTTTTTTTTTTAGTCTCTGGAATGTATTTTTATTTATTTTTTTAATATACTTTAAGTTCTAGGGTACATGTGCACAATGTGCAGGTTTGTTACATATGTATACATGTGCCATGTTGGTGTGCTGCACACATTAAGTCGTCATTTACATTAGGTATATCTCCTAATGCTATCCCTCCCCACTCCCCCAACCCCATGACAGGCCCCAGTGTGTGATGTTCCCCTTCCTGTGTTGAAGTGTTCTCATTGTTCAGTTCCCACCTATGAGTGAGAACCTGCGGTGTTTGGTTTTCTGTCCTTGCGATAGTTTGCTGAGAATGATGGTTTCCAGCTTCATCCATCTCCCTACAAAGGACATGAACTCATCCTTTTTTATGGCTGCATAGTATTCCATGGTGTATATGTGCCACATTTTCTTAATCCAGTCTATCATTGATGGACATTTGGGTTGGTTCCAAGTCTTTGCTATTGTGAATAGTGCCACAACAAACATATGTGTGCATGTGTCTTTATAGCAGCATGATTTATACACCTTTGGGTATATACCCGGTAATGGGATAGCTGGGTCAAATGGTATTTCTAGTTCTAGATCCCCGAGGAATCGCCACACTGACTTCCACAATGGTTGAACTAGTTTACAGTCCCACCAACAGTGTAAAAGTGTTCCTGTTTCTCCACATCCTCTCCAGCAGCTGTTGTTTCCTGACTTTTTAATGATCACCATTCTAACTGGTGTGAGATGGTATCTCATTGTGGCTTTGATTTGCATTTCTCTGATGGCCAGTGATGATGAGCATTTTTTCATGTGTCTGTTGGCGCATAAATGTCTTCTTTTGAGAAGTGTGTGTTCATATCCTTCGCCCACTTTTTGATGGGGTTGTTTGTTTTTTTCTTGTAAATTTGTTTGAGTACTTTCTAGATTCTGGATATAAGCCCTTTGTCAGATGACCAGATTGCGAAAATTTTCTCCCATTCTGTAGGTTGCCTGTTCACTCTGATGGTGGTTTCTTTTGCTGTGCAGAAGCTCTTTAGTTTAATTAGATCCCATTCGTCAATTTTGGCTTTTGTTGCCATTGCTTTTGGTGTTTTAGACATGAAGTCGTTGCCCATGCCTATGTCCTGAATGGTATTGCCTAGATTTTCTTCTAGGGTTTTTATGGTTTTAGGTCTAACATTTAAGTCTTTAATCCATCTTGAATTAATTTTTGTATAAGGTGTAAGGAAGGGATCCAGTTTCAGCTTTCTACATATGACTAGCCAGTTTTCCTAGCACCATTTATTAAATAGGGAATCCTTTCCCCATTTCTTGTTTTTGTCAGGTTTGTCAAAGATCAGATGGTTGTAGATGTGTGGTATTATTTCTGAGGGCTCTGTTCTATTCCACTGATCTATATCTCTGTTTTGGTACCAGTACCATGCTGTTTTGGTTACTGTAGCCTCGTAGTATAGTTTGAAGTCAGGTAGCATGATGCCTCCAGCTCTGTTGTTTTGGCTTAGGATTGACTTGGCAATGCGGGCTCTTTTTTGGTTCCATATGAACTTTAAAGTAGTTTTTTCCAATTCTGTGAAGAAAGTCATTGGTAGCTTGATGGGGATGGCATGGAATCTATAAATTACCTTGGGCAGTATGGCCATTTTCACGATATTGATTCTTCCTATCCATGAGCGTGGAATGTTCTTCCATTTGTTTGAGTCCTCTTTTATTTCGCTAAGCAGTGGTTTTTAGTTCTCCTTGAGGAGGTCCTTCACATCCCTTGTAAGTTGGATTCCTAGGTATTTTATTCTCTTTGAAGCAATTGTGAATGAGAGTTCACTCATGATTCGGCTATTTGTTTGTTACTGGTGTATAAGAGTGCTTGTGATTTTTGCACATTGATTTTGTATCCTGAGACTTTGCTGAAGTTGCTTATCAGCTTAAGGAGATTTTGGGCTGAGATGATGGCGTTTTCTAGATATACAATCATGTCATCTGCAAACAGGGACAATTTGACTTCCTCTTTTATTAAATGTCAATCTTTGAGTATAATATCCTTTTTAATATTTGGTGTGATAAAATGGGAAGTATATATAAATCACTTTTACATTTTGGAAGTACAAGGGCTGTCTTGAGAAAAGTACTGTGGTATTGAATTGCCAGCTGAACAAGCCACTTGAAACTAGACATGATGTTTCAAAAGCATGCACATAGGTAAAGATCCATTGAAAGTGCAATACAGGCTGGGAGCGGTGGTTCATCCCTGTAATATCAGCACTTTCAGAGGTCGGGGATGGAGTATCTCTTGAGTCCAGGAGTTTGAGCCCAGCCTGGGCAACATAGGGAGAACCCATCTTTACCAAAATTAAAAAATAATAAGCCAGGCGTGGTGGTGTGTGCCTGTGGTCCAGCTAGTCAGGAGGCTGACATGGGAGGATCTCTTGAGCCTGGGGAATTCATATATATTTTGCAAACATTAAAAATAGTTACTTATCTAGAACTATACAAAGAGTTCTAATATACGTTAAGTATTAAAATAGCTGCAGAAAATTATTTTTAGTCTATCCTATTTGTGTAAATAATTAGCAGTTTTCTGTGAATAGAGACAAATGCCTAGAAACTGGAGTTACATGGGAGAAAATGATTAGGGGCTAAAGAAGGGTGAAAGGAGACATTCAGATCTCATTTCATACCCTTTCATATTTTGTTATTTACGTATCCATTTTTTGTCTTGTTTAAAAAATTAATGTAGGTGATAATACCCATAATTATAATGTAAACTAGTTGAGCAGCGTTAAATCTCCTGGCCTATAGAGAATGTTTATAATGTAAGTATTGCATTATGTATGTAATTATTACATATGCAGTGACACTGTTGGTTGTCCAAGTGAATGACCACTTCATGTGTTAGTGTGATCCCATCAGTAGAGTGTTCTCCAAGCAATTACTGAATGATAAAGAAATATCATAGATCAGACTTCTGCCTCTGAGTATATTCAACTGATCTCTCAGTTTAAATTCCGATGTTCTTTGATACTGTTATTAATTAATGAATAGCCATAATGTTTTGAGAGTAGTTCTTTACCAAAGGTCCTCCATCAAAATCTTATCTCTGAGCAACTTTAAAATCTTCAGAATTTTTTTCATCTGTTAGTTTTGATAGCATTCACTTTTCACCTTTAATTTTGCTCTCAAAGTATGTTGGGGCTACTAGGACAAATAAGTAAATATTCACTGAGTCTTTACTGCATCACAGTAGGAAGAACTCTGATCTTTTATAAGGTTAGGAAAAGAACTTAGTACCTTAATTTCACCATTGCCAGTTCCACAAACTGAAATTTATTTAGCAGAATGTCCCTATTCTTAGGATAAGCTTGTCTTTAGGATAAACTTTTCCTGTCAGATAAATGATGGAATTTGCCATCTTTAAATAAAGAATACTCCATATATTATTATATAATTTTTAAAAATTACTTAGTGATTACCACAACTGCTTTTTGGGTTGAGTAATATAATCTCTTTGAGTCAAGAGTCAAGTAATGTAATCACATCAACATATACAGACAAACTTGTGTCTACTGTATATGCAACTATATTTTTATAATATAGGAGTTAGGTTTTTGTGTGAAAATAGGTGTACCTTTCTGGAAGAACAGAAATAATTTACTCCTGGCATCTTATTGAAAGAAAAAAGTCAATTCAATTTGAATAATGTTGGGAGATAAAGCATGCCAGTATTATTCTTTATTTCTTTTATTAATGAGTTAGGATACAAAAAAGTCAATAAAAATTACATTAAAAACTCATAAACATTGTTCAAATCTTATTTCTCCATCAGTCATGTTCATAAAACTGGCATTTCCATTTAAATGGCAGTTAATAACAATAGGATTTTATTTAGTGAGCCAAACAACACACGGCCTCATTTATTTACTCATCAGACACTTGAGTGCCTTCTCTATGCCAGATCCCGTGCCAGGTACTGGGGCCCCAGCCTTGAATAAGACATAGAATAAGACATACTTCTTACATTCTGTGAATTTAGTGGCCAATGGAGCAGAAAGACATGTAAGCAAATAATTAAAGAAGTAACATTTTGAAATAGGAAGGGCATAAGATTTGGGGAGTAAACATATTTTAAACTTGGGCTTCCTCACTTCTGAATTATAGACTTCTAACCTTTCTAAGTTTCAGGGATAATAATTTCAGTGTGTGTCTTTTTTAAGGATTAGAGAAAACATTAAAAGTACAGAGCCTGGAACTAAATCTATTCAAATGAGATTTATTTATTACCCTTAAACTATAATATGAAAGGTACTATATTCAGGAATGTACAAGAAAGAATGGATAATTGGCTTGGGGATGGAGACAGGTAAGGAAAAATTTCTTAGTGGACAAGTGTTTAGGATAAGGAGGTGTTTACAGCAAACAGGAATTCCAGGCAGAGAAATTTTCATTCACAGAGGCATGAATGGAACTTATGCTAAAGTATGAGGAACTACAAGTCATTTGGTAAGACTGTAGTCTCAGAAGAAATGAAAGATGGTGAATTAATGGTTGTCAATCACAGAGGATCTTTTATGTCCTGCAAATGATTCAAGACATTAAGCAGCACAATGGGGATGAAGATAGAGTTGAGCTATATTTTGAAGGTAGAATTTATAGAATGAGTTGACAATGTAAGATTGAAGGAAAGAAAGGAAGAGTTTTCCAGATTTCTGATTCAGGTAAGTAATTGTTGATGTCATTGATCAGAAGAAAGAATTTAGGAGAAAACTTAGGTTTAGGGGCAAAATGATGAATTTCATTTGGGTATATTAAATCTTACTTGTCAGGATCTCAGGCAGGAGACACACCTGGGTTGGAGAAAAGATTGGAGAGTGCTAAACATTCAGTTGACTGACTAGAAGTTAGAAATCCCAAGTTTCTGACTATGTTGTTATGTTCTTCACTGGCTTTATGACTAGTGAATTTTACCTTTTTTTTGAGACAAGAGTCTTGCTCTGTCACCAGGCTGGAGTGCAGTGACGTGATCTTGGTTCACTGCAACCTCCACCTACTGGGTTCAAGCGATTCTCCTGCCTCAGCCTTCCAAGTAGCTGGGATTACAGGCATGCGCCACCACGCCCAGGTAATTTTTTTTTTCTTTTTGTAATTTGTGGTAGAGACAGTGTTTCACCATATTGGCCAGGATGTTCTCGATCTCCTGACCTCATGATCTGCCTACCTCGGCCTCCCAAAGTGCTGGGATTATGGATGTGAGCCACTGTGCCCAGCCTACCTTTCCTTTTTCTATAAGGGATTTAAAGCAGCTTGACTTTGTAATTATGACATATCATAAATGTCTAGGTCTCAGCCTCCATTTTCTCATGAGTGCAAATTTTGTAAAACTACCCAACATCCTTCAGAGAGTTGTTTTAAGGATCACATTTTTTTTATATCTGTGAAATCCCTTTAACATATCTGATATACAAGCAGAGAATTAAATGTTTAGCAATTAAAGATTGAAATTACATTAATGCCAGCAAACGTGAAACTCTGAGGAAACTCATTGATAAAGACTCTGTTTATAGTTACACTGTAAAGTCTGATCATTTATTGTAGTGCTGTGTAATGGTTAGAACTGAGCCCTCTGAGCCAAACTGCCTAGATTCTAATATCAGCCGTTGACTATCTCTTTGATTTTGGGCAAGTTATTTAACCTTTTTTATAAGACAGAAATAATCAGAGTATCTACCTCACAGGTTGTTGGGAAGAGTTAAATGAGTTAGTGTATATAAGAGTTAAATGAGTTACCTCTTGGGAAGAGTTAAATGAGTTACCTCTTGGGAAGAGTTAAATGAGTTAGTGTATATAAAGCATACAGGTCAGTGGCTGATGCATAATTTAGGTCTCAGTGTATATTAGATATTTTTACAATCATCATCAGAGACAGTAACATCATAAGCATTTGTCATTAACCAATGGAAACATTTTAGTGGAGGGAGATTGGAGATAATCATATTGGTTTTATAGATGAGGAAAAGAGAGCTCAGGAAAGTTGAAAAGGTGTGTTCAAGGACGCATAAATATCTAGAGAAAGATGGCACTGAGGCCCCAACACTTCTTAGTTCGGTGTACTTCCTACCACCCCTTATTAGGGTAGAGTCTGTGCCATCATGAGTAGGTTAACCAAAAATATAATTTGAGTTGAAAAATTATGTATGCCTTATAGACAATAACATTGCAGATATTCTCCTTTATTGATAAATTTGCTAAAGGTCAGAAGTTTCCTCTTTACAGATGTTAGATCAAATTTAGCATGAACTGTTATGGGTGAGTGGGTGGGTGGGTGTGTGTGTGTGTGTCAGATAATACTCATAATATGAAACATATATGTTCAGATAATACTTACTAGTTACTGTGTTGCAGTTGCAGACCACCCAGTATTCAATGGGAAACAAAACACCGATATTCCATAAGCTACTTTATTGATATAGCTTATTTTATAATTTTCTTTGTGATTTATTAGGTGAATTAAACACATAAGAAGAGATTTTCTTGTTTTGTAAGTTTATGATGCATATTAGATCTCAGGGTAAAGTTATTGAACATTAGCACATATGCACACAAAACACTGTGATAACATCACAGAATATTTAATGATACTTGAGTTTCACATATTTTCACCTGCAAAGCCCAGAGCATTTCATAAATATGAATGCTGTTAATCAAAAATTTGAATAAGTAGATGGATTTTGTATTGTACCCTGAAGATAAGTAGATTTAGATTCTTATTGAATTTATGTCATCTATTTTAGGAGTTAGGTGGAGGTGATAAAACTGAGCCTAGATTTTTATCATCTGCCATAATAAGTGGTTCCAAATAAAACATTTTAGAATGTTACCAGAAATAAAGAGTTGCTAGATTGTCATACTCTAGATATGAAAAACAAGGTAAATATGGAAAATTAAATAAAACAAAATGAACAGCATGTAAATATTGTTTAAAAGATATAGAGAAATTAAGAAAAAAGGTATAGTCAGTTTATAAAACACGTTTGTATTGTCTTGTTTACACACACCATGGAAATCAATAGTTGTAGTTTTACTTGAAAGATATAATTTATAATGATTATTTAACTAGGAATTTCAACTTCTTCCTTTTAATTCGTATTATTATCCATTTTCCCCATTCTGAGCTCCTCTAGCTCTAAAATTCACATGATGTTCTACAGTGGGACATTTTGCTTAGTAAAATCATTGGGGCCTAATTTGCTAAAAGAATTCATACTGTGTGGTTTAAGAAATTCATAGTGAGTACCTAACAATTACATGTTGCTGAGGTCATGGTTTTTGGAACTTTGTGATAGTGATGGTTTGGGTTTGCACAGAAAAGTAAGTGGAAGCAGCTCTCCACCAGCACACTTATGGGATCACTTTCATTATCCATACCCTATTTTAATTAGACATCCTGGGAGTTCTTCACAGTTTTCAAAATGGGGACATTTCTGCACTTCAGCCAAAATATATGCATCACAGTTCATGTAGGGTAAAGTTCATATCATATAGAAACTGCTTGGGCTTGAAGGCCTTTCTCAGTTCCATCACAGCCTCATTCTCTCCCAGCCTCCGAACCTCCCCAAACACTAAGCTGCTTCTCTTCCGCTGTAACCTATCTTTACCTTACCATGACTTCCAGCAAGGTTCCACCCAAGTTAAGTTACAGTTCCAAAGGAAGTTCCAAAGGAAGTTCACAAATCCTTTGCTAACTTCTCCAGTCAGAACTGATTTTTTTTTCTTTTTTTTATTTTGTTATTATTATACTTTAAGTTTTAGGGTACATATGCACAATGTGCAGGTTTGTTACATATGTATACATGTGCCATGTTGGTGTGCTGCACATATTAAGTCGTCATTTACATTAGGTATATCTCCTAATGCTATCCCTCCCCCCGCCCCCCACCCAACAACAGTCCCCAGAGTGTGATGTTCCCCTTCCTGTGTCCATGTGTTCTCATTGTTCAATTCCCACCTATGAGTGAGAATATGCGGTGTTTGGTTTTTTGTCCTTGCGATAGTTTGCTGAGAATGATGGTTTCCACCTTCATCCATGTCCCTACAAAGGACATGAACTCATCATTTTTTATGGCTGCATAGTATTCCATGGTGTATATGTGCCACATTTTCTTAATCCAGTCTATCGTTGTTGGACATTTGGGTTGGTTCCAAGTCTTTGCTATTGTGAGTGCCACAATAAACATATGTGTGCATGTGTCTTTATAGCAGCATGATTATAACCCTTTGGGTATATACCCAGTAATGGGATAGCTGGGTCAAATGGTATTTCTAGTTCTAGATCCCTGAGGAATCGCCACACCAACTTCCACAATGGTTGAACTAGTTTACAGTCCCACCAACAGTGTAAAAGTGTTCCTATTTCTCCACATCCTCTCCAGCACCTGTTGTTTCCTGACTTTTTAATGATCGCCATTCTAACTGATGTGAGATGGTATCTCATTGTGGTTTTGATTTGCATTTCTCTGATGGCCAGTGATGATGAGCATTTTTTCATGTGTCTGTTGGCTGCATAAATGTCTTCTTTTGAGAATTGTGTGTTCATATCCTTCGCCCACTTGTTGATGGGGTTGTTTGTTTTTTTCTTGTAAATTTGTTTGAGTTCATTGTAGATTCTGGATATTAGCCCTTTGTCAGATGAGTAGGTTGCGAAAATTTTCTCCCATTTTGTAGGTTGCCTGTTCACTCTGATGGTAGTTTCTTTTGCTGTGCAGAAACTCTTTAGTTTAATTAGATCCCATTTGTCAATTTTGGCTTTTGTTGCCATTGCTTTTGGTGTTTTAGACATGAAGTCCTTGCCCATGCCTATGTCCTGAATGGTAATGCCTAGGTTTTCTTCTAGGGTTTTTATGGTTTTAGGTCTAACATGTAAGTCTTTAACCCATCTTGAATTAATTTTTGTATAAGGTGTAAGGAAGGGATCCAGTTTCAGCTTTCTACATACAGCTAGCCAGTTTTCGCAGCACCATTTATTAAATAGGAAATCCATTCCCCATTGCTTATTTTTGTCAGGTTTGTCAAAGATCAGATGGTTGTAGATATGCGGCGTTATTTCTGAGGTCTCTGTTCTGTTCCATTGATCTATATCTTTGTTTTGGTACCAGTACCATGCTGTTTTGGTTACTGTAGCCTCGTAGTATAGTTTGAAGTCAGGTAGCATGATGCTTCCGGCTTTGTTCTTTTGGGTTAGGATTGACTTGGCTATGCGGGCTCTTTTTTGGTTCCATATGAACTTTAAAGTAGTTTTTTCCAATTCTGTGAAGAAAGTCATTGGTAGCTTGACGGGGATGGCATGGAATCTATAAATTACCTTGGGCAGTATGGCCATTTTCACAATATTGATTCTTCCTACCCGTGAGCATGGAATGTTCTTCCATGTGTTTGTATCCTCTTTTATTTCATTGAGCAGTGGTTTGTAGTTCTCCTTGAAGAGGTCCTTCACATCCCTTGTAAGTTGGATTCCTAGGTATTTTATTCTCTTTGAAGCAATTGTGAATGGGAGTTCACTCATGATTTGGCTCTCTGTTTGTCTGTTATTGGTGTATAAGAATGCTCGTGATTTTGGTACATTGATTTTGTATCCTGAGACTTTGCTGAAGTTGCTTATCAGCTTAAGGAGATTTTGGGCTGAGACAATGGGGTTTTCTGGATATGCAATCATGTCATCTGCAAACAGGGACAATTAGACTTCCTCTTTTCCTAATTGAATACCCTTTATTTCCTTCTCCTGCCTAATTGCCCTGGCCAGAACTTCTAACACTATGTTGAATCCAAAATGTAAAGACCATCAAGGCTAGGAAGAAACTGCATCAACTAATGAGCAAAATAACCAGCTAACATCATAATGACAGGACCAAAGTCACACATAACAATATTAACTTTAAATGTAAATGGGCTAAATGCTCCAATTAAAAGACGCAGTCTGGCAAATTGGATAAAGAGTCAAGACCCATCAGTGTCGTATATTCAGGAAACCCATCTCACGTGCAGAGACACACATAGGCTCAAAATAAAAGGATGGAGGAAGATCTACCAAGCAAATGGAAAACAAAAAAAGGCAGGGGTTGCAATCCTAGTCTCTGATAAAACAGACTTTAAACCAACAAAGATCAAAAGAGACAAAGAAGGCCATTACATAATGGTAAAGGGATCAATTCAACAAGAAGAGCTAACTATCCTAAATGTATATGCACCCAATACAGGAGCACCCAGATTCATAAAGCAAGTCCTTAGAGACCTACAAAGAGACTTAGACTCCCACACAATAATAATGGGAGACTTTAACACCCCGCTGTCAACATTAGACAGATCAACGAGACAGAAAGTTAACAAGGATACCCAGGAATTGAACTCAGCTCTGCACCAAGCAGACCTAATAGACATCTACAGAACTCTCCACCCCAAATCAACAGAATATACATTCTTCTCAGCACCACACCACACCTATTCCAAATTTGAACACATAGTTGGAAGTAAAGCTCTCCTCAGCAAATGTAAAAGAACAGAAATTATAACAAACTGTCTCTCAGACCACAGTGCAATCAAACTAGAACTCAGGATTAAGAATCTCACTCAAAGCCGCTCAACTACATGGAAACTGAACAACCTGCTCCTGAATGACTACTGGGTACATAATGAAATGAAGGCAGAAATAAAGATGTTCTTTGAAACCAATGAGAACAAAAACACAACATACCAGTATCTCTGGGACACATTCAAAGCAATGTGTAGAGGAAAATTTATAGCACTAAATGCCCCCAAGAGAAAGCAGGAAAGATCTAAAATTGACACCCTAACATCACAGTTAAAAGAACTGGAAAAGCAAGAGCAAACACATTCAAAAGCTAGCAGAAGGCAAGAAATAACTAAGATCAGAGCAGAACTGAAGGAAATAGAGACACAAAAAACCCTTCAAAAATTAATTAATGCAGGAGCTGGTTTTTTGAAAAGATCAAGAAAATTGATAGACCGCTAGCAAGACTAATAAAGAAGAAAAGAGAGAAGAATCAAATAGACGGAATAAAAAATGATAAAGGGGATATCACCACCGATCCCACAGAAATACGAACTACCATCAGAGAATAATACAAACACTTCTACGCAAATAAACTAGAAAATCTAGAAGAAATGGATAAATTCCTCGACACATACACCCTCCCAAGACTAAACCAGGAAGAAGTTGAATCTCTGAATAGACCAGTAACAGGCTCTGAAATTGTGGCAATAATCAATAGCTTACCAACCAAAAAAAGTCCAGGACCAGATGGATTCACAGCCGAATTCTACCAGAGGTACAAGGAGGAGCTGGTACCATTCCTTCTGAAACTATTCCAATCAATAGAAAAAGAGGAAATCCTCCCTAACTCATTTTATGAGGCCAGCATCATCCTGATACCAATGCCTGGCAGAGACACAACCAAAAAAGAGAATTTTAGACCAATATCCTTGATGAACATTGATGCAAAAATCCTCAATAAAATACTGGCAAACCGAATCCAGCAGCACATCAAAAAGCTTATCCACCATGATCAAGTGGGCTTCATCCCTGGGATGCAAGGCTGGTTCAGCATACGCAAATCAATAAATGTAATCCAGCATATAAACAGAGCCAAAGACAAAAACCACATGATTATCTCAATAGATGCAGAAAAGGCCTTTGACAAAATTCAACAGCGCTTCATGCTAAAAACTCTCAATAAATTAGGTATTGATTGGACATATCTCAAAATAATAGGAGCTATCTATGACAAACCCACAGCCAATATCATACTGAATGGGCAAAAACTGGAAGAACTTATTTATTATATTGTACTCCTAGAGCCCTCTCTCGGCATCTCACAGTTAAGACGTTGTAGTTCAGTGTGGTTTTACGAGGCTTGCTATTGTATCAATTGTATTTTGTTTCTAAAAGAAAACTACCATGTGTTTCATTTTTGAAACCTACATGGTCCCTGGCATATTGAGGAGGAAATAGATTAAATATCATAACAAATTTCTATTAACAAGTTAAGTATTGTGATCACATCTGTCTTAAGTTTATTTTATACTTAAAATACCAATTTGTAATGAGGTTTCTTTCTGAGCAATCAATTATTAGAAATGACTTTCATACAGCTAAATTTTATATATATACATATATATATATATATATCTGTACTTGACCAATTGTTTTTGTTGAAAAAGAATTCTACTCTGAGCGATAGAGTAAGTCCATTTCTCTTAAAGTAAAATAAAAGAAATAGAAGAAAAAAAGAAAAAGAAATCAGGTTGTCCTGGTAAATATGAAGCATATACTTAACAGCCAAAACAGTTTATTGGTTTGTGATTTTTTTAGATATAAATGCTCCCTCTTTTAATTCTTAGCCTATTATTAATAATTAATACTCTGATAATGCTTTTTTACTATATAGTTTTTTTTTTTTTACTTTGATATTTCCTCAAGGTCATATACATTTTCATCTTAGGAGTAAATAGAGAACAATGCTCTTCAGCTATTGTTTAGTCATAATAAAATTATGTAGGTTCCAAAATAGGAAAAACTGATAACCTCAAGTAGGCCCCAGTTAATGATTTTGCTACCTTAAAATGGCAATTGCTTATAAAAACATTATACACCATTCCTGTGACATAAGAAAAATTCTCCAGAGAGGAAAACTGGGGATGGAATTTGGAATGTTGCTTGACTATGCGTTTAGAACTGCTCCTGAAAACAATACAGTAAAATGGTAATGTAGCAATTTCTAGCTGATGTTCACAAGCAGAGAGAGCCCAATCCTGCCAATCAAATCAAGAGTGTTCTCTGTTTCATTGGGAATTGATGTCTTTAGTTAATATACTCATAAGCGTTAAAAAAATAGCCTGTGTTCTGAATTAAGTATGGAAAATACGTTTCTGTCCAGGAAATTAGTTGAGATGAAATTATTTTATCTGAGGAAACAGTACAGTAAAATTTCTTTCCTTTTGGTGTAATTTTAAAGTGTTCTTTCTATTTTAAACTCAGGCAAAAAATGCACTTTACAAATTGGGTGATGGAACTACTTTAGTAGAGTTAATAAATATTAAATTAGTCTAGGACAGTATTTATAGAAAGTAAAAAAAAAAAATCCTGGTGTGTTTGCTTAGAATTTCTGATCTGTCTCTTCATAATTATACTTCTTAGCTTTCTTATTTTTATCTACAGTTAACATCCTTCCACCATTCCCTCTGGTAGCCTGACTTTGATTAAACAATATTTTAGGCCAGGCGTGTTAGAAAAAATAGGCCAGGTGTGGTGGCATGCGTCTGTAGTCCCAGCTACTCAGGAGTCTGAAGTGGGAGGATGTTTTGAGCCTGGGAGATCAGGGCCACTGTGTGCTATGATCACACCACTGTACTGTAGCCTGGCTGACAGAGCAAGACCCTGTCTCAAAAAAAAAAAAAGAAAGAAATGTTTTAACTTTATGTTTTTAAATAATTCTTAACCCACAGACAATTAAGAATTTTCATACCCAAAACAGACCTGAAGTAATGTTGCAAAATGGTAATTTTTTTCTGTTAAAAGGACCAAATAAAAAAAGGAAAAACAGTTTGACTTCAATTTTTGCTCAAATGAATTCAATAAGAGAGGGAGTTTCAGTTTAAAATGAGAATTAGTTATTGAATAAAGTATAAAAATAAGATGATTTAGAAAGTTAGAAAAACTCTTCATGTACCTCTTTCCATTCTATATCCTTTGATTTTATGACAACTTTTTCACAATGTCCTTAATCCTGAAAAAAGAGGTTAGTGGTAAAATATAGGGGAAAACATTTTACTGCAAAGTGATTCCTCGTAACTCTAATTCAGCTTCATGCTGTGTCAGGTCTTCTAGGAGTTTTTATTAAGCAAACTAGTTGCCATAAAAAATGCAGTACCACTTGAAAATGCCAGTTGTGTGAATGTATGTATATTTTAATAAAAACAGACTTGGCATTTGCTTGATTTGCCTTTTTTTTTCTTTTAAGAAGAGAGAAATACATAAAGAAGTATCATCTATACATGGAATTTTAGGTGAGGATAAATGAAAAACGAAATGAGTGTCCTGTTCTTAGTAACTTTGCAAACAATAAGATCTCATTATGAGTTCTCATTATGAGTTAATGTTCATGATTTTGAAACAAGTTTTCCCTTCTTCTCTGTCTTCATTTACCCCAGCCTCCATCTTCTGTGAGACAATTGAGACTTCAGTCCCAAACTCCCAATCCTGATCCAGGATATGTAACTTAATTCCAAGTCTAGCCTGAGCCTGGTTTCATTAGAACCAACATATGCCTTGTCCTCCTGCTAAATAAAGCCTTCTGATGCCAGCTCCTAGAAGATAGCAGCGAGACTTGTTTCAGATTACACTGTTTCTCTCTTCTGAATTATACTGCATTTCTGTCTCCATTTTTCTTAAGCCCACCACTTCCATAGGACTTTCTCCCCCTTTATCACTGGCTCCTTCTAACTCCTGTGTCACTCCTGAGGTGCCAAATAATGATGCAGAGGGTGATCAGAAATGAGCTGTTGCTTCAGCTAGGGTTTTTCTACCCTCATAGTCTGCTATGGTATAGGACATCCTATTGATTAGATTGTAAATTATTTTCTCTATTTGTTAGAATACAGAGATTAAGAATTTAGGGCAGATCTGTTGCTCTGAAATGGAAAGATGTAAATAATCTGAGTAAAAGAGATTCACTTCCTATATTGTACCACTCTATTTAGAAACTACATAGGTACATTTATGTATATATACATATGTGGATATATGTATCTATAGGTTTATTCCATCACCAAATATATGTGTCAGAGAAATAAGGTTGGACGAGTACATATGAAACAGGCTATCAGTGATTATCCCTGGAGAAGAATAGAGGTAGAAGTAGCAGCAAAGTTCTAACTTGAATCTTATTGAATGGCTTAGGTCATATGCCTGTCCCTGAGCCAATCACTGTGGCCAGAGGGTTAGGATGCTCTTATTAGGTGGGCCCCTCTTAAGCCAGAGGTGGAGTCAATTCTACTTAAACTGCATGGACTAACAACTAGGGAAGGGTGGTTGCATGAAGAAAAACCAGGATGCTGTTTCCAGAAAGGGTACGAGATGCCAGGCAATAAATACAGCACATATCCATGATAATACTCTCTTGGATGTCTTCATTTGTTTACAATGTTTGCATAACACTTTACTGTATATAATAGCTCTAAATTACCATAGCTTAAAAATTAAACAAAAAATACACAGACTATTTCAATTTTAATTAAATTGCTATAGAAGCTAAACCAATACTTCTGCCAAAAATTGTCTGGATAAAAATAAAAAAAGAAAAGGGAAAGTTGTTTGTACACTTACCTTCACCTGTTCCAGCTGCATTGATGAATAAGCCCAGAATGATATTTATAATAAATTGCCATCCCTTATATTTGTTTATGAATATATGAACCTTTATCACATTTCTCACCAGGCTAATGCTTGGCATTAAGGCCTTCATAGATTTGATTTTTAGGATTTTCTGTGATATCTTCTTTATGAGTCACTAAGGTCATTCTAGAATTGGTGATTTTTAAACAATTAAGCCTTGTGCTTCTCCACTGTATGAGGAAAATATTTTACAGTGTTATAAAAATAGAGAAAATTGCTAAAAAGCAATAATATTTATTTTTTTCCTTAAGAAAAATGACTGTCAAACCAATAAAAAAAACTAATAAATTTCACTGGTTTCATTACCCGAGTACATGTCAAGCAAATCAAAAATATCCAAGTACATAGGGTCTGGTATCAGAAGCCAGAGCCTGGGGAATCTTTCAGTCACCCCAGCCTTCATCTGTCCCCCATATCCTCAACATGGCCTCTCCTGTCACCCCAGGGTAGGTACACAGGGTTCTACGTTGCTGACCTGATAGAAATGGAAGTGGTTTCAGCTTTACGCATCTCAGCACATTTTCAGGGAAACAAACTTTTTATGATGTCAAGTCATGGCACCCATAATTGAAGTTTCAAATATTTAGTCGTATTAATTTGAAGAAAAACACATATTTGAGGCTTAAATAACATATCAGTACAAACTACTTCACAAATTCAGGTATTGTTTATTATAATTAATCACTTTCAAACTGAATTAGGCTGTGGTCTGTTTATCCCCAAGCTTCAAACTCTGCCACTGAGGATATTTGAGGCTCATTAATCCCATTTATGCCTAGTGTTCCATTATCGGAACTCTAAGCATGTGGGAGTTATTTATATCCTACTGCTTAAGGTCTGATGGCAAAGATTCAAAAAATTGCAACCTCAGGAATAAATGGGTTAAGGTTCTTACCATAACCAGAGTACTGACAAGCAGCTTAAATGTTCATTCTCATGTCAACAATTCAGCTCTTTTCTTAGGCTGTTTAATAACTGACATACCAGAAAGGGGTCTTATGCCCCCAGTATATTAAGATGTTTGGAATGGGTAACATAATAGCTCCTTTAGCAACACATGCTATCTGATTATAACTATTTCTTCAGTGACTTATAGCTGAATTTTTCTCACTGAAGAATTTGAAATGTTAAGAGTCTTTTTACTCAATGGGCCAGAAATGGTATCAGCAGCCATATGTGAATTCTCTTATAGTCCTTTTTAGCTGAATATTGATAAATGAATTAAATGCAGCCATTGTACTGTTTCACCAAGTTAAATGAAATCAAGCAAGTGAGAAGAAAGAAATTAAGAGGACTAAACAAGGGATAAGCAAAACATTTCCAGCTGAGAGTTGGGAACGAGATGGAAGCCGGCAAGGCAGAATAGTGAGGACACCGGCTCCAGATGGCAGGCATTTAGGAAGGAAGCCTTTACACCAGCCACCAACCTCTTAGAGTTGGCGTTGGTGTGCTTTGTCTTTCGTGTTTTTCATAATGCAAAGCTACTGCTGTTTCCAAAGTGTATGTAAAGCTTTTGGAACTGAAGAATGGGGGAAAGGGTGAGCAGTGGCAAAGAGGAGTAATTTTTATTTTATATTCTTAGATTATTTTCGGTTTGGTGTCATTGGATAGTAGGGCTTCAGAATATATTTTGCCTAATGAATTGCTTTGTTGTTTAAAACTCATGAAGTATCCAACTGATGAAACAGATAGTTGCCCTGTTAGAGAAATGTAGTAATTGTTTATTTCAGGTTTTGAAGAACTTCATTTTAACACTATTTTCTAGGAGATTTGAGAAAACATAAAGAAATTATTATATTTATCTAGTTCATAATGTATTTTACATAAAGTAATATTACCTTTTGGTCTGGCCCGTTTGTTATTAATACAGTATGTAACATAGTCTTTTAGGTAACTTTTCTTTATAAAGATAATACAATATATGTTTATTTAGGAAAAATCTGGATTGGCACCTGACCAAAAAAAGTTAAAGCAAGTTATCCATAAATACTAGTCATAATCTTTTTCATAATCTTATTCATAATTAGAACTAAAAAGGCTAATATTTTGGTCTTTCTTGCTATATATAAAATAATGTATATATGTTGATAGGCATGACAGGTATTTTGTTACTACTGCAATCCCAATGTCTAAGAGTATTTGTTTTTAGTATTTACCTGATTTGTTTTTAGTATTAATATCTTAGTCTTCTTCAGTGAGCTAAATACATTATTATTTATTACCTACTGAATATTAACAGGCCAAATCTCTTCATTGATATGACTTTGCTTTTTGCCTGCCCACCAACCAGGCTCTTATTTGATGGTTTCTTTCTGCCAGTGTAGAAAAATGATGTGAAGTTGAAACGGTAATTGAGCTTCACTGTGCATTTTTATTTGGGAAAGATGACAGGGTTTTAGGTTGCCACATTAAGGAAGAAGAATGAAGGTTAACGGTGATTTTCAAGTAACTCCTATAGGAAGGGTGATTTTAGCTTTATCCATTTCAGCATATTTCCGAGGAAACCTAAACTTTTTATGATGTCGAGGATTATGAATCATGACACCCATAACTGAAGTTTCAGAGAGATTTAATTATATTGTTGCTTTGACGAAAACCACATAGAACCATATTTAGGTACAATTTCAAAATCATTTCATCCAGTTTTCACGTCTCTATGTTTCCTTTAAACTATCTGGTAAACATCCAGAGATTCTGAATGCTTCCCTCTGATAGATGCAGAGAGCATTTAAGCTAACACTCAGCTGTTTGTTTATTATGTTTCCAAACTTTTTCCAGTTTCTGTTTAGTATTCAGTGAAATGGTGTAAAGAAAACCATCTGCACTGCAGCTGCAAAGGGATTACCTTCGGTTCTTCTTTTCAAAGAGAAGCCAAATGCCCCCTGTGCACAGCCCTGGACAGTTGCTTGGATCTTGTGCCATATGTTTTATACAGTACTCCTGGAGCTAAGTCAATTAATAGCTCAGAAGACACAATTAGCCTTTTAGTGACTGCATTCATTCATAAAGGGCTGCCCAAAATAAATAAACTCTTGATTCCCTTCTCCTATTATAATTGCAGACTGAAGATTTGAAATGTTGGATGACAGCAGATGTACTGAGATTGTTAGCGCATGGTGGCTGCTCTGCTTTATACTGCCTACTACCACCAAGCCAAATTCCTAGGTGTGGGCTAGGGTATTGGAACAAAGTAAAAATGAAATTATCCTTAACAGAATGCATTTAAGTTGAATTTTACAGTCCTTACCATGTCCTGAGATAGCTTTTATCTTTATTTGAATATGTATTTTAAGCAGACACTGAGTATTGAAATGTAATTATTGAAATGTAATTACTAAATGTAATTATTAAAGTGAAAAACTAATATTTTCCCATGTACTTTCCTTCCATGGCAATCTTTTTTTAAGGTAAAATTTTAAAACTTTGAGAATATTTTAGCAAACTCATTTGTAACTTTTTCTTAAAAACCTTCAGGCTGTGTGTAGCTCTAGAAACCATTGTAATCATAACACACAGATATTAAGCCAATTTCTGTCATCAACTAGGGCAGAAGTTATACTGATTTCTTCTGACTTGTATCTGGTTCAAGGGACAGTCCAAGAGTCAGTGGTTTAGCTGGGGGCCAGTTTTTGTGAGGATGACAAGATTTGCATACAGAATTGAAAATTTTCTGTTTCCTTGGTAGGATACCTTAAATAACTATAACACTAATGAAGTTGTATTTAAAAGGATAGATTTAAAGACTTCTTTACAAAAAGTTGTAATCATTTTCTTCCAACCTGTTTGTACACAATTATATATGTCTTCATGTATATTTATTTAAATTTTTTTTAAAAATTAATGCTTTGGGAATATCAGTTGCTTTCATAGGAGTCTTAAGTAATTTATCTGAAATTATCAAATATTTACTTGGTTAAAATTAGACTTTGTGTTTGGGTGACTAGAGAAAAGGTACAAATGAAGGGAAGTGGTTAGGAAGAGGGATGATTTGTCACTTGTTTTGTTCAGGTTGGAGATGGATACAAGCACAATGAGATTTCTTGTTTGTATTTTTTAACACACATCAGAAAATTCAGACACGCTTTCAAACTAGGTTTTTTAATGGCCAAAGAAATGTCCTCCTGGGTTGAGAATAAGAATGAACATACTGTATTTGACCGAAAGGAGCTAACTCTATCAGCTTTAAAATGGGGTAGACTCCATAGGGACTAGAAGAATAGGCTTGAAGAATAAAGCTTCGCATAGAGGAGAAACCAGAGTAAGCACATACAAGGAATGTAGAAAATTAGAGCATATTAGGTTTTAACCTATCTTCTAGTAAGATTTTAAAACTAAGAGCCAGAACAAGTCTCTTAAACAGTGACCAAGAATTGATACAGAGATGGGGACTGACTACTTAGCATAGATTGGTCATTATGGTCCAACATCCATGGATAATCAGAACAGACATATACAAAGGTAATATTAAAGGATTTACACCTATCCTGAAACATATTAAACCTCCTCAAACCACAGTCGGGTCATTTGGCTATTTCATCCTAAGGAAATATTTAACTGTTTTTCAAATGCTTTTTACTTTCTAAGAGTCCTTTGTACTTTCTGACATAATTAAGATTTTTCTCATCTTTCATATCACCTTTTCTGACTATGCCAGAAAATTTCAAAGGGGGATTTAAAAAAAGAAAGCATTTAAATTGGATCATATTTCTAAATTGAGAAGTTGACCAGAAATTTGGCAGCCATAGATCTGAGCACAGAAATATTTTATCATTTTAATTGCCTTTTTAGTGTGCAGTATCCCTTTAGTTGGTTTCATTTTTTTGAGACCAACTATTTTTTGGGTTTTGTGGGAATTTTTCCCTTTGAAGATTGTTAAGAATTTTCATGCTTAACATATAGGAAAGAAGATTATCTGTTAAAGTGCAAGATAATAGGGAATAAGATATGGAATACTTTTGAAACTATGGATAATTCCTCTCAAATAATCAGTTTAATGCTATCTTGGATCCATAGCATATCTTCCTTCAATAGCCCTTTACTTTATTTCAAGACATTTTATCATGTTAATCTATTAATGTTTCCATGAGTTAAATGGATGCCAAATAATATCTGCATTGAACATATTGAAAAATTATGGTACAATGAAGTCTAAAGTGAAGTCCAAAATTATGCAGAAAAGAACTTCAGAGCCAGAACATGAACCAACTCTCTTGGACTTCCGCTGACATTTGAGCTCGTTGCTTTAAATACATGCAATAAATAGGTTTTGTACTGATTTTTCTAGTAATTTCATGGATTTAGCTATCCATCTTATTACTCACCAGGTTCCCTCTGTGATCAATAACAAGGATTCCTAATTAAGAGTGCAGTCTTTGGCCTAAGAATGGAACAAAGATAACTGGTCCACTTATTGATTTATTGAATGAATGGCTTCCCCCACTTTAGCAAGGGTTGGTCTAACTAGAGGAGTTAACTCTTCACTGAAAATAGACTAGATAATGCCAAATATAAAGTCTTTTTGATTTTTCTACCTTGTATAAATTGTGTGCTTGGGGTATAGCATTATACCCCAAGCATTATACCACGTCATTAGGTTTTAGAAAAGTTTCAAAATATCTCTAAAACACAATTATGCAAAGTAAAAGCCATGTATAAGACAAGTCAAGATTGTAAGGCCAATGTTACTGCATTGTTAGAAGAGGATTTACTGTGTTTATTTGGCTGTGATATAATACAATTTTATGATTCTATTACATTTTTCTTAATAGGCCTGAGAGTTTATATTTTTTCCTTGACACAATTGCTCATAAATCTTGAATTTAATCAGTTAGTGTAATAGCAAAATTTTAATTATAGGATCATAGAATTTTTTAATGTTATTTTAAAAAATGACTTAATGGTGGTTTATTTTTAAGAAGATTTAACGTATTTAAAGATAGGTGCAAATCTTTCAATTCTGTATTAGTATATATCTGTTCAGATTATGCATGGATGTTGGACCATGAAAGAGATTGTATTATTCGTTCATTCTACAGCTTTACTCCATGCCTATTTTATTCCAGGAATTTTTTCTAGGTTCTGTTAATTTAACAATAAATAAGCCATAATTCATTACCCTCCTGGAGCTTACCTTCTAGCACTGACTTGTACTGTGGAACAATAGTTACCATTTTCAGACTGGTAAAGTTTGTTCTTAAAAATTTAAGTTTCTATTAAATGTTAATTTATGTTATATCAGTAATAGATGAAACACTTCTTGAGCACCTTTGTTTATTTATTCAGTAGGACTTTTGAGTCACTCATCTACCTTTTAAAACTGGTGTGACTTCTTCGTACTTTGTTCAAGATTAAGAAATAATTCAATGTAGCATCTATGGTAATATTAAAGTCAATTTTTTCCAGGCAGTTCAGTATCGTGAAGGACATCACTGGTGATTTTATTTCCTTATTTAATTTCAGGAGTTTTCCTGTAACCTAGCTGTCTATAAATGTTTAAGCTAATGTAAAGCGCTGAAACAAAAATGTTAGAGGTTTGTTTCTCTCTTACCTAACATTCTGGCTTAGACTGCAGGGTAGCCCTGAACCTTTAGATCATTCAGAGACACAAGTTCCTTACATGTTTTTCTTCCATCCTGTAAGTAGTCCTCATTAGCATGGCCGAAGCTGGATTGCTGCTACTTTGGTATTCCAGCCCCAGCGGGGAGTGGGTTTGGGAGGAAGTCCGGGGAAAGCTGATTGTCTTTAAGTTGAAAATAACTAGAAATTGCATTCCTCACTTTTCGCACATCCTATTGACCCAAACTTAGGTGTCCACCTCACACTGCAAGGAAGTCTGGGAAATGTAGTCCCTAGCTGAGCTGCTGTGTGCCCAGCAAGACTAGGAGAATGCATTGAGGGGACAGCTAGTAGTGTGCCACAGGACTCGGTGTGCATTAGAAACCAGAGTTCCAGAACACCCTGCCTTCTGATTGGTTTTAGTCAATCCCACAAGTGATAGGTGAATCACTACTCTTTTAGACTCCAAAGACTTCCATGTAATAAAGTTTTGCTTCAGGGACACAGAACAACCTACAGCCAAAAGTACAAAAGTACATTATGATATGAACTTTTGCCATGCAAATATTTGGTGTATAGGAGGTTCTTTTAGGAATGCCACACAGAATTTTTCATCTGGAGATAGTAATTGGCATGAAAGAAGGATCTAGCATTTAAATAAATACTATGTTTCTAATACCAAGATCAGAAACACAGTGTTTACCACCCAAATCCTGGGTGTTTGGAGATGATAATAAACAAAGAGGACATCCCCTATTTCATTTCTTTTTAGAGTGTTTACATGTGGTTTCAAAGCAGCACAATTAAGAAGTTAGATGTAGAGTATTGGCAAACAAGGCTTTTTGCACTTCCTTAATTTACTCAGTGATCATAAACTCATTCTCATCTTTCAAGTACCCATTTTACCAGTTGTTCTTAAACTTCAGCTTATATCATAATCACCAAGAAGACTAGGTAAACAGATTCCTGCATGGCCCCACCCCCAGACTTTGTAATTCACCAGGTCTTAGGTGGGGCAAGATAATTTGCATGTCTAACAAGTCCCCAAGTGTTGAGATACTGATGGTTCCAGGACCATACTTTGAAAACTACTGGTAACTCTGACTCCCCAGGTGTTCCTTCAAGGAATGACTTCTCCCAATTGCTGGGAGTGCTCCCAGGGGATAGCCTGTCAGCCCATCAGGACTTGCCCTTGGCTACAGGGAGCTGCCTGGTCCAAGGTCACTCCCATTTCTGGAGCTCCCCCCATCCAATGACTAACCACAGCAGAGGTAGGAAGACCCCAACCCAAGACATTCTTCCAGCCCCTTTCAGTGGTAGACCTCCTAGTGGTGTCAACTGACTTCCCTCTCAGCCTCATTCTCCTTTCTCCTTCTCCCTGTGTACACATTGATCCCATTGATTCCTACTCTCTATAAACATCTTAAACACTAAATTCTGTTTCAGAGTCTGCCTTTCCAGAGACCCCATACTGCAACAGTAATGATTCCACACTCAGTGTCTCTCTATGGCAGATCAAATTGAGTCCAGGTTCTGCAGTTTGATGATATTCAAAGTGGACATCAACTGGCTGTCTCTAAGCTCTGCAACTCATACCTCACAGCTGCTTCCTAACCCTCTCTTCTTTGGTCTATCTGATCCTCACCATCCCCTACACAGCTCCTACTATTCATTCCTATCTCAGAGATTATGTCCATTTTGTTCCCACTACCTAATATGCCCCTCCATTACTGCTCTTTTTACCTATCCTAATCCTATACATCCTTCAAGGCTAAGACACAAACTCATCTATTTCAATAGGCATTCTCCATAAAACCACTATGGAGCTGATCTGGACAGACTTCTAGTAATTGTGTTTATAATCTCTACTTCTTTTGCATATTTCTATTTTAACATCAAGTGGTATTGAAAATGGCCATTTATTTGTGTTTATCCTTCTAGACTGTTAGCTCCCTGAGGGCAGGGACCACACCTAGAGTTATCCTTAAACAGATAACCGGCCCAGAAATGAGTACTGAACCATTGCACTATGTGCCCATAATGCCTTGTAATTTCTCCACCAGCCTTCCGTATGTATCTTCTTGCTTCATCCTCTGCACAGGTTCCTCAGGGTCAGGACTTTGTTTTTTGACTCTGTTATATTCTCGTGGTTCTTATAGTTGTGCTTTAAAGAGAGCAGATGTTCAATAAATACTTACTGACTGAAAGAACCTATTATAGTTAATGGTTTTTATGGCCCATAACAAAGAAGACGCTAATAATACATATTCTGAATAGAAGACCGTATCTTATGATTTTATTATATATTTCTCAATATTTGAATGCTTATTTTCCTAAGAACATGAGTTCTTCATAGTCTAAGTATTTTATAGTACATTTATAAATAAAATTACAAAATAATAATGGTATAGGATATTAATTTGACGTAAACAAAAAAATGCCACCTAACAATGTAGGGAAAAATATAATTAAAAAAAGAATATAGAGCTGTACTTACCAACACAGACACAGGCACACACACACACACACACACACACACACACACACACATACACACATACACACATACACACTGTCTTTAAAAGAAAAATTCCTTTTGAAATACAATCCATACCACCAGGTTAACCTCAGGACCTCTAATTTCATGAAAATTCAGAAGAGGATTTTTAATAATGTAAGCTTCCTTTTAATTGTCATAATTTCTATTTCTGCTAGGGTAGACCAAGGATTCTTATCTATATTCAAAGATGACCAAGATCAATGACTTGGATTTAGTTCAAATTTGCTTCTATTCTGGTTCATTCATAACACAGCAAAGAATATATGTTGTAAAGGGTACAGGTGTATGCCCCGGGCTCCATGTATTTCATGGAGACATACCTAAGGTTTGGTGATCTTCACTGTCATATGGAATGAGATATCTCTGTTAAATAGGAGGATCCTAAAACTGTGAGTTTGCTGCTTCTCCTACCACCTACCTCCCATAGCTGTCAGCACAGAGATAGGCATACAAGGCAATAATCCTACAACTCAGCAAGCTGTGTCACCCAACCCAATATCTGTTACCCCATGTTCCAGACCTCGACAATTCTGTTGTGCCAGCAGTGGGAATTCATACCTTACCAGTGCCTGTGTACAGGACCTCAGTATTTTCCATTTATGTCCCTGTTAGGACTCTCTCTGTGAATGACTAACCATGACCTACTTCCTTTTTCAGTATCAGAGGGTTCACAACTGAAATGATTGAAGAGTGAAGTTGATTTCACATTCTTAAACCTATCAATTCCCAATTCTAGCTAGAATTGTAACAGCATAAATAGGAATGTCAATGTTCCTCTTACCCATCTTTTAGGATATTATTATATGGCATCACTGTTTATAGTTTTCTGGCAATCCTTATTGTTCAGTGTCTCAGTCAACTGAGTTAGTTCTCATAAGAACAATGACCAAAGGAAAGTATAAGTCAAGCACATATTTGGAAAATCTAGTTTCGAGACAGAGGTCTAGAGAGCATACTTTTGTTTTTATTATGGGAAGTTCAAATAAAATTTAGACAAGCAGTATATGGGAAGGCTCAATTTGAGCAAAATATTAGATTCAAACAGCAACATGCCTCTAAAGGGACAACTACAGCAGCTAAGTAAATAACAGATAGCAGGTGCAGGCTCTATATTAGAGCATATGAGTAGTTTTGGCTTTCCAGTCAGACCTAGAAAGCTGGTGGAAACTGAGGTGTAGAAACATTTTCAACTATGTACAGCAGTCATGAGTTAAAAACAATCACAGATAACAGTATGCTGCCATCCATGTATAAAAATGAATCTACTAAACCATGGGCTGTAAGTCATGTGCTTTGGTTTGTTTGATTTGATTAGGGTTTTTAATTTTTTTGTTTTTAGTGCCTGATCCACATTTCTGATGAAGGTACCCATTGTGAACAGTGGCCCCCATTTATGAGATATCTGACTAAGACTTGTGGAATAGAGTAGACTCATCTTGGAGCCACTTCTTCATCCTACATTATTGGCATCTGCCCTTACCAAATGTACCCTGTAAAGAAGTTATGATTGTCTATTATATATCTAGGTATATGAACCTTAAAATAGTAACCTGGATAGGGTCAAATGATGCTAACCTGTCACTGTTTTCAAGAAAATGTGCGCATGTCCTTTGCCACAATGAATAAAAATGCTGTGATAATATATTTGTAAAAGCATCATCTTAAGGAAAATTTGTTATAAGGAAAAAATAGTGTTATCTACATCCATATATTTTCATTCAAACCAGCATATTAACTTTTTGGGAAGAAACTATGATTCCTTCTTCTTATAACTTCTCAAAGAGTTGGCAGGTGTGCACATAGGGAAGCACTTCATGAATGTTTATTGATGTGATCCTTTTGTTGTTTAATGTGTATCTGCATATTTTCTGGTTTTGTTCTCTTTTCTTGGCCATTCAAAAATTCTCTGCAGATTCATGGAAAACCCTGAAAATTAGCTTATAACAGAAGACATACATCATTAAATGAGATGGACATGCCATTCAGCTTTGGGCGGGAGGGGAGCTTGATAATTTGCTCTCTGTATTGTCATTCATTCTCAAAGTATTTCTAATACTCCAATTGTTGTATCTATTCCTGCAGACTTCCCTCTTGATACTTTCTCACACTTCCTAATGATCTTCTCTATTAGTTAAATATTTTGTTTATAGAATGTACAGCAACAACAAACTAGAAATTTATAAATGAAAAAGATTAAAAAAGCTATCAATTCTTCTTTCAAGTGCATGAATTCCATTTGAACAGAATGACTTTGAAATAATGAAGAAAAGATTAATAAATATTTTACACATGCATTTAATATTTTAGCAAATCTTTAAGGTCAATTTTGTGTTAAAATTTATGGTACCACTTCAGGGAACATTTATGGAAATGAATTTCAGAATTCACCCTCATTGTCATGGAGTGATTTACAGTAGAGCTGGACAGGCCTACATCACTGCAAAGCTGGTTATGTTAGAGACTCTATGGGTGAACTGAAGCAAAGCCTCAACCAGTGGAATTCGTAATTCAGACAAAACCATCGATATTGCCAGTGAATCACCCATCTGCTTGGCCTAGGCTGTCTTGACTTTGCCTGAAAAGGCTACCACTGAACATTTTCCGTCTTTATTTGAGAAATAAAATGACTAGCGGTAAATAAAAATGATAAATTGTCATCTTTGATCTTTTCTTCCAGAAATTATATACTGTAGTTCCTCGAGTAAATGTGACTCCAGTATGTTTCCCTTTACTAAAGTATTTGGGCAATCATATGTTAAATGCAAAGGATGTGGTAATCTATATATTACATGACATGCTTCCAAAAACAAATTCAATGATATAAAAATAGAAGATAATTTTATCCTCTTTCTTTTAAAAACAACTTTACAATCTAAATTCATTTTATAATATACTCAGTCAATTAGTCTACAAATATGTCCTGACTTGAGTTTCAGAAAAAAGGCACATCATTCATTTAATTTTTCTTCAATTTAAAGTCCCCTTTCACTTGGTTTTAGTGAAGGAGTCACCCTTTCAAAAACTGGTTTTAGCACCCTCAAATTTAATTCTTCAGTTTTTGGTTCTAAGCTTCTAGATATACATATGGTAAGCATGCAGTTAGCAGGCGAAGGAGTCCATACTCTAGGCATTCTTTGTAAAGACCTCAATGTTAAGTTGACTACTACCCAGCTCGGGCTAATAGTATCAAAGGGAGATAACTGGTATTTGAGATTGGCAGTGTTCACTTATTCCTTTACATTTTTTTCAAAATTTATTTATAATTCGGTAAATCACTAGAAAACAACAAGCTTAACTGACATAAAATGCCTTATTTGAGTTACAGCGTATTACCATTGTTTTAGTTTTTATCAAAAGTCAGCAAAACAAAGGACCACATGAAAAGCCTTTCTATATTATCTGCAAGAGGCTATTGATGTCATTGCCCATTAATCACAGAGTTCCTTATATATAAATTTTTATATGTATGTTTCTATATGTAAATTTCTCTTATACTTCCAGATAAAAAACGTCTGTTTGTGGAGATGTTTCCCTTTAATCAGATAATAAGAACTGAAAAAGTAATTGCTTCTCTTTTTCCTTAACTAGTAGAAAACTCAGAAATAAATATAATGTTCAATTGAAGTCACCATCTTTCCTCAGATCTTAGTATTCCCCTCCACCCCCGCTTTCTTCCTATTTGGCTTTAAATTTAGTTTTCTAGCATTAATCTCAATTTTCTATTACAAATTGGTATAACGTTTTTCTAGAACTAGAATGAATATGTTACTAATATGAATGCCAAAAGTTAGAGATTCTCTCCTTCATTTGTTTATTCAATCATTCATCCGTCTAAGTTTATCTCTTTAAAAATATTAGTTGATGATCTCCTATGAGTCAGGTAGTATGGGCACTGTGGATAAAATTGTGAATGAGGTATATTCTCTTCCTTCAAAAAGCTTCCCTTCTGATTTCTTCTTTGTGCCTTTCATGATGCCAAGCACATAGTAAATGTTCCTCGGAAATGTGTTGTATGATTGCCTCTTCTCTTAGTTGATTATTTTTGAAACTTCATTTATTTGAATGTTTTGAAATAAGATGAATTTTATCTGTTTGAATTAGTTAATCACAGTGCCTAGATTTTAATATTTTGTGCTTTTCTTTTTTTTCCTGTAATTGTGTCCTAGTGTGATTAGAATCACAAAGAAGAAAATATTTTATATTTTGATAAATAAAAGTTATATATAAACTATATGACCGCTGTAAGATTCTTATGGCTTTGTGATTAATTGCACATCTCGTACCTTTTCTTATACTTTGGCATTTCTTTTGTGTTAATAACCATTGTTTGCCCTTCTGTTATTATCAGGCAGAATAGTTATTCTTCAAATCCTTCTTCTACATCATTTAATTTTTCATGGGCACAATGCAAGATCCATTTCAAAACAACTGATTTTTAGGTTATTTATCACTTCTTGATGCTGACATGACACTTATTTTATACTGTCATGCACTGCGATCCTTCATGTGTTTTCTTTCTGTTAGCAGATTTCAACTTCTAGGATATCAGGGATTAGTTTATAACTTTTCAACTCTCCTCTAGGGACTAGCAGTGTCTTCCATATAGCAGGGAACCAATAAATAGCATGTGAATAAAGTAATCAGTTCCCAGTGAATAATATAGGTATTTAGAATGGCAGATATTCTTATACTAGTACCCAGTGTGCTCACACTTACAAGCACGAACTTGCTGTGGCACAACAGAAACGTGTTGTCTAATTGCCTCTTCTCTTAGTTAATTATTTTTCAGACTTCATTTAAATGCATGTTTCAACATAAGATGAATTTTATCTGCTGAATTGGTTAATTACATCAGGGAGAAGGGAAGATGATATTGAAAGCATGCTTTAATTCAACCTAAAAATTAAAACTTTTTTCCATTAATAATTTATTCTTGAATAAAGGTAGACACTTAAAACCAATATTATTTCTTCCTTAAAGCTCCTCTACTACACATATGTTCTACTGTGTAATTTTGATGAGGAGTCAAATGGGGTGAAATGTTTCATTCAGGATTTTTATTTCACTTAGACTTTCAGTTTGTGAAATAAGGTAATAATAATTTAAATTTCATAGCATTTTTTTTTTATTTTCTGAGACAGAAGCAAAGACAGAACTGTTGCTTCCTGAGGAAAAGGATCATGAAAGATCACCTTGCTCTTTACCTTTTAAATTGAGAATCAAAGTTCCATAGATCCTGCATTTTAGTACTTACATAGGAGTTGTTTACTCATAGGTAGTCAGGAAAATGAAACTGGCACTCTTCTTGGAAGTGGGGAGTTCTGATTTACTTTTTGCTGCCTTTGCTCTACAAACCAGAGGCTTACAATGAATCAACTCAATACTTGCTGAGGTCGCAATAAGCAATAAATGGCTGGCTAATGTAGGCAAAGGCATTTAGCTATACTTTGTATGCATTGTAAATGTGATATTTTCTGGAGTGTTCGGCTAACACCTTGTAGATATCCTTGGTTAATTAACCAAGTATTGAAAGAAGGAACCCTATCTTTTCACCTGTGATCTTGCAGGTCTTGCTTTCTAGGTAAGCAGAGCTGTGGGTTGTAATACAAAGATTTTTGTTGGTATGTGAAATCTGAGTTCTTCCTTATCTAGCTTAAACTGTTTCCTCTTCCAAAAAGGAAAAACTATATTCCAGAAAAGTAGTCTATGAAATAACATAATATAGTGTATATTCTTAGTATTTGAAAGAAATTGAGATTGTGTTTTAAGTTACCATAGGATGAGAACTTGGTCCAATAATATTTAACTGGAGAGTTTTTGTTAGAAAATCTCTTTCTAAAAGTCAGAAACAAAGATTTTGAATAATGAAGACAAGAAAAGATAGTAAAATAACATACCATTTTGAATTGTTGTGTTGGAAAGGGCACTGGGCGAGGAAGCAAGAAGATAGAGTTCTATTTCTGCCTTGAACTCATTTCTTTACCTCTCTACAGTGCTTTACCTCTCTGAAGCTTGGCATCCAGGTGGAGCACTGGATGAGTTCTAAGTCCATCTGTATTAGTTCTTTCTCATGCTGCTAATAAAGACATGCCCAAGACTGGGTAATTTATAAAGGAAAGAGGTGTAATTGACTCATAGTTTAGCATGGCTGGGAGGCCTCCGGAAGCTTATAATCATGGTGGAAGGAGAAACAAACACATCCTTCTTCACATGGTGGCAGCAGGAAGAAATGAGAGTGAAAGGGGAAGGCCCCTTATAAAACCATCAGATTTCGTGAGAACTCACTCACTATCACAAGAAGAGCATGAGAGTAACCGCCCTGATGATTCAATTACCTTCCACCACGTCCTTCTCCCAACACGTGGAGATTATGGGAACTACAATTCAAGATCAGATTTGGGTGGGGACACAGCCAAACCATATCACCACCTATCTCTGTCCTACTGCAAGGCAAGCATTGCTTTGTATAATGCTCTCCTTGGGGGTAAGAAAGTTGCTTTCTCCTTCTCTGTATCCCAGAGCCTGGGATTTAGTAGCTGGTTTCTAAATGTTGATTGATTTCTATTCAGTTCCCAGATGTATGACAAAAATCTTAGTGTGATTCCCTGGTTCAGTTGTACAAGGCATCAGCTCTGGGGTTAAAAAGCAGGATATGGACCTGAATCCCAGATTGACTGTGCATCCAGTGCCATCTTCTCTTTTTGTCACAAATTTCATTTGTCTCTACATTTCTGGTTCAGCAGATGTTTCTTTATGGCTGCTATGCTTATGCTTGAGTTGGTTGTTAGGGCTGTTAAGTAAAAAGCACTGTCAGCACAGTATCTTGCCCTCAAGAGAGGATGTAACTTCAATTTTATGACAATGTTTATTATTACTGATATAGGAAAGAAAGTCCCTTGCTTGTTTCTGGCCCACTTGCTCAATACTTTATATTTAAACCATGATAGGATACTGATTTTTTTAAAACACCAATCTTGCTTTAGACTTTTAATCATCACTAAGTAGGAGAATCTGTAATCATGTGACAAATACTGAGTCAACAGCTAGGAAAACCTACTAGCTTGGTTTGGTAGTGGCCAGTAAAAAAAGCAAGGCTGGGGTCCAAATAGAAAACTCAGGAACTCAGCCATAATCTTAAAGCATATTTCATTTGGGGCTCCATCATAAAATTTGCAATGTTTGTCTTCAACATGTTCCAGCCACTTTTGTCCCTTTTCTTATTCTCTTTGTTTGGAAAGCACCTGGTGTCTTAAATCACCCTGACTGCCCAGAGTCTTCACTGCATCTCCCCATCTGTTTCCCTCCATGTATCTGAACCAGAGGAAAGAGCAGTGAGCCAGAAGTCAAAGACTGGACCAGGCCCAATTGCTAACTAAATGTAAAACTGTGGGCAAGTCATTTAGGTATTCTTTGTCTTAGTTTCCCTGTATGTGTGTGTATATATCTAGTCATTATTTATTAATTAATTCATTATTATTAATGAATATATGTATTCGTTATTTATTTATATTTAATGAAGGGGTTGGAGCTAAAAGTTTCTTTTAACTCATATGTATGATTCTACGGGGTCTTCATCTCATAATCAAAACATTCTTACACTTTCCTTATTTTCTTCTAAGTAAACCTGGAAACTTTCTTCCAAGGTGATAATAGCAATAGTCATATACTGTGGTAGAATCCCTAGGAGGCTGGGGATTTTGTTTTGTGATGATGTTTTGTCTTATTGGTTTTTTCCAAGCTTAATATCCTAAATGTCTTAACTCAAAAATAGGAATATATGATGATCGCATTTAAGTACCATTTGATAATAATGGAAGATACATTTTTTTAAGGAATCTTTAATCGGCACTAAAACAAAACTGTCTCCGTAGTTTTGTGTATATCCAGAATGTCATATAGTTGGAATCATACAGTAGATAGCCTTTTCAGACTGGCTTCCTTCACTTAGTAATATTAAGGTTTCTCTATGTCTTTCTATGGCTTGAAATTTCATTTCTTTTTAGTGCTGAGTAACATTTCATTGTATGTATGTACCACAGTTTACTAAATCTATTCATCTGCTCAAGGACGTCTTGGCTACTTTCATGTTTTAGCAACTATAAATAAAGCTGCTATAAATATCTATGTGCTGGTTTTGGTGTGGACATAAGTTTTCAGTTCATTTCGTTAGATACCAAGGAGCACCATTGCTGGATCATATAGCAAGAGTATGTTTAGTTTTGAAAGAAACTGCCAAATTGTCTTCCAAAGTGGCCGTGCCATTTTGCATTTCTACCAGCAATGAATGAAACTTCCTATTGCTTTACATCCTTTCCAGCATTTTGAGTTGTCAGCTTTTTGCTATTCCAATAGTTATGTAGTGGTAACTTGTTTTCATTTCCAATTCCCTGATGACATATCATGTTGGACACCTTTTCATGTGCTTATTTGCCATCTGTATATATGCATTTAAAGTTTTTATATAAATTTTTTAATAATTAAGGTATAAAACGTGATGTTTTGATATGCATATACACAGTGAATGATAACTAATTAACATATCCATCTCCTTACATAGTAATTATTTTTAAGCATGTATGTGGTGAGAACACCTAAAATCTACTCTCTCAGCAAATTTCCAGTATACAGCACTGGATTATTAACTGTATCATGCTATACATTACATCTCTAGACTTACTCATTCTACATAACTGCAGCTTTATACTTTTTTTTTGTTCTAGAGAAGATACAAGTTTTTATTACTGTGGCATTGTGCATTTTTGTTGATTTCTTTTAGTTCAAATTAATTTAAAATTTTTATTATTTTTATTTCAATAGGGTTTTGGGGATGAGATGGTGTTTGGTTACATGGATAACTTCTTTTAAGTTGTTTTGTTTGTTTGTTTGTTTGTTTGTTTGTTTTGAGACAGAGTCTTGCTCTGTTGCCCAGGCTAGAGTGCAGTGGTGTGGACTCGGCTCACTGTAACCCCCACCTCCTAGATTCAAGCCATTCTCGTGCCTCAGCCTCCCAAGTAGCTGGGATTACAGGGGCATGCCACCACACCAGGATAATTTGGAGGTTTTTAGTAGAGACGGAGTTTCACCATGTTGGGCAGGCTGGTTTGTACCTCCCGGCCTCAAGTGATCCACCCACTTCGGCCTCCCAAAGTGCTGGGATTACAGGTGTGAGCCATCACGCTCAGCTGGATAAGTTCTTCAGGGGTGATTTCTGGATACATTTTGACCAGTTTCTCCCCATTTCCCCAACTGCCCACCCCAGTAACCACCATTCTTCTCTCTGTTTCTATGTATTCAACTTTTTTAGATTCCATGTGTAAGTGAGATCATGCAGTCTCCTTCTTTCTGTGTCTGGCTTATTTCGTATAGCACAATGCCCCCCAGTTTTATCCATGTTGCTGCAAGTGGCAGGACATTCTTTTTTAAGGCTGAATAAGATTTCATTGTATGGTTGCCAGGGGCTGGGGGAGGGGGAGATGACTAGGTGGAGCACAGAGGATCTTTAAGGCACCAAAACTCCTCTGTATGATACTATAATGGTGGATACATGTCATTCATTGTATGTGTGTCAATAGAATGTACCCCTAGAATGTACAACATTAAGAGTGACCTTTTTTTGTAAACTGTGGACTTTGGGAGATAATGATGTGTCAGAAAAGGTTCATGGAAGAATAATCAATGTACCACTGCAGTGCAAGCAGCGTGAAAGACATTGTTAGTGGGAGAAACTGTACTGTGGGGGAGATCGAAGTATATGAGAATTCTCTGTGTTTTCTGTCCAATTCTACTGAGAACCCAAAGCTGCTTAAAAAATAAAGTCTACTTAAAAAATTTTTTTAAAGGCCAGAAAAGCCGGATGTTTAGTCTCAGTGACTATCAAGAGATCAACCAAGTGGCAGGGTCTGGAAAAAACTTACAGGGTTTGATTTCATACAGATTTTAATTTCTAAACTAGTACTGAATAAGACTTAGAGAAGGGAAAAAAATGGTATCAACTCAGTACCTGTATGCCAGTCCTTTCACATTTATTTCCATTTAATTCTAACTCTAGGAGGTAAGTATGTATAATCCCTTTTCATGTAAGAAAATTAGATTCTGAGAAGTTAGATTATTAGCTAAATTCAACAAGCTAAGGGTAGAGGGTGCACGTGTCAAACCTGTCTGCCTCTCTCTGTGCCCAATAGCCACCAGCTACCTCATTCATGTATATAAGGAATAATGAAAAAATGAAGTGTACATAGATGATAGGTAGAAATCCAGTTCTCTGACTGTAGATAAAATTAGTTCCCTTGCCCAACTTTGAAGGGTAAGATGCAAGAATATTTATTCTCAACTCCATGTTCTCATAGAGGGAGATCATTTCTACTCTGCTCTCCAGGAGGGAAAACCATGTGAGGAAGACATGCCCCTGCTTCTCTCCACCTCATCATTTGCCCTTTCCAGGGCAGGAGGAGTGACTTCTCTGATAGTTGAGTTTCAGAGAAGGAAATGATGGTGCTCAGATCATCCTTCTGGCTCCTGTCTGCTGGACACATTCTCTGCTTCTGTATTCAGTGAGCTTTCAGGCTAGGGTCTCCTCTCAGAGAGCATCTGGCAATTGTTAAATTCAGGAGTATTAGAAGGTATTAGGGGGCTTACTGTGGTGGTACCTCTGAGTCATGTTCTTTGATCAACTTTATTAGTAATAAAGCTGGCATTTTGATCTTTTATTTATCCATCACACAGTTGGTTCCAAATTAGGAGAGAAAGAGGAATATTGTTTTGCTTACTGGTCCCTGAAAATCTCAAAAATGGGTAGGATAAAAATCTAAAGGATTCATATGTTAAAATATATGTATGTCAGAATAATTATCATTAAAGATAACACAGTAATAGTTCTCATTTCTGCCCTTAGGGGAGAGGGTAAGAAAAATCCCTGGCAAAATATTTTAAAGAGACTGAGTGACAAATATGTTTAAAGGGTTATTGGCTTATGGAAGAGTAGAGATAGTCAGGTAAGCTTGCCTTTTCTGCTTGGATAGCACCAAGCCAGTGGAACCCATTTTAAAGGCTGCTCCCTAAGAGCTATACTTACAATGTTTCATTATTTTACATTCCATAATGATCCTAGTCATCAACTGTCTTACAAATTCTTTTTCTATTATGTGCATGTTGGGAGAAAGGCATGCAAGTACTTCATTCTTTACTTGAGTGGTGGTGTTTAGCCTTTCACTGTGATTTTTAGTGTGATTTTTTCCCCCCAGTATCTGTAAATGTTATGAAGAGCTATGTTTTCATGGGCAGAAGTTTGTGTTTATGGAATTTTCTTGATGGTTCACCTGCCAAATACCAAGTCTGTCAGTTTTCAGGGTGCCCAGTTAGGCCATCTGTATGTGCAGGTGTCAGGGGTGCTTCTCCAAGACAGTGGCACACATAGGTATTTCTTATGTGAGGTGTCATTATTGGTCTCTTTGCATATTTTTATTCAAATTCAGCTACTGTGTTCAGTGCCCAGACATTCTGAGAATCAAAGAATTTACTCACTGAATTTTGGAACTTTAGTTTGACTAAACCATAGTACAATTGAACATTGCTCTGGGACTTGCTTGCCGGCTCTGAATTCATCATATTAAAATAGGACCCTTGTTTAAAGTAAACCTACTCCGAAGTGGCCCCACTGTACCACTGTTTAACCATTTGCTCAGGCCAAAAATCTGGAACCCATCCTTGATTACTCTCATTGTCTTATAACCAAGCTATCATGTCTGTTCAGCTCTACGTTGAAAAGTAGATACATCCTGTATCTGACCACCTTAGGTACCTCTGTCATTACCATTGCAGTTCAAGCCACCATGATCTCTTGTTTGTCTGAATTACTGCAAAAGCCTCTGGACTGGTCCCCTTGATGCTTCTTCCTCTCTTGCTCTTCATATAGACAATTATCCACAGAAAATCCAGAATAATCTTTTAAAAATGCCACTCAGATCACATCAAATGCCCTTCAGTTTCTTTCCATCAGTCTTTGCCTTAGCCTCTGAAGACCTACATGATCCAACCTTTGGCTACCTCTGTGACCTTGTCACATACACTCTCCCCCATTTTCATTCTGTCCCAGTTATACTGTTTCTCAAGCAAGTCAGGCTGGTTTCTGTTTCAGCCCTTTCTACTTGTTCTCCCCTCTGCTTGTATGGCCTTTAACAATAAGGAATATTTATGGAGCTATGCACTAGAGACTACTGTAGGCCCAGTGACTAGAGCTTTCAACAAGACAAAGTTTATATCCTTAGCAAGCTTTCATCCTACAGGAGGATGACAGAACATAAATTAACAAATGTATAAGGACTCAGGTAATGGTAAGTCAAAATTAGAAGAATAAGATCCATGGGCATAAGATGTGCTACTTTATGGAAAGTGTTTAGAGAATACCTAACAAAGTGACTCATGAGTAGAAGCCTGGAGGAAATGAAAGAGTGGCCACATAAATATTTGGGGTAAGTACATTCCAGGGAGAAGGAATAGAAAATGCAAAGGCCCTGAGGTATGAGTGTGCCAGGTGTTTTTAGGGAAGAGCAAGGGCACCAGTATGCCTAGGATGTAACATGTCAGGCAGGGAGGACGGTAGGAAATAAGGTCAGTGAGGTGGTGGAGGCTCAGAGGATGAAGGGCCTTCTAGGCCATTAAGGACTTAAGCTTTTAATCTATATCATAAAGGAAGCCATTGGACAGTTTTGAGCATTGAAGTGACATAACTGATTTATACTTTTAGAGAAGTACTCTTTCTATTGTGTTGAGAGTAGACAATAAGGGAGGGAAGGTGAAAACATGAAGGCTAAGAGGCTACTGCAATAGTCCAGACAAAAGATATGATGGTATGAAGTCGTAGGATCCTGGATGTATTTCAAAGAAAGAGCTGGACTTCATAGGGTTTGCTAACAGATTTAAGGTGGGTATGAGAAACAGGGAGAAGCTAAAGATGAGTACAAGTTGTTCTGAGCAACTGGTAAATCTGTTCCATTTACCATCATCATAACAAACTTAGTGTCATAAAACAGCCATGTTATTTTACTCACATGTTTGATAGGTTAGAAATTCAAATGGGACACAGCAGGGGCATCTTGTCTGTTCCCTCTATTCGACAATATCTAAAGCCTTGGTTGGGAAGACCCAAAGCCTGGGGTTCACTCAGTGGTGAGAGACTGGAATTATCTGGAAGTGTCTTCATTCACATGTCTGGCAATTGATGTTTGCTTTTAGTTAGGACTTCAGCTAGTTTGTCAGCTGGAACACCTACACACAGCTTCCCCAGGTCGTCTTTCCAGGCAAGTGAGTTTGGACTTCCACACAGCACAGCAGCTAAGTTCCAAGACTGACTGACCCAAGAGAGCCAATTGGAATTGCATTTTCATGATCTAGTCTTAGACATCACATAACTTTACTTCCACTATTCTCTATGGAATGAGACAGTCACAAAGGTTCACACGGAATCAAGGATAGGAAACAGATGTACTACCATTTGATGGGAGACATGTCAAGGTCACATTGCAAGAAGAGCAAGCAAGATGGGAAATATTGTGGCAGCCCTCTTTGGACTACACAATCCACCATCATGGGGAAGGCTGTGAGAATAGCAGGTGTGCATCGGAGCGCAAAATTAATTCGATTTTGGCATTGTTGTATTTGTGATATCTATAAGACGACTAAGTGGAGATGTCAAATAAACAGTTGGATATATGATTAAAGAGGGTTCTATGCTACAGATGTATTTGGAAGCCACTTGTCTGTTTGAAAGCACGGAGCTGGATGAGGCAGAGTGAGTATAAGTAAAGAAAAGAAGGTCCAAGGACAGAGCCCTGGAGCACTTCAATGTTCAGGCTCAGGAAGATGAAAAGGAGTCATCCAAAAAGACTGAGATAAGTAGCCAGTGCTACTAAGAGAGTGGTGTTCTAGAAGCCAAGAAAAGCAAGTATTTACATTAGCTTAAATCCACTGCATCACGTGCTATTATAAGATGTGGACTGAGAATTAATTGTCAATCTGAAGGTCATTGATGACCCTTAGGAGGTACTTCCTTGTTGTGAAGCTCAAACCCAGCTTAGTGAGGGTTCAAGAACAAATGAAAGGAAAATAAAACTTTGAGTGTGAACATCTATTTCGAAGAGTTTGGCTGTAAAGGGAAGTAGATGAAAGTAATGACTTTTAGAGGAGATGTTAGGTCAAAGGAGGGTGTTATTTTTTTTTAGGCTGGAAGACTTTAGAGCGTATTTGTAAACTAGTGGGGAAAAAAAGTAGAAAGTGGAGTAAATAATGATCGGGGATATCGGCAGGAGCAAAGTCCTTGAGCAGGCAGGAGGGAAAGGCATGCAGTGTAAATGATGTATGCTGGGTTCCCTCCCTTTCCTCATATAGACCTGTATTCTTCTCCTTGAAGAAACCTTCTCTAACTAATTATGTAGAAGAGCCTACTCCATTCTCTTAATCTGTTTTTTTTGTCCTTCCTGGAACTTTACCATTTATTCATTTATTTCTTATCAGTGCATCAGAATGTGAACCCTATGAGGGCAAGGATTTTGCCATCTTGTTCACTGACCTATTCCTAGTACCTAGGACCTGACATATAAAGCGTATTCAGAAAAATGTTTTAGGTGAATGAATGATTGTGGAATGAATTAAATAGGAATCTTTTTGTTTTGGCTTAGCATCCCTCAAAATTATTTTACAAATTTAATTCAAATGTGATTTTGACTTCACATTTTAATTAGGGTGTCACTTTGAGACTCCTGGGGATTAGCAGAAGACTTAATGGGAAAATAATTTGGGAGAATTATATATTTTCTAGTACCAAGATTGTCCTTGGCAACTTGATTATTTCTGAAGTGGATCCTTATTTGACAGACTCCTGAGATAAGAAATTGGCATAAAGCAACTGCGTAAGCCCTCCTCTACCCTCAACTGATCACATTGAGTAGCAGTTCAGTTGCTCAGGAGAGAGGACTGAAAATCAAGAGATAAAAGCTTCAAGAAAAGCTTTGTAAGGTTCTTTATAAAATACCTGTCCATACACTAACTCATCTTACCTATTAGGAAAATGTGCAATACAGCATGTTAATACTTCACTGGGGGTATATTGCAACATTATGAATTAAGGGTTGGGAAGCACTTTCAGATTCTCAAATAAAAGACACTCTTTAAGTTCACAGTGTCATTATCATGGTAACTATGACAAATGAAAACATTCCCTTCAGTTTTCTCCCTTATAAGTCACTTCTTATTGATTTGTCATGTCAGATAAAATTGTATTTTTTTTCTTTTTTCCTGCTTTAGAGTAAGAAAGTAATTTCACAGCAAGAAAAGAATACTATTGTGTGGAATATCATGCTATGTATCCCAAGTTTCTTTTATTTGACAAGCACTCCAAATTCAACTATTGACTTACAAAGCTGTGTTATTTTTCATTATGTTATGTTTTTGGCTTTCAGTGTTATGGAGAAATGCCTGATTAAAAGGAAGCCTGCAAGTTAATTCCCAACATGCCCTTTGGCAGCTTTTTCATTTCACTTAGAGGTGGGAGCAGGTGGTGTCATTTAGAATTAAATACATCATGTCTCAGTTGGCAGGAAAACAGCATTCAGTGATGAAATATCCCTGCAATGAATCTCATTAATTGTTCGCCAATTTGTGGTAACTTTATTTGTATTTGCATACTGTAATAGAAGTACAATGAAGTGTTGTATATTTAGATCATACTTAGTGTTAGGTTTAGCTATCAGCTGTAAAAGGCCTTTGGTGTAACAGCTCTGAAGGGCTGGTACGTGAGTGCCAGTCCATCTCCTACAGGAGGCCCCCTAAAACAGTCTTGTTTCATTTCCTCCATTTTCCAGTGAAGTGATAGCAATTTCACAAAACTGTAGCCCAAGCTTAAGCCCATGCTATTTTTAGCATCTTTACTCCGTGAAAAGATAAAACAGATCCTATTTGAACTCTCATCTGTTCTCAGTGACTTAATACTGCTGCAAATTATGTTTTTCTAGCATTCAAATGTCTCTGAGTGTCAAAGGGCAACTGAAAAACTCATCTGATATTTTCCATAGATATATATTGAGATTCAAGTAACTATGTATTATATTTGATACAGCTTATTATAAAAATAATTCTGGGAACATTAGACTAAACTAATTTCTTTATATGAAGCTGTTTCTATCTTAGACTGGGAAAACATGAAAACATGTTAGTTAAAAGACTCTTTATAATATTTATTGTTAATATACAGAAATTGGCAATCTAGTAAGCATCCTTTTTCTGAATTCATCGTTTTCATTTATAAAAGGACTTACAGTATGTCTGTTATATGCCTGGTTTGGGACTGGCTTGCAGAAAATACGAAAGATCCTTAAGATAGCCTCTCCCTTTCAAGGAATCAGAAGTCTCTTTAAAAACTAGATATAGAAATATGAAAGAGAGAGAAAAATACATATCAATGTGCCATTGACAAATTATGTGGAACAATTAGTGTTATAGATCATAGTTTCTTGAAATTTTATTACCATATTTTCCATTATTAAAGGTTTTTACTTGTAATAATTATATGATGATATAGCCTGTTGATCAGATCAAACATCTCTGCAATAAAATTAAGTGGATATGGTTTATAATGCTTTCTGTTGACAAATATGCATTCCTCTCATTGGTGATGCAAGGCGGTATCCTGAAAAGACTACCATAGTAGAGGATGGAAAGACTGATTCTATCTTTGCTTCACCTCTTCCTAGATGTGTCACCTTCAAGAAGTCACTATTTTCTAATCTAATGACAAAATGGGAAAATCTATGGGAAGTCCAGTGCCTTAGGATTTATTTTTGCTCTCCAAGCTCATTGTATATAGTCCTAATACTGAAAAAGATCCTTGGGACTCTACCATCCTAGAGGGTGAGAACATCTGATTTTCAAGGTCACCAGAACCATTTTTAAATCCAGCCACACTGATGTGGAATCACCACCAACAGAATTAGAGACATTTAATAAGAAGATATATTATTTTAAAATGACCATTACTTAAAAGTGATAATAAGCAGAAGACTGTGTTGATGCAAATTTTTAAAAGATGACAAGCCTTGTTTCAGGGATATTTTTCTGGCTAAAACACATTTATTTTTAATCTAATTTTACCAATAGCTTTTGGTAAAAAGGACTTCAGACATAATTGAGCATTCTGACTTCTACCACCTCCTACTGTAATTTTAACACCAAAATTTACTTATCATATCTGAATCTATTCTTCTAAAAAGAATGTCATGATATTGATGAGAAGTTAAAATTAACCTTATTTCTGAGTAAAGGTAATTTCTAATACCATGTTTTAGAAAATGTTTTACAAGTGTTTCTTGTATCTCATTTTAAAATGACGTCATTTAACATGGAATTATAATTTTAAATTTTATGTCAGTGAGTATAATCTCTGTGGTGAGTGGCTACCATGCTGGACAGTGCAGCTCTAGAGAACTGGCTGTTAACCCTGGTAGCACAGGGGAGCTCTAAGTAGAGCTTTGAAAAATCTGCTCTCCAGCCCCACTCCAGACCAATTACATAAACATCTCCAGGGTGGGGTCCAGGCATTAGGATTTTCAAAAGAGCTTTCCAAGTGATTTCAATGTGCAGCTAAGATGAAGACCACTGCATGAATTGGAGACCTCATTGAGAGGTTTTGTTTTTATCCTAGAACCATGATACATCTTTAAAGCTTTAAGCATGGATGAGGGGTGATCACATTTACATTTTTTAAAAATCACTCTGGTGAAAGCACAGAGATCAGATTAGAGGGAAATATGATAGATGTAAATGTTGGCAGATCCTTTTAGTGGCTTGGGCAGTAGCCCAGTTCATGGATGATGGCTTCATGGTAGATGAAGATGGAATCAAGAGTTATTTGGAAGATGAAAGGTCTTGATTACAAATTGAATGTGGAAGGGGAGGGGAGGAGGTGCTGTTCAGTGTGATGGAGGATACTGCAAGTAGATGCAGTCGTTACATGATTTTTTAAAGATCAAATATATGCAAAAACTTGTCATGAGTTTTGAGACCATGCAGACAGATGCATTAAAAGTAAAATAAGGTCTTTCCATTGCTGAAGAAGTCCATAGGTTTTGCTATCGAGTATTTAAATTACTAACTGTAACACTGACGGAGGTTAGGAATTATACCAATGATGAGGAATATTACTTATTGTATTCTTGTTATCTAGAAAGTAAGTCATCCAAAGGAAGGGCAAATTGGAGAGTAATTCTTTTATTGTGGGTTCTTGCATGACCCACTAAGGTCCTTCTGAAGAAAATATTTATTTGTGCCATAAAAGACATAAAATTAATAGTACTTGATTTTTAATTTTAATAGTTATAATGAACTTAATGATAGGCTAGTCCAATGTCTTTTTATGGAGGGACCAAAGCTCCATGGGGTTTAGGAATGTGTTCAGGTCACATGGTTTTCATTTCTCCACACTACAATGAACTTGTTGGATTATGTGCTAACCTGTTCTCTGTAAACCTTTGACTCCTTAGAGAGCTTGCTTCTCCACATTTACATACATTTCTGCATTTTCTTAAACTTCTATGTATTTTTCCTCTTCTTGTATTGAAAATACAATGTAACCTGAGACAGACTTCTTCCTCTTTCAATTGTTTGATATTGAATTTTTCACAGAACCCTGATATAGTAAAATGCTGTGAAAACCCTTTACTTAAACATTCACACTTCCATTGAGTAAGACTGTCTATATATACCAGGAGTAATTTTTTTAAATGTTTGTTCTAATTATCAGACTGTTTAAATTTTTTCAGTTCTTTAAAATCCCATATTTCAACATGTGAACATTTGATAATGGCATTTACTGACATGATTTAGTCCTGTTGTAATAGAAACAACATCTGATTTGAGCTAGAAAGAACAGATTACTTAAATTGTGACTTAAGAACCAGCTCTGTGACCTCAGACAAGTAAATTATTTTTGCTGACCTTTAGTTTCCTCATTGTAATTGAGGATGTTGGTACCTACTTGATAAAGCTATTATAAAATTCACAGAGATAATATTAATATTAATACTGGGCTTCAATCTCTAGCAATAAGATATAGGGCTCCACAATGACAAAACTCAGCTTATTAGCATGCTATCATTTTCCCTATTCTGTATGGTCCCTGATAGCTGAGTTTAAGCTAATTAGACCCAAGATAGAAAACAAAGAATCTTGTTAACATTATACACCTCGAGATCCTGTTCCTGCTCCAACCTCGGTGTACTCAAGAACGCACATTTCCAGCTCATATCCTTTCAGGAAAAATCATAATAATCCCTTACTTATTCCTCTTCCATTGCCTCAGCCTACACACTAAAATTTATTTACTTCATTATTTTATTGGGCTTCAGGATTGTGGCATTTTCTTCAGTTTCATTTTCAGGATCTTTTCTGATCTTTCTACATCCCTGTCCTTTGAATCTCTATTCTTAGTCCAAGGACACAGTAATTTCTATGCTCCTATGCCCATACTTTACCCAAGGCATGTGATAGTTTTGTACATAGCTGAAGATTTAATTGACCTCTAAGCAAAGAGTTTCTGAAGGATCTGGTGGTGTAAGACAAATTGATACAGATTTATGTAGCTGAGTGCCTAGCACATAGTAAGTACCTATTAAGTGTTAGCTTAAGCTTTGGGTTTATAAGCGTTCCTTATGTATTTTTTTAAGGGACCTAATATATGCAAATAAACATGCCCTGAAGAGACTACTGTGTCAAACTGCTTGACAGACCATCAAAAACAGTTACAAAAAAAGTCTTAAAAAGGACTAATGTGGTTCATAGAGGTGCCTTTCCATCTGTCCCCCACCTCTACCAATAAGGCTGCATTTATCACATTTAAGCAAACAACATATTGTCAGAAAATGAAACTGTCAAATTGACAATACTAAAGTAAGTACTAAAACTGTCAGAAACACATAGCAGGTTAGATTCTTATGCTGTTTGTTTATTTTTTCCCCTACTGTTATTTTTAATTTAAAATAGTCATGTGTATTGTCTCACTTTGATAGTCTTTCTGAGGATTGGAATTGTACCATCTACCTTAGGCTTAAAATATGTTTGTCATAAGATATAAGCCTAGTGGATATCTCAGAATCTCTCTTTTATGTGTACATCTGGATTTAAATGCTGGGGAGACATTGAAGTAAGGCTGAGAGGAGGCCAGATCTTCCTGCCGACTAGAATAGCCCATTCCAGGTGTTTATTGGGCTGACTCGGCTAGCGGCTAAATTAATCTTCAGGTCTCAGCTCTTACAACCACTACTGGGTTATAAAGAAACTAGGATAAACTTCATATTCAAAGGGAAAGGCTTTAAATTAATTGAAGAAAGTGATCATTCTCTTTCTTGGAAAAGAGAATTTGATTTCTATTGCCTGTTAATTTTTCAAAGAAGTTTAAGAGCTGTATAGCATATCACCTTAGACATATAATTATAATGAAACTTTATATGTACTTTTTGTTATTAAAATAAGTATAATTAGGTAGGCTGACTTCCCTTATAATTATCTCCTTAAAGTTTTATTTTAGGCACAGTCTGTTGTTAATAGTTTATATGGGTCTGTTTTATTTTGGATGAAGAGTTTTGACAATTCATAACATATTGTCAGGTAAAATCCATTTATATCTTGCCTAAATTATATCTGAACGTAGGAAAATGAATATTTTAGTCCATTTTGGAAGCATATTCTATGCATGGTTTTCTTGGAAAAATACAAAATATCTATATCTCAGAAAAAATATACTGACTCAATATTGAGTAGATATTTGATGAAAAAAATAAGAATACCATATGGCAAATTAGAATTTGGTAGTTTATTTTTTGCCATTTAGAAATTAGAGAATATATTTTAATATTCTTAACTCAAAAAAGCATTGCATTTTATTCACCTTAAAAATTAATTTAAAAATCTGAATTGTGGAGTTTACATTTACAATATGTAGACTGAAACATGTCACACTATGCTGGGAATTTGTACTCAGTATTGTATCGTGGATATAGATGTTTTACATTACTGGAGGAAAAATAGGAACACCTTTCTTCAACTCCCAATTTAATAAATGGATGATTTTTATACCACAAGATGAATTAATTACTGTTGAAAAATATACATACTTTTTTGCTTTGCCCCATATTGCTAACAAACATAGTATGTATAACTAAAAGCCTTTTCAGTGATCTACAAATTCTTATAAACTCATGATCAATAATTATCCTTAAATGTTTCAAGGTTAACAAATGGAACACATATGTAAAATCTTAACTTCTAGCATCTTCCCCATTTCCTTGAAAGATTCTATTCAAATCTCAATTAGTCCCCTAATGAAAAGCTTGCATCTGTACATAATAAGCCCACACTGGTGGAACTGCTCTCTCATGCAGCTGCTGAACTCACAAGACAGGGAGTGCAAATAATGAGACAGGCACTCTGAAGCAAAAGGCTGGCACTCTGAGCCTGTTCTGTGGGGAAGTAGAGTAGCAAAGGCACCCTCCTTTGTTAAATGAGAGATATGCTTTTAAGTTTGGGTAAGTAAAATTCATTTAAATACAGATAAGTTTGTAAGATAAGACTTCTAGATTTTTTTTTAATCAGCTGATACTTTTCTGGAAATTAATCAGCTCCCAAATGAGAATAAGCCAGAATGGGAGGGGAACATAGAGGTGAGTTGGCAACGTGGGGAAGGGGTAATAGCGAGGCAGAGAGATCAGGCAAGCAGGGTTGTGTGTTCGAAGAGTTGTGAGATGAGAGGTGAGAGGAGCCTGAAACAATAGAATCAATAGAGTTTGAAAATTTACCTCTGAATGTACTCTCAGTTTATATGTGGGAATTAGCTCTAGAATATTTGCAGAAATATAGAGACTTTGAGAAAATCTTATTTTCAAGTAATATGCTTGCCAGTGGTGAATTCTCAACTTTCTTTTCAGCACCAGTGTAAACCGTAACAGTTTGTTTTTTTTAACACAAAAACCTTTTTCTATCTAGTATATAGAGAACTAATCCAGAGAGTCAGCTTCTAATTCAATTATAGGAATTGAACAGTACACTTAATTTCCTGAATACCAATTTGGATCAACCTTGTTTTTGAAGCTTTGGTGCAAGCATTCAAATCATAATGAAGCAGAAAAAGGAACCAGGATATCTCAGCTCTTCCTCAAGAGATTCTTACCTAAGCGAGCCACATAAATAACTCATGTGTCAAAGATGATTTTAAAGACAGTACAAAAGGTAGAAAAATAAAATATTTTATTTAATTAACATTAGAAGATATGTTCGTGACAGTACCCGTGCTAAAAAGGTTGTAGCAATGGTTATTTCATTTATTTCTTTTATAGCCAACGTGTGTTTTCCTCTTTCTTTAAATCAAATTCAGAGTCCAGATCCTTTACTAACTTCCTAGTTAGGCAGTTCCCTAGGAACTTTACTCCTGTATTTTCCTTACTATTACAATAGTAACAATTGTTATCAGCATGGCACATGGATGGCTGAGTAAGATCCTGCCAGGAAAATAAATATTAACTCTTTTAACCTGGGTAATTTTAGTTAATCCCTGGTAGAATATGCTGCGGTGTCCTAGGGCCCTGCAAGGTGATAACACCCCTCTTAAATAGTTTTTCCTTGCTTACCGTAAAAGTTGGGAAGTACTAGATAAGCCATCTGTCTGTTCCTAGAAATACCACAAATCTGTGCATTGTAGACTGTTTTGCTACACATGCTGTTTGGAGTTTAAGAACTAGCTACACACAGTAGCACATCACCAAAAATTCCCCTGAGTCAGAAATGCCTTTCTCCCCCTGCCAGACCTCAGTTCAAGTCATGTTTTTCTCGATAACTAAACCTCCATTGTTCAAATTTAGTAAGAACAGTGCCTGCTGACCCAAATTTGCTTTGCCTCCATTGGTATTTTTTGATAACTTACTATATTTTTCAGGTATAGAAGATGTTTGAATGAAAAGACAATTATTTACACTCATTGCATATAAAAATAACTTTGATTTCATTTTATTTGCTTATAACAAAAGCTATAAGAATAACTAGTAGAATCTCTTCCTTTATTTGTTACTTATATATCAGACTGTTGTAAAGTGGACAAAATAAAATGACTCTTATGGCCAGTTTGTGCTGGGACTGGTTTGTATTGACTTCTGGGAGATGGTTATTAAGTTTTCAGTTTTTTGATTGATTGTTAAAATGTAGCCATGATTAAAAGTCAAATTTTATAAAATCGTTACTTATAATTAAAGGTAATAAATCCTCAAGACTTCGCTTTCTATTCATGTTACTGCATTTTACTACTCTACATGGTGGACAAAATGGTATAACACTGAGCACCACTTCCCAGCTGGATGTTCAATCATTTTAACCCGATGACTTGATTTTGGCCATGGTGAGAGAATTTGCACCACAAAATAGGCAGACACTACAAATCAGCTTCACCACACTGAAACCAAAGTGTTAAACATTTTCCAACACACCACTTATAGCTGAATAGTATTTGGAAAAAAAAATAGATGCTGTTACAGTTCTAGGGCCACATATCTAAAATGATGGTTCTTAAAGCACCTGTGTTTCTATCCTCTGCTTACCTTATTTTAAAATGTAATTTCTTTGGTTCCATCCTTATTCTTCTCAGTAAGGTTCTCTTGTCCAAGTAATTATTGTATACACTAAAATTTAAGAGCAGCTGTCCTAGAGCTTTCTGAAATATGGAGGAATAAAAATAAGTTTGCTCTATTTTAGTTTATTTTTACATTGAAAAAGAAGCTAAATTCTGGTGGTAATAGTAATGCTACAGCAATGAGAATAAAATCATTCACTAACTTACAACAGAAGTAAACGATGATGAATACGTGCATCATAAGAGATTATCAGCATCTTTATATCCCAGCACTTCTTCCAATAATGACATAGATGCTAAATACATGTTCCTTAAGTTGAAGACAAAATTCTGAATTGTTTGATATATTCTATTTCCTATATTTTGTTTAATACACTCTTTTCTTTAAGTTTTATATTTGGTCACATATGTAAAAACACAAAATTTAAAGTCTGTTTTTCTTATTAGATAGAAGTATTAAATAGAATTATTTAAAATATCTTAAAGCTTCTAGACTCTCTGTCCATTAGATTTCTTCACTGGAAAACTTTTGTATGACAAAATATTTTTCAGCTCCTATATTTTTGCCTTCATTTGGTGGCTCTAGAAGCCAGATGTTCATCTTAGTAAAGTTGACATAGTCTCATCTTCTTCCTAACCCAGCACTACCTTAAAAACTGCCAAGAAGTTTTAAGTGTGGGTGTTTCAGTAAAAAGGAATTCACTGCTGTCCATCAGTTAGAAAATGTTAGGTTTCCCTTTTTAGACTAACAGAACAATAAATGAAAAACAAGTCAAAGCTTTAGAACAGGAAAGACTTATTTTCAGTCTCTTAAAATAATTAATTAGATTTAAAATAAGACTGCATATGTAACCACCAAACTATATCTTTTTTAACAGTTTATTTGGCGTTAAGATTTTCTCCCTTGTAACTGTCAATATGGAAATTTTGATATAGTGGATCTGTAAGCCACCACTATTGCAGATCCTCAGAATAACACATATTGTAGCAAAATTAATGCAGAATGACACTTCTGCCAAACATATTTATAGAATGAAGCTTATATAACATAAGACATTCTAGAAGCAGTGTTCATTCTCCAGCTCTGCAGCTTTCTCAGCAGTATTCCTCAATATTATCTTTGGTATAGAATATTCATATTAAATTAACGGGCTAAAGAAACTTCGATTTACGGGGTCTTATTGGAACAGCAAGGTTAAAACTAGGTTGTAGGGAAAAATATTACTGTAGGAAATATGCATTAGTAGCAGGTTTGCTTTCAAATTGTCCCGGATGACTACATCTTGCTTATTAATATTGCTACAAATCTATTTATCCCCCATGGAAACATGGCTCGTGGGGTTGTCATAGCTCAGAAGAGTTGTGTTCACATATTTATGAAGTTATTGCCTGTGTTTTCCAGATGTGGCCCAACCAAGTGATTTTCAGGCACACCTGCCGAGCTGGGCTCCTGTGGTAGTTGCACAAGAATGCAGTCTTAAGAAGTATGCATCCCTGAATGGTGTGCCAATGATAAGAAGGCCCATGGGAAAGGATTTGAGACATTCTCAGGAATTTCTAGTGATACTAATTTCTTACTACTTTTATCCTCCCACACCTTCCTTATGTTTAACACAGAGCTGCTGTCAAATTCATAGCCACACATATTAACAAACCCTGTCTTAGAAAGTTGCAGGAAGTTACCATGAAGTTTACATGGTCCCTAGTCCACACTTCAATGTGTAAAGAAACACAAAATCAGTGGGGAAGACAAACATTTTTTTAAAAATCAACCCTCTGCAATAAGATAGAATAAACACAATACCAGATACAGTGGGAGGTATAAAGTAAGAAGTAGTCTTTTCAACTTGAGGCATAAAGAGAAAGCTTGACCAAGAAGGTGACCCATGGGCTGAGTTTTATAGTCGTCAGGCTTTCAAAAGAAATATTGGTACTTTCTAGAAATTGAGGATAAGTGGAAGATATAGATCTCTTCCCCATTTTAAAAATGAAAACAAGTTATAATCTGAATACTGCCATACATTTATCAGTATGCAAGTGCAGTTAGTCAACAACTTGTTAATTCCTACTCAATTCAACAATTAGCTTTAAGGAAAAGCTACTCCAACAATTAGCTTTAAGGAAAACTTCACTCCCTAGAAGATGCAACAGTATTATAGTGGTAGGATCAGAAAGCCTTCTGCTCTGCTCAGGTGATGGTGTCCTCAGTTAAGGGGGCCACACAGCTAAAGCAAACTCGAGACCTAGTGTGCTATTTGACTATTGGGCTGCTGGACTCTCGTTCATGGAACGTAGAGATACCTGTATCATTTTTCTGGGAAACCGCCTCTCTTAAATACCACTCATTTTTATCAAAGATTGTTTTTAACATTACTTACGCGAATTAACTCACCCTGTTGTACAGAAATAATGGTGATATTTGAAGTGCATGACACAACCATCTCTGTAGTGTGGACTCTTGATTATGATCTTCTGATGCTAACTGCCCTGGAGTGGGAATTACTAATGACTTTGGTGTTCATTAAACATCCATAGGGTGTACATTAGAGATAATTTACACACATACACAGTCACTGTTTATTATGAATTATTTTATTCAAATTACGGATTATTTATTATTGGCAGGAGTATGATGTTTTAACTATATTTTGAGGTTTATAAGTTCCTTCCTCAATAAGTTATTTTTCATGCGTTTTTTTTTACATGTGTGTATTTTGCTTATTTTATGCATGTATTTTAAAATAGCAAGTTGACTTTGTTGCCTCTGGAGTTCCACAGAACCAGGGTAATGCGTGGGCATGGAATACTAACAAGGAGAAACAGCTTCCTGTTTAAGAACAATTCCCATGTTTTTTTTTTAGAGGAGAAAATTGAGAGCTGTTTGGTGGTTGCCATACTTTACATTTACTTTACTCTACATTTAATGTTTTGTTCTCCAAGTAAAGAAGAGTAACATTAGATGTAGCAAAAACAAAACATATTTTTATTCTTCAGAGCTTTCAATTATGAAAGAACGAAACTTGAAGATGAAAAGTATTTTGAGGGTTCCTCTAGGTATGGCTTTGAACTAAAGACAAATGTGTGTATTTGAAAGTTTAAAACATTCAACATTTTTTGTGTGTGTCTTGGAATACCAAAATAAAACCTCCATGGGCTGCTCTCTAGTCATGGTTTTCTCTACTAGTTTAAGTTTAGAAAACACTTCATACAAATGCCCTCTTCTTTAGGTTTCCAATTGTTATCAAGTATTTACTTGGAATTTAAATAGAATTTTTCTGTTTCGGGTGACACTACCCATAGCAATTGACTCAACTTACTATCAGTTCTATGTTTTGTAAATGTACACACTTTAAGCTACACATACAAGCTGTATTAGATCAGAACCACACACACACACACACACACACACACACACAGCTGACTTAAGCATTATGCACTCGTAAAATATTTGGAAAATGCAGAAAAGTAAAAGAAAACAGGCATGATCTCATTATCAAGAGTCAGTAAATTCTTGGGATGGTAATGTATTTCCTACCCATATTTTCTATATGCATAAATTTTTATTCCAAAATTGAAACAGCATATAAAGTTTTATATCTTCCATTTCACTTGCTACAAGTATTTTCCTATATCACTAAGTAATCATTGAAGGTGTGATTTTAATTGGCTGCATGGTATTCCATCCTATGGATTTGCCAGGATTGATTTATTTAACCAGTTCATTATTTTTTTACACTAAGGAGTTTTGTTTACAATTTAAGGATGTGTATGTGTGTATTTCTACACATAAGTACAGTCACGCATCACTAAATGCAGGAGATCATTATGAGAAATGAGTCCTTAGGCCTTTTTGTCATTGTGCAAACATTATATAGCACATGTACACAAACCTAGATGGTATACCTACTATACACCTAGGCTATACAGTATAGCCTGTTGCTCTTAGGCCACAAACCTGTATAGCATGTTACTGTTCTAAATACCGTAGGCACTTGTAACACAAGTGTAAGTACCTGTGCATCTAAACATAGAAAAGGTATAGCAAAAATATGGTATTATAATCAATGAAAATGCTACCATATATGCAGTCCATCATTGACTAAAATGTCATTATGTGGCACATAACTATATTTAAATTGAACTTCCTAAGATTTTAAAACAGATTTATATTATTTCATAATATGTGAAGGGTTTTTTGTTTCCTTCTGGATAAAAGTAGTAAAAAATACTGTTAAAGTAATATTTTTATAGATGACTATTTGCCTTGGGGCCAGGAAAAGCAGCTGGAGTTATTCACTTAGTACCATTTTTACATACTAACTTTGCCTTTTCCATGCTTGCTTGATGCGGTTTGCAGCACTGAAGAACAGTTTCAATTGCTAGCCAACCAGAGAGCATGATCAAACCAAACAAGTTCCCTGTTTCAGGAAAAACAGGTTTTAGGTAACTGAAGGTTTACCAGTTACTGATTCCACAATCTTCTCTGTAAAATATTTTCTGCCTATTATGCAGACTGGTGGTTTTAAATTTGGTAAAACTATAAAATACCATACAATATTTTAATGTGGCACCCTTATAAAGTTTTTCAGCCTTCCCCCTTCCCATAGTATTGTTGGATACAAGAAACCTTAAACAGCAACAGTTATCAAGGACAAAAAGAAAGTAATTTGATTTCTAGAGATACAGAAAGAAAATATGTCTGTTTCCAATACTACCTTCCTTTTAAATGGCTACTTATAAACATTTTTTTTTTTTTATTTTACCCAATGTCATGATTTGGAGCTCCAGCAGAAAATAGTTTAAAGAATAGTAGTACAGAAACTAAAAAAAAAAAAAAAGAATAGACTATTAACTGCATTGAGCACTTGCCTAATTGCCCTCCTGGACAGATTAACCTGCAAGTGAAATGACTGATTTAATTCTGCCTGTCCTTTCTCACCTAAGAACTCAATTTGGATGGCCAAGTTGCTAACTCTGTTTCTAAACAACAGGTTAAGTGGCTTAAAAGTTTTAGCACAGTTGTTTCGTTGTAGTTGCATTTTTGTTTTTGTGTTTATAACTCTTTGGGAAATACAGTCCAAGGAAAATTGTTCCTATAGCTATACTCATATGTTGCCAGACGGTGTTTGGCCAGAGTTCTAAATTTAATCTGTCCCTGCACCTGATACGTAATGACTGATTTTTTAATGTTCTAGACAGGACCCACTATATGAAGTATTTCATAATATTAGATTGAGATGCTGTTTCAGGCTGTCTTCAGATAAGAGTGATCTAATGATTCATTTTTACTGTTTTCTAACACCTGAATTTTTTGTGGCTGTGTCTCAGCCAATTAGGAGGTAAATTTAGTGCTCTTTGCTTGAAGCAGTTGCAAGATTATCGCCCCAGGCGGGTTGTGAACATTTTGTCAGTATAGAGACCTTGAAACATCGAAAGGTTCAACATTTCATTTGTTTACACCCTTGAAAATCCTTGGTTTTCTAGCACACAGTGACTAAACTAATAATACCACTTTTTCTGCTTGACAGTGTCTTGTGAAACGTTGCTCCAAGATGACCAGAACCCTTTTTTAGGTCTTGTTACGTGGAATTTATACATTGCCTTGGGAATATATATCTCCTCAATGCTTTAAAGTTAAATTGCTTTTTAAAAATCCATGTTTGTAATTATTTTAAGGGTAGTATACATTTGAAAGGACAAAGGGAAAAAAAAAAGAAATGAATATGGCCGATAGTACTTCTCGTTCGAAACTGGAGTGTTCCTTTGCACAGTTCTGAGTGCATGTCATTTACTGCACTTGGTCCTTAATATGCAGGCATAAGGCCTCCTGCCAGTAATACTGGGAAGATGGGAAGTCTGAGCTTTTCTGTCCAGTGCTCCACACCCAGGGCTTGCATAGTGCTTACAAATGACTTGAGTGGGGGAGTCAAGACCAACTTGGTCCTATCTCATTGCAGTCAAGGGGCCTGGCTATTGAAGAGAAGTGGACCTTGTTAAGCCTTGTCTAAAGCCATAATTTCTGAACAAGAGCCTCCTCCATGGTACCCACTGGTGTTAGAGAAGCATCATTCCCTTCAAGAGAGGATTTGCCCACTCCTCAGCATCACACTCATTGAAGGGGCTCGTAGCCAAGCTGGTCATAGCCAGTGTAGGGATGATAGTGTGGAAACTATGGAAAAGTAAGCTATGATACGACAGAGTCCCTGGGCAGGATAGTGCTGTTCTTAAAGCAGCCGTAGGTTAAATTGGGTGACTGCTTAAAGTAATGAAGCTGTCCTTGGGGGTCCAGCAGGCAGGAGCTGAGTCTCCTGACCAGACAGCAGAGAAGAGCCTTGAGAACAAGAAGGCCGATGGTTGTACTCGGCATTACCCACAGATGTGGGACCTCATGCCATATAGACAGTTTCCAAATTCCTGAAGCTCATGGATCACCATTCTCAATGTGTAGACTCCACGAAGTCTCAAGTGAGAAGGATACTTCAGGAGCATTGGGAAGATTTATTCCATTTTCTACCACATCAGTATTCCAGAACCACTCTCTCCCCCTTGACTCTGATGATTAAGGCCTAATTACCCTCAAGAGACCAGGCAGCTTTTGGAGGGTTTCATATGCTGCTAGATTTCCTCACTACTTTGAGTTAGACCTCAAAGAAAGCCCCGATCCCAGGATGCGATATCAAAAGATCATGACTAAGAGTTCTCTTTAATACCATAGAGGAAGTCTGGCATAGTGGTTAAGAGCACATCTTCTGTAACCAAGTGCTGGGTACATATCCTAGACTTCAAGGTTGTATAACCTTTATCTGTCTCAAGTTACTCATCTGTAAAGTGGAGGTTATAAGATTACTTACCTCATAGGGTTTTTATGAGGATTACACTTTGTAATATGTGTAAAGCCATTAGAATTATAGCTGGCATATATTCTGTGTTATAGGAGTCTTCGTTGGGTTTTGTGTTGATGTTTTTCGATAAGTCCTTTGAGTAACTCTACCCTCGTATGTTTAGTTAACATTTAATATGTATCAGGTACTATTCTATGTGTGAACATATTCTAGCTCATGTAAGCTTCATGGCCAGCATGATAGATAGGTAATTGTATTTTTCTTGTTTTCCGATAAGGAACTTGAGACCCAGCTAGGTTAAGTAACTTGCCCAAGGTCACACAGCTGAAAGTGGCAAAGCTGGGAGTCAGGCAGTCTGGTGGTCCCTGCTCTCAACCACCCTGCTCCAGTAGCTCCACTGCCAAGGTCCTTTTCATTTGTTCAGCCCTGCTTTCTCCTGTTAAGATGAGCCTTGTTTTTTTCTCATTATGTCTCAAAGCTTTATTGATTAGAGGCATCAACCTGTAGCAAGAAGGCCCTGGGCAGCTCCCTCATCCCCCTTACTAACAGCATCAACACTAACGTGTGACTTGATCCTCCTCAGTGAGATTCTCGTCCAAACCAGCAGTCTCATAGTGGTTTTCCTGACCTAGTCTCACCCTCAACTTCTAATAATTCTGCTGCAAAGTCACTAAAACAGCAACCCCTTCTTTGAAGAGACTCTGGATATTTCCCGTCAGAACCTTCCAAAGGTTAATTTTCCCTTGACATTGCCATCATTGTCTTCCCCCTTTTCCTGTCAACATTTCAGTCCCCTGCCCAGGCCTTGGGCAGGTGAATTCTGAGTATCCCTGATAGACCCTGTGAGTACAGCACAGGCCCCACAGAGCAAGTGCTATGTAAATCCCACCAGGAACAACACAGCTCTGTGGGAGCAATGTTCATGTTAATTACATGGTGATTTTGCCAGACAGATATTCCTTTTGCCATAAAGTGACATGTGCTACACAGGAACCCCAAGTCTTCCTAGAATGTCATAGAAGGTCAGACGTCCCAGGAGCGCTATATCCGCCTAATGACCCAGTGCCTTCAGGAAGACTTCTTTCACTGAACACTTGCTTTTCTGTGTACATCTTTAATGTAATAGTTGCCCAAATAAGAACACAGTACAGTCTTCGATACCTTCCTGTGAAGATGCAGATCTGCTCAATAGGAACGTTTGCTGTATTGTATGTATAAAAATAACTTCAGGAACATCAACTGCCATGAAACACATCAAAAGGATTTTGACAGGGACAAGACAGTGCATGAAATGTAAAGGTCTGAACTTAGGTGAAGAAGTGTGACTGGGAGGGGGAAGGCATTTCACTGTTAATTTTAATTTATTCAGAAAAGTTCATGAAATAAAATACATTTTCACTGATGTTTCCTAATTATAAACAAAGGCTAATTTCTCTTAAACCTTTTAATATATTCACAGAAATGTTTGTAATTCACTAATGAGTGCCATTATATTGGGGGGCACATTGCACATGAAGGATTGAATTTATGCAGGAATGACCCTGCATAAATGCACATGGCTTCACATTCGTCGTAAGGGAATTAAGTATGAGCACTTCCATCCCCTGAGTTCTTTACAGAAAATAGTTTGCTATTGCTTTATTTAAGTGCCTGAGATTTTATAGCACTATTAGGTTTATCTTCTAGATTTTAAGAAAGAATTCAACTCTCTAAGTCCCTTTGGGATCAGGAAACCATTGTAATCAGTAACATAATCGTTACTGTTGTATGTATGTGGGCATCTCTGTTTGTATGAATGCATAGGGACTGGGGACTCTTCATTGGCTTCTATCTACTTGAACAAGGGCGACCCATTATGAAACCCAACAGTTCGGATAGTCAACCCGTTGGTTTTTTCATCCTTGGTGTGCTAAGTCAGTCAGATGAGTGGTTATTTGTTCCAAGATTCAGATTGTTTCCCCAGCAGGAGATACAGTAGAAGAAATTGATTCAAATCCGGGGCTGACTTCACTCACTTATTGGGTCAGCAGTATTGTCATATAACGTCTATCTTACTTTTAGCTCTCTTTTCTTTCTTTTTATTTTTCACTAACTTTTATTTCTTTTTTCTTCTTCCGTTCGTTTTCTTTCCAGTTATCCATGTTAAGTGGTGATCAGAATAGCATGGATAAATGACACCCATAGACAGCTTATAATTCTCAGTTGAGCCAATAATTTCAACCTTGTCTTCCATCAGATCTTCTTATGAGAGCTGCTCAAAATGATCAAAATTGATTAATTTGCATTTTACTTCCTCTCTTCTCTGCGTATTATCTAGCAGAATACAAAAATGCTGTGGCCAAAAGACAGCAGAAAAAGGAAGGAGGAGACCTAGATAATTTATTAACTGGACAATCAATCCCAGCATAATGAGGAATTAGTTGACTACTAAATTAAAAGCTTATATGCAAATGAATGGTGGTATAAAGCAGCAGCATGTGTGTTCTCTGTACAAGAGGTCATTCCTGTTATGCCAGATGAATGCAAAATGGCATGGAAGTGAATGTGGATGTTTAAGAGCTAAAAAGGCTGGACATAAAGTATAAGAAGTGACCAGGAAAGAACAAATACAATTCTAGGCAGGTAACGAAAATAACAAGGAAAGAGCACTAGCATTCAAGAAAATAATTTAGAAAAGCAGCAGAAGAAATGTGCTGCGAGAATGAAAATGTATTCAAAAGACTGGACCAGAGGAATATATGAAATTGTGCTATCAGGCAAAAACGTACCAGAACATTTACATGGACTTTAGCAGCATACTCTGTTTATTTTCATTAACAAAAAATTTAAGCACACCTAATTCTGTGCATGTTTCCATTAAGCCATCTCTACCCTGTAAGCAATCAATAGTCATTATTACTTTTAAAAAACTCCTTCATTTATTCAGTAAATATGTAAACATCAGGGCTCTGAGCTAGTGCTGGGTAAACAGGAACGGACTAGACAACATGGGTTTTGAAGTAGCTGATGATCCAGTGGGAGAGATAGGAAAGTAAGCAATCACAACATGTCGCTATAAGGGCTATGATACTAAAGCTTAAAACGAGAAAGGAGGGATGTCTATTTCAGCTTGGAGAATAGATTTCCTTCCTGCAGTGATGTCTGCACTGAGAGGTCCATAGGATAAGCGGAAGCTGGCCCGGGAGGGAGGCATTGAAGATATTCCAAGCTGAAGGAATAACATGTATACAATCCTGGAGAAAGAGTATGGAAATTTGTGGGGCCAAAAGTAGTTCATTATGGCTAAAGCCTAGCATCAGGAGAGAGTGGGAAGTGAAGAAAGCTGAAGGAAGCTTTTAATGTGAAAATCAGGTCACTCCTCTCTCTACTTAAAACCCTCCAGTAGCTAGCTTCCCATAGTGCACAGAATGGAACTGAAATTGCATAGTGGCCTGCAGAGCCCTGTGCATCTGGCCGCTTCTTATCACTCCAGCCTTATATCCTTTACTGTGGTCATTCTTTTTTTTTTTTTTTTTCCTTTCTTTTCTTTTCCCTTCCTCAAACATATCAAGGTCATTCCAGTCCCAGGCTCTTTAAAGGCAGGGTCTTCTTTCCGTTTTTCACGTTTCTGCTGATTATTCTAGATCTAGTCAAATGTCACCCCTTCCTGGAGGCCTTCCCCAATCACTGTAGAATTAAAGCAGCATCCCAAGTCACTTTCTGTAAAGCTCTCTTATCTGTTTTAGTTACAGCACCTATTAGTCCTGAAACTCTTAAGTATGCGTTTATCTGTTTTCTACTTTTCTGTATTAACAGACCTCATGGGCAGGGATTTTGCACACTAGTTTACTGCTATATTACCAGCATCTGGAACAGTGCTTGGCACATAATAGACAATCAATAAAATTCTCTTCAATCACTGATAAACAGATTAAGCAGAGGACCAGTTCCAAAAAAATGTCTTAAGTGCCGTGCCAGGGGCTTTATGACAAAAGCAATGGGTTTTAACAAAGTAGGGACATTACCAGGATTCTGTGCTTTAGAAAAACCCTCCTGGCTGTAGCATGAAGCATAGATTTAGTAGGGCTTGATGGGAGCAGGAAGACTAGTTAGGAAACTATTGAGATTGTTCCAGTCCTTCCCCTGCTTAGTGCTGACTTGCATCAAGAGAATAACATTGGAAATAGAGGTAGAGACTGAATATATGGTATGTGATGATTAATTGATAGGCATAAGATAGAGAATGAAGAATCAAGATTATATCTAAGTATCGTTCTTGTATAACTGAGTGTAGGAGAGAGATGTGTGCAGGAGAAGTGGATTTGCAAGTCATCAGCAAATAGTTTGGTAAAGGACACTGTTATAGTGGATGAGCTTAGCCTGAGGAAAGGGTGGAGAGTGACACTAGGAGAGAGTTAACGTTAAAATCCTAAGGTATACAGATCAATTCAAAATCAATTATTTAAAAATGAACCAGTTTAAACCCATACTGAAAGTAAATTAAAGTAATTAAAAACTTGGTTTAGGAACATCGTTTCTCCCATGCATGAAATCTCTTTCTGGTTCTGTTTGCTTGTGTCTGTCATCAATCTTTTCCATTTTGCAAAAACACAAACTGGTTCTTTTGTAGGTAAGGTTATCTTTGGGCAAGTCTGTCCAACTCATAAGCAACAACAATATGGCTTAATAGGATAAATAAATTATATGACAGACTGAAAGGTCAGTTTGGCATCTTGCAAAATAAATACTAGAACAAGAAAAACAGGAAATGCTGATAGCATTGTAATGACTCTGAAGTTAATGCTTCCACGTAATCATTAATGAAGTCATTTTAAATGCCAAACAAGGAGGACCTTGTTTTTCTCCCCTCACGCAGACAGGATCCAATGGCCCAATTAAGCATGAAAATTGCTGTAAGTTTCCTCAGAAGCCCTGGGAACCCAAACATTAGGTTCCACCCTTGAATACTTAATTGCCTGAAGTTTCTGATTACAACTGCTCTGAATTCATCAGAATCTCTAATCAGTTACGTTTCTGCCTTCTGTGTAGAGAGACCAAAAAGCAAGATATTAAGCATTTTCTCTTAATGAAATAAAAAGTTAGGACAAATGTAAATTCTCAGTTTTCATAAAGGAAACCATTCAAAAAGGATTAAAAATGGCAAATTAATGTGATTTTATTTCTTCCCCTGACTCCCACCATGAAAATTTCCTATTCCCAAATAAGAAATGAAAAATCTTTTTTTTTTTTTTTTTTTTTTTTTAAATGAAGTCTCACACTGTCACACAGGCTGGAGTGCAGTGGTACGATCTCGGCTTACGGCCTCCTGGGTTCAAGCGATTCTCCTGCCTCAGCCTCCCAAGTAACTGGGATTACAAGCGCGCATCACCACGCCCGGCTAATATATGCATTTTTTAGTAGAGACGGGACTTCGCCATGTGGGCCAAGTTGGTCTTCGACTCCTGACCTCAAGTGATCTGCCTGCCTTAGACTCCCAAAGTGCTGGGATTACAGGCCTGAGCCACTGCGCCCGGCCACATTTACTGTTTAATTTTTGACAAGTTAAAGCCTTTCCAGATTGGAGTCAAATACAAGTTTATTAAGAGCCAGAAATTAGTCAGAAATAGTCTATCTTTAGATTGTATTTCACCAATTAAACTATTTAAATAAATCTCTCCTATGTTATTTGGAAATGTGTAATTTATTCTATTTGTAGATAACTCAATAACCAATACAGTCACAACAAATTATATTTAATTAAATCATTAGAACTAATAATTACGTGGTCAATAAATTATAGCCACATGATACGGAATTTCTGCTGTAACATGCTATATGTGGTCCTGAAAACACCCACAATGTGCACAACCACACACTGCAAATCAAGTATATTTTTAAAAAATAGGATGAGGCACACCACTCAAAACTTACACAGCTTTGTAACTACAGCACTAGCAAAAACAGTTTTTAAAAATCTAATGGAAATACTAGCCTACTTTAAAAAAGACGTGTTAAATTTCTATTTAATAAATAGATGGCTATTATAGTAAATAAAGTATTAAAAGCTAAGTGTTTGAGGTTATTGATAAGCTAATTACCCCAATTTGATCATTTCACAATGTATAGATGTATCTAAACAGACAGCGCACTGCACAATGTTTAGATGTAAATTAAAAATAAAAGAAATTTTAAGATTTCTCAAATGAGTGAATGATTTCCAGTAGTTATGACCTAGCCATTACTCCATCTACTAGCAGCATACCCTAACCATAGACAAAATACTGAGTACTGAATATAGAATCCTAAATAGAAAGTGGTTGTGGTAATGTCATATCGAAGAAAAAAAAATTTTGAAAACATTGATGATTCTCTTCAGTCCATACTGTGTCCCCCCAATATGATATTTAATGGGCATATCTTGAGAGTCATGATAACTTCTTCAGCCCAGCCACAATTTTTGCAAACTTGGAATCTCATTAGTAATCTTGTCTTCTCTTCTGGGATATAAATATGTCTATAACTTTCCTCTGTGAGTATTTAATTTCCTATGATAATGTTTATGGTTGGAAACTTCTATTCACCATTAACCTTAGCAATCTAATTTATTATAGGCATAGAATATTTTATGAGGAGAAATGAAAACTGTTCCTCTTATCCTACCTGCTTTTACATAGTAGATGTGTACTCTTCAAATCTACAAGATATCTTTTATCTTGATTTTGCTATCTATTCTACAGGTTAATTAAGCTTTTCTTTTCAGATTGCTGAATAAGAATATAGCGGCAAAATGTCTAGGTCAGCAGTATTTCTTCATTTTATAGATGTAAAAATTGAGGTTTGGGATTCAAGTTCAAGCCTGTTACTGGATCGGTATAGTTTCCAGTAGCTCTTCCCTTCATCATCTTCGATCAATACAAGAAACCACAAAGACATTAACTAGTTTTTAATGTTTTTAATAACATCTTGGTTGGCTAGAAGATTAGAAGTAAAAGAATAATAGTAGCATTTATTTTGAGCTTGATGGATTTATGAGTAATTCTTTCAGGAGTAATGATGCTGCACTTAAATACTAACATTTTCTCCCTGAGTAATTTAGTAACAAAAAAGGAGCTACATATTCTTTTTCCCACTTTGAAGTCATAATTCTCTTTCATTGACATATTCATTATCCTACATTTGGATTTTTATTATAATTAGGTGCTACCTTATGAGCAAATATTTCAAAATGTTTGTTGACTTGTCAGGTTCACAATTTTTTAATACAGGATTTGTTGATATTAATTGTGCCTTACACAGAGAATTCTTAATACCAGTGAGTTATTTAAAAGCTCAATCGTGATATACTGATGTAGACAATATTACATGTGATGATATTCTTTCATCTATTCACTTTATTTTTGGCTGAATAGTGCAAATAGGAATATTTGCCTTTTTTGAGTGGGGGGACTCATATATTGCTTTATGATTAAATGAATTTAAAAACTTGAAAATCAGAAAACCCCTTTAGTTTATTGTTAATGTGCCATATGATTTTATGTATTTATGACATATTGTGAGACTCACTGCACCCAAGAAAGGATTGTAAGTACTTTTTTTGTTCATCTTTAAGTGGTTATATAGTTGGCATTGTCAGTAGGTGGTCAGAGCCCTTTCATTTGCCAGAAGGCATACTTTGAAGATGATTTCAATGTTGGCAGGTAGTTATCCAGTTCTGTTACCTTGTATTCAAGTCAGTTTTCATTTCTTTATTATTTTCATTAAATGGAAACAAGGATGTATCGCTTCATTTAAGGCTTCTGTGAATTAAAGCCTTTGAGTAAAACGTCATTAATCTGCACCCCATTTGTTCAGAGAGTGTAATAATTTAGCAAAGAGCTGGGCTGAAGTTTACTGTCCTGCTATCTATAAAGAAAGGATTACTAACCCATTAACCAAATTAATAGTGCAAGCAAGATTGGAAGAACAAATTATATTAAACACCCTTAAGCACTTTAGAAGCACCCATATACCTACAGACAATCTAAGCTCCATATATAAAATATTCGCAGTTTTCTTTAAGGAGGATTTCTGTCCAACAACAATGATGATAGTTTAAAATGGCCCTTATTTGAAATACTTCCCTAATTTACTATTGCCCTGCTTTAAATCAAGTTACTCCAATTTGTGAGGTTTGGCTGAACTTGGCAGGCAAATTATGAAGTTTTTATAAAGATTTAAGTGGTTTGTCAGTGTTATATGGTAACTATTAGAAAAGTGTATAAAAGACCTTCCCATTTAGTAGTGTTCAGGTGGGATTTTGATGTCTGGCTTCTAGTATAGCCAGATATTTGAGATGGAAACATTTAATTTGTTGTGTATATAACACTCTTTCACAAAGATTTATCCTATTAAAAACTAATGAACCTGGACCCTAGTACACTGCCCACCGTAGGGCTTTGCTTGCTCAGAGTAGGCACTCAATGAATGCTGAATAAGTGAATGAATGAATCAAATTCAGTATATGCCGGAAAGTGTGTCGTCAGGGTTGAAAGTTATTTTCTTCTCCATTGAATAGGAAGTGTATTTTTCATTTCTTCAGGAAGCTAAAACAAAGGAAATTCCATAACTAGCATATTGAAATGTTAAGCTTGTTCTATCACTTGACTCCATTTTCCTTCCCCCACTCTCAGTAACCTCTCAAGATTTCTGATTTCTTTTTCTCAGGATGTTATCCCAAAGAAGGAAAGAAACCCAATGTGGATTTCTTCATTTTCCTCCTCCTCCTCCTTTGCTGAACTGTGATCACACACTAAAAGCTCCATCCTGTGCTGATGTTTGAGAATCTGTTACCATGGAGCTATTCCCCAGCTCAAAGGATGGTTTTATTACATATAGTGTTACAGGAAAAGAGAATGGTTAAAATTAAACTTTAAACAAATCCTGATTAATAATAATAGGAAATGGGAGAAATGCTTTCAAAAACAAATGCAGGGTGGAGTATATGTTTATGGTTGCCCTTGCTCTTGCTCTCCGAACATTATCTTTTATTTTTTGCTTTCGGTTTTTGGGAATTGTATTGCTTATAAAAGACCCTGCTATCCACTAGCTTCTGGGCATGTGTCCAAAATACAAGTGGACATTAACTCAGTTCAGCAGATAAGATTTCCTTAGAAACCTCCATAGGATTTCACTAGTCCATTCCTAGCAGCCTGCCTCTGACCTCTGCCCTCCCAGACAAAGCTACTTAAAGAAAAAATAATATTTGGTGCTTGTGAAGAGGTCAAGAAGGATACAAAAGAGTGAAGGATAAATACAAGATTTTGAAGCAAAGGTGACTTGGAGAATGACACCGAGGCAGGCCTAGACGGGAGTTGATGTTCAGGCAATGTGATAAGCTCTTCAAATGAACATGTTCGTTATACACAGAACGTGCCATTTTGCAGCCAGTAGTGGTCTTACCATGAAGGCCATAAGCTTGTTTTCTTACATAGATTGATTGATTAGGATTTATAGTTTTTGTGGACCCACAATTTTAGAAATTTAAAATTTTGTAGTTATAATTCAAGTATTTTATACATTTTTGAGCACTCTGAAGCACCTTGCCGATGGGGAAAAAAAAAAAGTGATACATTTACCAGAAGTCTCTTTCCCAGATAAAACCTCTAAGAAGTTATTTTATATAACTTTTGGGAGAAATAAAATTTGGAAATACATTAGGAGGCAAATGTAATAAGTTGCAATTAAATCTTTTAAATGCCTTAAAATAGCTGTTAAAATATTTGCCAAGTTCCGTGATTCTTTGGAAAGGAAGGGATGATGGCTGTTAGAGAAAGAATTCAAAGCATTATCTGCTTTTAGGACCCCAGTCTAGGTAGAAGCTAGGAGTGGGACAGGGGCAGAGGTACGGACCCCGTGTTGACCAGGGAGCTATGCTGGCAGTGTTTAGCTTTGGTACAAACAGAACATTTAAGGTATGTTATGTAGACCTGACAATTGTCATGATGACACTAGAGGTCAGAAGTTAGAGAAATGAATAAGCTGTGATTTATACTCAGCATGGCATAGATGTTAAGGGCTCAAGCTGCCAATTAACAGCTAAGTGTTTGTTTAAACTCTTTAAGCCTCAGGTTCCTCATCTGTGAAATTGGATTTGTAATCATATTTGCTTCACAAGATAGTTGTAAGGATTACATTAGACAATACATGTCAATGAGGTTAGCCTTTACACATAGTAAGTTCCCAGCCTACAGTAAGCATCTGATAAGTATAAATGGTTATTTTCATAAAAATTTAAAATCTCCTGAGAGGTACTTGATTGATGCATATCTACTTCAATTTTATGACACTGTGAATCCTTCCTGTAGAATATGTTTACTTTTGGAGATCATTAGGAAGGACTTCAGCATAGTGTTCTTGATTTCTTATAACCAGCCTAAATAGAGATGGCATTAATTCCACCCTAGTACTATATCGAATCTAGGTTGATGAGTTCAAGATTCTTCTGTCATGGAAAGGACATCATTGATCATTGGAAAGCTTTGTTTGCTAAACAGTCAGCAGGGCTTGATGTGAGGTAGATAAAGAGGAATGGCTATATTTTCGTTTTTTACCATCCCCATCGTCAAGAAGTCATTATTTCCCATTTGTTTTTCTAGTGGAGTGCTCATATTCTACAGACTGAGAAACCACTTAGTCCCCTTCTGGAATCCCACTATGTTAGAGATGTTTGCTGCCACCAAAAGTTTAAAGTTTGACTGGCTGAAAGGTGGACCAGCTTTGAATCTCAGCCATCCATAGGAAGAACTGCTCTGATACACCAACAGCTCTCATTCTCCCTTACTCATCAGCAAGCCCTGTATTTGGTAGCAGATGCTTTTCAAATTCACCTGATATCGCTGCATTGCAATGTTTGCTTTCTCTATTCTCCAACCCACTTATGTCACTTATACATCTGGTTTGACTTCTCTGGCTCCTGTGGCTTGTTGGGCCATAATTTCCTCTAAGGTCTGCATGACCTTTGTGAGGTGCCTACTGTGATGATCCTATCTGGCGTTCTACACTTGTAGTAAGAAATAGGTGTTTAGTCAGAGCTGTTAACAATAGTCAGCAAACCTTTTGAGATATTCCAGGTATTGAAGTGCTATGAGAGATTTTGAAATAAATATATTGTAGAACAAAAAGAAAGCACAGACCAAAAAAGATTCAATTCTGTGATATGTTGGAAGGAAAACGTAACCAACACGTTGCTCCCTTTCAATATGGATTGGTATCTTCTAGGAACTTCATTCCTTCCCAGCAGTTGCCCTCCTGGGAGTTGGGGACAACAAAAACTCTTTTATATAAGCTGAAAGCAGTGAGTAATAGACCACTTCTCAGTCTAGTTGTTGGTATGGGCATTTCATTTCTGACCTTTAATGTAATTTACCTAAACAAACAACTGATAATGGAAAACATCAGCTTCAGAGCCCTTCACAGTTTTAAAACATTTTCATCTATTGCTGAATTATTGTAGTTTCCTGAACACTATACAGATTATCTCTATTAGAAAAAGAAGTTTCCAATTTAAACTTAATGTGAAGGGTAGTCCAATATTGGATGTAAACAACTTCTCTAAGGCAGATGCAGATAAACACTAATAGAAAGGGAATGATACTATCTTAGGCCTGGACGTGGAGAATTGAGACTGAATTCTCAAGGTGGCACAAAAGCAAGTGAATTCTCAACCCAAGGCTGATAAGTAGATAATAATTAGAAAAATAAAACGGTTTTCTTTTGTGATGACAAAGCACAGATGTCTCCACTTGATTTCATATTAAATGGAAGGCTTAACTGGCATTGTGGGGAGAAAAGGAAGCTTTTTTTCTCCTCAGAAAGTGCTGGAGCAGATTGTCTGTTAAAAAGCTTAATAAAGAATTCAAAGACAGAGACCTCACAGCAGGGGTAAAAGGAGTAACTGGGTTGGGAAAGAATGAATCTAATAATAATAAGCAACTTTGCTTCTGCCAGGAAGTTCAATTCTGAAAATTCACACAACATAAACTCAATTCATTTGTATCCTCTCTTATTTGAAATTATTGAAGCTATAACTTCAGTAGTTCATTGATGTCAGGGTTCCCCTAGAAATAAAAGTTGAACAAGGGCATGTATATACTTTCTTAAGGAAACAAGTAAATCCCTAAGTCTGTCTGTACATACATGTTACCAAGAAAGGAAATAAAGCAGCTCCAAAATCTGTTTTTAATATTAAAGCCTAGTCAAGAATGTGTTCCCTGACTCTTTTTACCATAGCCATTTTTGAAAATAGGGCCTCTTTATAAAATACTTAGAATTAATAAGAATATGCATCATGAACCTCCTTTTCTCATGAACACTTATACAAACCTTCTGCCTTAGTATCCATTTAGTCCATATCTTTCCTCGCATATCATGCTATTTTATTTGACCAGCCTCCTTTCAGAAATTTATATTTAAATTCATTCATTCGGCAAATGTTTATCTCACATCTACTTTGTGCAAGTCACTGAGGACTCAGAGGAAGGTAAGATAAGGTGCTCATGGTCTGGAAGAGATAGAAATGTAAACAGATCGTTACAAGGCAGCCTGTTCAGTGTCATAGCACAGGTATGAACAGAGTACAATAGGAACAAGAAGGAGATGTTCTCCCTGGGGGTGACTCAGGAATGTCTTCCAGTGGCAGTGACATTTGAGCTGTGTCTCCAAGGATGATGAATCTGTGGTCAAGTGTCACATGCAAGATTCTCATGGAAATAATGGCAAGTAGAATACTAAACGTGCATTTATACAAAACAGTTTTCTCAGAAATGAAAATTACAGTGAGTATTAAGGCATAGAGACTAAATACCTTTCATCTGGAGGAAATTTAAGGTTAACAAAATCGGGTAACAGACTGTGAAAAGATCTCCACTGGTCATTTCTAGACGTCTCTGTCTATAAGCACTTTTCATTTTTTTCTCTCCATGAAGTTCTGTAGCAGCAATGTCAGAGAGATTTGGCACCTGGGGAGGTTTACTTATATAACTCATTAATTTTCCAGGCACTGCAATGACCAGTAGTTACTACGTTTTATAATTAAAGGCAAACTAAGTCTCACAAAGGTTGGATGTTTTTGTCTGGGGTCTTGGAGCTCATCAGTGACAAAACAGTGAGTTAAACTCCAAGATCTTGATTATATACTAACGTCCTAACTGCTCACAAAGTATTGGAAGATTGTACTGTAGGAAGACTGAAAGTCAATATTGATTGATTATTATCTGCTAAATAGCTCAATGTCACATGCCCTGAGACCTCTTCTTGCTCATAGCCAGGCCTGCACTCTACTTATTTACTAGACTCATCCCCTTTCACCTACAAGGACATGGCTTTAGCAATTCTTATGCTCTCTCCTGAGTCATCAATATTATCCTGTCTATAAGATCTTTTCCAATAGCATACTAACGTGCTGTTTGTTATCCTATATATTTTTTAAAATCTCTGTCTCTCTGCTTCTGCCTCCAGTGACTTCCTATTTCTCTCCTTTTCTTCACTGTGAAACTCCTTCAAAAAGTTGTCTTTACTCACAACTGGTGTTTTTTCTCCTCCCATTCTCTTAAGTCCACTCCAGTCAGATTTTCACCCACATCACTGTACAGAAACCAGTCTTCTCAGTGTTAATAATGACTCCAAGAGGCTAACTTCACTTATCCATTCTTCATCCTCATCTTATTTGACCTTCAGCTACATTAACATACTAGCTCCATCCTTCCTTCCTCCTTGAAACATTTTCTTCCCTAACTCCTAGGGCAACATATTCTTCTAGTTTTTCTTCCTATCTCATATTTACTTGGTGGTTAGTAGAAATTTCAAGCTTTAAATGAATGAAACTGAACTCATTTACTACATCACTCCTACTTCTACCCAAGAATTCCCAATCCCACTTCCTTCTACCACCTTCCCCTCGGCTATTTCCAGTGCCTGAAATTCTCTTCCTCCAAACAGCTGCATGGCTTCCCCTCCCCACTTTCAGGAGTCTACTCCAGTGCTGCCTTCCTAATGAGGTTTTTTCCGTCAGAGTGCTGACAAAACACAGATGACAAACTCAAAGTAGAAAAATTTAAGAAAGATTTAACAAAGGTATGGGCAGGGAGCAGAGGGAGTCTAGGAAGGATATGCATATCCCAGGCCTGATAAAGCAGAGCTGTTACCACTGCTGGACAAGGGCTGGGAGCACTTATAGAACCCGGTATATGAGATATGGGTAGACAGGCCTCCCTTGAGAAAAGCAGTGACCTTTGAACTTCAACTGGGGATCCTCATTATGTGTACCAAATCGGAAGCCAGAGGGCAAAGGAGCCCACTACTACAATCCACATAACCTCCTGGGACAAAGAGTTCAAGAGAAATGTGGAGAGCGTATCTGGTGATCCAAATAAAAGACATCACATACAGGCCTCCCTCGCCCACCGTATTTAAAATTACAACCAGAGTCAACTGCATCATTTGAGGGGTACAGTGCAAAATGAAAATGCAGAATAGCTTGTTAAAAAATTATTAAGCTCTAGATGGTGATGGTGAGTATTAAACCAAATACGAAGCCCTTCTGGATGTGGTTCCCTCAGTGACTCCCCAGATTGCACACCCGTGAAGCCAGCCCTGATTTCACCCCTTGCCTCCAACACTGGATTCCCTCCCTATGCCTCTTTCTGACTTTATTTTTCTCCATTACGCGTATTTCAATCTAACTAACATGCTATATCATTTAACTTATTTATTTGGTTTGTTATTTATCTGACCCACTTGAATTTAAGCTCCCCAGGGCAGGAATTTCAGTATCTTTCATTACATACTGCATATAGTGCCTCAGACACTCCCTGGCACATAGTAAATACAATAAATATGTATAAATACATACAAATAAAATGTATAAACCATTCTCTTAAAAAATGGAAGAAGAAAGGCTACAGGAAGAGATCAAACCCTTACTGAGTGGGTTCCCTTTCCACAGCCTGAAATCCTCTCTTCATTAGCCATAACTGAAAGCTAAGTGCAAGCCAGTATCTTTCATTGGAAAGGATAATTTTTAAAACTCTCAGTATTTAAGATCATCTTTCTTAACAATTTTCTATATAAAGGCAGTAATCAAAACAAGTCCTGTAACTTAAATTAACAGTTGGCATGTAGAATAGAAATGTACGCATGAGTATAATTTTAAAGTTTTGTAAGGTTTATTTCCCTGACATGAACCTATCTAATATTCTTTATGGCCTGCCCATTCCAGAATCAGTCATTCTCAGGGTTCGGTGCTTGGCCTACTTCTTTCCTGACTATTCAGACTCTGCAGTATACTCTAGCCATGGGTTCAAAATAACATTTTAAGCAGCTGAGGCACAAACACTATTTCCATCCTATATCTTCCATCTGGGCTTCAAAATATATATGCTACATTCCACTGCCTACTAAATATCATCACTTGTAAATATAGGGATCTAGAGCTTACTCAGAATGGATGTAACTGCACCTCCTTCTACTCCAGCCACTAGCCTATTTCTGCTTTGTCTCTAAAGACAAACCTCTTTATTCTCCATGAGCCAGAACAGAACCTGGGCATCACTGGTGGCTTCTCTCTTTTCCTCATGTACCATCTGATTAATCAGAGCAGACTATTTGTTTTCCACCTCCTAAATATGTCTCATGTCTGCATCTTCCTTCTTATCTCCACATCTGCTATCCTAATTCACGCGTTCATCATTTCTAGTCTAGATTTTAACAGTGGTCCCTTCAGTAGTCTTCTTGCCTTTAACTGTGCTGTTAAATCTGTCATCCACAAAGCTGCTAATAAGGTTATCTTACATGCAAATCTTACCACATCTTTTTTGCATAAAGTTTGTTAAATGGCTCCTCATAACCTATAGCATGAATGACCTCCTTTAAAATGGCAATATAGAATACTTCCAGATATTCTCTCCTTCTGTGTCTTTTCCATTCTTGCTCCAGAAATACCAAACTACAGTACTAGTGCTTATTCAACCAAATCTTTTGCATGGCCTCTAATCCCTCCAGGCTGTAGCACCTGATGTTGTTTCCTACAGCACCTACCAGGTATGCTTGTCCCAGTCTTATCAACCCAGCAAACTTCCGCTTCTCTTCTAAGACCCATCTTCTTCTCCTCAGTTCCGCTACACCTTTTAACAACTCCACTATAGCCTTACATAGAACACTGTAAGGATCTGTTTAAATATCTTTCACACCACTATACGCTAAAGCTCATTCAGAGAAGAGACATTTTTTAAATCTCTGTATCCCTATGCCTTGTACAGTGCTCAGCACACATTAGGTGCTCTATAAATACGTGATGCTATATTTAGATTGTGGCTATCACACAATATGCATATCTGTGTAAAAACTTAAACTACAGGTGTAGAACTACATAACTACAATTGCAAATAAGTACTTAAGTTTTAAAAAGTATTTTAAACAGTATTTTAAATAACCAGTCTGTTAACTTTTCTCTATTTTTGTCTAGAAATTACTAATGGCAGCTAGTTTTATTTTTCTAATGATTGTGAAGAAAGTTACTTTTGAATAAAAAAGTAGTAGTTTGTAATTGTTGTATTTATTTAAAAGCTTTAGAAAGAAAACTAAATATACCTAAATGAATATATACAAACATGCAGTAAACATATTTATGAACAAAATATTTAACAGTTTCTTTAAAAACTATAGTTTTATGGTCTAAACTGAGGATTGACCATATGTAATTAAAAGTTAATATTTTAGACCCATAGCTTATGTTGCAGATATTGTTATTTATGCCTTAATCCATTGCCTGTATCATTCTGCATCAAATAATAACCTCTTTCAGTTCAAGCATGTACTAATTGGAGTATGTGTTATCAGAGCCTGACGGTCAGATTAAAATTTGTCTTTTGAATTTAATTTCAAATGTAATATTTGAAAAAAAAAATAGAACGTGCTGTAACCCTGCTGTATTCCCTGGTTCTCCGAGGGCCACGTTAAGAGCATAATGTTCTTGTTGGAGGAATATATAGGGCAATAAACAGTTTTGTGGGTGATTAAACAGTGAAGTAAAGCTGAATCTTCCAATTACCAGCAAAAGGCTCTTATGGCAAATATATTACAGTACCTTGAAAATTTGCTTTTGTATATTAGTTTTTCTAACATTATTTTATGAGTTTGATTATAATTAGATTTATACTAAGCGGTAAGCAGATGTGTATCTGTTCACTTAAAAAATTCTAACAAGAATTTCCAAAATTCAAAATCCAAGTTAATATCCCTAGACCCAAAAATAACTTTTCATTTTCTATAAACTATTTCTGTACCCATAGAAAAGCAGGAAGAAGAGAAGAGAGGACTGACATTTAATCCAGAACAGATATGCCTTTAGGTAGAGATAGCTGCTGAGTAAAGCTGACAGATTTCTACAAAAAGTACAATTCATAGATAGAAAAACTGTACTCTACTTCTACAGGCTATTAAATCTGGACTTTCTGAACAAGGACCATTAGTTAACCCCGGTCATCTATGAAATAAGGTATTATTCATCTTGTTGTAGCATCCATATTCACTGATTATATTAATTGGGACATCATTATTTTTACAATAGCAGTAAAACACAGAAAAAGCTGGTAAACCATTCATTACCTTACTTTTTCCTCCTGTGGCACTATGACTTGAATGTTGATTATCTTTTACCTTTTGACCCATTTTTAAGGACAGCCTCCCAAAATAGATAGATTATTTGATGGAAATGTATAATCTTGAAAAGAGGACAGGAAAAATGATAATCGAAGAATTTCTTTGATAGTGAAATAAATGTGATGATGGTTTCAAACTATGCAGATTTTGTAGAAAGAAACTTAAGACCCATTTACTGGGATGCTTAGATGGTGCCCCAAAACCTTTATGACAAGAAGTAAAGATAGCTGGGCCCCCATTTGTCCTTCTATTTTTATTGCCATAATGATTCCTGAACAAAAAATAAGTTAATTATAGTGGTGTTTAGACACAATTTTCCTCCGCTGTCTATATTCCCGCCCTATTTTGTCTTTTTTCGTCTTCTACTAACCACACACACACACACACACACACACACCCCACACTCACACACACACTTTCAAATGAAAGCCTCTTACCTTTTTGGCCATTTCTCTTTGGCTGCTTTTCTTTTGAAAAATCAGACATGATGTACTATCTTGTGTTCTTGGTATCTACCAATATGAGTGTCCACTTCAGGGCCACAAGTAATGAATACATTTGCAATTCCTGCATGTGGTTGTTAGAAAATCGAGGTATCATGATATTGCTGTAATAGTTTAGAATTCAGCATTTCATTGAAATGTGAGCTTCTTTATACACAAATCCTATATAACACTATATGGGATTTTGGTCATACAAGTTAAATGTCAGAAGGCATTATGCCCATTTGCAGGAATCCGTAATGAAAGTAAACCTGGTCTCCACTTCTTGGCTATGAATTAGCAAATGAAAAGAAGTATTCTGATCAAAGGAAGCCACCGTGGGTCATCCATACTTACCTCTATTCCCTTTTCTAATATCTAAGATCATGTTGAGTAGAGTCTTCTATTTAAGTAGGTAGTTTGAAAGCACATTGGACTAACTAGATTATTTGAGGTAGAAGGATTCCAGGTGATTTTAAAACTAATTGTTGATTTACAAAAAAGCAATGGAGTTTGGAAATATTTGCAGTGATTTCTTTCATTCTCCTTACCTTCTGCTCCCCCAGCATCAACCAAGCATTTCCTATAAAGCATAACTGCTACAAAGGAAAAGCTTATACTCCATACTCCATTATAAGTTAAAGCAACTTCATGGAAACCATGATAAACAAGTGTTAGTGTGGTGACCTATGAGATTCTTTCCTTTAAAGGACTTAGCAATCTACTTAACCTCTTCTTGTATTTACTTCTTCATTGGTAAAATGAAAGGCCTTATTTATTTGTTCCCTCAAATCTGTTCCAGCTGTAATATTCAATAATCTGTGATGTTTGTCTTACTACAAATTCAGGTTTCCTTCTATTTCCCGCTGACCATCAAGATACATTGTCAACCCAACCTCTTCTTTTAGGCAAGCTGTTTTCTCTTCTCTTCCCCACATCCCTTCAGAGTTTGGGGGTTTCTTCTTTGATTGGCTGAAAGTGGGCCTGCCTGCCTCTACCAGTTTGTCCCTGAAGCAGTAGGAGATGTGTATCAGAGGATCTTCATGATGTCAGAACAACCCTGCTGCCGTAGTAATGGAGGGCCAGAGAATCCAAAGACCCTGGAATACTAGACTTGAAAACAATAGAGTGAGTGTCCCAGTGACTTTGTATTGTTTAATATAATCATAACCAGGATTTTTAAACACAGCAAGTAAAATCATTAGATATATAAATGTGTATATATAAATAGAAAAGTTGGTAATTATAGTGTCTCATAATCTAGGACACAGAAATATTTTTAAAAGACAAAACCAAAAATTCTATGATCATTGGTTAGACAGTTTAAGATCAAGACAATAAAGGCATCAAAACATACTTTTAAATTTTTTTCTACAGTAATGGCCAATTATGCATCCCAAGAAATCTATTGTAATTACCATCAGTAATAAGACTGAACCAGAAGAGATTATATATCCTATATAATGCTTTGTAGCTGACCGTTTCTATAGCACTAAACCTCAAAATCCATCCCAGGAGCTATTTTCTTCATGCCTATTTCTAAAAGCCTGGGTTAAAATTCTATATTAAGCAGTGGTTCTCAAACTTGGACAAACATGTAAGTATCACAGGGGTTTTTTCCTAAAAGTGCCATTTATGAGGTGCTAATCCTAGAGATAATGATTTAGAAAATCTTAGTGTGGGACTTAGGATCAGCAATTTCAATAATCTTTCCCGCCAATTGGGATGAGAATTTTGTGGGTTCTAAATTCTAGAACCACTCGGAAGTTAAAGGTTTTGGGATGCATGTGATTATATAAGGTCATAATCCATGTATTCTTTCATTTTGTTTAAAAATATTATTAGGTTTTTTTAAATCTTATGACATTTAATATGAATGGATATAAAATATTTTAATGTTACACATGATCAGAAAGCCATTAATTTAGAAGTATTTATTTTCATTCACAAAATGCAATCTAGGCTTAAACAAACCTATCTTTAGTCATTAAATATTAGAATTTCCTGGTTACTAACTTGCCGTGTTACAGCTGTGAGGCAGCTACCTTCTTTACCTTATTACAATTTATTATGTTACAGCTAGATCTTGTTTCAGTGTTCCAAAGAAAATTTCCTAGAACATTGGCTGGTTATCAAGGTTATTCTTTTTTTCTCTTTAGTGCTCTTGTTTTTGTTTTTTATGAATGTTTCATCTTATTTCCTCAAGGCCTCTTAGAGTTGCTTGAATGTTGGCTTTCTAAAAGATTGTTTGTAAAAGGCTTAGAAAAATCAGTTGAAACATCTAGACAATGGAAAAAACAGGAAAACAGGAGGTTAGCCAAATATTAAGTATGTTTCTAAAGGAGTATTGTCATGATATTTTTCTTTTTAAAATTTTTTTTCTGGTTCTAACCGTCTATCATATATAATGAGATTTGCTTTGTAAATACTAATGCACTGTCTTTCCATAATGACTGTCTCCTAAAGATCCCTGTGTCTTACACATGATTTTTTTTTTTTTTAAGTCTCTTAGTGAGGGACGAAGTGGAAAGATTCTGGATGTTGTTTTCCCATTATGTTCTCAAGAGAGTATTCGTTAAGGAAAATCTGAAAGTATTAAAAGAAACAAGACATTCTACTGAAAAGGTTTATCTTCTTTTCACTCTGAAAACATTTTTAGATGTGAAATTGCTTTTATCATTTCCACTTGAACCAAGTAGTATTTGGTATATGATTTCTGACAGACATTTATTAAAATTTCAATATTTTGTTCATCATGGATTTTCTGCTTTTTGATTTTAAAAATATTTCATTAAAATATTGTTTGTTTGGATTACTAAGGGGATTTTTGTGTGCATGTGCCTCCTTAAATTTGGTGCCCAAATTAAACACCTCACTAGTTTCACCCTCGTCCGGCCTTGTTCCCTATCATTAATGTGGCCTGTGTACAGAAAATACAGTATTTGGGAAGCATTAACAGTAATCTCAGCAACCTACAGTGTCTAGCATGGGGCAGGCCCTCATTACAATTACAATTTTGTCAGCATTTAATTGTTGTAAGTTTTTCTTATTTATCTTGATTTTCCAGAGTGAGTCACCATAATTGCTATTAATTTATTATTTTCTTGGTATTTATGTTCCTTTCCATTGCTTTGAAATAAGGAGTAAAGGCATTTAGTTTAAAATATATAAAGATAAATGCAAACAATTTTATTTAAATATACTCTTTGCTTCTATTTACAATGCAATCCAAGAATATCCCAATAGATATTCAGGGTTTTACTAAAGCTGTCTGTTTTTCCAGGGGTTTCAATGCTTCTCAGAATTATTCTTTTAGAATCTGCCCTTGAACAATCCCTTTATGGAAGTGAAATAAACAGAGTGCTGAGTCTTTCTATAATGCAGTGACCTTGCTTTGTATTGACAAAAAAAACTCTTACAGCTGGTTCTTATGTACTATGTGTATTGATGTGTTTCTGAAGACCCAGATCAGTGAGTAGAAGCTGTAACTGTTCATTCTCTTTGTAGAAGTTTAAAAAAATTCCTTAAGACCACAGAGATTTTTAACTATATCATTTCAAATTGAATTTACACTTGGAAACTTAAACCAGGTAATCCTTACAGTGTTTGTCTATTGAAAAGTTTTTATTTTAGTGACATATTTATGCTGTTAGAGTTTAGTCCTGGCAGCTTGTCTAAGTAAAAGCATTACTTTCTGGGAGCTAAATGTTAGCTGCAAAAGGTTTGCTCTAATCTGAAGTTTAACATAATGGCAATTGTTTTTATTATTATTATTATACTTTAAGTTCTGAAGTACATGTGCAGAATGTGCAGGTTTGTTACATAGGTATACATGTGCCAGGGTGGTTTGCTGCACCCATTCAACCCATCATCTACGTTAGATATTTTTCCTAATGCTATCCCTCCCCTGGGCCCCCAACCCCTGACAGGCCCTAGTGTGTGATGTTCCCATCCCTGTGTACATGTGTTCTCATTGTTCAACTCCCACTTATGAGTGAGAACATGCAAGTTTGGGTTTTCTGTTCTTGTGTTAGTTTGCTGAGAATGTTGGTTTCCAGCATCATCCATGTCCCTGCAAAGGACAGGAACTCATCCTTTTTTATGGATGCATAGTATTCCATGGTGTATATGTGCCACATTTTCTTTATCCAGCCTATCATTGATGGGCATTTGGGTTGGTTCCAAGTCTTTGCTATTGTGAACAGTGCCACAATAAACATAACGTTTGCATGTGTCTTTATAGTATAATGATTTATAGTCCTTTGGGTATATACCCAGTAATGAGATTGCTGGGTCAAATGGTATTTCTAGTTCTAGATCCTTGAGGAATCGCCACACTGTCTTCCACAATGGTTGAACTAATTTACACTCCCACCAACAGTGTAAAAACGTTCCTATTTCTCCACATCCTCTCCAGCATCTGTTGTTCCTGACTGTTTAATGATTGCCATTCTAACTGGCATGAGATGGTATCTCATTGTGGTTTTGATTTGCATTTCTCTAATGACCAGTGATGATGAGCTCTGTTTCATATGTTTGTTGGTTGCATAAATGTCTTCTTTTGAGAAGTGTCTGTTCATATCCTTTGCCCACTTTTTGATGGGGTTGTTTTTTTCTTGTAAATCTGTTTAAGTTCTTTGTAGATTCTGGATATTAGCCCTTTGTCAGATGGATAGATTGCAAAAATTTTCTCCCATTCTGTAGGTTGGCTGTTCACGCTGATGATAGTTTCTATTGCTGTGCAAAAGCTCTTTAGTTTAATCAGATCCCATTTGTCCGTTTTGCCATTTGATGTCATTGCTTTCGGTGTTTCAGTCATGAAGTCTTTGCCCATGCCAATGTCCTGAATGGTATTGGCTAGGTTTTCTTCTAGGGTTTTTATGGTTTTAGGTCTTAGGTTTAAGTCTTTAATCCATCTTGAGTTAATTTTTGTATAAGGTGTAAGGAAGGGATCTAGTTTCAGTTTTCTACATATGGCTAGCCAGTTTTCCCAACACCATTTATTAAATAGGGAATCCTTTCCTCATTGCTTGTTTTTGTCAGGTTTGTCAAAGATCAGATGATTGTGTATGTGTGGCATTATTTCTGAGGCCTCTCTTCTGTTCCGTTGGTCTATATATCTGTTTTGATACCAGTACCATGCTGTTTTTGTTACTGTAGCCTTGTAATGTAGTTTGAAGTCAGGTAGCGTGATGCCTCCAGGTTTTTTCTTTCTGCTTAGCATTGTCTTGGCTATGCAGGCTGTTTTTTGGTTCCATATGAAATTTAAAGTAGTTTTTTTCTAGTTCTGTGAAGAAAGTCAATGGTAGCTTGATCAGGATAGCATTAAATCTATAAATTACTTAGGGCAGTATGGCCATTTTGATGATATTGATTCTTCCTATCCATGAGCATGGAATGTTCTTCCATTTGTTTGTGTCCTCTCTTATTTCTTTGAGCAGTGGTTTATAGTTCTCCTTGAAGAGGTCCTTCACATCCATTATAAGTTGGGTTCCTAGGTATTTTATTCTCTTTGTAACAATTGTGAATGGGAGTTACTTGTGATTTGGCTCTCTGTTTGTCTGTTATTGGTGTACAGGAATGCTTTGGATTTTTGCACATTGATTTTGTATCCTGAGACTTTGCTGAAGTTGCTTATCAGCTTAAGGAGATTTTGGGCTGAGATGATGAGGTTTTCTGAATATACAATCATGTCATCTTCAAACAGAGACAATTTGACTTCCTCTTTTCCTAATTGAATACCCTTTATTTCTTTCTCTTGCCTGATTGCCCTGGCCAGAACTTCCAATACTGTGTTGAATGGTGTGGTGAGAGAGGGCATCCTGGTCTTGTGCTGGTTTTCAAAGGGAATGCTTCCAGTTTTTGCCCATTCAGTATGATATTGGCTGTCAGTTTGTCATAAATCGTGTTTATTATTTTGAAATACGTTCCATCAATGCCTAGTTTATCGAGAGTTTTTAGCATGAAGGGCTGTTGAATTTTTTCGAAGGCTTTTTCTGCATCTATTGATATAATCATGTGGTTTTTGTCATTGGTTCTGTTTATGTCATGGATTACGTTTATTGATTTGCATATGTTGAACCAGCCTTGCATCCCAGGGATGAAGCCACCTTGATCGTGGTGGATAAGCCTTTTGATGTGCTGCTGGATTTGATTTGCTAATATTTTATTGAGGATTTTGACATCGATGTTCATCAGGAATATTGGCCTGAAATTTCCTTTTTTGTTGTGTCTCTGCCAGGTTTTGGTATCAGGATGGTGCTTGCCTCATAAATGAGTTAGGAAGGATTCCCTCTTTTTCTGTTGTTTGGAATAGTTTCGGGAGGAATGGTACCAGCTCCTCTTTGTACCTCTGGTAGAATTCGGCTATGAATCCATCAGTTCTCGGACTTTTTTTGGTTGGTAGGCTATTAATTGTTGCCTCAGTTTCAGAACTTGTTATTGGTGTATTCAGGGATTCCACTTCTTCCTGGTTTAGTCTTAGGAGGGTGTATGTGTCCAGGAATTTACCTATTTCTTCTAGATTTTCTATTTATTTGTGTAGAGGTGTTTATAGTATTCTCTGATGGTAGTTTATATTTCTGTGGGAATTGGTGGTATCCCCTTTATCATTTTTTATTGCATCTATTTGATTCTTCTCTCTTGTTTCTTTATTAGTCTTGCTAGTGGTCTATCAATTTTGTTGATCTTTTCAAAAAACTACCTCCTGGATTCACTGATTTTTTTGAAGGGTTTTTTGTGTCTCTGTCTCCTTCAGTTCTGCACTGATCTTAGTTATTTTTTGTCTTCTGCTAGCTTTTGAATTTGTTTGCTCTTGCTTCTCTAGTTCTTTCAATTGTGATGTCAGGATGTCGATTTTAGATCTTTCCTGCTTTCTCTTGTAGGCATTTAGTGCTATAAATTTCCCTCTACACACTGCTTTACATGTGTCCCAGAGATTCTGGTACATTGTGTCTTTGTTCTTACTGGTTTCAAAGAACATGTTTATTTCTGCCTTCATTTTGTTATGTACCCAGTAGTCATTCAGGAGCAGGTTGTTCAGTTTCTATATAGTTGTGCAGTTTTGAGTGAGTTTCTTAATCCTGAGTTCTAATTTGATTGCACTGTGGTCTGAGAGACTATTATGATGTGCATTATTTTGCATTTGCTGTGGCATGTTTTACTTCCAATTATGCGGTAAATTTTAGAATAAGTACAATGTGGTGCTGAGAAGAATGTATATTCTGTTGATTTGAGGTGCAGAGTTCTGTAGATGTCTACTAGGTTTGCTTGGTCCAGAGCTGAGTTCAAGTCCTGAATATCCTTGTTAATTTTCTGTCTCATGGATCTGTCTAATGTTGACAGTGGGGTATTAAAGTCTCCCACTATTATTATGTGGGAGTCTAAGTCTCTAGATAGGTCTCTAAGAACTTGCTTCATGAATCTGGGTGCTCCTGTATTGGGTGCATATATATTTAGGATACTTAGCTCTTCTTGTTGCATTGATCCCTTTCCCATTATGTAATGTCCTTCTTTGTCTGTTTTGATCTTTGTTGGTTTAAAGTCTGTTTTATCAGAGACTAGGATTGCAACCCCTGCTTTTTTTTTCTTTCTTTCCATTTGCTTGGTAAATATTCCTCCATCCCTTTATTTTGAGCCTATGTGTGTCTTTGCATGTGAGATGGGTCTCCTGAATACAGCACACCATTGGGTCTTGACTCTTCATCCAATTTGCCAGTCTGTGTCTTTTAATTGGAGCATTTAGCCCATTTACATTTAAGGTTAATATTGTTATGTGTGAATTTGATCCTGCCATTATGATGCTAGCTGGTTATTTTGCCCATTAGTTTATGCAGTTTCTTCATAGTGTCGATGGTCTTTACAATTTGATATGTTTTTGCAGTGGCTGGTGCTGGTTGTTCCTTTCCATGTTTAGTGCTTCCTTGAGGAGTTCCTGTAGGGCAGGCCTGGTGGTGACAAAATCTCTCAGCATTTACTTGTCTGTAAAGGATTTTATTTCTCCTTCACTTATGAAGCTTAGTTTGGCTGGATATGAAATTCTGGTTTGAAAATTCTTTTCTTTAAGAATGTTGAATATTGGCCCCCACTCTCTTCTGGCTTGTAGGGTTTCTGCAGAGAGATCCACTGTTAGTCTGATGGGCTTCCCTTTGTGGGTAACCTGACGTTTCTCTCTGGCTGCCCTTAACATTTTTTCCTTCATTTCAACCTTGGTGAATCTCACAATTATGTGTCTTGGAGTTGCTCTTCTCGAGGAGTATCTTTGTGGTATTCTCTGCATTTCCTGAATTTGAATGTTGGCCTGCCTTGCTAGGTTGGGGAAGTTCTCCTGGATAGTATCCTGGGAGTGTTTTCCAACTTGGTTCCATTCTCCCCGTCACTTTCAGGTACACCAATCAAACGTAGATTTGGTCTTTTCACATAGTCCCATACTTCTTGGAGGCTTTGTTCATTTCTTTTCAATCTTGTTTCTCTAATCTTGTTTGCTTGCTTTATTTCATTGAGTTGATCTTCTGTCTCTGATATCCTTTCTTCCTCTTGATCAATTCAGCTATTGATACTTGTGTATGCTTCACGAAATTCTCGTACTATGTTTTTCAGCCCATCAGGTCATTTGTATTCTTCACTCAACTGGTTATTCTAGTTAGCAATTCGTTTAACCTTTTTTCAAGGTTTTTAACTTCCTTACATTGGGTTAAGACATGCTCCTTTAGCTCAGAGGAGTTTGTTATTACCCATCTTCTGGAGCTTAACGTCTGTCAATTTGTCAAACTCATTCTCTATCCAGTTTTGTTCCCTTGCTGGCGAGGAGTTGTGATCCTTTGGAGGAGAAGAAGCATTCTGGTTTTTGGAATTTTCAGCCTTTTTGCACTGGTTTCTCCCCACCTTCATGGATTTATCTACCTTTGGTCTTTGAAGTCGATGACCTTCAGATGGGGTCTCTGAGTGGACATCCTTTTTGTTGATGTTGATACTATTCCTATCTGTTTGTTAGTTTTCCTTCTAACAGTCAGGCCTCTCTGCTGCAGGTCTGCTGGAGTTTGCTGGAGGTCCACTCCAGACCCTGTTTGCCTGGGTAGCACCAGCGGAGGCTGCAGAGCAGCAAAGATTGCTGCCTATTCTATCCTCTGGAAGCTTCAACCCGGAGGGGCACCCACCAGATGCCAGCCAGAGCTCTCCTGTATGAGGTGTCTGTTGGCTCCTACTGGGAGGTGTCTCCTAGTCAGGATACACAGGGGTCAGGGACCTACTTGAGGAGGCAGTCTGTCCCTTATCAGAGCTCAAACGCTGTGCTGGTAGACCCACTGCTCTCTTCAGAGCTGCCAGGTAGGGACGTTTAAGTCTGCTGAAGCTGCGCCTACAACCACCACTTTCCCCAGGTGCTCTGTCCCAGGGAGGTGGGGGTTATATCTATAAGTCCCTGACTGGGGCTGCTGCCTTTTTTTCAGAGATTCCCTGCTCAGAGAGGAGACAGTCTGGCTGCAGCAGCCTTTCTGAGCTGGGGTGGGCTCCACCCAGTTCGAACGTCCTGGTGGCTTTGTTTACACTGTGAGGGTGAAACCACCTACTTAAGCCTCAGCAATGGTGGAGTCCCCACCACCCACCAAGCTCAGGTGTCCCAGGTCGAACTCAGACTGCTGCTGTGCTGGCAGCAAGAATTTCAACAAGTGGATCTTAGCTTGCTGAGCTCCATCTGGGCTCCGACGAACCAGACTACTTGGCTCCCTGGCTTCAGCCCCCTTTGCAGGGGGAGTGAACGGTTCTGTTTCACTGGTGTTCCAGGCGCCACTGTGACATGAAAAAAAAAAACTCCTCCAGCTAGCTCAGTGTCTGCCCAAATGGCCGCCCAGTTTTGGGCTGGAAACCCAGGGCTCTGGTGGTGTAGGCACCAGAAGGAATCACCGTGGGGAAAGCACAGTATCTGGGCCAGAGTGCACAGTACAGTCCCTAATGGCTTCCCTTGGCTGGGAGAGGGAGTTCCCCGACTCCTTGCACTTCCCGGGTGAGGTGATGCCCCACCCTGCTTCAGCTCGCCCTCCTTGGGCTGCACCCACTGACCAACCAGTCCCATTGAGATGAACGGGGTACCTCAGTTGGAAATGCAGAAATCACCTGCCTTCTGTGTCGATCTCGCTGGGAACTACAGACTAGAGCTGTTGCTAAGACCAGAGCTGTTGCTATTTGGCCATCTTGCCAGCAACTGGAAATTATTTTTTTTAAAAAAACATTTTAAATAATAGCACATCTTATTTTTATTAACTTTCATTTAATACTTGAGAGTTTTATCTAAGTAATGTCAATGTTAATTCTGCAAATTCAGATTCAAATGAAAGATTTGATAATGCATTATTACTATAATGTGAATAATTACTATCTAAAATATAATTTAGACATATTCTGCCACATGAAGTCAAATTGACTATCTGAATTTCCTTCAAACTACCTTTTCTCAGACCTAGAGACCACATAGCTCTCCACTGCCCAACACTAGACCTATAAAACTATTTAACATATTTTTTAATTTTGAGAACCTACATTAATATATTTTCTTTCAAGATGACTTTCAGTAAGCTTTTCAGTAGCATTGAGTTCTAATTATATGAATGTTACATGTATTTGTGCTAGGAAATTTAGAAAATACAGAAAACATTAAAGAATATGATAAAAATCACCACTAATAGAATTCCCTAGATAGCATTAAAATTCAGGTGGTTTTTCCTTTTAGGAATTTATCAGCGTAATGTACGTAGGAATGTCCATGTGTGTGAAAGAGGGGGAGAGAAAGGTTTGTAAGGAGATATGTGACTTAATTTGTTATATTGCATCCCCTACTTAATGTTGGGCATTTTATGATGTCAGCAAATAGTCTCTGAAAGTATAAATTTTTTTTTTTTTTTTTTTTGAGACGGAGTTTAGCTCTTGTTGCCCAGGCTGGAGTGCAGTGGTGTGATCTCTGGCGCACTGCAACCTCTGCCTCCCAGTTCAAGTGATTCCTCTGCCTCAGCCTCCTGAGTAGCTGGGATTACAGGTGCCCACCACTCTGCCCAGCCAATTTTTTGTATTTTTAGTAGAGATGGGGTTTCAGCGTGTTAGCCAGAATGGTCTCAATCTCCAGACCTTGTGATCCGCTTGCCTTGGTTTCCCAAAGTGCTGGAATTACAAGTGTGAGCCACCATGCCCAGCGGTTGAAAGTATAATTTTTAATAGTCGCATAGTGTTTCATTGCATGGCTGTATTATAATTTGTTTAACCATTTTTGCCTGTTTCTAATAATGAATATCATTGGGATATCTTTATTTATAAAATTTTCATGATATCATAGTTTCTTTCCCTGGGCTCTTAGAAGTCTAAGAAGTTTACTTACGATATATAAACATTTTTAAGCCTTTTGGTTATGTTATTGCCATTGTGCTTTTCAGAAATGTTGCTATAAACACATTTTTAGAAAAAAGTTACCATTTGAAGCAAATATACAAAAATAACCTCAAAGTCTTCATGTAACTAATACTTACTAATTTATATTGTCACTCTGTTTTTCATGTTTTTATTTTATAATACTGTTGTTCTCACATGCTAGTGTTGTAATTCTTGAGGCTACGTTAAGCGTCTAGCCTTGCCATTACTCAATATTAGTCCAGCTTTCTGAGTAGTAACCTAAGTGGACATAGACTTTCCCTCAATAGACTAGGGAATACCTCACACCCCTAAGACTTTCTAGATTCTATGATTATTTTCTTGCCAATTTGAAGAAGTAGAATCTAAATGTTTATACTTATTGCCTCCTAGAGCAGCAGTCTCCAAATTGATTTATACATTACAATCCCCTGAGATTGGAAAGACAATATAAACATTTTATTTATGTTTAATTTTTATTTTATTCTTTAACAAAATTATTTGTTCATATTTTGTAATTTCTATAAAATAATAGCATAATGGAGTATGTCTATAATTTATAAATAAATATATTGAGGTTACATACTGTCTTAATTCATTCTGGCTGCTGCAACAAAATACCTTATACTAGGTAATTCATAAACAATAGACATTTATTGCTTACAATTCTAAGTCTGGCAAGTCCAAGATCATGGCACCAACAGATTCAGTGTCTGATGAGGGCTTGCTTTCTGCTCCAAAGATGGTGCCTTCTTGCTGTGTGTCCTCACGTGGAAAAAGGGCAAAAAGGGACAAATAAATTCCCTTGGATCTTCTATAAGGGCACTAATCATATTAATGAGGGCTCTGCCCTCATGGCATAATTACCTCCTAAAGGCCCACTTCTTGCTACAATCACACTGGAAATTAAGCTTCAGTATGAATTTTATTTTGGTTGTTTTTATTCATCAATTTATTTGTATTTTATTTTATTATTTTTTATTTCAATGGGTTTTGGGGGAACAGGTCGTGTCCATATATGAGTGAGAACATACAATGTTTGGTTTTCCATTCCTGAATTACTTAGAATAATAGTTTCAAAGTTTATCCAGGTTGCTGCAAATGCCATTATTTCAATCCTTATTAAGGCTGAGTAGTATTCCATGGTATATATAAACATTTTCTTTATCCACTCGTTGATTGATGGTCATCTGGACTGGTTCCATATTTTTGCAACTGCAAATTGTGCTGCTATAAACATGCATGTGCAAGTATCTTTTTCATATAATGACTTCTTTTCCTCTGGGTAGATACCTGGTAGTGGGATTGCTGGATCAAAGAGTAGATCTACTTTTAGTTCTTTTTTTTTTTTTAATATACAGTAACTTTTTTATTATTATACTGTAAGTTCTGGGTTACATGTACAGAATGTGCAGTTCTTTAAGGAATCACCACACTATTTTCTATAGTGTTTGTACTAGTTTACATTCCCACCAACAGTGTAAAAGTGTTCCCTTTTCACAGCATCCATGCCAACTCTATTTTTTTTTATTTTTAAAATTATGGCCATTCTTGCAGGAGTGAGGTGGTGTTGCACTGTGGTTTTGATTTGCATTTCCCTGATAATTAGTGTCAATAGGATTGGCACCAAGACTTCTTTGAATGTCTGATAGAATTCAGCTGTGAATCCATCTGGTCCCAGACTTTTTTTGTTGGCAGTTTTTTTAATTACCATTTCAATCTCACTGCTTATTATTGGTCTGTTCAGATTTTATGCTTTCCTGGTTTAATCTAGGAGGGTTGTATATTTCCAGGAATTTATCTGTCTCCTCTAGGTTTTCTAGTTTATGCACATAAACGTGTTCACAGTAGCCTTGAATAATCTTTTGTATTTCTGTAGCATCAGTTGTAATATCTCTGATTTTGTTTCTAATTGGGCTTATTTGGATCTCTGTCTTCTTGGTTAATCTCGCTAATGGTCTATCAATTTTATTTATCATTTCAAAGAACCAGCTTTTTGTTTCATTTATCTTTTGTGGGTTTTGTTTGTTTTTTGTTTGTTTCAATTTCATTTAGTTCTGCTCAGATCTTTGTTATGTTTCTTCTTCTGATGGGTTTGGGTTTGGATTGTTTTTGTTTCTACAGTTTTGTGAGGTGTGACCTTAGATTGTCTATTTGTGCTCTGTCAGACTTTTTGATGTAGGGATTTAATGCTATGAACTTTCCTCTTAGCATTGCTTTTGCTGTATCCCAGAGGTTTTGATAGGTTGTGTCACTATTATCGTTCAGTTCAAAGAACTTTTAAATTTCCATCTTGATTTCATTGTTAACCCAACAATCATTCTGGAGCAGGTTATTTAATTTCTTTGTGTTTGCATGATTTTGAGGGTTCCTTTTGGAGTGGATTTCCAATGTTATTCCACTGTGGTCTCAGAGAGTACTTGATATAATTTTGATTTTCTTAAATTTAATGAGACTTGTTCTGTGGCCTGTGATATGGTCTATCCTGGAGAATGTTTCATTTGCTGATGAATAGAATGTATATTCTGCAGTTGTTGGGTAGAATGTTCTGTAAATATCTGTTAAGTTCATTTTTCGTAGGGAATAGTTTAAGTCCACTGTTTCTCTGTTGACTTTCTGTCTTGATGACCTGTCTAGTGCTGTCAGTGGAGTATTAAAGACCCCCACAATTACTGTGTTGCCATCTATCTCATTTCTAGGTCTAGTAGTAATTGTTTTATAAATTTGGGAGCTCCAGTATTAGGTGCATATATATTTAGAACTGTGATATTTTCCTATGGGACTAGTTCTTTTATCATTATGTAATGTCCTTTGTCTTTTTTAACTGCTGTTGCTTTAAAATTTGTTTTGTTTGATATAAGAATAGCTACTCCTGCTTGCTTTGGGTGTCCATTTGCATGGAATGTCTTTTTCCGCCCCTTTACCTTAAGTTTATGTGAATCCTTGTGTGTTAGGTAAGTCTCCTGAAGACAGCAGAAACTTGGTTGGTGAATTCTTATACATTCTGCCATTCTGTATCTTTTAAGTAGAACATTTAGGCCATTTACATTAAATGTTAGTATTGAGATGTGAGGTACTATTCTACTCATTGTGCTATTTGTTGCCTGAACACCTTGATATTTTTCATTGTCTTATTGTTCTATAGATCCTGTGAGATTTATGCTTTAAGAAGTTTCAATTTTGGTGTATTTCAAGGATTTGTTTCAAGATTTAGAGCTCCTTTTAGCAGTTCTTGTAGTGCTGGCTTGGTAGTGGCGAATTCTCTCAGCATTTATTTGTCTGGAAAAGACTATCTTTCCTTCATTTATGAAGCTTAGTTTCACTAGATACAAAATTCTTGGCGATAATTGTTTTGTTTAACGAGGCTTAAAATAGGACCTCAATCCCTTCTAGTTTGTAGAGTTTCTGCTGAGAAATCTGCTGTTAATCTGATAGGTTTTCCATTACAGAACCTGATGCTTTTGGCTCACAGATCTTCAGATTCTTTCCTTTGTCTTTAGATAACCTGATGACTATGTGCCTAGGCAAGGATCTTTTTGTGATGAATTTCCCAGGTGTTCTTTGAGCTTCTTGTATTTGGATGTCTAGATCTCTAGCAAGGCTGGGGAAGTTTTCTTCGACTATTTCCTCAAATGTGTTTTCCAAACTTTTAGACTTCTCTTCTTCTGTGGAAACACCAATTATTCTTAGGTTTGGACGTTTAACATAGTCCCGAACTTCTTGGATGCTTTGTTCATTTTTTAAAATTCTTTTTTCTTCGTATTTGACATATTGGGTAAATTCGAAAGTCTTGTTTTTGAGTTCTCAAGTTCTTTCTTTCTGCTTGTTTGATGGATGAGACTATTGCTGAGACTTTCCAGTGCATTTTGCATTTCTCTAAGTGTGCCCTTGATTTTCAGAAGTTGTGATTGTTTTTTATTTATGCTATCTATTTCACTGAAGAATTTTACTTTCATATCCTGTATAATGTGTTTGATTTCTTTAATTTGGACTTCAACTTTCTCTGGTGCCTCCTTGATTAGCTTAATAATCAACCTTTTGAATTCTTTTTCTAACAATTCGGAGATTTTTGTCTTGGTTTGTATCCATTGCTGGTGAGCTGGTGTGATCTTTTGGGCATGTTAAAGAACCTTGTTTTATCATATTAGCAGAATTGTTTTTCTGCTTTCTTCTCATTTGGGTAGACTACATCAGAGGGAAGATCTGGGACTCAGGGGCTGCTGTGCAGATTTTTTGTCCCACAGGGTGCTTCATTGATGGGGTGTTCTCCCCCTTCCCCTATGAATGGGGATTCCTGAAAGCTGAACTGTAGTGACTATTTCTGCTCTTCTGGGTCTAGCCACGCAGCAGAGCTACCAGGTTCCAGGCTGGTACTAGCGAGGGTCTACAAAGACTCCTGTGATGTAATCTGTCTTCAGGTCTTGCAGCTGTGGATACCAGCACCTGCTCTCGGGGAGTTAGCAGGGGAATGGAGTGGACTCTGTGAGGGTCCTTGGCTGTGTTTTTGTTTAGTGCGCTGGTTTTTGTTGGTTGGCCTTCAGCCAGGAGCTGAAGAGCACATCAGCTGTGGTCCTATATGGAGGATGCAAACTTGCTCTAGGGACAACTGGTTAAGTATTCAGGTTTCTCAAGTGGTGGGCAGGGCCATAGAGTTCCCAAGGGATTATGACCTTTTTCTTCAGCTACCAGGGCAGGTAGAGAAAGACCACCAGGTGGGAGCAGAGACAGGCATGTCTGAGCTCAACCTCTTCTTGGGGTGGGCTTGCTGCGACTGCTGTGGCAGATGGGGGTATGGTTCCCAGTCCAATGCAGTTATATTCCCAGAAGGATTAAGGTTTCCTCTGCTGAGTTGCCAGGGAAGTGGAGGAAAGCCAGCAGTCACAGGCCTCACCCTGCTCCCATAAAGCCCATAGTCCTAAAGGCTGGTCTCATTCCCACTGTGCCCCACCAATGGCACTGAGTCTGTTTCCAGGCAGCCAGTGACCAGGGCTGAAAACTTGCCCCAGACCACAAACCTCCCCATTGAGAAATTAAGCAGACTCACAGTTTTTTTGGCATCTCAGGGAGCCTGCCATGGTGATCCAGTTCCTTCAAAGGGTCTGTGGATTATCTTGGCTTTCTGGTGTGTTCCTGCTGTAGTTCCTGGAGCAAAAGTTCACGATGTGAGTCTCTACAGGCTGTTCTGTCCATCCAAGTGGCAGCTGCAAGCTAGTCCTGCCTCCTATCTGCCATCTTAAACCCTCAATTTCTCAATATGAATTTTGGACTGCCACAAACATTCAAACCGTAGCATTCCGCCCCTGATCCCCCAAAATTCATGACCTTCTCACATACGAATACATTCATTCCATTCCAAAATCCCCCAAATTTTTGACTTATTTCAGCACCAACTCAGAAGTTTGAAGTCCAGAGTCTCATCTAAATATCATTTAAATCAGATATGGATGAGACTCAAGGTATGATTTATCCTGAGACAAATTGCTTTCCACCTGTGAATCTGTGAAATCAAACAAGTTTTTGCTTCCAAAATGCAACGGTAGGACAGGCATAGAATAGATGTTCCCATTTCAAAAGGGAGAAATAGGAAGGAAGAAATGGAAACAGGTGGCAAGTAAGTACAAATCTCACCAAGGCAAAGAACATTAAATCTTGAGGCTTGAGAATGATCTTTGACTCTATGTCTGCTTTCTGGATATACTGGGGTGGAAGTTGGGTCCGCAAAGCTCAGAACAGTCCTGCCCCCTAGCTTTGCTGGGCACAGCCCACACAGCAGCTTTCATGGCATTGCAGTGGTACTCCTGCAGCTCTCCTGGGCTGAAATTACATGCTGGTGGCTCTGCTGGTCCAGGGTCTTGGAAGTAGTCCTGCCCACACAGCTTTACTGGATATTTGCCCTAGTGGAAGTTCTTTTCGGCATCCCCAGCCCTATAGCTCCCCTGAGCATTGCCCCAATGGGGACTCTGCAGTGACCCTGAGCCTGACCCCATGGATCTGCTGGGTGTTACCTTACTAGGGGCTTTCTGTGATAGCCCTGCCTGTGCCTGGACCCTGAGGCTTTTGGGGTTATCCTCTGAAATCTAGGTGGAGGTAGCCAAGCCCCCATAGCTCTTGTACTCTGCATGCCTGCAGAGTTGTCACTATGTTCCAGCAGGGTGGCCCAAGCTGCACCTGGGCCTACTTGAGCCACAGCTGGTGCAGCTGAGGAGCACCGCACCTGAATTTTGGGAGCAGAGACTTGAGGTGGTGCTGGGAAGGAACCCCTGAGCGCTTTTTGAAATTTTTCACACAGGAGCCCTGGGCTGTTTTTTGAAACTTTTCTGCCCTCAAGGCCCTGGCAGTTTGGGCCTATGATGAGAGTGGCAGCCCCAACAATCTCTGAAATGCTTTTGGGGTCATTATTTCATTCCTTTTTTTTTTTTTTTTTTTTTTTTGAGGCAGAGTGAGACTCTGTCACCCAGGCTGGAGTGCAGTGGTACAATCTTGGCTCATTGCAACCTTCATCTGCCAGGCTCAAGCTGGGACTACAGGCACACGTTACCATGTCTGCCTAATTTTCGTGTGTGTGTGTGTGTGTGTGTGTGTGTGTGTGTGTGTGTATTTGTCTACTATATATATATATATATATTTGTCTAATATATATATATTTGTAGACACAGAGTTTTGCCATGTTGCCCAGGCTGTCCTTGAACTCCTCAGCTCAAACAATCCACCCACCTCAGCCTCACAAATTGCTGGGATTAAAGGCACAAGCCACCACACCCAGCCTCATTCATTGTCTTGATGAATAGCATCTGGCTTCCTTTTGAAGTGGCCTCATTGTCTGGGGTAACACCTGAAGTTGGTTGTTTCAGGGCCACAGAGATCAAGGATGTGGACACACAAAGAATGAGGTTAAGAGTGGAAGTTTAATTGGTGAAAGAAAGAGAATAGCTCTCTGCTACAGAGAGGGGTCCTGGAAAAATGGTTGCTGATTCACAGTTTGGATACAGAGGTTTTTATAAGAAACTGATAAGGGGCTGGGCATCTCTTTTGCATAAGGTGTGCATTTTTGGTAGTTCCACCGCATATTCCTAGTGCACATGCAGGCTCAGCTTGAGTTACTCCATTTTGCTTTGTTCCCCTTACTGCGCACGTGTCAGGAGATGGAATTTTCTGTTGCAGGCATGTCGGTTATTTCCATTGCAGGCATGATGGTTATTATTCCCGAGCTGGCTATGTAAGTGTCAGTTATCACATGTGGAATTTATGCAGTAAGACGGATGAAGAGTTGAGGAAAACATGCCCTCTCCCTGTCAAGGGAACCTCTGCAAGTCTGTACATAGTTCTGCTTACATATTATTAGCCAAAATTTAGTCACAACACTCTACTTAACTGACAAGAGAGCCAAGGAGTATTTTTGTTTATATAGTTGCAAACAGCCCAGTCTTCTCTATAGCCTTTCTTACCTATGCAGCTGAGGGCATGTCTTAGGCAAGCCACCTGGGCAAGTTCCCTTATTTGTGCCAGCAACTTGATTTTTTAGGCTGGTTTTTTGTTTGTTTGTTTGTTTGTTTGTTTGAAACAAATTAACTGAGGACCCACCCTAACTGTCTGCCTGACTGGTTTCTTCCTTTCTCCTCTTTCACTTTTATCCATCCTGATTTTCTAATTAAATGGTCATTTGGCCACACTCTTGGTGTTTTCTTCTGAACATGCTTTTTTCTTCTGAGAATTTTCCAAACCTTTAAGTTCTGCTTCCCTTTAGATTATAAATTGCATCTTTAATTTATTATCCCTTCCTGCATTTTACTATAAGCAGTCAAAAGAAGCCATGCCACATTCTCAAAACTTTGATTAGAGATTTCTTCTGCCAAATACCCTATTTCATTGCTGTTAAGTTCTTACTTGAATGAAACACTAGGAGACAAACAGTTCAGCCAAGGTCTTTGCATGCTATCACAAGAATGGCTGTTTCTCCAGTTTCCAATAAGTTGTTTCTCATTTCTGTCTAAGATGTCATCAGGATGGCCTTTACTGTCTATTTCTACCAGCATTCTGTTAAAAAGCACTTAGATAATCTCTAAGAAGATCAACACTCTGTTTACAGCTCTCTTCTTCTTTGAGCTCTCACCAGTATTGCCCTCAATGCCCCTCTGTTCATGGCAATGCACTTTAAAATTCTTCCAGCTTCTACTCATTACCCAGTTCCAAAGCTGCTTCCACATTTTTAGGTATTTGCTGCAGCAGCACCCCATTTCTGGTGCAAATTTTTGTCTCAGTCTATTCATGCTACTGTAACAAAATACTTTAGATTGGGTAATTTCTACATAGTAGAAATTTAATTCTCACTGTTCAGGAGGCTGGGAAGTTAAAGGTCAGGGTGCTGGCAGAGTCAGTGTCTGATGAAAGCTTGCCCTCTGCTTCATAGATGGTACCTGGATGCTGTATCCTCACATGATGGAATGGATGAATGCATTGCCCTCATATAATGGAGGAAGGGCCAGAGGGGGAAGAAGGGCCAAACAGCCTTGTTTGGCCCATTTCTAAGTACACTAATCCCCTTAATGTATAGAGCCCTTACAATTTAATCACATACTAAAGGCCTTACCTCTTAATACTGTTGCATTGGAGATTAAGTTTCAACATGAAATTTGGAGGTACACAAACATACAAACCACAGCACACATTCACATTTTTAAGTTTATATGAATATATGTTTATGGCAGAGATTGGGAATTGGCTTCTAAAATCTGTCCTTCTCTCTTTCTCTTCCTTCCTCTTTTCTTAGAAATACACACATTTTTAGCTGGGCTCTTTGCAACCTATCTAAAAAAAAAAAAAACACTCCTTGGCTCTCTTGTCAGTGAAGTAGAGTGTTGCAACTAAATTTTGGCTAATAAAATGTAAGCAGAACTATGTACAGACTCGCAGAGGTTCCCTTGACAGGGAGAGGGCATGCTTTCCTCAATTCTTCATCCATCTTACTGCATAAATTCTACATGTGATAACTGACACTTACATAGCTAGCTTGGGAATAATAACCATCATAGTAGAAAGTTAAGATAGAAGGAGACCAGTCCCTGACAACCCTGTAGAGCTGTCGTACTAGCACCAGACAGCATAACTATGACTTGTATCTTGTTTAAATCACTGTTTTAGGATTCTCTATTTTTTGCAACTAATCCAATCTTAACTGATAAGGTATCAAAGCAATTGAAGGCCAGGTGCAGTGGCTCACACCTGTAATCTTAGCACGTTCAAAGGCTAAATATCACTTGAGGCCAGGAGTTTGAGATCAGCCTGGGAATCATAGTGAGACCCCCTCTCTACAGAATATTTTTAAAAATTAGCCAGATGTGGTGGTAGGTGCCTATAGTCCTAGCTGTTTGGGAAGCTGAGGGAGGAGGATCTCTTGAGCCCTGAAGTTTGAGGCTGCGGTGAACTGTGAACATGCCACTACACCCCAGCCTGAGTGACAGAGACCCTATCTCAAAAAAAAAAAAAAAGAAATTCATTGTGCTTGAGCCTTCATCTTTTCCATTCATCAACTTTTACCACATATCAAGATCATTTACGAAGCATATGTAGTAGCTTGTTCTGCACCTAGGAAATAACTTTCTATCAGAAAAATTGAAGACATTTTCCTAAAAAAACCAGTTATTTTGCTTAGGGAGTATTAATTTTCCCATGAGTTCCAAATGTTTGTGGACAAGGTGCAAAATCCTTATAAAAGCAAACTGGTATAAGCCTAGAGGAAAAGACTTCTTTCTATCTGTGTCTATTCTTCCTCAGAGCAAATGAATTCAGTACCATATCTATTTCAAGCTCTCAAATCATAATTCACATGCCAAATTAGGGAGAGGCAGTTCCAAAGACCTCTTTGTTTGTAATTAGAAAAAGATTATAGAGACTTGTTTTAGGTCTTTGTATTCTTCCTGTTTTGATTAAATTCTGAAAGCTTCTTTGAAAGCAGCTAGCTATTACTAATAATCAATGGAAGAAATAAAATGAATATGCTTGACATATAGGGAAATATTTTCATTCAGTGTTATTACCTGAGGAGTATTAGCTCATAAGTCCTTTTATGAATTGTCCCTTGTTGCCTCTTCAGCTCCCTCTCTACCCACTACCCCCTTCCCCAGGATACTGAATTCTTCATGCTCTCCAGCCCCTTGAACTTCACCGTCATACATGTTCTCCCAGTACAGTTTCTCCAACCCCGCCCCACCCAGTCTCAGCTTTGACATCACTATGCCTGGAGAACTCTTCTGAAAAATCCCTCTTGTATGCTCTTATAGTCTTCATTAATTCCCCATTTGTAGCAGACATGCTGTTTTCTAATTGCTGGTGAGCTGTTTGTGTCTCTAACTAGTCTAAGAACTCTACAAAGAGACTACTTTTTTTGTTCAGCACCTAGTTCAGTAGCTGGCACCTAGTAGGTGCTCAGTAAGTATGGAATGATTAATAGATTATAATAATTAGTTAAGTCCCTTTTATCGACTTCATCCTGAAGTCAACGGAGAAAACAGGCTTTATAATCTCATACTTATGATATAAATAATTACTATAAAATTTGAGCATGTCAAGAATTCTTCACCTAATTATTGCAAGGTATTATATTTAATGGCATTTTTTCATGGTTGTATTAGTATGTTTGCCTACATATTTGGGGGAAGAAAAGCTACAAAAACAGAGACACCAGTTTGAATTCAGGATTCAGGACCATTGCGTGTATAGTGTGTCTTTGTGAGCTCCCTCTCCTGTGTCACCCCCAAATTACAGAGACTGCTGGTAGAGTTCATTATTGCAATGACAAACAGATAAGGGCACTATCCTCCACTATTATTATGATGGGGGGAATAATAACAATAATAAATACTAAATACATTCTTGCTGTTAGCAAGGTACTCAGAGCATCTGTATTCATTCATTTAACATTTATTGAGCACCTTCTATAGATCAAGCACTATACACACTTGGGCAGCTAGATATTTATATTTTTTATGATATTCTATATACTAAAATACAGTAAGATTTCTTATAAACATAATAAGTGTTAACATTTTATAGGTTTCTCTAGATTAAAAAAGTAGTTTTTACATATGTATATGTAATTTCCCTTAATTCTCATGGCAAATATTTATTTTAGATACTAGGGACCTGAGTCTAGGAGAAGTTAAATGAAGATATAAAGTAAAATATGACATTCAAAGAGTTCAGCTGATTGGATATTGTGTTTTAAATTTACTTAAATTGATACCTCTTTCTAGTCACGCCCATCAGCTGCAACATGTGTTTAATTATGATTTAGTTTTGTATATACTCATATTAGTCAGGGTTCTCTGGAGGGACAGAACTAATAGGATACATGTAAATTTAAAGGGGAGTTTATTAAGGAGTATTGACTCACACGATCACAAGGTGAAGTCCCATAAGAGGGTGTCTGCAAACTGAGGAGTAAGAAAGCCAGTCCCGGCCGGGCGCGGCGGCTCACGCCTGTAATCCCAGCACTTTGGGAGGCTGAGGCGGGTGGATCACGAGGTCAGGAGATCAAGAACATCCTGGCTAAAACGGTGAAACCCCGTCTCTACTGAAAATACAAAAAAATTAGCTGGGCGTGGTGGCTGGCGCCTGTAATCCCAGCTGCTGGGGAGGCTGAAGCAGGAGAATGGCCTGAACCCGGGAGGCGGAGCTTGCAGTGAGCCGAGATGGCATGCACTCCAGCCTGGGCAACAGAGCGAGACTCCGTCTCAAAAAAAAAAAAAAGAAAAAGAAAAGGAAAGAAAGCCAGTCCAACTCCCAAAACCTCAAAAGTCGGGAAGCTGACAGTGCAGCCTTCAGTCTGTGGCTGAAAGCCTGAGAGTCCCTGGCAAACCACTGGTGTAAGTCCAAGGGTCCAAAAGCTGAAGAATGTGGAGTCTGATGTTCGAGGGCAGGAAACATCCACCACGGGAGGAAGATGAAGGCCGGGAGACTCAGCGAGTCTGCTCTTTCCATTGTCTTCTGCCTGCTTTATTCTAGCCACGTTGGCAGCTGATTAGCTGGTGCCCACCCAGATTGAGGGTGGGTCTTCTTCTCCCAGTCCACTGACTCAAATGTTAATTTCCTTTGGCAGCACCCTCATAGACGCACCCAGGAACAATAATTTGCATCCTTCAATCCAATCAAGTTGACACTGGATATTAGCCATCACAATACTCTTAACATGAAAATCTTTCATGTTTAATCTTTCATGTTTTCATGTTTAATCTTTTTGAAATTAAAAGCCAACCTCTTTGATTTTACCTCATAATGTTCAATAGATTCCCAAAACTAAAGAAGAATTGCTTCTTCATAAAAGATGCGTTGCTTTTTAAAAAAAAAAAAAAATCAACTTTTATTTTAAGTTCTGGAGTACATGTGCAGGATGTGCAGGTTTGTTACATAGGTAGATGTGTGCCATGGTGGTTTGTTGCACAGATCAACCCATCACCCAGGTATTAAGCCCAGCACCCATTAGCTGTTCTTCCTGATGCTCTCCCTCCCCCGGAACCACTGATAGGCCCCAGTGTGGGTTGTTCCCCCCACCCATGTGTCCATGTGTTTTCATCATTCAGCTCCCAGTTATAAGTGAGAACAGATACATTGCTTTGAGTTACTAGTGACCTTTAGTGAAGTCCCTATGACAGAAAGTACATTAAAGACTTCACCCCAAAATGAAAATAACTTTGATTATCATAAATTAGCAGAAATGTTGACAATGACTGTTAGTATGGTTTGGTTCTGTGTCCCACCCAAATCTCATCTCCAATTCCAATCTCCATGTGTTGAGGGAGGGACCCAGTGGGAGGTGACTGAATTATGGGGGCAGTTTCCCCCATGCTATTCTCGTGATAGTGAGTGAGTTCTCCTGAGATCTGATGGTTTTAAAAAGTGTTTGGCAGTTTCTCCATGCGCTGTCTGTCTCCTGCCACCATCTAAGATATGCTTTGATTCTCCTTCACCTTCCACCAGGATTATAAGTTTCTTGAGGCCTCCCCAGCCATGCAGAACTGTGAGTCAATTAGACTTCTTTTATTTTATAAATTACCCAGTCTCCAGTAGTATCTTTATGGCAGTGTAAAAACAGACTAATACGGCTGGGCACAGTGGCTCATGCATGTAATCCCAGCACTTTGGGAGGCTGAGGCGGGCAGATCACGAGGTCAGGAGTTCGAGACAAGCCTGACCAACATGGTGAAACCCCATCTATACTAAAAATGCAAAAATTAGCCAGGCATAGTGGCATGTGCCTGTAATCACTCAGGGGGCTGAGGCTGGAGAATCTCTTGAACCTGGGAGACGGAGGTTGCTGTGAGCTGAGATCGCGCCATTGCAGTCCAGCCTGGGTGAAAACAAAACAAAACAAAACAAAACAGACTAATACAACTGTTTATCCCACTTCTACCATATACTATTTGTATTACCATGGACAAGGACCTTAAGTCCTAGTTTTTCATCATTTAATGGGGGTAATGATTGTAGCCACCTCACGAATATGGTGAGAAACAAATGAGGTAATATGCACAGAACCCATAGTACAGTGCATGGAGATAGGCATTCAGTACAAACAATACTTTTTTGAGACTGGACTTATTACTGTCCTTTGCATAGGAGGGGGATCAGTGGCAATATTTGGGTTTGTTGGTTTGAAAGTAGTTAGGAGGTGATTAGATAAAATGTGATAATGGTGAGCCTTCTGCCCTGATTATTCTTTGCAGGTAAGGTGGGTCAAAAGGGGCCTTTAATATTGTTATTTTATTTTATTTTATTTATTTTTTTGAGACGGAGTCTCACTCTGTTGCCCAGGCTGGAGTACAGTGATGTGATAATGGCTCACTGCAACCTCTGCCTCCCAGGTTCAAGCGATTCTCGTGCCTCAGCCTCCCGAGTAGCTGGGTTTACAGGCACACACCACTATGCCCAGCTAATTTTTATATATTTTATAGATACAGGGTTTTGCCATGTTGCCCAGGCTGGTTTCAAACTCCTGAGCTCAAGCCATCTGCCTGCCTTGGCTTCCCAACCTGCTGGGATTACAGGCGTGAACCACCACTCCCAGTCGCCTTTAAGATTATTAATAATATTGATAACAACAACAACAAGCATGGCAGATATTATGTATGAATGCTTACTATTGGCCAAGCATTAAATTAAATGCCTTTGCATATTATTTAATCTTCCCATCAACATTATGAAGTATATATTGTTGGTACCCCTGTTCTTCAGAAGAAGAAATTGAGGCAAGCTCAGGTAAACTGGCTCCAAAGCCAGACTCAAGCTTCCTGTGCTGCCTTTTACAATGTTAACAGAAGTGAGCAGAATTACATGTGTGTGGGTATGCAATGCAGAGCTTGTTAGGTATGTAGCTGTTATGTTGACTTAGCACAACTTGTTAGATGTAATTATTTGTAAAAATTTACCTCATATCTGTTTAAATCCACTCGGTGAAGCAATTCTTTTCTTACGCCTTGATATAAGTTCAGGTAAGTCCCATGACTTTCCCAGACTCTCTTAGATAATAATACTCTCTACAGTAGCTTCGGAGGTAAGAATACGGATTCAATTTAATAATTTAAATATCTAGCTCATGTTATATTTAATATTCTAATATTTTTTAAAGTTAAAGCTTCTCTCCTTGAGGCAGGAAACCTGCAGTGGGGAAAGGATACTTGGTCTCCTCTCTCTTTCCCTACCTTGTCTTCTCCTCTACCTTCAATTTGCTAACATCAGTTTCTGACTCTTACTGGTTTGGAGCACTGGGAGGGAGAGGAGGAAACAGTGATAGGAAAGTTCTTCCTTGATAAGTTCCATAATGTTAGTCTAGCATTGGTGCTGTCTGAACTTGGAGGATTTTTAATATTTATTTATTTATTTATTTATTTATTTAGAGACAGAGTCTCACTCTGTCATCCAGGCTGGAGTGCTGTGGCAGAGTCTCGGCTCACTGCAACTTCCACCTCCTGGGTTCAAGTGCTTCTCCTGCCCCAGCCTCCTGAGTAGCTGGGATTTCAGGCATGCACCACCCTGCCCAACTACATTTTTTTGTATTTTTAGTAGAGACGTGGTTTCACCATGTTGGTCAGGCAGGTCTCAAACTCCTGACCTCAGGTGATCCACCCACCTCAGCCTCTCAAAGTTCTGGAATTATAGGCGTGAGCCATTGCACCCAGCCTGGACTTGGAGGATTTTAAAGCTCACTGACTTCTGAATGCTTTTATTGACTCTGCCGTCTGCAATTATTTAATGCCTAAGGAAGCATTTCCATTCTTGCTAATAAAGCCAATGGTCCCTCCTGTGTTTTTTGTTGAGATCTTGACCCTTTCCAGATGATCTTCTTTGACATGACCAGATGTGACCCCATTCTGACTCCTTCTTACAAAATGCCCACAACTGGTCCGTAGGGAAACACTCACATATTATGAACCCCAGAGTAATTTGGGCATTGGTGATTCCCCACTCAGCAAATTTCTCTTTGCTCCAGCATAAGTAGAGCTAGACAGTCACTTGGACTTTAGGTTTCTCATATACATGGGTCAGACACCAGTCTATACGCACATCAAAATGCAGGGGACACATATTAGGGATTCTAAAGAGGTTCTGTTGAAGTTTCTTTCCCCACGCTGAGGTGAGGAAAGAGATCTCCTATTCTTCAGAGCAAAAATCACAGCTTATCAATAACTTTTTCCAAATAAGTTCCCCTTTTTAATTTCAGATACTAGGACTTTGATGTAGGTATAGCATTTTAGAATTGTGTAACTGGTTTCTCAGAATCCTCCTTTGGAAATTCAACATATGGCCTTACACCTCTTTGGGAATGTGCTAATTATTGTCTTGGGGCTACAGCCAAAACTTCCATTTTAATATTCCATTATATATAATTATTACTTCTGGATAAAATCGATTTCCATGCTTTTGTGCACTTTATTTTCTTCTCTTTCTCTCCTATCAGAACAACTGAATTGGAGCCATATGGTGGGAAGAAAGGAGTGTTATATATTTCACATACCTATTTAGATGGTGAGGGAGATGTTCAAGGAGCCCAGTGTTTGAAGATAGCACAATCATTTATCTCATAACTCTTGATATGCTATTATTCCCTCCATTTGGGTTGGCCTGTTAATGGTCTTCCTTGGTGAATTTCCATATGAGAGGCAGTTTGATATAGGAGTTATGCACAGAGTCCGGGGTTAGACCATTTGGATCAAATTCCAGCTCCACAATTTATTAGTTGTGTGTCTTTGGGCAAGTTATTTAATCTCTATGAACCTCAATTTTCTTATCTGTAGAATGGGAGTAATAGTACTTGCCTCTCAGAGTTGTGAGAATTAGATGAGTTAATATATATAAGACTTTTAGAACAATGCTTGGTATATAGCAAGTGCTATGTAAGTAGTAGCAGCAGTAGCAGTACTTGTGATTACTAATACCACTGGTATTCATTCTTTAAGTTTCAGTTTAAATATTACGTAGTTTGTGAAGCCTTTTGCAATTCTCCCAATCAGAATAAACCAGCCTCTAATCCATGGACTCAGAATGAATGAATGGTCTACTGCCACCCTTGTCACAGGGGACCAAGGTTAGTGTTAGCTATCTACCTTCTCCATTAGCAAGTGATTATTTCAAGGCTATTGTATTTCTTGCTGAACACAGTGCTTAAACATAGTAGACATGATCAGCAAATGTTAGTTCTTTCCCCTCTTATTTTTGTTGAATGGTTGAATCTAACTCTTCAAATCTAAAAATGAATATATAGTATTTTTACAATATTATAAAATAAGAATATTCTTTTAAAAATTTGGATGTCGAAGGAAAATACCATGGAAATTAAAAGAATTTTAAATTAATTATTAATAAAATCTTTCATCTATTTCCAAAGGATAGGAGGCCAAGAAAACATATTTCATTTTGTACAGCTTGTAACAAAAGCCAAAATTTACCAAAATACTGATTTATTTAAGTAAAAAGCAAAATATTTAGAACAAGAATTTCTTTAGTAACTAAAATCATATTAATGCCAAATGAAAGCCTGGATTCCACTTTTCATACAAATTGTCGTTTCTGGTTTCCTGTCTGTAAAATCAAGATGGGCAAGTGTGATCCGTGTCTGAAATGCCTTTGTGGTGTCAGTGATAAGGTGAACTCTGGCATAATCAGTGTAGTTCCCAGAGTAAAGACTTTGAGGATACCATGACTAGTTATAACAAATCTGTTGTTTAGACAGGTACCGCTTCATTTTATCTGTCTATCCCAAGCGACTTAAAGCTTTGCTATTCTATACTCCCTCAGTCTCAGCCCTGTCATCCAGTATAATGGCGTAGTTAAATGAATTGTACTTGGAAATGTTTTTACTTTAGTCAAGGTCGTGCAGGTTTTAACATCTCACAGCCAATTCTTGATACGCCACTCACAGGTGTATGATACCCTTAATAGCAGTGATTCTTGGATGAAAAGGAGTTGACAGGTGATTATTGATGAGGGGAGGTTTAGTTTAGTTCTTGTGAACTTAAATAGTCATTTTTGTTTTAAACTGAGGAGCTGAGGAGCTAAGAACCATATTTATAAAAACAAATTTACAAAACTATTGGAATTATTGGAATGCCATTTTCTTTACTAAATCTGATTTTTAAAATATCTCTTTCCTGATGCAAAAAAAAAAAATGCTGAAGACATTTTCTCTTATCCTTAGCAACCTTGGAGAATCCACCTGCAACATTCCTCAGAGAAGCTGCAACATTACTTTAAAAGAAGTTACAGCAGTGCATACTATTGTTGCTTTCCTACAATGTAGCAAACAGAAACTTTGGTTCCAGAATGTTCCTGAATATAACACAGTAAAATTTCTTGATAGGAGTGCTTCACAAAAGATGTCATTGAAGATACCCAGTTTGGAAGTTAAGGCATTGGCTCTGACATTACTTTTGCCCCATCTAAGCTTAGTTTGGTAGAGTCATATATAGGGCAGGATCTAGCTAATAATTGTCCTTAACTCAAAAGCATAATCTTATTTCAGGTAGAAAGCCACACTAACTTAATTGCCAACCAGATAAATGGTGATCACTTGAAATCTGTTTTATACTTATAAATAAATCTTGAAATATTAATTATCCGTGCTTAAAAGATGAAATGATATTTTGACAACAGCCACAACTTGGTTCAAATGTCCCAAATGTTCTACAATATTTTGAGAGGTTGTTGGTAAGCAGAATTACTTAAGGAACAGAAAATAACTAGAAATGATATTGAAGCAACATAACAAAATTTAGCATAAACCTTTACTTTTATAATTCATATAAATTACTTATAAGCTCTTTCTATTAAGCATTTACAAATGGTTCTGCTAAATATTTTCTTAGCAATATTTCCCTTCTAAGTTCCTTTTGATTACTGTTCCGAGACATCTGTTCTTTTTTTTTTTTTTTTCCCTTTCCCTCTAGGTAAGTCAACCAGAGCAAAATATCTATTCTTAAGTGTGGGTATCATTTGAGACTGTAGTTGAAGGTTACATGGCATATCTATATCATTACCTCTGTTTTCTAATTCATTTGGCTCCATGGCCATAACCAGAGGATATAAAATAAAGGTTCCAGTAAATATCTCTTGAAACTGTGGATGTTTTTATTTTCTTTACAAACAGCATTTTATTAAGATATCTTACCACACATATGGCCTGTGTCTTTTTTCCATCAATCAATTTTTAGAACTACTACAATTGCTAATCAGTGAAGATTTATTTAGAGGATTAAAAAAATCAAGCCTAAAGAATGGATCACTATCAGTTAGCTACCTTTTATTCCCTTTAGTAGGAGAAAATTATATTGATTTCAAAAAATTAAAAACCAGACACTAGCAGGCATGTAGGTTTCTGTTTGCTTGTGAGCAAGATTGCCATGTGGCAGCTGCATCTCAACTGGAGGATCAAAAGCTTGGGTCAGGATTTTGCATCAAACTGGTGGTAGTTTATTCTGTTAGCTGGTGTGGCAGTGACTTCTAGTCGTCATCTTTGCTTGGAGGGGAATGTTTACACACATGCATAACTTCTGTCCCTATTGGAGAAGACTTCAAAATCCCAATCATAATACAATTTGGCATCCCCATTTATGGTCCAGTGACCAAAGTTTTAGACTATAGCTTGATGGCCATTTCATTATTCTTTATTACTTACACAAGAGTGTTTTTCATCTTATGGTTGGTATGTCTGTGTTTTATGAAATGCACTGCAATATCTTAGGTACAAGGGAATCTGCCTATTAAGGAAGACTTGATGATTGGTACATAGAACTGAAGACAAGTTTGCCGTGGTTGCCTGCTTCACAGCTTGAGTTTTTCCCTGCACAAATTGTAACCAACTCCAGATCCTCATGGTCTGAGAAGCATGAAAATGAAGAATAAAGAGCTTTTATTTTCACAAACTTGCTTCACACACACATTTCTCTGCTTCACACCCCTACCCCATCCTTCTAGCATCTGTATTCTCTGGTAATTATAGGAATGGTGGGGCTGAGTTATAATCCCTTGTTATTACAAGAAGGGCCTCTAAACCAGGGTTTGATTTCCTCACTGGAAATAATGGTATATGTTATGTTTCAAGGATGTCATTTAAACTCGTAATAACATTTACCATAGAAACAAAAATCGGCATATATTTTCACATTGAGTACAATGTATGCTATCTATTTGCTAAAAAGGAAATACATTGGATCCAACTTTTATGTGGAGAAAATAGATTGTATTATTTCTTAGTTTTCATATGAAAGAAATAATATTCATAGTAATATTAGCTAGTGTGACAGTGACTTTTAGCTCTAGACATTAGATGGGTTTTGAATCCTGACTTTGTCTCTTACTACCTAGGTGTGCACTGGCAACTTTTTTAACTTCCCTGTGCCTCTAAAAAAGGCAGAGATGGTACATCTCTTAAAGAGTGGTGGTTTTCGAGAATTGAATGAGATAAAAGTACTAAGTATGTATTAACTACTTAATGAATTCTACTATTAGTAATATAACCCTCAGTACTGTTCCCACTGCTATTACTATTAATATTGTTATTATTACATCCCATTACTCAACACCCTTCAGGTTTTTCATCGCTCCATCCCCACCCTATTCTGCTTTTTTGACTGTTGTCCTTATGTTTTCCAAATATTCCAAAATATTTTGATCCTATAGTTCATCCTGGAAATGTCTTCTTTCACACCTATTGACATCCTATTCATCTTTTAAATGCCAGCTCAAATGAACCCTCTCACTAAACCTTCATCAGTCTTGCCAGTTAAAATCAATCCTTCCCACAGCTGTGCTTTCAAATCCTTAGATTTTCACCTTTATTACAGCACTTCAATTCTGTCTTATCTTATGATTGTTTACAACTTTGTTCCTCTTTCTCTCTCTTTCTTCTCTCTCTTGTTCTTATCCCTCTTCCTTATATTGCAAAGTATTTGAAACACTTTCTTACTTATCTTTATCCAGTCCCCCTACATACAGTCCCTTCCGGTAAGCACACGAGTTTTCTATATGATCACCATTCTGTTAATACTTGTTGAATTAACATTGTCATTCAGCATTGTTTAGTAGCAAAGATTTCCATTCTTTGCTAGAAAAATGAAAATTAATGGTTATACTGATAGTTCTGAGGTAATTGAAGAGACTGAAATGTTCTCTAAATAATCAAATCAGAGTCAGCATATTTTAGAATTGTGTTTTTTTGTTTGTGTGTTTTTTTGTTTTTTGTTTGTTTGTTTGTTTGCTTGTTTGTCATAGTCTGTTCTTTTGCTTTTTGTCATCCAAGAAAACCTATATGATATTTTCATTTCCTATACATCTCCATGGTTCTTAGCTTAGATGTTTTCATTGGATAAACCATTTGCAAGGGAAAATTGCAATAAACAGTAATAAGAACAATAACAATAATATTAAAAATGTCCGGCCTTAATTGAGCTCTTACTATTTGCCATATACTGGCCAAACACTTCGCAATGCATTATTTCATTTTAGTCCTTGCAACAACCCTGAACAATGTGAGACTTGGGAAGGTTAAAAGTTTCCCAGAGTCTTACACATAAAGATGGTATCTGTCCCTTCCAGCTTGTCCCTGGAATGGGTCAGTGTCTGTCCATGCATTTGGTCAGTGTACGAAGCTACTCTCAGTGATGATACTAGATGTAGGATGGGTGTAGGATGGTAATTTCCTTGGAAGGGAAGCAAGATAACTCTTCCTGAAGCTTATTTTTGTATAACAGGCATATACTATTTTTATATATTGAATATTAATCTTGATGCTGACTGGGGAGGGGGTGGGGAGAAGCTGAAAGAAAGATGGAAGGTTAAGCCTTCCCAAAGCACCACTTGGTACTGCAGTTGCTATCAATCCAGAGGTATGGAGGAGAAATATGTGTTCCTAGATACCTGTGAATGAAAATTCACTTTTAAATTCTGCCTATACTGGAAAAACAGGTTGGCAAGAATCCCAAAGTGTTTCCTTGGTATTTTAAAAGCATAGGCAGAACCGCTAAGAGAAGTGCACTTAAACGATTTCAGAAATATTCGACATAGAATACTGAGTCTCCAAGGGTTATATTCCAATGAATAGAGACAGCTAATATAAGAACAGAAGGGCCCCAGCCAGTATCATATTCCCCAGCAATTAGTAGTAGAGCAAAGACTAGATTACATGTTATTTTCCAAAATTTAAATTGTTTTATTGTATGTACGTGAGACATCCTGTGGCTTCATTAAATTATTTTAAGATAATAATACTGACATAGCCGTTTTTACTTACAAACCTCACAAAGTTATGACAATATTCCCCTGGGGTGGTGAACAGTTTCATTTTTGTTTATATTGTTGCTTCAGCTCATCCCTTTAGTCCTCTTTTATTTCTTTCGCTAATTGTTACAACAGCCTTGAAGAAGAGCGATTACTTTCTACATAAATGTTTTGTTAGAATAATTACCAGGCTCAACCAGGGGCTCTGACTCTTTATCCTTTAGCTGACTTTCTAGAATAAATAGAATTATACCTCTACGTGTTATAAGCCTCTTAACAGCCACACCTTAATTCCAATTTGGGTACCTCTTAAATTTTGTTGTTCGTGATCTCTTGCTTTTGGCTTTGTAGTTAATGGCCCCTTACAGTGATTCTCCTGTAAGTTTCATCCAGTAACGATGATCTGTCCATGCTCCTCTCAGCTAATTTCCCGACATTATGAGATTTCCAGGATTTTAGTTGGAATACATCAGGTCATCCCAAATTGTGGTTTTTAGACTTCAAACACTAAGATGTAAAATAACTCTTGAGTTTTACAGCTGTCAGGAGCAAGAACATATTGGATCGGTTTAAGCCAAAAATATTTCATCTCCAATTTGATTTACTTGATATTTTGGCTAGAAGTACAGAAATGTTATAAATAGTGGGTGGTGATTTACAATGTAACTACATAAAAGAGTGCTATAATTCAGAACCACAGGATAAAGCATGTGATGAACTCTCATTATTGTAACAGGGCCTGAATTGACAGCTTCTTCTCATTTAAAGCTGTTTATTTTCTGCGAAGATCACAGAGCAAGGTCATTTGACAATGCAGATGACATTTTGCTTCTTTGATGATTCCTTCAAAGATGTTCAAGAAGAATAAAGCATCTAAAATTCTATTGAGACACAAAGCTGTTATTTTATAAACATTTCAAACTTAAGAGAACTTCCAATTTGTACAGTGCTAAACAGGAAAATATTAGGATATATTTTGAGAAGTACATTTTTGTATTTTAATAATGGGGTTTTTTTCCAGAGCACAATAACTTCATTTGACTCTACAGCTTTTTAATTACCTGTTAAAAAAAAATCCTGATCAATTTTCTATGGTACCCTTGGTTGTGTATTACATGAGTAACTAAAATTAAAATTAGTGAGAAAGGCCTTTTTTCTTTTCACCTTGAAATACCTTTTCCTGTAATTATGGACTCTAAATTTTACCTTCATGTTTGCTTCTGCATTGACTCATCCATGTACCACAAGGCCTATGTCAGATGGTGCATGAGACCAATTTGTAACAACAGTCATTGACTTTTCCTTTATTCCTATCATTTCTGTTTTCACTCATGTTCAGTCCAGTGTTTGTCTGGATTCAGATCTGATTATCTTTGTTTTGAATCTCTCACCTTAACTTTCTGAGCTACATCATTAATCACCCGATTTTCCTTATTTCAACCTTCAGTGTTTCCTAAAGGCAGAGTTTTCCTAAGTTGTGTGTTCTGGAGCACAGGCAGGGAATAGGTTGGAGGGGGTTACATGCATGTCTAGAATATTATGTCATTCCAGCAGGAGGACCCCTTGATCTAGTCATTTGCAGCTTCAGCCAGCCTCATTTGTGTATTCCAGTGTGCCAGACAAATATTAGCATTTTTAATTTGTGCCCTGAGTGCTCAAAGGTATCTTCTAGCTCTTGCTGCTTCTGGCTATTTCAGGTAAGCACCTGAGCCAACCTCTATCTGCATCTGAGGCTCCCACCTCAGTTTGGAACCACACCCAGCTAAATCTGCCTTTTATGATTCAAAACCATGATCTCTTATCCTTGAGGCTCCCATACTCCTTTTGTCCCTCTGATTCCCCTTGCTGTTCAAATGCTAAAGCGCTTCAGTTATCTCCACCAACTTAAACGATTGCCAACCTCCTCCCAGGCTAGCTTCCAAGTGCTTTTAACTCCCTGGTTTTTATCCATTCTATCATACTTCTCTGCCAACAGCTAGCCTTAGACTAAGTCTGCTCTTTATTTTTTGGTTTTTATACTAAAAACACTGAATGCCACCGAAGAAAACTCAATCATTGAGAAGATTAGTGCAAGCAACTAGAATTTATTATTTACTCTTCCATTGGATAGCAGTAGCTCTTTTCACATATTCTTGTTAAACTCCATAATCTAGTGCCAGGGTTTGCTCCAAATATCTACCACTCTCTTCAGAATTCCTACTTCACTTCTAACCCTTTTAAAAAGATAGCAGCATTGCTACATATTGAGAATAAGTGTTCTCAAACTTTCTACTTTTACACCAGAAATCATGCCTGTATTTCCTCTTATTCTTACCTCCTTACAAATGTAAAAGAGAGAGATCACCACCTTATATCATAAATCTGGGGGTTATCATCATCTCTTCATTTACTTTCACTGCCCCAATTTAACATTCTATAGATAGAGAAGTCCCATTTTTGGTCCTAAACTAATTCCTCCATTTCTGGTTTAGAACTCATCTCCTCCATGTCCCAGGGACCATACCTTATCAGTCATGCCCTTTTTTGCTTCTTGAATTTCTTCCTTCCTTTGGCTTCCTTCCCTACATATAAACCTGCTTACATCTCTCCTAACTTACAAAAAGTGTTCTCAATAATACTTCCTCCTCTAGTTTTATCTATTAATAATTCCTGCTCTTTGACAGTATTTTTGAAGGTGAAAGCGGTTTTCAACATCTCCACTGCTTCATTATCCATTTGCTCCTCTATCCATCTCAATCTGGGTTCTACCAACAAAACTCCACAGCAGCTATTCATCATGAGGTTTTTAATGACTTTCTAATTGCCTAATCCAAGGACATCTTAATGCCACTATAAGTGATTCCTTCTTCTTGAAACTCCCTTTGCATTTGGTTTTCATAACATCACTATCTTGGTTTGTTTGTTCATTTATTTAACAAATGGCCATGTACTGTGTTCCAAGTAGAGTAATAGGTGCTATGGATATATACAATGGCAAGCAATACAAGTACCTTCCCTTTGGGTGCTTACACTTTGAGTTGTTTTTGTTTTTGTTTTGTTTTGTTTTGTTTTGAGACGTAGTCTTGCTCTGTTGTCCAGGCTGGAGCGCAGTGGCGCAATCTCAGCTCACTGCAAGCTCCGCCTCCTGGGTTCATGCCTTTCTCCTGCCTCAGCCTCCCAAGTAGCTGGGACTACAGACACCCGCTAATTTTTTTTGTATTTTTAGTAGAGATGGGGTTTCACCGTATTAGCCAGGATGGTCTCCATCTCCTGACCTCATGATCCGCCCGCCTCGGCCTCCCAAAGTGCTGGGATTACAGCCATGTGCCACCACGCCCGGCTTGAGTTGTGTTTTAAACTGAGCCTTTATAGTCTACTTGGATGCTCTTGATTGTTAAAATAAACCCTTAGTTGATGCCAGACAGTAATGCTCTATCCGCTACCTTCTTCTTCATTCCAAGTTGTCTCCTAGGTAGACTTACCCAAATCCTCTAATTATCTTATTCCTCATATTCTTATAACATTCAGATATTTCTTCATTCCAGACATCTATCATGAAATGTAATTCCACATTTCTAAATGCTTACTTCTTCTTTTAGGTTTCCAGTTTCAGTGACTAACACTATCATTTTTTATTAGAAACCTGAGAATTGCTTTGACTTTATTTTTCCTTCTCACTTTCAATCACATATAGGAAGTCCATATTTAATTAGTCAAAACCTTTGACAGATTATATATCCTTTATCCATAATATTTCTGACAACCCTTCACTCTTTTCAGAGTTCACCATTCCTTTCTTTACCAGAAATACTGGGATTAAGCAGTGACTATCTGATCACATGCAAAGAGAACCTCATCAGGCTAACAGCAAACTTCTCAGCAGAAATCTTACAAGACAAGAGAGATTAGGTGCCTATTTTCAGCATTCTTAAAGAAAAGAAATTCCAAACAAGAATTTCATATCCTGCCAAACTAAGCTTCATAAGTGAAGAAGAAATAAAATCTTTTTCAGAAAAGCAAGTGCAAGGGAATTAGTTACTATTACACCAAGTCTTACAAGAGACCCTTCAGCAGGTTCTAAACTTGGAAACAAAAAGAAAGATACCTGCTACCACAAAAACACACTTACGTACATAGCCCTCAGACCCTATAAAGCAACCACACAATAGCAACTACAAAGCAACCAACCAACAAACTTCATTATAGGATCAAAACCTCACATATCAATATTAACCTTGAATGTAAACAGTTTATGCACCCCACTTAAAAGGCACAGAGTTGCAAGGTTGAATTAGAAAAGAAAAACCATCCATCCCCTCTCTTCAAGAGACCCATCTCACCTCTAAGGATATCCATAGTCCTTCCATTTGCACGACAGACAGATCTTTTCCCAACCCTTTATTTTGGGGGTTGGGAAAAGATCTGTCATGCAAATGGAAAACAAAAAAAAGCAGGGGTCACTATTCTTGTATCAGATAAAACAGACTTTAAATGAACAACAGGAAAAAAGGAAAAAGAAGGGCATTACATAATGATGAAGGGTTCAATTCAGCAAGAAGACTTCACTATCCTAAATATATAAGCACCCAACATTGGAGCACCCAGATTCATAAAACAACTACTTCTAGACTTAGGAAAATACTTAGATAGCTACTCAGTAATAGTGGGAGACTTTAACATCCCATTGACAGTATTAGACAGATCATTGAGGTTAGGTTAGAAAACTAACCAAGAAACTTTAAACTTAAGTTTGATACTTGACCAATTGGACCTAACAAACATCTACAGAGCGCTCAACCCATCAATCGCAGCCTACACATTCTCCTCATCTACACCCCGAACATGCTCAAAGACAGACCACAAAAAAGTCTTAATAAATTCAAAAAAGCTGAAATCATATGAACATACTCTCAGACCGTAGTGGAATACAAATAGAAATCAGTACCAAGAAGATCTCCCAAAATGACAAAATTACCTGGAAATTAAACAATTTGCTCCTGAATGATTTTTGGGAAAAGAATGAAATTAAGGCAGAAATCAAAATATTATTTGAAATAAATGAAAACCAGATACAACATACCAAAATCTCTGGGATGTATCAAAAGCAGTGTTAAGAGGAAAGTTTATAGCACTAAATGCCTACCTCAGAAAGTAAAAAATAATTTCAAATTAATGATATAACATCACACCTACAGGAACTAGAAAAATAAGAACAAACGAACCCCAAAGCTAGCAAAAGAAAAGAAATAACTAAAATCAGCGTGAAAGTGAAAGCAATTGAAACCCCCAAATCCAAAGAATTCACAAAACCAAAAGTTGGTTCTTTAAAAGGATGAACAAGAGCAATACACTGTTAGCTAAATTAACAAAGAAAAAAAGAGAGAAGATCCAAATAAGCACAATCGGAAACAACAAAAGTGCCATTACAACACATCCCACAGAAACATAAAGCATCCTCAGAGACAAATATGAACACCTATATGCACACAAACTAGAAAATCTGTAGGAAGTATATAAATTCCTGGAAACACACAACCTCCCGAAATTGAAAACAGGAAGAAATTGAAACCCTGAACAGACCAATATCAAGTTCCAAAATTGAATCAGTAACAAAAAATTGGCCAATTAAAAAAAGCCCCAGAGGCTGGATGCAGTGGTTCACGCCTGTAATCCCAGCACTTTGGGAGGCTGAGGCAGGCAGATCACTTAAGGTCGAGTTCGAGACCTGCCTGACCAACATGGCAAAACCCTGTCCCTACTAAAAATACAAAAATTAGCTGGGCATGGTGGCAGGTACCTGTAATCCCAGCTATGTGGGAGACTGAGGCAGGAGAATCGCTTGAGCCTGGGAGGTGGAGGTTACAGTGAGCCGAGATCGCACCACTGCACTCCAGCCTGGGTGACAGAGCAAGACTCTGCCTAAACAAACAAGCAAACAAACAAACAAACAAAGCTCTGTACCAGATGGACTCACAGCCAAATTCTATCAGTCATACAAGTAAGACCTGGTACCAATTGTACTGAAACTATTAAAAAAAGGAAGTTGAGGAGGAGGAATTCTTCCCTAACTCATTCTATGAAACCAGCATCATCCTGATACCAAAACCTGGTAAAGACCCAATGAAAAAAGAAAACTTTAGGCCATTATCCCTGAGAAACTCATTGCCTATGCTTATCTATGTTAAGGTGGAAAATCCTCAACAAAATACTAGCAAACAAAATCCAACAGTGTATCAAAAAGTTAATTCACCACAATCAAGTAGGCTTCATTCCTAGGATGCAAGTTTGGTTCAACATACGCAAGTCAATAAATGTGATTCACCACATCAACAGAATTAAAAAGAACCATGTGATCATCTCAATAGATTTGGAAAAAGCCTTCAATAAAATCCAACATCTCTTCATGAGAAAAACCCTGAAGAAACTAGGCATTAAAGGAAAATACATCAAAATAATATGAGCCATCTATGACAGACCCACAGACAGCATCATACTGAATGAGTAAAAACAGGAGGCATTCCCCTTGAGAAATGGAACAAGACAAGGATGCCCATTCTCACTACTCCTGTTCAACATTGTACTGGAATTCCTAGCCAGAGCCATCAGGCAAAAGAAAGAAATAAAAGTCATCCAAAATAGGAAAAGAAGAAGTCGAACTTCTCTTTTCACTGATGATATGATTGTATACCTAGAAAACCCTAAAGCCTCCTGGAACTGATAAATGACTTCCATAAAGTTTCAGAGTACAAAATCAATGTCCAAAAATCAGTAACATTTCTGTGCACCAGTAATATTCAAGCTGAGGGCCCAAGCAAGAACACAATCCCATTTACAATAGCCACACACCAAAACAAAAACAAACAAAAACTAAAAAAAAAAAAAAACACCTAAAAATACACCCAACCAAGGCGATAGAAGATCTCTACAAGGAGAACTATAAAACACTGCTAAAAGAAATGAGAGATGACACAAACAAATGGAAAAACATCCTATGCTCATTGATTGGAAGAATTAATATCCTGAAAATACCGTACTGCCCAAAGCAATTTACAGATTCAGTATTATTCCTATCAAACTACCAATATCATTTTTCACAGAATCAGAAAAATCTATTTTAAAATTCGTATGGAAACAGAAAAAGAGCCCGAATAGCCAAAACAATCCCAAGCTGTAAGAACAAAGTCAGACGCATCACATTACCTGACTTCAAACTAGTAATGTAAGTCCACAGTAACCAAAAGAGCATGGTACTAGTACAAAAACAGACATGTAGACCAATGGAACAGAATAGAGAACCCAGAAATCAAACTGTATACCTACAGCCATCTGATCTTTGACAAACCCAACAAAAATAAGCAATGGGGAAAGGACTCCCTATTAAATAAATGGTGCTGGGGTAACTGGCTAGACATATGCAAAAGAAAGAAACTGAACCCTTACCTTTCACCATATACAAAATCAACTCAAGATGGATTAAAAATTTAAGTGTAGGTTATCTACAAGAGTCATACGAAGATGGCCGAATAGGAACAGCTCCGGTCTACAGCTCCCAGCGTGAGTGACGCAGAAGACGGGTGATTTCTGCATTTCCATCTGAGGTACCGGGTTCATCTCACCAGGGAGTGCCAGACAGTGTGCGCAGGCCAGTGTGTGTGCGCACTGTGCGCGAGCCGAAGCAGGGTGAGGCATTGCCTCACCTGGGAAGCGCAAGGGGTCAGGGAGTCCCCTTTCCGAGTCAAAGAAAGGGGTGACGGACGCACCTGGAAAATCGGGTCACTCCCACCCGAATATTGCGCTTTTCAGACCGGCTTAAGAAACGGCGCACCACGAGACTATATCCCACACCTGGCTCGGAGGGTCCTACGCCCACGGAATCTCACTGATTGCTAGCACAGCAGTCTGAGATCAAACTGCAAGGCGGCAACGAGGCTGGGGGAGGGGCGCCCGCCGTTGCCCAGGCTTGCTTAGGTAAACAAAGCAGCCGGGAAGCTCGAACTGGGTGGAGCCCACCACAGCTCAAGGAGGCCTGCCTGCCTCTGTAGGCTCCACCTCTGGGGGCAGGGCACAGACAAACAAAAAGACAGCAGTAACCTCTGCAGACTTAAGTGTCCCTGTCTGACAGCTTTGAAGAGAGCAGTGGTTCTCCCAGCACGCAGCTGGAGATCTGAGAACGGGCAGACTGCCTCCTCAAGTGGGTCCCTGACCCCTGACCCCCAAGCAGCCTAACTGGGAGGCACCCCCCAGCAGGGGCACACTGACACCTCACACAGCAGGGTATTCCAACAGACCTGCAGCTGAGGGTCCTGTCTCTTAGAAGGAAAACTAACAACCAGAAAGGACATCTACACCGAAAACCCATCTGTTCATCACCATCATCAAAGACCAAAAGTAGATAAAACCACAAAGATGGGGAAAAAACGGAACAGAAAAACTGGAAACTCTAAAACGCAGAGCGCCTCTCCTCCTCCAAAGGAACGCAGTTCCTCACCAGCAACAGAACAAAGCTGGATGGAGAATGATTTTGACGAGCTGAGAGAAGAAGGCTTCAGACGATCAAAATACTCTGAGCTACGGGAGGACATTCAAACCAAAGGCAAAGAAGTTGAAAACTTTGAAAAAAATTTAGAAGAATGTATAACTAGGATAACCAATACAGAGAAGTGCTTAAAGGAGCTGATGGAGCTGAAAACCAAGGCTCGAGAACTACGTGAAGAATGCAGAAGCCTCAGGAGCCGATGCGATCAACTGGAAGAAAGGGTATCAGCAATGGAAGATGAAATGAATGAAATGAAGCGAGAAGGGAAGTTTAGAGAAAAAAGAATAAAAAGAAATGAGCAAAGCCTCCAAGAAATATGGGACTATGTGAAAAGACCAAATCTACGTCTGATTGGTGTACCTGAAAGTGATGTGGAGAATGGAACCAAGTTGGAAAACACTCTGCAGGATATTATCCAGGAGAACTTCCCCAATCTAGCAAGGCAGGCCAACGTTCAGATTCAGGAAATACAGAGAACGCCACAAAGATACTCCTCGAGAAGAGCAACTCCAAGACACATAATTGTCAGATTCACCAAAGTTGAAATGAAGGAAAAAATGTTAAGGGCAGCCAGAGAGAAAGGTCGGGTTACCCTCAAAGGAAAGCCCATCAGACTAACAGCGGATCTCTCGGCAGAAACCCTACAAGCCAGAAGAGAGTGGGGGCCAATATTCAACATTCTTAAAGAAAAGAATTTTCAACCCAGAATTTCATATCCAGCCAAACTAAGCTTCATAAGTGAAGGAGAAATAAAATACTTTACAGACAAGCAAATGCTGAGAGATTTTGTCACCACCAGGCCTGCCCTAAAAGAGCTCCTGAAGGAAGCGCTAAACATGGAAAGGAACAACCGGTACCAGCCGCTGCAAAATCATGCCAAAATGTAAAGACCATCGAGACTAGGAAGAAACTGCATCAACTAATGAGCAAAATCACCAGCTAACATCATAATGACAGGATCAAATTCACACATAACAATATTAACTTTAAATATAAATGGACTAAATTCTGCAATTAAAAGACACAGACTGGCAAGTTGGATAAAGAGTCAAGACCCATCAGTGTGTTGTATTCAGGAAACCCATCTCACGTGCAGAGACACACATAGGCTCAAAATAAAAGGATGGAGGAAGATCTACCAAGCCAATGGAAAACAAAAAAAGGCAGGGGTTGCAATCCTAGTCTCTGATAAAACAGACTTTAAACCAACAAAGATCAAAAGAGACAAAGAAGGCCATTACATAATGGTAAAGGGATCAATTCAACAAGAAGAGCTAACTATCCTAAATATATATGCACCCAATACAGGAGCACCCAGATTCATAAAGCAAGTCCTGAGTGACCTACAAAGAGACTTAGACTCCCACACATTAATAATGGGAGACTTTAACACCCCACTGTCAACATTAGACAGATCAACGAGACAGAAAGTCAACAAGGATACCCAGGAATTGAACTCAGCTCTGCACCAAGCAGACCTAATAGACATCTACAGAACTCTCCACCCCAAATCAACAAAATATACATTTTTTTCAGCACCACACCACACCTATTCCAAAATTGACCACATAGTTGGAAGTAAAGCTCTCCTCAGCAAATGTAAAAGAACAGAAATTATAACAAACTATCTCTCAGACCACAGTGCAATCAAACTAGAACTCAGGATTAAGAATCTCACTCAAAGCCGCTCAACTACATGGAAACTGAACAACCTGCTCCTGAATGACTACTGGGTACATAACGAAATGAAGGCAGAAATAAAGATGTTCTTTGAAACCAACGAGAACAAAGACACCACATACCAGAATCTCTGGGACGCATTCAAAGCAGTGTGTAGAGGGAAATTTATAGCACTAAATGCCTACAAGAGAAAGCAGGAAAGATCCAAAATTGACACCCTAACATCACAATTAAAAGAACTAGAAAAGCAAGAGCAAACACATTCAAAAGCTAGCAGAAGGCAAGAAATAACTAAAATCAGAGCAGAACTGAAGGAAATAGAGACACAAAAAACCCTTCAAAAAATCAATGAATCCAGGAGCTGGTTTTTTGAAAGGATCAACAAAATTGATAGACCGCTAGCAAGACTAATAAAGAAAAAAAGAGAGAAGAATCAAATAGACACAATAAAAAATGATAAAGGGGATATCACCACCGATCCCACAGAAATACAAACTACCATCAGAGAATACTACAAACACCTCTACGCAAATAAACTAGAAAATCCAGAAGAAATGGATACATTCCTCGACACATACACTCTCCCAAGACTAAACCAGGAAGAAGTTGAATCTCTGAATAGACCAATAACAGGCTCTGAAATTGTGGCAATAATCAATAGTTTACCAACCAAAAAGAGTCCAGGACCAGATGGATTCACAGCCGAATTCTACCAGAGGTACAAGGAGGAACTGGTACCATTCCTTCTGAAACTATTCCAATCAATAGAAAAAGAGGGAATCCTCCCTAACTCATTTTATGAGGCCAGCATCATTCTGATACCAAAGCCGGGCAGAGACACAACCAAAAAAGAGAATTTTAGACCAATATCCTTGATGAACATTGATGCAAAAATCCTCAATAAAATACTGGCAAACCGAATCCAGCAGCACATCAAAAAGCTTATCCACCATGATCAAGTGGGCTTCATCCCTGGGATGCAAGGCTGGTTCAATATACGCAAATCAATAAATGTAATCCAGCATATAAACAGAGCCAAAGACAAAAACCACATGATTATCTCAATAGATGCAGAAAAAGCCTTTGACAAAATTCAACAACCCTTCATGCTAAAAACTCTCAATAAATTAGGTATTGATGGGACGTATTTCAAAATAATAAGAGCTATCTATGACAAACCCACAGCCAATATCATACTGAATGGGCAAAAACTGGAAGCATTCCCTTTGAAAACCGGCACAAGACAGGGATGCCCTCTCTCACCGCTCCTATTCAACATAGTGTTGGAAGTTCTGGCCAGGGCAATCAGGCAGGAGAAGGAAATAAAGGGTATTCAATTAGGAAAAGAAGAAGTCAAATTGTCCCTGTTTGCAGACAACATGATTGTTTATCTAGAAAACCCCATCGTCTCAGCCCAAAATCTCCTTAAGCTGATAAGCAACTTCAGCAAAGTCTCAGGATACAAAATCAATGTACAAAAATCACAAGCATTCTTATACACCAACAACAGACAAACAGAGAGCCAAATCATGAGTGAACTCCCATTCACAATTGCTTCAAAGAGAATAAAATACCTAGGAATCCAACTTACAAGGGATGTGAAGGACCTCTTCAAGGAGAACTACAAACCACTGCTCAAGGAAATAAAAGAGGACACAAACAAATGGAAGAACATTCCATGCTCATGGGTAGGAAGAATCAATATCGTGAAAATGGCCATACTGCCCAAGGTAATTTACAGATTCAATGCCATCCCCATCAAGCTACCAATGACTTTCTTCACAGAATTGGAAAAAACTACTTTAAAGTTCATATGGAACCAAAAAAGAGCCCGCATTGCCAAGTCAATCCTAAGCCAAAAGAACAAAGCTGGAGGCATCACACTACCTGACTTCAAACTATACTACAAGGCTACAGTAACCAAAACAGCATGGTACTGGTACCAAAACAGAGATATAGATCAATGGAACAGAACAGAGCCCTCAGAAATAATGACGCATATCTACAACTATCTGATCTTTGACAAACCTGAGAAAAACAAGCAATGGGGAAAGGATTCCCTATTTAATAAATGGTGCTGGGAAAACTGGCTAGCCATATGTAGAAAGCTGAAACTGGATCCCTTCCTTACACCTTATACAAAAATCAATTCAAGATGGATTAAAGATTTAAACGTTAGACCTAAAACCATAAAAACCCTAGAAGAAAACCTAGGCATTACCATTCAGGACATAGGCGTGGGCAAGGACTTCATGTCCAAAACACCAAAAGCAATGGCAACAAAAGCCAAAATTGACAAATGGGATCTAATTAAACTAAAGAGCTTCTGCACAGCAAAAGAAACTACCATCAGAGTGAACAGGCAACCTACAACATGGGAGAAAATTTTCGCAACCTACTCATCTGACAAAGGGCTAATATCCAGAATCTACAATGAACTCAAACAAATTTACAAGAAAAAAACAAACAACCCCATCAAAAAGTGGGCGAAGGACATGAACAGACACTTCTCAAAAGAAGACATTTATGCAGCCAAAAAACACATGAAGAAATGCTCATCATCACTGGCCATCAGAGAAATGCAAATCAAAACCACTATGAGATATCATCTCACACCAGTTAGAATGGCAATCATTAAAAAGTCAGGAAACAACAGGTGCTGGAGAGGATGTGGAGAAATAGGAACACTTTTACACTGTTGGTGGGACTGTAAACTAGTTCAACCATTGTGGAAGTCAGTGTGGCGATTCCTCAGGGATCTAGAACTAGAAATACCATTTGACCCAGCCATCCCATTACTGGGTATATACCCAAAGGACTATAAATCATGCTGCTATAAAGACACATGCACACGTATGTTTATTGCGGCACTATTCACAATAGCAAAGACTTGGAACCAACCCAAATGTCCAACAATGATAGACTGGATTAAGAAAATGTGGCACATATACACCATGGAATACTATGCAGCCATAAAAAATGATGAGTTCATGTCCTTTGTAGGGACATGGATGAAATTGGAAACCATCATTCTCAGTAAACTATCGCAAGAACAAAAAACCAAACACCGCATATTCTCACTCATAGGTGGGAATTGAACAATGAGATCACATGGACACAGGAAGGGGAATATCACACTCTGGGGACTGTGGTGGGGTCGGGGGAGGGGGGAGGGATAGCATTGGGAGATATACCTAATGCTAGATGACTCGTTAGTGGGTGCAGCGCACCAGCATGGCACATGTATACATACGTAACTAACCTGCACAATGTGCACATGTACCCTAAAACTTAGAGTATAATAAAAAAAAAAAAATTAAAAAAAAAAATTTAAGTGTAACACCTCAAACTGTAAAAATCCTAGAAGAAAGCCAAGGAAACATCATTCTGGGTATCAACCTTGGGAAAGAATTTATGACCAAGTCCTCAAAAAAATTACAGCAAAAACAAAAATTGACGAGTGGGACCTAATTAAACTAAGGAGCATCTGCACAGCAAAAGAAACTATCAATAGAGTAAGCAGGCAACCTACAGAATAAGAGAAAATATTCACAACCTATGCACCTGACAAAGATCTAATATTCAGAATCTATAAGGAACTTAAGGAAATCAACAAGCAAAAACAACCCCATTAAAAAGTGGGCAAAAGACATGGACACTTCTTGAAAGAAGACATACAAGTAGCCAACAAGCATGAAAAAATGCTCAGCATCACCAGTCATCAGAGAAATGCACATCAAAACCACAGTGAGATATCATCTCACACCAGTCAAAATGGTTATTATTGTGAAGTCAAACAACAGATGCTGGTGAGGCTGCAGAGTAAAGGCAATGCTTATACACTGTTGGTGGTAATGTAAATGAGTTCAGCTGCTGTGGAAAGCAGTTTGGATATTTCTCAAAGAACTTAGAACTACTGCTGGACATAGTGGCTCATGCCTGTAATCCCAGCACTTTGGGAAACCAAGGTGGAAGGATTGCTGGGGCCCTGGAGTTCAAGACCAGCCTTGGCAAGATGGCTAGACCTCATCTCTACAACATAATAAGGAAATTAGCTGGGCATGGTGGCACATGCTCATAGTCCCAGCTACTTGGGAGGCTGAGGCAGAAGGATCCCTTGAGCCCAGGGGTTCAAAGCTGCAGTGAGCCAGGATTGCACCACTGCACTCCAGCTTAAATGACAGAGTAAGACCCCATCTCTAAAATACAGTACTACCATTTGACCCAGTAATCCTATTACTGGGTATATATCTAGAAGAAAATAAATCATTCTACCAAAAAGACATGTGCACTTGTATATTCATCACAGTGCTATTCACAATAGCAAAGAGAAGGAATCAACCTAGGTGCCCATCAATGATGCATAGGATAAAGAAAATGTAGTACATATACACCATGGAATACTACGCAGCCATAAAAAGAATGAAATCATGTCCTTTGCAGCAACATGGATGCAGCTGGAGGCCATTATTCTAAGCAAATTAATACAGGAACAGAAAACCAAATATCGCCTGTTCTCACTTATAAGTGACATAAAGATGGCAAGAATAGACACTGGGGACTAATAGAAGGGGGAAAGGGAGGGGAAGGAAGGGTTGAAAAACTAACTTTTGGGTACTATGCACCCAGATAGTGTTATCTGGGTGACAGGTCATTCATATCCCAAACCTCAGCATCATGCAATACACCCATGTAAGAAGCATTTATATGTACCACCTGAATCTAAAATAAAAGTTGAAATTATTTAAAAAAATGACTGCACTGACATAAAAGTTAAAACTTATGAGATGAAATATTTTGACCTGCTTCATCCTTTGGATTAATTTCAAGACGTTTCATATAATCTTTTATTATGTTGGCAAAATTCATTACCTGGGGAACTACCTCTTAGGGGTTGGACAAATCAGTTCACAGCAAGCAGATATGTTTCATAGTAAATAAGGAAAGTGCTATGCAGTACATTTAAAGTTGCACATTGTTTTTTGGTCTGAGACATAATCATGTGTTTACTCTTTGTTCACCTAAAACATTCTAGTATACTAGAAACTATCAGTCTCTTTCCTCTAATATAACTGTTTGATGAGGTTTTGGAGGTATTTTAGCCAACTCTTGATTATCTTTGGTAATGGATCATCATGAATGAAAGACATTTATAGATCATTTTAAACTCTCTTCTTAGTAGCTGTAAATTCCTCCATCACTAATCTCTTATGACATTGATAGTAAGCTTCCAGTTTAATCTCCTTTTAATTTTCTATGATTATTTCTGGTGGAAATAATAATAATGAGCTGATCATATATAAAAATGATGACTAACTTTTTATCATTCAGTTATATAATATGAATTGACTTTTTTCAAACAGAGGTGATTTCATCTGGTCTAAGAAAATGCTTTGCTGGAAAGTTTTCTTAGATTTGGCATATGCTGTGGGATGAGGGTAAGTAGCCAAGTTTAAAATGAGGGGTAGTATTAGACAAACAGGATGAAGAAAGAGTCTCACTAACCTCCCAACTGGGTAATTAAGATGATTCTCACCAGTACTTAATTCTTCCCCCAAGAGACTTCTGAGTTTACTTTTCCTGATAGTCTTACTTTCTTCTCTTTTCTTTGGAAAAGGTAATTTCTTATTAGTCTAGCAAAACCAGGTGAGTAGGAATTGACATTTAGAACACAAACACTTGACAAACTGGGTCAGACAAAGTTAACAGTCTAATGAATAGCTTACCATGCAGTCTAATGTTCCATATTGTCACCTGACTTCTGGTAGGGCAGTTTGAGGCAGCACTGCCACAGAAGTGCTTCTCCTTGATGCAGAATTCACCACATAACAAAATGGTTACGATAGAGTCTCAGCAATTAAGACAAGAGAACTACAAATATTGCTCAGAATAGCTTATAGTTACATCATGCATTGGAAAGTTGCATTGTTTAATAGGTGTGACAGTATTGTAAGAGAAATTTGGAAATGTTAGGAAGGAGTGATATTCCTAAGGGAAATTATTCAACCTAAAGTAACTTAGGCTCAATTTTTCTTATTCAGCAATCTGGAGGTTGTTATTCACACATTAAATTGGCGATTTTTCCCCACTGTGCATGGTTAACAAATATAGTTATGTTGACAATTTTCCTTAGAAATTATAAAATCAATTGAGAATATTAGGAATTTGGTAAGTAACTCATAAAGCCTTAAAAATCCCCTCTTGCCAGCACTTTGGGAGGCCAAGGCGGGTGGATCATGAGGTCAGGAGATCAAGACCATCCTGGCTAACACGGTGAAACCCTGTCTCTACTAAAAATACAAAAAAAATTAGCCGGGTGTGGTGGCAGGCTCCTGTAGTCCCAGCTACTCGGGAGGCTGAGGCAGAAGAATGGCATGAACCCGGGAGGTGGAGCTTGCAGTGAGCCCAGATCACACCACTGCACTCCAGCCTGGGCGATAGAGCAAGACTCCATCTCAAAAAAAAAAAAAATTATTCTCTTAAGAGCAATTAGAAAACTATTATTTTCTACATGATTACAATTCCGTAAGATTTTGAATATGTTGCACATTTTATTTTGAAACCTAGTCATTATATAAGCAGTATTCTTCATCACACAGAGACCTATTTGCAAACATCAATGTTTTGTTTTCTGAACACAGTATTCTGCTTCCAATGATACTGTGAATTTCTTTGTTCCCCATTGCTTTTCATAGCTCATACTTCTACAACATTATTTCTACAAGGCAAACTGATTTTGTATATTTATCTATTTTAAAATATAAATGAGCTACAAACTGAGGTTTCGAAAAACTGAGTAAAAGGAATTATCTCTGAGAGATGAGTATGTAGGGAAATAAAGTAGAAATTGTGGAGAACTCCCTAACTCATTTGATAAGCCAAGAATTGGCTTGACATCTGAACTAAACAAAAGCAATACAAGAAAAAAAAACTACATACCAATACTCCAGTGAAGGTAGACACAAAGATCCTTATGAAAATATTAGCAGATTGATTCCAACAATACATTAAAAAAAAGGATAATATGTTGTTACCAAATGGGGATTATCTCTGGAATGCAAGGGTGTTTAACTTTCAAAAGTCAGTGTAACTTATATTAACATAATGAGAAAGCAAAACCATAAGATAATTTCAACTGATGCAGAAAAAGCATTTGAAAAAACTCAATATCTATTCATAATAAAAATTCTGAGAAAACTGGGCATATAAGGGAACTTCCGCATTCTGAAAAAGGTACCTATAAAAACCTACAGCAACATTATAGTTAATCATGATGCTTTCATAAATTATAAAGGACTTCATGGCTATAAAGCATCATAAATGATTTCTTTCTGAAACAGAAAACCAGGTAAAGCTATCTGATCTCATTACTTTAATTCAGTGTTGTACTGAAGGTTTTAGACCGTACAGTACAACAAGAAAAAGAAATGAGAGAGAATACAGATTAGGAAGTGAAAAGTAAAAGTTTTAAAAACATGATTGTACATGTAGAAAATATTAAGGAATTTATTTAAAAAATACTAGAACTAATATGTAAGTTTAGTAAAGTTGAAGAGTACAGGTCAATATACAAAAAAATTAATTTGTTTCTCTATACTAGCAATAAACAATTGAAAATTGAAAATGTTAAATCATATTATTTATAATAGCATTAAAACCTTGAAAAACTAAGGGATGAATTTAACAAAATATGTGCAATACATTCTGAGAACTACAAAACATTGTTGAAAGAAATTAAAGACCTAAATAAATTGGAAAATATACCGTGTTCTTGGATAGCAAAGCTCCATATTGTTAAGATGTCAGTTATCCATGATTTGGTTTACAAATTCAGTGTAATTGCAGGCACTAAGATCTTAATATTAATATTCATGGTTAATGTTAGCCATTGCCCTGAAAGTATTGTCTATTTTATATTTAGTTTTTCTTTTTGTTCATAAGTAACCACTTATTCAAAAATTTCTGTGAACATGTATATGTATATACATTAAAGCCAAATAATATATGAGCCAAAATAAAATCCAAATTTGTATTCCAAATTTGTCACAAGTGCGACCGTTCAACAAGATTTTAGAAACCATTCAGGGGCCAAGTGTAGTGGCCCACACTTATAATCCCAGCACTTTGGGAGGCCTAAGCAGGTGGATCACTTGAGTCCAGGAGTTCGAGATCAGCCTGGGCAACACGGTGAAAATCCGTCTCTACAAAACATACAAAAAAAAAAATTAGCTGGGATAGAGGCATGCACCTGTAGTCCTACCAGCTAGGGAGGCTGAGGTAGAAGGATTGCTTGAGCCTGGGAGGTCGAGGCTGCAGTGAGCATGTCACTGCACTCCAGTCTAGATGACAGAGTGAGACACTGTCTCAAGAAAAAAAATAAAAATAAAAAAAAGGAAACCATTCAGCAACACAATTTATTTGACTATACACATATAGAAATCAAATTAGAGCTAATATACCGTAATAGGATAGGAAATCTGGTGTTAGAGCAGCCTGAGTTTAAATCCTGGTTTGCAATTTTGTGATCTTTAAAAATTTATCTAGTGTCTTTAATCTAGTTTCTCATCTTTAAAATGGGATTAATAATTCTTTTGTCGTCTGGGCACGGTGGCTCACACCTGTAGTTCCAGCATTTTGGGAGGCCAAGGCAGGCGGATCACCTGAGGTCAGGAGTTTGAGACCAGCCTGGCCAACATGGCGAAACCCTGTCTCTACCAATAAAATATAAAAAAATTAGCTGGGCTTGGTGGTGCACACCTATAATCCCAGCTACTCAGGAGGCTGAGGCAGGAGAATCGCTCGAACCTGGGAGGCAGAGATTGTAGTGAGCCGAGATTGCGTCATTGTACTCCAGCCTGGGCAACAAGAAACTCCATCTAAAAAAACAAAAATTAAAAAAAAAATTCTTTTGTCATGTTTCCCAAGATTTAATGAGATAATATATGTAAAGCATTTAAAATAATGCTTGACACTTAGTAAGCACTAAATAGTTGGTAGATGCTAGCTATTATTGCTAAAAGTGATAGTAATTTGCTATTAGGGGCAGTAAATGCTATAATATATACTGCATTATATATGATATAGTAAATATTCCATTTTCACTGCAGTTCATTTCTAAAAACTACACTATGATAGGTTAGGGTGAATAATATTTTTTCTGTATGAATTTTGTAATAAATGGTCATTTCAGAATGGCCTATTCAAGATCGCCTCATGTATAACAGAAGTGTGATATGTGTAAAATATGTGTACAACATGTCATAAAACAAAACAGATTCCTTAACTGTAACCCTTCATAATAATTTAGGTCTGTTAAAAATAATTTATATCTGTTTTTGAAAAAGCTGTTGCAAAATCTATAAAATGGATATAAATATACTGCAAATATTCATTTGATGTTATAGTGCATTCCAGTTTCCCCAAAATTGAACACATACAAAATTAAATTATACATACTATATCAGTACATAGGAATACTAGTATCATGGCCACATTAATAAGCATTTAATACTGAATTTGCTTTTATTTCTTAGAATTAATGAGTGGAGTTCTGTTTTGGTTTTGAAATGTATAAGAAAGGCAAAATTGAAGGAAATGACCAGGTAAGAAAGTCCAATATCCAACAGATGCTAACCTCAAGTTAGAGTTCAGGTAAACCCATGAACACTGGAGAGCTTCTGATAAGGTGAGAGGTAGTGATGCAAAGCACTGGAGATGCCAGAGTGTTGGGGAAATATTTTGGGGAATCTAGGCTGGCAGGAGGTTATTGACCAGGAGACCTGGCTATGGGTAATATCTGACTACTGGTCAAACAGTATTTGTGCCAATCTTTGTGAGGACTACGGGGATTGCAGTAGTTACGGCCTGAATATTTGGAAAAATGAGATTCACCAAAGCAAGGTAAAATCTACAAGGCAGTATATGCGGGTTTGGGATGGTGGCAAGTAGTGGTGCTTTGAAAGAAAAATGACCAAAGCTGAAACTTCAGTGCTGTGGACTAGAGCTCCTGAGATTCAGAATGGCTTCAATTAAGTGAAAAAACCAACACTGGGGCAATGGGTCCCAGATCAGGTGAAAGCAAGGGAGGCTTACGGGGTGTTAGTTTTTTTGTGATGCCTCACAAATTACCACAAACGTAGTGGCTTGAAACGAGCCGTATTTACTATCTCACAATTCTGTGGGTCAGGAATCATGGCTGACTTAGTTGGGTCCTCTGCTCCGTGTCTCACAAGGCTATAATCAAAGTGTCAACTGGGCTGTGTTGTTATCCAGAGGCTTGACCAGGGAAGAATCCATTTCCAAGCTTATTTAGGTTATTGGAAGAATTCATTTCTTTGGGGCTATGGACTGTATAAGAGAGGGCCCTGGCTTTTTACAGTCTGGGGACTTAGAGACTGCCTTTAGGTCTTTACCATGAGATGCTTTCTGTAGGCTGCTTATAACATGGTTTTTTTCTTCTTCAAGGCCCTCACACTCAGACTGCTAAGACAGACTCACGTAATGTAACAATATAATCATGAGAGGGATATTCTTTCACCTTATTTTTTTTTTTTTTTTGAGGTAGAGTCTCAGTCACCCAGACTGAAGTGCAGTGGTGCAATCTCAGCTCACTGCAACCTTCGCCTCCTGGGTTCAAGTGATTCTCCTGCCTCAGCCTCCCCAGCTGGGATTACAGGTGCGCACCACCATGCCCAGCTAATTTTTGTATTTTTAGTAGAGATGAGGTTTCTCCATGTTGACCAGGCTGGTCTCGAACTCCTGACCTCAGATGATCCGCCCGCCTCGGCCTCCCAAAGTGCTGGAATTAAGGCGCGAGCCACTGCTCCTGGCCTCCTTCACCATTTCTGTCTTCTATTGGTTAGAATCAAGTCACAGGTTCTACCTGTACTCAAGGAGAGGGGAGCTATATTCAGTGGGTGGAAATCACAGGGACCATCTCAGAATTCCTTCAACCACACCGAGCAAGCCCAGTAACTTCCTAGGCATCATAGGCTCTTTGTCCTAATATGACTTAATATTCTGGGTACCATTAAATGAGATATTAGAAAGGATAGGTACTTAGAGATTCAGTTGAGGTTGTCACATAGTCTAGGGCAGCATCATATCTTAAACTGGGGCCAACTCTGAACACAACTGAGAGAAGCTTGGGAAATCTGAGGCAGGGAAGAAAGAATAGGTAGAGGAGTTATGGGGAAGAATAACACTTTTCCTCAGTGGATGCCAAGTTTTAGCTACTTAGTATCAGATGAAATTAAGGCCACTAAGAATAAAGGCTTTTAAATCTCCTCATCTTTCACTGCCACAGTCTGTTTGACACTCCGCTGACAGCTGTCAAAGCACCTCACCCTTCATTGGAAATCTATAAAAACGATTACCATGTCGTTAGCATTTACTTAAAAAATAAGAATTCAAAATATTTCTTAAAGCATCCAGATGGACACAAGGCCATAGACTATCAAGGCATGTGTTGATGTCTTTCTGTACTTTAATATTTATGAAAACTTTTGAAAGACTTGCAAGTGATGACTCAAATGATGTGGTGGAAAGATAAGGTGAATACTGGACACATAGTGTGTATTGGTTGGGGCTAAATTTAACTGCATGTAACGAAATCCATTTGGCTTTCTCCCACTCTTAAGAGGCCCAGAGCTCCTCCTGTCTTCCAGCCCTGCCATCCTTGGAGCATGAACTTTTAGTCCTAAAGGCTTCTAAAGTTTATATGTCAGTTTCTATGGCTGCTGCTGAGCTCCAGCCATCACTTCTGAATTCTAGAAAGGATGAAAGAGGAAGGCAGTGGTAGGTAGAGGGGAGGGTATTCTCTCATCGCTCCATTCATCCATCCACCTGTCCTTTTACAATTCTGGATGCTACTGGTTGAATTACAATGAAATAATAAGGCTCATATATTCACGGGCAGCTACTTAAGTATTATTATTAAGGGATAATATTAAATTACATTGTATACTGAGATAACATTAAGGTCTGAGTAGTGACTAAGCCTATTTATTCCAGTAGGTAACAGTTATACATGATTGATTTCTCTTTTCAGAGAACACATTATCTTAGGCACTTTTCAAACACTGTAATTTCAGTGTATTTTACAATTCCATATAGACTCTTTCTGCTAGTACATAGTCAGTGACTATGGTGGAGAGTTTGGGTAGAAACTCAGTCTGTGGCATCTTGTACCATATTTAATTCCCAGGCCCTGCTGCCTCCCCATGAAATTTTAATGATAAATTCTTCAAATGGAAATTGGTGATACCTTAAAATGTCAAAAGACAATTTTTTATAATGAATGTTTTGACAGATATTAGCATTTAGTGACATGTATATTTAACCATAGTATTTTAGCAATAAAATATTTAAGTCTCTCAAACTATTAAATAGGGAATCTTACATGTATACATTACACAAAGACAACATGCCATCTTTAGCCATTTCCTTCCAAATAATGTGCACAAGTAATTCTAGCTTATTCTTTTGAGATAATGTCTTAAGAATTATTTTTTTATTTTTATTTCTTAGAGATAGGGTCTCACTCTGTTGCCAAGGCTGGGGTGCAGTGGCATGATCACAGCTAACTGCTGCCTTGAACTTCTGGGCTTAAGTGATCTTCCCAAATCAGCCTCCCAAATAACTGGGACTACAGCCCGCACCACCACAGCCAGCTAATTTTTTGTAGAGACAGGATCTCACTATGTTGTGCAGGCTGGTCTCAAACTCCTGGCTCAAGTAATCCTCCCACCTCAGCCTCCCAAAGTGCTGGGATAACAGGCGTGTGCCACCATGACAAGCCAAGAATTCTTTCTGTGGTCACTGTTAGTTAAAATTCCAAACCATGAATAACACTGTAAACCAACAAAATAATTTGTTGTGATTCTATTGGAGATTCCTTCAACTACTCAGTGAGGTAAATTAGCCATTCTTTTTAAGGGTATAAACATTTGAGTATAAAGTTAATATTTTTTAGGTTCTCCTGTATTTGTGTTCAGGTCAGCAATGCTGTGGTAATCAATGTGTTTCAGCTATGATTAGTCAATTAACTCTGAATCCATCTATATCTGTTTTTGTACCCAGCATGCTTCCATTTTAGTCATAAGGATATCATGAGATACTGTCACATGTTTAGCTGAAATCAAGATATGCCATGTCAAAACGCTTCCCTGATTGTGAGTCTAGGTACCTCATCACAAAGGAATTGAGGTTAATTTGGCATAACTAGTTGGCAGCAAACTCAGGTTTGCTTCTGGTTGATTTCTCTTCATTTCCCCAAGTGCTCACAGACCATCTGCATAACAAACTTGAATCGAATTTCGACCCTCATACCTTTAAGGATGTCTCCTGCACTTCTTATCTCTCCTCAGGCTTTATTGCTGTTTATTGAGCCCTCCACCTGGATCTTCCTGCCCATTTGAAACACAATATATGTCAAATGGAACTCATCTGTGCTACTTTTTTTAACTAATGACATAATTACCCATCCGTCCCCCCAATCAAATTCTTATTCTCTTTGTCTTCTACTTCCAGTGAGCTTTCCGATACCCATTTTATCTGTCCCTTTACTCTCATACCACAGAAATGTCTCAATGCAAGCCTGGGTGCAGTGGCTCACGCCTATAATCCTAGCATTCTGGGAGGCTGAGGTTTGCGGATTACCTGAGGTCAGGAGTTTGAGACCAGCCTGGCCAACATGGTGAAACCCGTCTCTACTAAAAATACAAAAATCAGCCGGGCATGGTGGCAGGTGCCTGTAATCCCACCTACTCAGGAGGCTGAGGCAGGAGAATCGCTTGAACCTGGGAGGCCGAGATTGCGGTGGGCCGAGATCGTACCATTACATTCCAGCCTGGGCAACAGAGCAAGACTCTGTCTCAAAAAAAAAAAAAAAAAAAGAGAAAAAGGAATGTCTCAGTGCAGATACTTATTCCCTCTTACCTGGAATACTGAGTCTATTTCTAAGTGCTCTCCCTGCTGGTAGTCCATTTTTCTTCTTACACATACCTGCCAGAATAATTTTCCCAAAGCAAATCTCATGTCACTCACTACTTAGAAACCTCCATGCTTCTCTATTAGCTGATAAATACAGTCCAGATTTGTTAGCCTGGCATTCAGGTACCAGTCTGGACAGAGTCCTCCTTGCCAGCCTTACTGCTTATGGAACCCCTTCATGCATGTGACATGCCCTGTGTCTTCATGTGCTTTTCCCTCTTTTCATTCACCCTACTCTGCAATCACTCAGTAAGAGATGGTGCAAATGTTTATGGAGCTTTTACTGTTTCCACTTTTGAAAAGTGGTTTCTCTTTCTTCTGAATGATCCTGACATGTACATTTACCTCTATCATGGCAAAAGGCCGTCCTCTGAAAGTCACAGCTGTATTAGAGTGTTAGCTTTTGGAGACAAAGACTTCAGTTTATTAACCTGTGCAGTTCCCACAGCATATGTCCTCTGTGGAATCTGTCATTCATCTTTTGTCTCTGTGCTCTGCCTCCTTAATTGGAGACTATCATTCTTAATGGTCTGTCGGACTAGGCTGTCTGAGTCTTCCTTTCAGAATTCTGTTGCTTTGGTGTCTCTCTACACTATTAGTCTCAGGAAGCACCCTACATTATGCTGCTGCCCTGAGGTTTGGGCTGTTCTAGAAGCATATCCTTTTCTATCAGGGACTGCCGCTCCCTCCTCTACTCTCCCCTTCCCTGCCCTCCCGCTTCTATCTTTTTAAAAATTCAATTAATTTTTTTAACCTTTGAGACTATCTTTATTATTCTCATTATTGAGGGGAAATTCAAATAACATAAAATTATCCACTTTAAGTGAACATTTCTGGCTGGGCACAGTGGATTACATGCCTGTAATCCCAGCACTTTGGGAGGCTGAGGTGGGAGGATTGCTTGAGCCCAGGAGTCCGAGACTAGCCTGGGAAACATGGCAAGACCCTGTCTCTACAAAAAATTTAAAAATTAGCTGGGGGTGGTGGCATTCACATATGATCCCAGCCACTTGGGAGGCTAAGGCGGGGGGACAGCTTGAACCCAGAAGGTTGAGACTGCAGTGAGCCACAATTGTGCCACTGTACTACAGCCTGGGCAACAGAGCAAGACCCTGTCTCAATAAACAGACAAACAATAAAAAGTGAACAATTCTGTGTCATCAAACATTTTTATGATGCGGTACAACCACTATGTCTACTTCCAAAATATTTTCATTACCCCAAAGGAAACCTCTTATCTGTTAACAAATTACTCCCCATTTCCCTATCCTCACACCCCCTGGCAATGACCAATGTACATTCTATCTCTGTGGATTTCCCTATTATGGATATTTCATATCAATGGAATCATACAATATATGACCTTTTGTGTCCAGCTCTTTCACTTAACACGACGCTTTCAAGGTTTATCCATGTTCATTTATCAGTATTTCATTTTTTTTATAGATGAATAATCTTTTGCATATATAGATATAGATAGATATATATCACATTTCAGTTATCCACCCATCCAGTCACTTTTAACTATTGTAAACAGTGCTACTATGAACATGCAGGTTCAAGTATTTGTTTGAGTCTGTTTTCAATTCTTGATATATACCTAGGAGTGAAATTGCTCGATCATATATAAATTCTATGTTTAACTTTTTGAGGAACCACCAAATTCGCTCTATCTCTCTCTCTCTCCTCCTCTTTCTCTCGCTCTCTCTGTTTCACTATGCCTCAGTCAATTGCATCTTCAGACCTGAGTACCTTCTCAGAAAGCCTTAATAATTGCCAAGAAATCACATTTACTCCTTTGTGTCAGAACTTAGACTGTGTCTCAAAGGCAATTAAGGACCTAAATATTACTTTTTCTTTTCCTTAATTTTCCCCTGAGACTTACTGGACTCTATTAGAGTTCTTTTTCTGTATCATGTATATTGTTCTTTTTTTGTATCTGATTTCATTTAGGTTTACAACATCTTCATCTGGTGGGCACAGATGCCAAACACTTTCTTCCTCATCTCTTTAAGATTGTGCTCTCTCCCTGTCAGGATCCAATTGTTCTAAGATCATAAGTCATCACCCAGAACAATAAATTCTAGTCTATTCTTTTTTAGCCAACTATTCACTTGTATGTTATTTTTTTTTCTTTGTTCAAAGGTAAAAACTTGAATTGGAAAAAGAAATAAAAAGACTTAATCCTTATGTATCCCAGAGTTTCACAAGTCTATTTCACAGGAAGATTGCTTTATTTTTTACGACTTTATCATTCTTCCAAGTCATCAGAAATGGTAGTATCTGCAATCTCTTGTATTTGGGATACTCATTCCAGGTGGGAAACATAGAACCTCTAAGATGAAGGTCCCCTCTGTTCCCCAAGAAGGGAAGCATCCATCACCAACACATGGCCTCCCACTTGCGAGGGTCTCTATAGCCTCCCTTGCATTATTGCTACCACAAGTACCCCAGAAAGACTAGCTTGACCTTTTATTAACAACAACAACAACAAAACAAAACTGATTTCAGTGCAAGAGTTCCAGGGGCTTTGAAATTCTTTCTTTCTCTTTGTGTGAGGTTCTTCCCTACATCAAACTCATGACACTGGTTTGGTTTGCCCTGTACTCAGAACACATCTTATTTTCTGGTGTCTATGGATTTTTTTCCTGTTCCCTCTAGGAAAGCTTCATCCTCTCTAATAATCCAGAAGGAGGAGAGGCCTTCCTTAAGCACTTTCACTTATTTATTCAGGAAGTGTTTGTTGAGCCTTTACAGGTGGAAGACAGTCCTCTAGGCACTCAGGATACAGCAATTAACAAAGCAAAGTCCTGTTCCCATAGTTTCATAGCCTAGTGAGTAAATACAGATAGAGAACAAATGAATAAGTCTATATTGTGTAATGTGTCACCTGGAGAAAAGTGCTATAAAGACTAGATGGCACTATTTTAAATGTGGAGGACATAGAAGGCTTTTCCATTGTGACATTTGAAACCATTTAGGGGGCTAATGAAATAGTCCTGGTATAAGATGATAGTGTCTCAGACCAGAGTGGTTGAGACAGATGCGATTTTCCTATATGGTTGTTCTCTTAGAGCTGGGAGATCACTCAGCATTAGAGTACACAAAACCTCTGCCCTTCTTAAGAAGTAGACAATTTAGTATATATCATGTAACTCATGTAAGATGTACTTGATTTTCATTCTTTGTCTCAAACGGAACTTCAGTTCTTTGTTATATGATTTGTATTTTGTTACCAAAATGCTTGCTTTTATGCACTTAACCAGTTGATCTCAAACTTGAATATGGAGATGCATCACCAGGAAGAATTGTTTAAAATGAAGATTCAAAGGAGCACCCTGGGAGATTCATGTGCAGATGGCTTGGGCTGCATTTTCACAAACACTGCACTTAGCCCTCTTCTTAAACTGGGCTGGTTCCTCTGTACCACATTGCTGAACAGTTGAAGATTTTTTGCAGCTAATAGAGTGATTACTAGTGTTCTAGTTAGCAGTCACATTGGGCCTAGCAGTATCTAATACAATCTCCTGCCTTTCATGAGAATAAACAATATTTTGATTTCCTGCTTCTAGCAGTTTTCACACTGGTTCAGACTGCTCTGAATAGTAATTCCTCCTAGAAAGAGCTATTTTTCCCCACAGCTATAATCTATACCAAAAATAAATAAATAACAAATTGTAAATAATCGGCGAAGTTTGAAACTTATTTTCTTTAGTAAAAGATTATTTTCAGTGAAATCAAATGCAACTGTTATGGTTAACAATGTGTAGATTTGAATCTGAGATATTATATTTAGCAGAGCCCATTTTTACCAAGCAAAGCTTTTTTTTTATTTCAATAGCTTTAGGGGTACAAGTGGCTTTTGATTACATGAATGAATTATGTAGTTGTGAAGTCTGAGATTTTAGTGTACTGTCACCCGCGTAGTATATATTGTACCTAACATGCAGTTTTTTATCCATCACCCTCCTCCCATTTATTCCCCCTCCTGAGTCTCCAGCATCCATTATACCACTCTATATGCCTTTGCATACCCATAGCTTAGCTCTCACTTATGAATGAGAACGTATGGTATTTGGTTTTCCATTCCTGAGATACAGAGTTACTTCACTTCACATAATGACCTTCAGCTTCATCCAAGTTGCTGCAAAAGATATTATTTTGTTCCTTTTTATGGCTGAGTAGTATTCCATGGTGTGTGTGTTGTGGGGGGAGTGTGTATGTTTACACACACCGCATTTTCTTTATCCACTCAGTGTTGAATGAGCATTTAGGTTGGTTCCATTTCTTTGCAATTGTGAATTGTGTTGTGGTAAACATTTGTATGCAGATGTCTTTTTGATATAATGACTTCTTTTCCTTCGAATAGATACCCAGTAATGGGGCTGCTGGATTGAATGGTAAATCTACTTTTAATTTCTTTGAGAAATCTTCATACTGCTTTCCACAGAGGTTGCACTAATTTACATTCCCACTATCAGTTGATAAGCATTCTCTTTTACCACATCTATGCCAACATTTATTGTTTTTTGACTTTTTAATAATGGCCATCTTGGCTGGGGTAAGGTGATATCTCATTGTGGTTTTAATTTTCATTTCCCTGATGATTAGTGATGTGCATTTTTTCATGTTTGTCAGCCATTTGTTTATCTTTTTTTGAGATATGTCTATCCATGTCCTTTGCCCACTTTTTGGATAGGATTTTTTATTTTTTTCTTGCTAATTTGTTTGAGTTTCTTGTAGATTATGGATATTAGTCCTTTATCAGATGTGTAGTTCGCAAATATTTTCTTATTCTGTGGTTTGTCTGTTTAGTCTAATGATTATTTCTTTTGCTGTGCAGAAGCTGTTTAGTTTAATTAGGTTTCATTTATTTATGTTTGTTTTATCTCCTTTAGGTGTCTTAGTCATAAATTCTTTGCCTAGGCCAATGTCCAGAGAGTTTTTCCTGGGTTTTCTTCTAGAATTTTTATTGTTGTAGGTCTTAGACTAAGTCTTTAGTCCATCTTGAGTTTATTTTTGTGTATGGTAAGAGATAGGGATCCAGTTTCATTCTTCTACAGGTGACTGTACAGTTTTCTTAGCACCACTTATGACATAGGGTGTCCTTTCCCCAATTTATGTTTTTCTATGCTTTGTCAAGGACCAGTTTGATGGGTGCATTTGGCTTTATTTCTGGGTTCTCTATTCTGATCCATTGGTCTATGTATCTACTTTTATACAAGTACCTACTACAAGGTTACTATAGCCTTGTAGTATAATTTGAAGTTGGGTAATGTGATGCCTCCAGATTTATTCTTTTTGTTTAGGATTGTTATGGCTATTTGGGCTCTTTTTTGGTTCCATATTAATTTGGGGACTGTTTTTTCTAATTCTGTGAAAAATGATGTTGGTATTTTGATGTGGATTGCATTCAATCTGTAGATTGCTTTGGGCAGTATGGTCACTTTCACCATATTGATTCTTCCAATCCATGAGCATGAAATGTATTTCCATTTGTTTGTGTTATCTATTTTTTTTTTAGCAGTGTTTTATAGTTCTCCTTGTAGAGATCTTTCACCTTCTTGGTAAAGTATATTCCTAGATTTTTAAAATTCGTTTATTGGTTTGTTTTTACAGCAATTATAAAAGTGATTGAGTTCTTCATTTGATTCTCAGCTAGGTCACTGTTGGTATATAACAGTGATACCAATTTGTGTATATTGATTTTGTAACCTGAGACTTTCCCGAATTTATTTATCAAATGTAGGAGTCTTTTGGAGGAGTCTTTAGGATTTTCTAGGTATATGATCATATCATCGGCAAATAGAGATAGTCTGACTTTCCCTTTTTCAATTCGGATGCCCTTTATCTCTTTCTCTTGCCTGATTGCTCTAGCTGGAACTTCCAACAACCGAGGTTTTTAAAAAAATTAATTGCAAGAGCAAGATAACAACATTAAAGGAAATGTGGAGGTTCCATCAGTATGGCAGACTGAACTAAAGTGAAATTTCCTCCTTCCATAAGCTCTTAAAAATGCTGAACAAAATACAAAGATGAACCTGAGGGAAAAGAAAGTTCATCTGGAGGAAACAAAAAGAAGACGTGAAGCTAAGAACGATGCACTCAAAATGTGAAGCTGTCACAGTTTGGGAGATTCTTAGACTGGATACAGGTCCCAGCGTCATAGGACAGGAATTGTGGCATTGTCTGAGGTGGGGGGTGAGTGGGTGCCACGATAGAAGCCTGGCCTGGACTCTGAAAGTCCTGACCCCTCAGTGAAAGGCTAAGCAGCAAACTTTCCCCAAGATACAAGGAAACTTTATCCTATGTACAACAAAACTAGTTTTTTCGTCTCAGGACTTTGAATGACAATAATACAAAAGCCTCCCATGAGAAAAGATATATACTGTGAATTTACACTACATGCATTGTGGTTGAAGTTCTAAACCGAGAAATTAGAGCACAAACTGGTCTAGACCAGAGAAACTCCTGTTACCTGGCAAAAATAAGTACAAATCTGCTATGTTGAAATACTTCCACAGCCTCTCTTGAGACATCTACAGATAAAACAATTCTCTGAAGAGCAGTTTAAAATAAAACACTGCAAACAAAATGATGAAAACATATATCATAAAACAGGGGCAGCAGATAAGACAAGCATAACAATTAGGATACAGAAAACTTGGGGTTTGAGGATGATCTCAAAGATACTAATTAAAAAGTGCCTTTACAATTATTAAGGAGAAGGTATACACCCTACAGTAAAAAGAGGTAACTATGAAAATAAAGTAAATTTGAAAAAGAAAAAAGCTGACTTTTAGAAATGAAAAATATAGCAGTTTGAAATTAAAACTCAATGGACAGTTTAAACAGGCAGATTAGACAGAAGTAAAAAGACAGTCTACAAACTGGGAATAGGTACAGAGAGATAAAGAGTTTAAAAATATCTAATAGCAGCTAAAACATATGGAGAATAGAATAAAAAAATGGAAAATAGATGGAAAAAATAACATGTGCATACTACTCTAATCATCTCTTTGCTCCTTTTAAAAAATTCCCATTAAAAATCTTTATAAAGGAAACACACTCACTTTTTTAACTGAGAAAATACCATATTTCCTTTTTAAAAATTACAAAATTCAGTGGTGAAGCCATTGTTTGCAAGCTTTAGCATACATCAGTGTTGCCTTGGAGGCCTGTTTGAACCACAGAATGCGGAGTTCCACACCCAGCGTTTCTGATCAGTAGGCCCAGGATGACACCCACAAATTTGCATTTCTAGCAAGTTGTCAGATGATGTTGATTTTGTTGGTTGCAGGACAACACTTTGAGAATCACTGCCTTAAAGTCTTAAGAAGAAAACAGAGATGACCTGTAATTCCACCCCCTAAAGATAATGAAATGTTTATGTACATCTTTTCAGACCTCTTTTTGATAGAAAAAAAGTGTGTGTGTATACATATGTACACATGTTATATGTATGTGTATATACATACATACATACAGAGAGAGACAGAGAGAAAGGACAAATACATATCCTTTTAAAAGCAGTCCCAAATAAGATTTCACTATTCACAGTTTTGTAATTGGCTCCTTACATTTAATATACTATATATATCTTTATTGTCAGTATAGCTACATCATCATTTTTCATGGCTACGTAGAATTTCAGTATTAGAATACATCATAATTTATGTAAACTAATAATGGACATTGCCAGAATACATTTTTGCAAACTTGTCCTAGTTTTTTTTTAACTTATGTTTCTTTGGTAGTTTTCAGCCTATTTTATAACTTAGTCTTATGCGTTTGTGGTGGAGGCTTGACTTGGAAAATATTAAATATATTTAATCCATTTTTATATTGATTAATTTTTTGCTAAGGAAAGGACTAAAGGAATTAGTAAATTGGCCAGTATTTGGTTTTGTTTAGAACATTTAAATCACAAACATAGCAGTTTGTTGTTCCTAGCTGTCTGTTTTGTAGTCATACCATTTTTGTTTTTGTGTGAACATAGTTGTACAGGTTCAAATTGGTGATGAGTAGTGTTTCCACGAGCTATTTCTAAGTAACAAGCTACACCAAACTTAGTGGTATAAAGCAACACTTTTATTTTGCTTACAATTTTACAAATCAGGAATTTCAGAAGGGCTCAGCTGGGCGGTTTGTGTCCAATTCACATGGCATAAACTGGAGTGGCTCATGATAGAGGATCCACTTCCAACATGGCTTCTTCACTCAGATGTTTGGTACCACGGTGTTCTTTCACCTTTCCGTCTCTCGATTTCCATGTGACATTTCTTCTCCAGGGACTGTCAGTGTGGCTTGGGCTTCTCACAGTATGATGATTTCATAGACATACTTCTTATATGATGGCTCTTTTCCAAGAGCCAAAGAGCAAAAGCTACCAGGCCAGTTAAGTATTATGCCCAGAATTGGACAAAGCAGTCACACCGACCCATCCCCAGCCAGATACAAGCAGATGAAGAAATAGACTCCACCTCTTGAGATGAGTGGGTGGAAAGATTACATCACAGAAAAGTGTGTGAGTAGGGATATATTTTTGTGGCCCTCTTTGAAAAATGTAATCTGCCACAGATAGCTTATTGACATAAAGAAATAAGTAGAATTATTTACGTACACATGCTTTGGCTATTTCATCAAAAAGTGTAACATTTTTAATTTATTCTTTTAAAAGTGTATTTCTAATCATTAAGATCTAAATTTTAAACTAATTTGTTATAAAATATATGTAATGCCAAAATTAATTCATAGGTCCCTTTTGTCAGCCATGCACATTTTGAAGTTCCCTCCTGAACTTCCTAAGTATTGTCTAAGGGAATGTCATTATTTATAACCTTTTATTTGTTTATGAATAAAGTATTCATTGAGTGTCTACTATGGATAATATGTTATGTTGAGTACTTTAAAAAACAAAAAAGATGACTTAGACATGGATTCTGCATTTGAGGCCCTTATAGACATCTCAGAAGATAGCACATATAAATAACGATAAATAAGCTGATGAGAGAGACATAGATAGAAGTGGGGGTAGAAGAGAGTCATTTTTTAAAAGCTTTATGAAAAAGCTTTACGGACAATGTTCCTGGATGTTGAGAGATGGGTAGAATGAGGTGGTGGAGGTGGTGATGAAGAATAATACTTAACAGGAATAGGGGGCAAAATGTTATGAATACAGAGTAACCATGCTGGTTACACTGTGACCATTTCAGTTTGTTTGTATTTTAGCGAAGAAGTTCTCAAGATTTGATGGGCACTGAATTCACCCTGAAGAACTTGTATGGAACTTGTTCAGGGTATGTGGTAGAGGAATATCAAGAGAGAAGAAAGAAAAAGTGGACAGATGGGCATAATACTGTGATGGTTCCTGAATGCCAGGCTATGCGTCTTTTCTTTATATTAGTAGAAAGTGAAGAATGATTGAAGTGTGTTAATCGTGGGAATGATCTGATTGAAGCCAAATTTTAGAAAATTAATCTGGTACCAGTGTGTATAGCAGTTGGGGAAAAACAAGGTTGAAATTGGAGAGTTTTGTATTGAGGTTACTGTGTTCGTTCAGGGAAGAGGAAATCAGAACCTGTTCCTTGATGAGGGCAGTGAGGATGGAAGGAGCAGATGGATTCAAGCAAGAAAAAATCTGTAAACTAATTAGAAATGAGGGTGGTGAAGCAAAGACAGAACTCTAATTATGGCTCTGAGGTTACAGTTGAAGCAGGCAATAGGGAGATCCCAAAATCGAGACACCAGGGCATGATACTCAGTTGAGACAACTGAATATGATCTGGTGTGATACCTGCATTTTGTTTGTATACTGAGGGGGATACCCTGTTGGGATTGTCCAGCTGGCCACTGAGAAGATAATCAGGTCTGGAGATCAGGAGAAAGGATAGGACTGGAAATACGAATTTGAGGGTTATTGGCAGTGTGGTAGGTGTTGAAACTATGGTGTGGATGAGTTTACCAAGAGAAAGAATATAAAGAGAGCAAAAAAACAGAGGAGACAAACCTCAAGAAATAGGTACATTCAGGAAACAGGGGGATTATTATAAATCAGCAAAATTGTATAATGTGCTCAGAGTGCTAGGAAGATAAATAGGGTAGCTACTTATCTTTTGCAGAGAAGACTTTTTAGCAGGTACTGATCAGCAGGGTTAAAGATTGCAGAGGGAGATGGAGACTAAAGACAAGCCATGGAAGGTGTTGGTGACTTTTAAGAATGCAGTTCTGTCACATAGTGAAAACAGAAGCCAGCAAGGTTTAAGGAATGAGTCAGTGATCAGAAACTGGCAACATTTATAATGCAGTGTTATTTTGCTAGGAAAATTCATACTTCCAATGGACCTTTTAACTGCTATTGAAGAGCTGAGAGAAAACCAAGAAAATATTGCTCATTTAACTAAAAGCCATTTCTTTGTGATCTGTCACACATGTAATTTAAAGCAACAATGGAAGTCTTCCATTCTTCTTTTGTTCATTACTGCAAATGCCTCTACCAGAGGCAAAGGTCTCATAGGGATGTTACCTTAATCCAAAGGATTTTATTTTTATTGAGCTCATCTTAGTATATAGAAAAGCTCCTTCAAAGCCCAGCTTTGTGTCAGAAAAAAAAATGAAACATAACAGCAACCACATTTTATTGCTATTAGAGATAGATTTTCTAAGAAGAAAATTGGTTGGGACAAAATTTTGCAATCATTTTATACTTACAATAAACCATCATAAACTAGTATCACCAGCTAACCAAATACAATTTTTCTCAAGGGCATAACTCCTAGTTCAGCACCATTAACTGTTAATAATGGGATATGATATAATGCAGCTATTTTCAACACCTTATTCCTTGTTATTATTGTTGTGCAGTACATCAGGCTTAATCTGTACCTGACTTTCTATGGGGCTGCCATAGCAGTTAGTATGTAGCAGAGCACTGAGCTAGTGATTTGCAAATTATACCATTTAATTCTTGTGGCAGTCTTGCAGAGTTGATATTGTTATTCCCATTGGACAATGAGAAAAGGAAGAATGAAAGAAGTTAAGTTACTTACCAAAGTAAACCTGGTTTTCTGACTCCAAAGCTTGCGCTCTTTGTGGTCTGTGACTGATGCTCACTCCACTCCTGTTTCTTGGACTGTCTTTACATTATGGTGCTCCAGGAGCATGGATGCTGCACTATTGATGCTGAACTATCAGGATTTTTTTATGATTAGAGACAATATTCTCTATTTGACCGATGGATTAGTTTGAGTTGAGACATCCCCTTCCCCCCCAACCCTTAATGAAAATTTATTTAAGATAATGAAGAAGTTGTCTTTTCAGCTTTAAGGAGATGTAGAAAAGCAAACTGGAAAAAAAATTAAAAATCACTTGAAGGAAAAGGAAAATTTGGAACTGTTGTTTCAAATGCCAGGTAGCACTGGATACAGTAGGTTGAGCGTGGCCAGAAGTGTTTGTGAAAAGACTTCATCCATAGGCAGGGCAGGTTCTACTCCTGTTGCTGCACGCATATCTTGTTCCATTCCACTTTGGTAGGGAAATGGATTGGTGACAGTTTCTTAGCACCGGGAGAGGGCACAGAACATGCACGAGGACAGCAGTGCCAAATAAAGTGAAACCTTCATCATCAGCCCAAATTTCCACAGGGCAGTGAGCATTTCATTTACACAGGGGCTAACACACCTCACTCTTCAGACTGAACCCTTGACAATTTAACATGATCCCTAGGTGTATAAAGCATCAAGAGTTTTAACAGTCAACCTCATCTGCTTGCCTGACCAAGATCAATCAAAATTTATCACACAATGGAATTGTGTGATATATTGTAAATTAAGAAAATTTACAAATTAGAGCTAGCACTGAACTATCTGAGTCAGTGGAGTAAAGTTATATATAATCCATACCAGAGGGTAATCTCAAGGTAATTTATAACATTGCTCTAAAAAATTAATTTGTCTCTGTCATTATACTTGCCTTAGGCTACCATTAAAATGATCAACCTTTTCTCTGGCATATACATAATCAACATACGAAAAAGAATTAAGACTTATTGCTGTTCAGTCTACTTTAGGAAATAACAGCTTGGAATATAAAAATTTTTGTAAATAAACTGCTCTCAAGTAGTCAGTCCATAGTTAGCCATGAGGAATTTCTTCTGGTTTATGGTAGCTCTACCAGTTTTATTTTATTGCTACTATGTTATATTTGACATGGCTCATCTGTCATTTTATAAATTTCAACTTTAAATAATCTACTATTAACTTTCAGACAATAACTGTGCACATTCAAAATCAAAAGACTCCATGTTATTTACTCTTAGCAATTTCAGTATATGGAAATTCAAATGTCTTACAAAGCATCCCAGCCATGGCCTTCTGCCACCATGTTTATTGATTGAATGTTGAATGACCCTAAACAGATTTCTCTGAATTAACTACTGTAATCAAAGTAGAAAAGCAAAATAACTATTATTTGTAGGAACTCAAATCTGAAAAAGAAAAAAATCACAGAGTCAATAGAAAGTATACAAAGCTGGAATGACTCCATTAACTTAACTTTTCCTAATGTAACAACAATGAAGTCTATATATTCAGGGACTAAATGTCAATACTAGGACTGACATTGGACCAATATGCCTTTAACATGATCACAGTAACATTACTTTTTAGTCATTCAAACTATGCTTTATTAACAAGATGATTTCTGAAGAGGACAGATTGAGTCTTTACAAAAAATAAAAGTAGCAAAAATCTGTATGATAGTTTAAATTTCTTGTCTTTTGCTTTAATTCGCTTATTAGTTGACCTGATAAAAAGTGAACAGATAGATCATAATATTTAAAGTAAAAGCTTTACAATTATTTATCAGAAATGATACATATTAGCCACTTTTGGTAGCATCTTTGTTTCACTAAACAAAAGTTTTTTTCTGACCAAAGTGGTATTAAAAGCTTGTGAAATTCATTTAAAAGTCAGCTAAAAATTATATAAAGTATTGCATTTACCCTTCTGAAAGCAAAATGTTCATAAAGTAACAACGTTTATTTCCATTAGAGGAGATATTTTAATTAAGCTACTGAGAGGTTTTACATTATATATTTAATGTATATGAGTCATATGCATATAAACAGATGTATAACTGCACTACCTGAACATAAGTTTCAGGATTTTAAGAGGTATTATCTAGAACTTTATATGTTCTATAAATTCAGCAATAAAAAAACCCAAATAGCTGCAGTTTTAAAGGTGATGTTAGAAGTATTTCCCCCACTCATCTTATCTGATGTATTTTGTTGTGCACTAATCTCAATGGCCCCCTTTTTATAAGCAGAGCAATGCTTCTCTACTTGTACATAAGTCTCATGAGCTCTGGTTTAAGGGTGGATGTGTTACTCAAGCAAGTTTATTGATTCTTGCATATAGTCAGTAGCTTTCTAGCATTGCCTCCGAAATGCTGTGTTCCCCCAGGTATCTGCCCTTAGTGCTCTTGCTTTCTTCTCTTTCCCTCTGTGAGCACTGTGTTCCCATGGGTGCAACTGGGTAACTCCTGAATCTCTAAGTTCTACTTCACACCCTTGCCTGAACTCTTGCACAGAATTTTCAACCACATGCAAGGTATCTTCTGTGGCATTCAATAGGACTCTCAGATTCAATAATACAAAACTGAATTCATCATTTCCCATATCTGCTCCTTGTACTGTGATCCCGTGACTGTTCATGGCATTACCATCTTTCCAGGCGGGTGAGAAGCAATGATCATCCCCCCATCACCTTGTTCTTTTCTCAGCTCCCATATCCAATCAGTTGCTGAGTTGTGTCCAATCTACATTTTCTCCAGTTTCATTTATTCATCTAATCAACTGACAAACTTTTTTGAGCATCTTTCCATTTTATATCATGTATTTGGAATACGAGACAGTGCCTGCTTCAAGAAGCTCACAAGTGGTAGAGAGAAAGAACTAAATAGACCATCACTGCCCAGTATGATAATTATTAGTTAGAATTATTCACAAGCTGTTGAAACTGGGAAGAGGTCATGGAAGCCTTCCAGAAGGAGGTGGCATGTAGGCACTGTGTGGAAAGGTCAAGAGGAGTTATCAAGGTAAAGAGCAAGAGAAAGCCTTCCAGGAGGCAGAAACAAAAGTATGTACAAATGTCCAGAGCTGTGAGAGATCAGAGTGTGCTGTGAGAGATCTGAGAGTTTTCAAGGAGGCATAAGAGTGATTCGGACTACAAGCTGATGAGTGCTGAGAAATGAAACAGAACAGAGGAACATTTATGAAGGGCCTGGATGCCACACTAGGAAAGTTGGATTTCAATCTCAACACATTTTTCTTTCTTCTTTTCCTATGCATGATTATATCTTTTGTCAGCAACATCACAAGAACTCCTGACTGTTCTCTTGCTGACCACTCTCTTGCCATTTTTTTTTCTTCAGATTGAGGTCAGAGGTCGTTTCCCCAATGAGAACCTGTCTCTCTTCCTGATCCTTCAATGGCTTGAATTACTCACTAGATTACTCTCAATTCCTACAACCTCTTCTCCACTTCTGCCAAACACATTGCATGGGTCAAGCTTATGACAACCATCCTCCTCTGTGAATTATAAGCCTTTTAAGGCCTGATTCTGTGTCTCACACAGCTTGGTACATTTATGAAATAGAACACCTTGCAGTGTGCTTTGCATGTAGTAGGCCTTTGCATATCTGTTGTGTTGAGTAAAAAGAGTAACCACATTTCTTTATTTTTCAGGGCCTTTTATGCACATTGATGTAGCCAAGTTACTGTAATAATCACTAGTTTTCTTGTTGCCCTCAGCAAGTGTTCCTTACAGCCCAGTGGCTTGTGACATGCCCTGCTGCTACAAGTCAGAACAATTCCAAAACAGAGTGGCATGGCTGTGTACAAACCTTCATGTGCAATGTTTGTTTTTTTCTGCAGAAAATGAAAGACCTCACTTTTCCCTAGGGTAAAAGCAGGTGTAGAAAGCATGGATTCAGGGCCCTTAACAAAATTACAATTTCTAGGGTTCTATACCTCATTTCACTGATCGGTATAGTGAAAAGGGCTTCAAATTAAGAGCCAGTAATAGGTTTTGAAGTTCCATCTCTAGCTAACTGAGTGATCTGGGTAGCATTTCTGGGCCTCAGTTTTCCCACCTGTGGAATTAGGAATTAGAGTTAATTTCTAATCTCCTTATAAACATTATTCTTTCACCAGTATTTCCACATCAGCCTACCAACCCAAACCCATTCTCACTTTGTTTTGTGTTTTTTTTTTTAATCCTTACTAATTTTAGAAGAAAAGATGCAATTAGAAGAATATTGGCCAGCTTACAGAAAAATTGCAACGAAAACTAGGCTTGGGAATTTCACAGCTAGGAACACAGCACACCCCTATGCCACTCCACAAGAGCAAGGCAGGGAGGATGGCGATTGGTGTTTCTGGACACTTTCTGGCACTCATGTCTCTGCCAGTAATCTCTGTTTCTGTGTCTTCACATCACTCCTTTCATGTTCATGGTCCTAGGTGTGGGCATCTGATTGGCTGGGCCCAGGTCAGGTGCTTCCGCCTAGCTGCTGGGAGTGGAGAAAAGGAATATCTGGATCATTTTGCTGGAGGAGTAGGCAATAGAAGAAGACATTTATTTTCACAGACACTTGGACAGACAGGCAGCCATTATTAAGACTGGTGTTGCCAATTGTGCCATGCCCACACCTGTAATGATCTCAGTGAGGTAAATCTTCCTTCACCATGTGCACATTTAAAACTTCAAGCACATGCTAGATCTGTTTCTTCTTGAGAAGTCAGTTTTTCTCGGGTTTAGACCACTTTTTCCATTACCTTTTATTATGCTTTATTTTGTCTTCAACAACACAATTTTCTGGATTTTCTGGTGTAAATTAAGAACGGCAGTTATAGCTCTGACCACTCGAAGTGTCATTCTAGGGTGAGGAGACAGGCAGAGTGGAGTGGATCACTCATCTAGCTCATCATTCACTTGCAGACATGTAGCAATAGTTTGGAATCAGGAATTGTCTCTGGCCACAAACAACTTAGAACAGATCTTATATATGAAAAACACGGTTGAGAAAAATTATAATGAACAAAGATAATGTTAAGGGCGTCCTACCTATCTAAACTTCTGTGTAATCTAAGTTCTTATCATTGGAATAAATTAGGTGACTAGAAGATTACATAGAAGACCAAGTCACCTTAGTCTCATGCAAAATAATATTCACCAAATTGCCAGCAACTTGAACTCTGTTTCTGCCTTTTTTGGGGAAACGTAATGTGTGAATATTGTTCGTTATGATACTTAGAGTGTCCTGTACTAGACCCTATGTTAGAATTGTATTGCAAAAATTAAATCAGAGAAAATGTTAGTCTCTCTTTAAAAATGTGAAGTGTCCTCTCATATGAGAGCTGTGTAAGTCAGCCTGTTGTCTTCTTCACATAGCACCAGATATGGTGCTAGTCACAGCAACTATCTTGGTCTTTGTAGTTGTTACTTTTATTTATCTTCTTTCATTTCTGGTTGTTTATTTTCTAAGCCTCTCTCCTTTTATTTTGAAAGTAGAGACAAAAGAGGAAAGGGAAGTAGAGGGAGATGTTTAGATAGAGGCTGGAAGCCAGATAGCCACCCAGATGAACAGAGGTAACCCCAGCAGAGGAATAGCTGCATTCACCACAGCAGCGGGATTGGCAGTGGGTACCAGATACGTTGTCATCCCAAATCCTCTCTTAACCAATGGCAATCTAGTCTGTCTCGGTGGCTGCCTGCCCAGTTGGTCTAAATGTGGTTTAAAACAACATCATCAATATTAAAGCCTTTCACACCTCTCCACTCATGTATATATATGAACTGTTTTATCTCCAACATAAAAATAACATGTGGGACGTCAGCTACTAGAAGGAAAACAAGCAAACAATGAGACATCGGTTGGTAATGTCATCCATCCACCTTGGATTATTGTTGAATAGTGTGAGCTGTTAACTATCCAAATTATATTCAAGTATTTCATCACCTGCTTAATCAAGCTGCAAAATAAGGAGTTAGACCACTTCAACTCCAGTGATTTGATTATGTGGTAAAGAGACTGGTGCATAAACATCAATCCTGGGAAATTAATTCATGAAAATTAGCTGGAGATACCCCCGGAGGCCTGTTTTGTATCTATTTTTGCATAAAATGTTGAACTTACTGAGGGTGTCTTGGGGGGACTAGAATGATTATGCATGATTCTGTAGTTATCTAGAGAGAAGCATGAAGAGGCTATGGAGTGACCTGAAAATGCATTCTGATTAAAGCTGAGTCTTGAACAGGAAAATTGCTTTGAAATGATTAAAGTTAAAATTGTTGGTAATGAAGGAAAACACTTGTCCTAGAATGAGGCCTTTGAAAGAGAGAGTCTCATTTCGAATCTCTTCCAAACCATAGGGCTTTGCTTTCAAATTGCAAAATATTGCATTGTATCAACCTATCACATTATCTCACCTTTGAAATTAATGAAAGATTAGGAGAATGTTCTAGATAAAAATCTGGCAAGGGATATCATGGGTGAAGATCTGCCCTTAGGAGAGTGAAGTCAGCAGCATCCTTTAGAGCTAACTTTGATGAATCTGCTCAGTGGAGCCTTTCCAAGGCTTGACCACAACCTCTGCTCTCGGGGTACTTGGCTCCTTTGTATGTCTAGCATGCCAGGTTGTAGTTCAAAACTTTGTTTAAACATCTGTCTTTCCCACCAGATCATGAGGTCCTAAGGGACAGGGATCATGTCCATTACCTTCTGTATATTTCCAGCATCTAGTAGGGTGCCAATGCCACCTAGGATTGAGCCTATGTCTCTGATTACATTTATTCTCTTTGGTAAATATTCACCTTTTCTTATATTTAAAGATGTTAATATCACATCTGAAACTAGGAAACTTATAGTACACAATTCAGACTTTTTAGCTGTTGGAAAGGTGATATCAGTATCTATAAACAGCATATTTAAACTATGTCTATGCCATATGTAACATAATACCCCCAGCAGAGACTGGGGCAGCTTCTAGAATCAAGCACATTAATATTTCTGCAGCCAGAAGTATGAATTGGCATACTCTGTGGGATAAATAGACTACAATTTTATAGCAGCTCAGGTCAGGTCAGATTTTGCTACCAGAGGGTTACAGAAAACTTCATATTTTTGGAACTCTTTCGATTTTAGAATTGCTAGTAAGGTACTGTGGACCTGTATTATATCTTCAGGAAGGAAAGAGTTCTTGTCTACAGGAAATATTCCTAGGTGCAAGGGCCATTACTCTTGTGAGTTCAGGGAGGATGAAGAAAATGATGCTGGGTCTTTCTGCAGAGTAGCATGCTTCCAGAACTATCACTACTGCTAGGGTCTCACAGGATGGTGATACCAGAGGGGGCAATCTCAGTAGCTCATTTCCCACAAAGAAAGCTCACCCATTGTGCCACCCCTGACTCTGTGCCTTTTAGCTTATCTGCTGCTCCTTCCTCCCTGTACTAACCTATCTATCCATTTTTTTCCAGAGCCTCCCTTCTCCACTCCTCCATTGCTTTCTATCTATTTTTTTTTTCTTTTATCCTTTTTGCCTCACCAAAGCTTAGATCTTAGGAGTTTTGAGGCTCTTCTTGTTTGCCTTCAGCATAGTTCTTTGGCACGTGATGCTCACATACCTCATTCACCTAAACAAGCAAAGCTTTGCTCTTATCAGGTTGTCTTTGAGTGCATATCAGTCAGTGCTTACGTGGAATGGAAGCATTCTGTGTGCATGCCTTTGTTTTATTAGGAGTTGTGTTTATCCGTTCTGTATGCTGTGTAGATAAGCATCGTGGGAATGTGTAAGTAGATAATAGGCTAATACTGTTCTCTGTACGAACCTAGTCTCCTGTATCCAAAAATGTTGGTGAAAAAATTCAAATATGGATATGTTAATACATGTTTAAAAATAAAGTAGGGAGCATCATTTATATGCTTTAATCTTTTTAAAAAATATCTTTTTGATAATTTTTAACAGTGCAATTGCTCATTTTTCCATGTGATATTTGGTTTTACCTGCCTTTATTTCTAATTCTGTTTGATTTACTTAAACCATGCATCTGTTTCGCTGGCATCCACAAGAAATCTCAATGTTATGCTATTTATTAAAGGAATCATTTTGTTCTTCTCACTTTTTCTTAGTCTCTTAGATTGCTTTTAAAGTTGTGCCTTTATTATGGTTGTTATTGTTCATGTGTAATATTGACATGAGCAAAAAATGGTTACCAGAGAGGTGGGATCAGGAAAGCAGTGTCTCTGTACTGTCAAGACATCCCTCCACTTGTTGCATCATGTTGAATGCGTGACGTCACAGTAGAAGCTGCAAGTGAAGTCCTGTGCTTCTTGTTAGTGACCTTGCTCTCTCTTTGGCACTCACAGATCTGGTCTCAGCAGTGATTATAAGGGCAACATCCTCCTTTGTGGTACCCAATCCAGAAAGAATTGGGGCATGTTGTCAGTGCAGTACCAGGAAGTGTACTAGGGAATTCCATATTCTACCTTTTAAAAATACTTTTGAGACTGTCTCACAGTTCTTTGTAGGGATAGATTGCTGTCAATCCATTGTGGTATATCATCAGTGATTATGGAAACCCTCCTGTTACTTAATACTGTTTTCTGAAGAACTGTAGATGTTTCCATTAATGTAGGTTAAGGAATTTCCTTGATTCCCAGATAATAAAATACAGCATTTCCAAACAAGCTTTCCTCCTTAATTCACTCATTCAGTAAATGCTTATTGCTGACAGGTAGTTCCCAATCTTGTTCAAAACACCGTGCTAATTTATAATATAGAAAAGGTGAGCTAGAACCTCTGCCTGTCCAATCAGAGACATTATAGGGTCTAGAGTATAGATCAGGGGTTGCTGAACAATGGCCCTCAGGCCAAATACAGCTCGCTGCCTGTTTTTGTAAATCAAGTTTCATTGGAACAAATGTTATATTCGCTAACATATTGTCCATGCCTGTTTTGTGCTGCAAGTACAGAGTTGAATAGTTGCAACAGAGATCATATGGCCTGTAAGCCTAAACTATTTACTGTCTGATCCTTTAGAGGAAATGTTTGCTGACCCTTGCTATAGAGATGGAAACATAAATTATTACATAACATCACAGAAGAAACAGTACCTTATGGTGGGAGCAGCATGAATTTTGAACCATGCCTATTTCAAATCTTGCTTCTATCATTTACTAGCCTTACAGCCTTCATCATGTTACTTAGTAATTCTGAGCTTTATTTTTTTCTTTTGCAAAATGCAATTAGTAATATCTATACTGCAGGTTTAATTTTAGTAGTAGGAGAGGTTATTTATATGTAAGGCCCTCAGAGTATAACAATAGTCAATAAATGTTCACTTGTCAAAATAATAGGATGACACATAAGTAGGATGACTATATATCCTAGAGCCACCTTGGTTTACACCTGCTGTCCCAGTTTAATTATTAATAACCCCCTTCACTCTTAAGTGTCCTAATTTGGGTAATAGATTGCATGGTCACACTATGCTTAGGGAATTTCTTAAAGTTTCATTTGTGATTATCTTATTTTGATGAGGAACCAAATTTATTTTAAAACTGTAAGTTTTATTTAAAACTTATTTTAAAGCTGTAAGTACTATGATAAGAAAGTAAATTACTTTGTATTGGTCATTGCTGACCTAACCACACAAACGTTTTGGTTCCTATATTATTAAACTTTGTTCCTTTAAGCAAGAAACATTTATTAACCCAATAGTAATGTTTTCAAAATCTCATTACGGAGACTTAGAAATAACTAAACCAGTGAGAAGAAAATTGGTTTTCTGATGCGACAACCTTGCAGTAAGAGGCCCAGGAGGAGTGGGTTCTGCCTTTGATGAAATACGGTTGCATTTGGGGGGAGAAAAACTATGGGAGAACTGAGCCTGTTTTTTTTTGAGCCTGACAAAGGATGTAGCCACTACTGTGCTCATTTTGTTCATTTGAATTAAGTTGGGGCCTGCACCATTGGTTTCCCCTTTAAACAAGGACCTGAAGGTAGGGATCACTGGCAGATAAGTTATGGTCCAAAAGGGGTCACCACTTTTGATGATACCTCACTAGCCTTATACTCACCACTAGCCTTATACATTCTAAGAGAAAACACTGGATGATAGCTGTGTAATCCTCTGGATCCAAAGGTGGGAGGTCAAGAAAATAAGAGTTGTGCTACTTTATAAAAAATATATTTAACTCAAATATATTGATCTTTATATTGGGTAGAACTGGATATTGGGGAGACCCTATACCAGGCCTTGATTCCTTGGTCAGGAACAAATGGATATGAATTGGACTGGCTGGGAGGGACTCCGTGGAAGAGTCAGGACTGAATTGGGTCTTACAAGAGAGATCCAGGGATCTAAGGAAGAGGATTACAAACTGGAAGGACAACAGTAATCAGAAGCAGGCAGATAGATATGGTATGTCCTGTTGTAGGTGCTCTGGAGAGGCCCTGAGAGTAGAGTACTTGTACTGAGAAATCATGAAGATGAGTTTGGAAGGATGTGACTGTGAAGGACCTTTGATATCAGATTGGAGAGCTGACATTTCTTTAAGCATTGAGAAATCAGTACTTATTTTAGAACAACATTTCAAATTTTGGATATTGTTTCAGTTCGTTTTGACTTTCAAACATAATTGTAGGTAATTTAATATTGTAGAATAAATATCATCTGACTGCTGCTTTGTTTATTTGGAAATTTCTCTCTCTTCTTACGCTGCTAAGTAAAATTCATCAAAATATTTTATTTGCTAAAAGTGCAGGTTGTTTCTCCTGCTTACAAAATATTTTAATCAAATGGATTTAAAAGTGTTGTGCTTCACCTCATTCCTCACACCTGACATTGATCATCTTCTGACCCTGGCTCTAGTTCTGACATGGTTTGGCTGTGTCCCCACCCAAATCATATCTTGAATTATAGTTCCCATAATCCCCATGTGTCATGGGAGGGACCTGGTGGGAGGTATTTGAATCATGGAGGCAGTTTCCCTCATGCTATTCTCATGATAGTGACTGAGTTCTCATGGGATCTGGTGGTTTTATAAAGGGCTTTCCCCCTTTTGCTTGACATTTCTCCTTGCTGCTGCCATGTGGAGAAGGACATGCTTGCTTCCCCTTCTGCCATGATTGTAAGTTTCCTGAGGCCTCTCCAGCCATGCTGAACTGTGAGTCAATTAAACCTCTATCCTTTGTAAATACAGTCTCAAGTAGGTCTTTATTAGCAGCATGAGAATGGACTAATACAGTAAGTTGGTACTGGGAGTGGGGTTCTGCTTAAAGATACCCCAAAAAGTAGAAGCAACTTTGGAACTGGGTAACAGGCAAAGGTTGGAACAGTTTGGAGGGATCAGAAAAAGACAGGAAAGTGTGAGAAAGTTTGGAACTTCCTAGAGACTTGGAGGGCTCAGAAGACAGGAAGATATGGGGAAGTTTGGAACTTCCTAGAGACTTGTTTAATAGCTTTGAGCAAAATACTGTTAGTGATATGGACAATAAAATCTAGGCTGAGGTGGTCTCAGATGGAGATGAGGAACTTGTTGGGAACTGGAGCAAAGATGACTTTTGTTATGCTTTAGCAAAGAGACTGGTGGCATTTTCCCCCTGCCCTAGAGATCTGTGGAACTTTAAACGTGAGAGAGATGATTTAGGATATCTGCCGGAAGAAATTTCTAAGCAGCAAAGCATTCAAGAGGTAACAGAGTAGAAAGTTTGGAGAATTTGCAGCCTGATGATGCAGTAGAAAAGAAAAACTCATTTTCTTGGGAAAAATTCAACCCAGCTGCAGAAATTTGCATAAGTAATGAGGAGCCCAGTGTTAATTGCCAAAACAATGAGGAAAATGTCTCCAGGGCATGTCAGAGACCATCATGGCAGCCCCTCCCATCACAGGCCTGGAGGCCTAGGAGGGAAAAATGGTTTCATGGGCTGGGCCCAGGACCTACCTGCTCTAAGCAGCCTCAGGACATGGTGCCCTGAGTCCCAGATGCTTTGGATTCAGCCATGGCTAAAAGGGCCAAGGTACAGCTCAGACCATTGCTTCGGAGGGTACAAGCCCCAAGCCTTGGCAGCTACCATGTGGTTGGGCCTGCAGATGCATAGAAGTCAAGAATTGAGGTTTGGGAACCTCCATCTAGACTTCAGAGGATATATGGAAATGCCTGGATGTCCAGGAAGGAGTCTGCTGCAGATGGGGAGCTCTCATGAAGAGCCTCTGCTAGGGCAGTGTGGAAGGGAAATGTGGGGTTGGAGCCCTCACACAGAGTCCCCACTGGGGCACTGCCTAGTGGAACTGTGAGAAGAGGGCCACCATCCTCCAGACCCCAAAATGGTAGATCCACTGACAGCTTGCATTGTGCACCTGGAAAAGCTGCAGACACTCAACACCACCCCATGAAAGCAGCCAGAAGGGGAGGTGTTCCCTGCAAAGCCACAGGGACGGAGCTGCCCAAGGCCATTGGAGCTCACCTCTTGCATCAGCGTGACCTGGATATGAGACATGGAGTCAAAGGAGAATCATTTTGGAACTGTAAGGTTTAATGACTACCCTACTGGATTTCAGACTTGCATGGGGCCTGTAGTCCCTTTGTATTGTCCAGTTTCTCCCATTGGAATGGGTGTATTTACCCAATGCCTGTACCCTCATTGCATCTAGGACGTAACTAACTTGCTTATGATTTTACAGGCTCATAGGCGGAAGGGACTTGCCTTGTCTCAGATGAGACTTTGGACTTAGACTTTTGGGTTAATGGTGGAATGAGTTAAGACTTTGGGGGACTGTTGGAAAGACACGATTGTGTTTTGAAATGAGAGGACATGAGATTTGGGAGGGGCTGGGTGTGGAATGATATGGTTTGGTTGTGTCCCCACTTAAATCTCATCCTGAATTGTAATTCCCACAATCCCCACATGTCATGGGAGGGACCTAGTAGGAGGTAATTGAATCATGGGGTCAATCACCCTCATGCTTTTGTTGTGATAGTGCGTGAGTCTCATGAGATCTGATGGTTTTATAAAGGGCTTTTCCCCCTTTTGCTCAGCACTTCTGCTTGCTGCCACCATGTGAAGAAGGACATGTTTGCTTCCCCTTCTGCTATGATTGTAAGTTTCCTCACAGTAACTGTGAGTCAATTAAACCTCTTTCTTTTATAAATTACCCAGTCTTGGGTATGTCTTTATTAGTTATTAGCAGCATGATAATGGAATAATACAAGTTCTGAAAATCTTTTTTTGTTTTTGTTTTTGTTTTGTTTTTTTCAGCTTCTAAACAGAAATGTATTGCTCACAGTTCTGGAGGTTAGGAAATCCAAGATTAAGGGGCTAGCAAATTCAGCATCTGGTGAGGGCCCCTCACATGGTAGAAGTGCCTGAACATCTTTTTAAAAAATGTCTTTCCTCCCGCTAACAGTCTTGTTCTTCCTGATTTTCTTTCCTGTGTTTTTTCCTCTATCCCAACTCAAGGCTCTTTTGCATTTGCTTGTCCTTATCTTGTCCTTGCAAGCCTTTCCCTCAAGAGAGGGTGAAACTACCTGAAGCCAAGAAATGAAAGAGTGTTAGGTAGACTATAGGTTTGTGGAAAGGGAGGGGAGGGAACAAAAGCCACACACATCTGTCCCCCTGGCATCTGAAGGAAAGGCTGGGCTCATGAAGACTGTGTCTACCAGATGCCAAAATAACTTCTCAGTGGAGCCAACTCAATCAAAGACAGGCAATTCAGTGCAAATTTAGTCCATGTGGTTCGTTGGCATTGTGTGGGCAAAACAAACCCATTGACTGATATCCTGGATCACTTTCCAGCCAGTAATTTTGGTGTTTCCTAAAACAGAGATTGCTAAAGTGGGAAGCAGGAATATTCAAGTAGTGAATACAATGATCCATGGGAGGCAAGAAAAAAAATTAGAACTTCTATTTGTATCTAAAATAAGAATCTAAGCCATATTAACATTTGATTTTATGGATTGTTAATAGCATATATGTAATTTTAACATAAATAATAGGGATGAATCCTCAAATTTTCTGCTGATGCATAATCAAAACAGTTTGGTGACTACTATTCTAGATTATGAATTTCCAATCTGTGGGCTCAGTGCCCTCCCACTCTACCATAGGGGCAAGTTATTACAAGAGTTCTATTAAGACACATAGGTGAACTTATCTTCACATTCAATAGATACTGAAAATGCAATGATCTGCTCAAGGTTGCAGGGTTCATTTAATATGCTTTTGCTATTGTGTTTTGAAATTTACTGTAAAAGTAACTTTCTTATACCTGAAAAATGTGAATCCATTGAAGGAGACACAGTTACACATGGGACACAAATAAGTAAGGAAAGGGGAGAATCAAGTTCCAATAAGATGTTAGGTTGGTTGTTCAAAGTATTTAACCTATTGGAAGAGTTATTTATACTTTAGCATCTCTCTCTTTTTCTTCAAAGCAAAAATTGTTTTGTTTTTCTCTCAACATATTTCTTTGTTCCCCTATTTTGAGGAGTCAGTATTAGGACATTTCATGGACCTGACTTCTAGCACTGTGTTGTTTAGGGGTTTTTTTTGTTTTTTTTGTTTTTTTTTTTTTTTGAGACGGAGTCTTGCTCTGTCACCAAGGCTGGAGTGCAGTGGCATGATCTCAGCTCACTGCAACCTCTGACTCCTGGGTTCAAGCAATTCTTCTGCCTCAGCCTGGCGAGTAGCTGGGATTACAGGCAGGCGCCACTGCATCTGGCTAATTTTTGTATTTTTAGTAGAGACAGGGTTTTGCCATGTTGGCCAGGCTGGTCTCGAACTCCTGACCTCAAGTGATCTGTCCACCTCGGCCTCCCAAAGTGCTGGGATTACAGGCTTGAGCCACCACACCCGGCTGCGTAGCGTTTTTTAAATTCATGTGTGTATTAGCTTGCTAGGACTCTCATAACAAAATACCGCAGATTGTGGCTTAAACAACAGAAATTTATTTTCTGACAATTCTGGAACTAGAAGTCCAAGATCAAGGGTTCAGTATATGTTTGGTTTTTTTCTATAGTCCCCCTCCTTGGCTGTTGATGCCACCTTCTTGCTATGTTCTCACATGAACTTCTCTGTGTGCACATGTGCTTCTGGTGTTTCTCTGTGTGTCATAATCTCCTCTTCTCGTAAGGTCACTAATCCGGTTGCCTTCAGGCCTCATTTTAACTTAATCATCCCTTTAAAGTTTCCATATCCAAATACAGTCACATTCTGAGGTATTAGGAGTTAAGACTTCAACATATAAAGTTGAGGGAACACAATTTAGCACATAACAATGTGTACTTACTTATTGATGAGTCTATTTTTTCAGGAAAGAACGTGGGACCTAGCAGTATTGAGAAGCAATTATATTAGGGCAACTATATTCTTATTTGTCAAGGACAGTCCTGATTTATTTTTATTATCCTGACTTAATAAAAATAGCACCCCCTTGGACTGCCAGAAGTGTTTCATTTGGATGATGAATGATATGGTGATCCTGATAGAAAGCTTCTAGAACCAGAGTTCATGCATTTGAGTCTCAGCTCAAAAAATACATTGCTGCACCTACACTACCTCGGCTACGAAATAGAGGCAGTAACAGTACTTACCCCATGGCTTATTTTAAGAATTAAATGAGTCAGTATGTGTAAGTCATTCAGAACACTGCCCTCCATAGAGTAAGCACTGAGTGTAACACTGAGTAAGCAAAGAGCAGGAGGATTGTATATGTCAAGTGTGATGGTGAATTTTATGTGTCAGCTTGGCTGTGCCAGTGTGCTCAGATCTTTGGTCGAGCATTATTCCGGATGTTTCTTTGAGTGTGCTTTTGAATGAGATTTACATTTAAATTGATCGACTTTCAGTAAAGCAGATTACTGTCTGTAATGTGGGTAAGCCTCTTCAATCAGTTGAAGGCCTGAATAGAACAACAGGATGACTTCCCCTGAGTAAGAAGGAACACACCAGCAGATCGTCTTCAGACCTCACCTGCAACATTGACTCTTCCTGGTTCACCAGCAGTCTGCCTTTGGACTCGAACTGCAACGAACTGCAACTTTTTCCTGGGTCTCCAGTCGGCTGACCTCCCTTGTCAGATTTTGGACTTGCCAAGCCTCCATAATCACATGTGCTAATTCCTTAAAGATAAATCTCTCTTTCTCTCTCTCTCTCTCTATATATATATATACATATACACACACACACACACACACACACACACACACACACACGCACACACACACACACACACACACATACTGTTGGTTCAGTTTCTCTGGAGAACCTAACTAATACAGCCAGTATGCAAGTCAAAACTGTACCTGAAGGATAATTTTTAATTTTTACAAAGTTCATATATTTCTGGATTTTTATCTTTCTATATTCACTATACTCTTTGCCTGCCTATAGACATATCAATTTTAAAAAATGAAGATCCATGACAAGACACTATGGAGGATGAACAGACACTCTCTCTCTCTCTATTATTCTCAATATTAAAAAAAAGAAACCCTGAATTTTGCATTCCCATACCATGTTTTGAAGCAATATTGATGTTATCTGATAGAATTCTCATCATTCATCATTGTGAAGATGAATTATTTTTTTCAGGAAGCAAGAGTAGTAGCCTTAATAAATGTTTAAAATAAAAGAATTCTAAGATTGGTTTTGGTAAAATGAGTGTTGATTTAAAAAAAATTGAATCACTATGCCCAAAACTGAGTCCAAAGCTAAGCAAGCGAGCAGATATATTGGCAAGAGTTCAGCCAAGTTAGAAGACTGGCAAATCACCCTTATGAAACAAAGTTAAACATCTTGAAGAGCAAATAAAGGCTTGAGGTACATCTGAGTAGCAGCTATCAAATTTTAAAAAGGGTTATTGTAGAAGAGATGGAGACCAGCTGTTTTCCAACTCTGCTGAGCTCAGATAAGAACAAAACTGGATAAAAACTGCAATATGACAGATCACTTAGGTCTAGGGAAGTATTTCCTGGAAGTTAACATAGATGGAATGGTTTTTTAGGATGTTCTGGAATACATTCAAGGGATTCTTTAAGGTTGATTAGGTTTACCTTTTCCAGACGTGAAACAAAGTGGAAACTACAGATTTAGATTCCCCAACTGAGTAATCAGCAGAATCACTAGGGTTAGGTGGGGTGAGGAGACTTTAAAAAAAAAACACAGACTTCATTTCTATGAAGTAATAGAGGTAGCTTACAGGATATATTGTTGAGAGTAAAAGCAAGGTGCACAAGAGAATATAGCATGTTACCTTTGGTATAAGTCTAAAAGGGAAAAAGGAATATGTATGTATCCTTATTTGCTTTTTTCCTGCTTCAAAAAGGAAACACAGAAACAACAAACCAGAAACTAATAAAATTAGTTACCTATTGCGGATGGGGTGGAAGATGGGAATGGGATTTCTCTTTGTATACTTTTTGTTTCAGTTTCCTATTGCTGATCTAATAAATTCCCATAAATGTATCTCCTTACAACAGCACAAATATACTATTTTACAGTTCTGGATGTCAAAAGTCCAATATGGGTCTCACTGGGCTAAAGTTAAGATGTCAGCAGGGCTGCATTCCTTCTGAAAGTTCTAGAGGATAATTCATCTCCTTCCTTTCTCTGGCTTCGAGAGGCTGCCTGCATTCCTTGGCTCATGGTCCTTTTCTGCACCTTCAAAGCCAGCAGCACTGCATTTTCAAATCTCTTTGAATCTGACCCTTCTGCCTCCTGCTTTCACTGTTTAGGACCCTTGTGATTACATTCAGGCCCATAAAATAATAGAGAATATTCTTGTTATCTTAAGGTCAACTGGTTAGCATCTTAATTCTTCTTTATTCTCTAACATATTCACAGCTTCTGGCAATTAAGATGTGGACATCTTTTGCCAGGACGGTGGTGGGGCGGCATCATTCTGCCTACCACATCTTTAAAAAATAATCTTAACTTTTGAATGATGTAAATTTATATATATTCAAAAATAAAATGGAATCAAAAATGGGTAATCAAAGCAAACTCTAAAATTGAGTATAAATAGAAACAAATAAGCCTACCTCTATATCAAATGGTAACATAACTATACTGGGGAGAAAAAAAAGAATTTATTCCAGGCCGGGCGCAGTGGCTCACGCCTGTAATCCCAGCACTTTGGGAGGCCAAGGCAGATGGATCACTAGGTCAGAAGATCGAGACCATCTTGGCTAACACGGTGAAACCCCTCTCTACTAAAAATACAAAAAATTAGCTGGGCGTGGTGGCTGGTGCCCGTAGTCCCAGCTACTCAGGAGGCTGAGGCAGGAGAATGGCATGAACCTGGGAGGCGGACCTTGCAGTGAGCCAAGATCATGCCACTGCACTCCGGCCTACAAGTACACCCTTAAACTGAGATATATTTTAAGGACTAAAATAATTACACAGACATCTTAATTTGTACTCAGCAGATTTATTGTTGGTAATGGTTGTAGTGTAGTCACCTTGAAACTATTTTGAGTATATTTTAGGAAAGTATAAATGAATAAATGTGTTAATGTTGTGGGGAGCCAGGGTAATCACTGTGGAAGAAGGGAGATAAAATATGGAGTGCGGAAGGTGAGGGAGAACTTTTTGGTATTGGATTTTTTATGTGTATTCCCTGAAATGGCATAGAATATTGACACCCCAGGAGCACTGAGCACACCTAGTACTAAACCTTGGTTTCTAAATAATGGCCAGGCACGGTGGCTCACACCTGTAATCCCAGCACTTTGGGAGGCTGAGGCTGGTGGATCACGAGGTCAAGAGATCAAGACCATCCTGGCCAACATGGTGAAACCCCATCTCTACTAAAAATACAAAAAATTAGCCGGGCATGGTGGCGGGCGCCTGTAGTCCCAGCTACTCAGGAGGCTGAGGCAGGAGAATGGCGTGACCCCAGGAGGTGGAGCTTGCAGTGAGCTGAGATTGCGCCACTGCACTCCAGCCTGGGCGACAGAGTGAGACTCTGTCTCAAAAGCAAACAAACAAACAAACAAACAAGAAACCAAGGCACTTTAAAGAAATGTCTGATCTCAGGGGGAGCAGGTATTAGGTGCAAGGTAAGCCTGTAACAACTAATAGTGCCAAAAAGTAAGGTAGCGCTAAAATACTGATGGAGATGTATCCAAAGGACACATAGAGCTCCCACTGGCCAAACTTAAGACATTTGAGCATCAAACGGATAAATAAAAAGTAGTCACAGATTTTGACTTAAAAAAAGGACTTCTTGATATTACAATAGAGGCAGTTAGGGTGAAAGGGAAAGCACTTTTTTTTTAAGAGAACAATGCCAACTAATAAATGCAAAAGAAGGAATAGATTTGGAAAATCATTATTTTTGTAATCCCTAATGTAATAAGTGATTCGGACAGGATCATCAATGAATGTTAACACAATTAGATGAAATATAGCTGGCATATAGGATATTTACATTATTACAAAATATCTCACAGTTATTAATTACAGAAGGAAAAAGATTTATTTATGATGGAGAAATCTAGTCAATATTGCCTTAAGTGATCAAACTTGGCATCACAACAATGAGATGCACCGATATTTTGTGCCTCCTGATTTGATGGAACTTGACTCTAGTCATGAGGGAAAAAAAATCAAGCAATTCCAGATATATGACATTTTACAAGGCAGCTTGCTGGGACTCCAGATTAAAAGAAATTAAATGTAAACCGAAGCAAAATAATGACCACCAAATGCAATATGTGACTCTTGATTAGACCTTGAATTTTTAAAATAATGGCTATAGAAGACATCAGTGGGACAATTGGAAAATTTTGAATATGAACTATGTAATAAGTAATATTGTATCTACATTAAATATCTTGTGTATAATAATGGTATCATGTTCATATATGAAACGGTCTTCATTCTCAGGAGATATATGTTGAAGTTTTCAGGGATAAATTTAGCATGATGTCAACAACTATCAAACAGTTTAGAAGAAGTAGCTGTGTACATGTCTCATATATGTACATACACATAAAATGAGAAAAAAATGAATGCAGCAAAATGTAAATGCTTACTTTTGATGGAGCTGTTTTTTGTACCACACTTTCAAATTTTTTACAGGTCTGATTTTCAAAATAACAAGTAGAAGAAAAAAAAGAACCCTTTATTGAGCCCAAGGGCTTCTTGCTACCCTTCGTGAATATTTAGTTTGTATTTCAAGTTGTTGTTAAAAGATTTTTCTTCTTCTTCTTCTGTGTAAACAATGTGTTTTTGATTATCTTTTTGGAAGCCTTCCCTGACATCCAGTTCCGTCTTCGAGTCCCTAGACAATGTGATTTTTTTGAATACATACGATAGCAAATAGAAGAGATTTCCTGAATTCATGTGATAGCAAATAGAAGAGCTTCAGTGAAAGGAATGTTTTATGTTAATCTCTGTGGAAGTCCAGTTTATAGGAAAAACATTTGAAAATAAAATGGTAAATAAAGTGGACATATAGTATTACTTTATAACCGGCACTCAGTAAATATGTGCTAAATATGAGTGTATTTTGTAAGCTTCTAAATACCATTAAAATATCACCTGATAGTAACTATAACAACAACAATTTTTTTAAAAACACAGATTTCCAGGCCCTCCTTCAGACCTGTTGAAGGGTAATCTCTTAAGATAAGACCCTGATCTGCCTTTTAAACAAGTTTGCTATGTTCTCCTGTTCACCGAAATTGATGTCTTTAAGATTTAAGATGTTTAAGGGCTCCCTTCCTGTCTTTGGGCTCAGCCTTAAGTCCTCCCCCTCACCTCCTCTTCCATCCTCGCCAATCTCTGCTCTCCTCTGCTGATGGGGATTCTTTACCATCTGCCATGATCTGTATACTTTATTATTTTTCCTTGCTACCCATCCCACCTTGTTTGCTTTCTCTTTGTTTTCCACCTCTCTCCATGAGTACTAGATCCGTGTTACTCAGTGTACTCTCCATGGAGACAGCCCACCCAGTCTCACACCTAACTCCTGCTGCTCATCTAGTAGGTGGGACAATGTTTTTCACAAAATATATATATTTTTTAGGACTCTGTGATTTTTCCATAAAGAAAGTCTCTCTAGGATACCAATGACTCTGCGGGAAACTCTGAGAATATACGCCAGATTTATGCTTCCTGGGTCTATGCAAATAGGCTCTTGAGGCTAATGGTTAAGATGGTGGACTCGAGTCAAACTGCTTGGTTCTAAACACAGACTAACCGCTTGGTAGCTGTATGAATTTTGGCAAATTTTTTAACCTCTTTGAGCTTTGCTTTCTCATTTCTAAAAGGGAAATACTAACAGAACCTACTTCAAATGGTTTTTGTGAGGATTAAAGGAGTTTATATACAATAGCACCTAGAAAAATGCTATATAAGTGCTTACTGTATTTTTCTTTGTATTTCAATGGCTACAAAAGGTGTTTACTATTTTTTTTATTCATCATCACTTCTCCCTGGGATGTTAAACCTGGATTAAATTCTGCTTTCAAGCTATTAATAATGATTCTTATAAAATGATCTCTTTATTGCTTTCTTTCTGTTTCTCATGAATTAAGGTTTCCCTAGGACTTCTGCATGCCCATGCCACACATATCCTGTGGCCCCCAGAGCGCTGGCAGAAATTGGAATCTGTTCTTCCTCCAGAGCGCTTACCAGTACAGAGAGAAGAGGAATGACTGCATGAATCTACCTGAGTTGCTGGCATTGGGAGGCCAGTTACTGGAAAGGAATGGAAAAAAGAAGCCTCCAAAAGGGAAAAACTTCTGACAATATGATGCTGTGCGAGAAATATTTACAGCACATTAAAACGATCTGTATTATTAAATAAATAATTTTCAAATGTTAAACAGTATTAAATGGCACCTGATTTTGTGTTAAATTTTAGTTCCCTGTTGTTTAATGCCCCCAAAATATGCAGACCTTTGGGAATATAAAAATATTGCACCCACATGTCTTAATGGGGCTGAATTTCAGATTATTTGTTACATATACTTATTATATTGATTGTTGGGTTTTGATTTTGGTGCTTGCTGCTGAAATAAATTGAAAATTAATATTCAATAAAAATGATGTATTTGTCACTTGCTGTTAAGGTAGAACAAGAAGGAACACATATTATACACATAATGATGGGAATTACATTGTGATTTGTACTATCTACAAAGGAGTAACTGCCAGTTAGGAAGAACAGTAAACAGTGATGTTAAAATAAAACAATGATTTGCTAAGGTCCTGTTTTGAGTATTTAATTCTCATTGAGTACATCCATTAATGAGGAATTTCTTATCTCTTCTGAAAATAAGGAATCAAAGTAATGGAGAACCCATTCTGTCGACACTTGCATACAGTCAAGCCTTTCTTATTGGCCCTTTGTAATCCAACATTTCTGAGTGATCTCATGCCTATTCACAATGATGGGTAAACCCCTTTATCCGCATTTAGTCATACTATGTGTTTAAAAGTTCTGAGTGAAATAGAAGAAAAAACAGTCCAGATCAGCCACGTTTGATTTTCTTCCCCTAATTATTTCTCAGTATTCACGTCTGTAATACTGAAATCACCAATTGCAAAGTTACAGTAGAATCATAGAGTCTGTAATTTGTATGGATAATGGAATAAATTCCCTGCATCTAAGTCCATGTTTATGAAAGCTTCTTTTTCTCCCATTGGTTAGAGGTTTGTGTAAATTATTATTAGCATAATCATATTCAACAAATATTAATGAGCACTTACATACTAATGTTGGACAGAATTTTTTTTAAAACAGATCTGCTTAAAATTTTTCTGTGGCTCTTCATTGCCCTTCTCAATTCTTCAGTTCCATTTTCTCTTTTCCCCAACTCGAACTTCATACCCTGGCTTTTAACTGCAGTTTACCAAATACTGCTATTTCAAAGCTTGTAATTTTTTTCTTTCTTGGCAAAGTGCATCCCTTGGAATTATGTGTAAAATGTTTAGTACATAAGGGTATTGACTCTTTACTTGCTGGAACACAGGAGGGTCTATGGGTCATATAGGAGGGGATTGGGAGTACTGAGGGGAGGTAGAGTAAAGAACAAATAGACAGGTGCTGGTAGTGACTGCTATTTACCACTGGTATAGAAGAGTTCAATATTTTAACAGTTTACCCCATTGGCTATCAGCCTTGCTACCTTATTGACTACCCGTGCCATTGTTACTCGAACTATTCATTCAAGATTGTATATCTTTGGAGGGAAGGTAAATGCTCTTTCTATTCAATTTTCTATTCACTAGCCATCCAGCACATCACCAGCAGAGTTAATGCCTAATGCTTGTTGAACAGCTCAGCTGACTAGTTACTTCCTCAGGAATACATCCCCAGGCAAAGTCACTGCTCTACCTGGTATATACCTTCATTAATGTATCACTCTGCATGTTAATGATTCGTGTACATACTTTCTCCCCTACTAGACTGTGAACTAGTAGTCTAATCTAGAGCAGGGTTTATCTTGCTCAACTTGGTCATACGATTGCTCATAATTGACAATAAAATCCTGTCCAATCAATGTATGAATCCTAGGCACTGTGTTAAGGACAGGAAAATCAAAGTAGATAAAACAAAGGTTCTCATAGTCGACTGGTGGGGGCAGGAGGAACTGTAAAGAGGCAAAGAGTTAACATACAATTCCGCAGTAGGTATAGAGCATGGAATAGGTGCAATGGGAGCAGAAAGGGCTGTAAATCTGATTGTGCCTGGGGAAATAGGGATGGGAGAAACCACCACAGGAGGGGTGCCACGGGCTGAGCCTTCTAGGATGAATGGAGTTCCCCTCCTGTGAATTATAAATTTAATCTGTATAAACGATTTCAGTTACTTAAATAGTTTCCTCTCAAACATTACTGCTAGTTTACTGTTCAGGGTGTAGTGTGTGTATTATGTTTTATACATTTAATTTGTAAAATGTGAAATAATGATTGTACCTCAGGAATATTGAGATTTGTAATTAATTTTTTTTCACTTTTTACAACAGTCATTTCAAACAATTTTACCAAGTAACTTATAAAAATGTGTTATATATCGGATGTTCCAAGATGGCCAAATAAGAACAGTTGCAGTCTACAGCTCCCAGCATGAGCAATGCAGAAGATGGGTGATTTCTGCATTTCCAACTGAGGTACTGGGTTTCTCTCACTGGGACTTGTCGGACAGTGGGTGCAGCCAACAGAGCAGGGCGGGCATCGCCTCACCCAGGAAGTGCAAGGAGTCAGGGAATTCCCTTTCCTAGCCAAGGGAAGCCATGACAGATGATACCTGGAAAATCGGGACACTCCCACCCTAATACTACGCTTTTCCAATGGTCTTAGCAAATGGCACACCAGGAGATTATATCCTGCGCCTGGCTCACAGGGTCCCATGCCCACAGAGCCTCGCTCACTGCTAGCATGGCAGTCTGAGATCGAACTGCAAGGTGGCAGCAAGGCTGGGGGAGGGGCGTCCACAATTGCTGAGGCTTGAGTAGGCAAACAAAGCAGCTGGGAAGCTCGAACTGGGTGGAGCCCACTGCAGCTCAAGGAGGCCTGCCTGCCTCTGTAGACTCCACATCTGGGGGCAGGGCATAGCTGAACAACAGGCAGCAAAAACTTCTGCTGGCTTAAACATCCCTATCTGACAGCTTTGAAGAGAGTAGTGGTTCTCCAAGCACAGAGGTTGAGATCTGAGAACGGACAGACTGCCTCCTCAAATGGGTCCCTGACCTCCGAGGAGCCTAACTGGGAGACACCTCCCAGTAGGGGCCGACTGACACCTCAAACAGCTGGGAGCCCCTCTGAGATGAAGCTTCCAGAGGAAGGATCAGGCAGCAACATTTGCCGTTCTGCAATATTTGCTGTTCTATAGCCTCCACTGGCGATACCCAGGCAAACAGGGTCTGGAGTGGACTTCCAGTGAACTCCAACAGACCTGTAGCTCACGGTCCTGACTGTTAGAAGGAAAACTAATAAACAGAAAGGAAATCCACACCAAAACCCCATCTGCACATCACCATCATCAAAGACCAAAGGTAGATAAAACCAAAAAGATGGGGAGAAACCAGAGCAGAAAAGCTGAAAATTCTAAAAATCAGAGCAGCTCTTCTCCTCCAAAGGAACACAGCTCCTCGCCAGCAATGGAACAAAGCTGGATGGAGAATGACTTTGATGAGTTGAGAGAAGAAAGCTTCAGACGATTGGTAATAACAAACTTCTCCAAGCTAAAGGAGGATGTTCAAACCCATCGCAAAGAAGCTAAAAACCTTGAAAAAAGATTAGACAGATGGCTAACTAGAATAAACAGTGTAGAGAAGACCTTAAATGACCGGATGGAGCTGAAAACCATGGCACGAGAAATAACTTAATGCATGCACAAGCTTCAGTAGCCAATTTGATCAAGTGGAAAAAAGGGTATCAGTGATTGAAGATCAAATGAATGAAATGAAGTGAGAAGAGAAGTTTAGAGAAAAAAGAGAAGAAATGAACAAAGCCTCCAAGAAATATGGGACTATGTGAAAAGACCAAATCTACGTTTGATTGGTGTACCTGAAAGTGACGGGGAGAATGGAACCAAGTTGGAAAACACTCTGCAGGATATTATCCAGGAGAACTTCCCCACCCTAGCAAGGCAGGCCAACATTCAAATTCAGGAAATACAGAGAACGCCACAAAGATACTCCTCGAGAAGAGCAACTCCAAGACACATAATTGTCAGATTCACCAAAGTTGAAATGAAGGAAAAAATATTAAGGGCAGCCAGAGAGAAAAGTCAGGTTACTCACAAAGGGAAGCCCATCAGACTAACAGCAGATCTCTCAGCAGAAACTCTACAGGCCAGAGAGAGTGCGGAGAGGGGGGCAATATTCAACATTCTTAAAGAAAAGAATTTTCAACCCAGAATTTCATATCCAGCCAAACTAAGCTTCATAAGTGAAGGAGAAATAAAATACTTTACAGACAAGCAAATGCTGAGACATTTTGTCACCACCAGGCCTTCCCTACAAGAGCTCCTGAAGGAAGCACTAAACATGGAAAGGAACAACCAGTACCAGCCACTGCAAAATCATACCAAATTGTAAAGACCATCAAGGCTAGGAAGAAACTGCATCAACTAACAAGCAAAATAACCAGCTAACATCATAATGACAGGATCAAATTCACACATAACAATATTAACTTTAAATGTAAATGGGCTAAATGCTCCAACTGGACAAAGAGTCAAGACCCAATGGTGTGCTGTATTCAGGAGACCCATCTCGTGTGCAGTGAGACATATAGGCTCAAAAAAAAGGGATGGAGAAAGATCTACCAAGCAAATGGAAAACAAAAAAAAGCAGGGTTTGCAATCCTAGTCTCAGATAAAACAGACTTTAAACCAACAAAGATCAAAAGAGACAAAGAAGGCCATTACATAATGGTAAAGGGATCAATTCAACCAGAAGAGCTAATTTTCCTAAATGTATATGCACCCAAAACAGGAACAGCCAGATTCATAAAGCAAGTCCTTAGAGACCTACAAAGCGACTTAGACTCCCACACAATAATAATGGGAGACTTTAACACCCCACTGTCAACATTAAACAGATCAACGAGACAGAAAGTTAACAAGGATATCCAGGCATTGAACTCAGCTCTGCACCAAGCAGACCTCATAGACATCTACAGAACTCTACACCCCAAATCAACAGAATATACGTTCTTCTCAGCACCACATCACACATATTCCAAAATTGACCACACAGTTGGAAGTAAAGCACTCCTCAGCAAATGGAAAAGAACAGAAATTTTAACAAACTGTCTCTCAGACCACAGTGCAATCAAACTAGAACTCAGGATTAAGAAACTCACTCAAAACTGCTCAACTACATGGAAACTGAACAACCTGCTCCTGAATGACTACTGGGTACATAACGAAATGAAGGCAGAAATAAAGATGTTCTTTGAAACCAATGAGAACAAAGACACAATATACCAGAATCTCTGGGACACATTTAAAGCAGTGTAGAGGGAAATTTATAGCACTAAATGCCCACAAGAGAAAGCAGGAAAGATCTAAAATTGACACCCTAACATCACAATAAAAAGCACTAGAGAAGGAAGAGCAAACACATTCAAAAGCTAGCAGAAAGCAAGAAATAACTAAGATGAGAGCAGAACTGAAGGAGATAGAGACACAAAAAACCCTTCAAAAAATCAATGAATCCAGGAGCTGGTGTTTTGAAAAGATCAACAAAATTGATAGACCGCTAACAAGACTAATAAAGAAGAAAAGAGAGAAGAATCAAATAGATGCAATAAAAAATGATAAAGGGGATATCACCAACAATCCCAGAGAAATACAAACTACCATCAGAGAATACTGTAAACACCTCTACACAAACAAACTAGAGAATCTAGAAGAAATGGATAAATTCCTGGACACATACACCCTCACAAGACTAAACCAGGAATAAGTTGAATCCCTGAATAGACCAATAACAGGCTCTGAAATTGAGGCAATAATTAATAGCCTACCAAACAAAAAAAGTCCAGGACCAGATGGATTCAAAGCTGAATTCTACCAGAGGTACAAGGAGGAGCTGGTACCATTCCTTCTGAAACTATTCCAATCAATAGAAAAAGAGGGAATCCTTCCTAACTCATTTTATGAGGCCGGTATCATCCTGATACCAAAGCCTGGCAGAGACACTACAAAAAAAGAGTATTTTAGACCAATATTCCTGATGAACATTGATGCAAATATCCTCAATAAAATACTGGCAAACCGAATCCAGCAGCACATCAAAAAGCTTGTCAACCACGATCAGGTTGGCTTCATCGCTGGGATGCAAATCTGGTTCAACATACACAAATCAATAAATGTAATCCATCATATAAACAGAACCAAAGACAAAAACCACATGATTTTCTCAGTAGATGAAGAAAAGGCCATTGACAAAATTCAACAGCCCTTCATGCTAAAAACTCTCAATAAACTAGGGATTGATGGGACACATCTCAAAATAATAAGAGCTATTTATGACAAACCCACAGCCAATATCATACTGAATGTGCAGAAACTGGAATCATTCCCTTTGAAAACTGGCACAAGACAGGGATGCCCTCTCTAACCACTCATATTCAACGTAGTGTTGGAAGTTCTGGCCAGTGCAATCAGGCAGGAGAAAGAAATAAAAGGTATTCAGTTAGGAAAAGAGGAAGTCAAATTGTCCCTGTTTGCAGATAACATGATTGTATATTTAGAAAACCCCATCGTCTGAGCCCAAAATCTCCTTAAGCTAATAAACAATTTCAGCAAAGTCTCAGGATACAAAATCAATGTCCAAAAATCACAAGCATTCCTCTACACCAATAACAGACAAACAGAGAGCCAAATCATGAGTGAACTCCCATTCACAATTGCTTCAAAGAGAATAAAATACCTAGGAATCCAACTTAGAAGGGATGTGAAGGACCTCTTCAAGGAGAACTACAAATCACTGCTCAACAAAATAAAAGAGGACACAAACAAATGGAAGAACATTACATGCTCATGGATAGGAAGAATCAATATTGTGAAAATGGCCATACTGCCCAAGGTAATTTATAGACTCAATGCCGTCCCCATCAAGCTACCAATGACTTTCTTCACAGAATTGGAAAAAACTACTTTAAAGTTGATATGGAACCAAAAAGAGCCTGCATTGCCAAGACAATCCTAAGCAAAAAGAACGAAGCTGGAGGCATCATGCTACCTGACTTCAAACGATACTATAAGGCTACAGGAACCAAAACAGCTTGGTACTGGTACCGAAACAGAGATATAGACTGATGGAACAGAACAGAGCCCTCAGAAATAATACCACACATCAACAACCATCTGATCTTTGACAAACCTGACAAAAACAAGCAATGGGGAAAGGATTCCCTATTTAATAAATGGTGCTGGGAAAACTGGCTAGCCATATGTAGAAAGCTGAAACTGGATCCCTTCCTTATACCTTACACAAAAATTAATTCAAGATGGATTAGAGGCTTAAATGTTAGACCTAAAACCGTAAAAACCCTAGAAGAAAATCTAGGCAATACCATTCAGGACATAGGCAAGGGCAAGGACTTCATGACTAAAACACCAAAAGCAATAGCAACAAAGCCAAAATTGACAAATGGGATCTGATTAAACTAAAGAGCTTCTGCACAGCGAAAGAAACTACCATCATTGTCAACAGGGAACCTACAGAATGCAAGGAAATTTGTACGATCTACCCATCTGACAAAAGGCTAATATCAGAATCTACAATGAACTCAAACAAATTTACAAGAAAAAATCAAACAACCCCATCAAAAAGTGGGCAAAAGGTAGAAACAGACACTTCTCAAAAGAAGACATTTATGCAGCCAAAAGACACATGAAAAAATGCTCATCATCACTGGCCATCAGAGAAATGGAAATCAAAACCACAGTGAGGTACCATCTCACACCAGTTAGAATGGCAATCATTAAAAAGTCAGGAAACAACAGGTGCTGGAGAGGATGTGGAGAAATAGGAACACTTTTACACTGTTGGTGGGACTGTAAACTAGTTCAACCATTGCGGAAGTCAGTGTGGTGATTCCTCAGGGATCTAGAACTAGAAATACCATTTGACCCAGCAATCCCATTACTGGGTATATACCCAAAGGATTATAAATCATGCTGCTATAAAGACACATGCACACGTATGTTTATTGCGGCACTATTCACAATAGCAAAGACTTGGAACCAGGCCAAATGTCCAACAATGATAGACTGGATTAAGAAAATGTGGCACATATACACCATGGAATACTATGCAGCCATAAAAGACGATGAGTTCATGACCTTCATAGGGACATGGATGAAGCTGGAAACCATCATTCTCAGCAAACTATCGCAAGGACAGAAAAACACCGCCATGTTCTCACTCATAGGTGGGAATAGAACAATGAGAACACTTGGTCACAGGAAGGGGAACATCACACACCGGGCCTGTCGTGGGGTGGGGGAGGGGGGAGGGATAGCATTAGGAGATAAACCTAATGTAAATGAGGAGTTAACGGGTGCAGCGCACCAACATGGCACATGTATACATATGTAACAAACCTGCACGTTGTGCACATGTACCCTAGAACTTAAAGTATAATAATAAAATAAATAAAAGTTTTAAAAATGTGTTATATATCAAAGAACTTTTAAATTTAAATAAATGTTAAACTACCAAATTAGCATGCTCACTTTTGCCTTGCACAGTTTCTGAATTCAGATGGTCAGAAAAAAAGGAAATTTAAAATAATTTTAAAGTTATCTATGCTACAGTTATAAAACTTCACTGGCATACATTTTTGTGAGAGAGAGTGGAGACTGGCCTTTGGAAATGGAACTTGGAAAGTATTTTAATATTCTTTAAGTTACAGTTTACGTAATCAACTATAGTCACAATTGGAATTTTTTTGAAGTTTTACCCTCAATAATATTAGTCTACAGCATAAAAATATTTTCTCTATTCCTTCCTAAACCATATTCACCTCTATATACCTGATGATTTCCTCCTGAACCTTTCTCAGGTCTACTCAAAATTGCCTCCTCATGGAACCTCTCTGGTCATCCTTTCTAAAGCTGCCCCTTTGTCACTTTCTATCCACCTAGGCTGTTGCGTTTCCTTGATAGCCCTTTCACTGTTGTGATACTATGTTATTTGTTGATACTGTGCCAACTGGAATGTAAAATGCATGTAATTTGTGTTGTTCAGCACTATATTCCAATTACTATGAAAGTGATGTGTCTTCATCAATACTATCACACTCAGATCATATTATCTTTCTTGTATTACTGTTGTTTTATTACCGTCATTGAACTTTTCTTACTATTCTGATTTTTGGATTTACATTTCTTTTTTTTTTTTTTCCTTTGGAGACAGAGACTCACTCTGTTGCCCAGGCTGGAGTGCAGTGGCGCGATCTCAGCTCATTGCAACTTCTGCCTCCTGGGTTTCCAGATTCAAGAGGTTCTCATGCCTCGGGCTCCCGAGTAGCTGGGACTACAGGCCGTGCGCCACCTCGCCCAGCTAATTTTGTTTTTGTATTTTTAGTAGAGATGGGGTTTCACTGTGTTGGCTAGGCTGCTCTCAAACTCCTGAGCTCAGTCAATCCACCCACCTCGGCCTTCCAAAGTGCTAGGATTACAGGCGTGAGCCACTGCACCCAGCCTTTTCCAGTTCTTTAATCCATGTCTGTAATATTCTTTTAAATTATTTTTGTTTCTTGTTTCATAATTTATTCTGCATTCTGGATATGTTTGTCAAATTTATCTTTCCTATCACTAATTTAGTTTTCTGATATATGAATATGCATTTTGCTATTTCCAACATTAATTTTATTTTCTTGCATATTTCATTTACTTTTATTCTTTTTATTTTGCCCTCTCTTACAGGGTAGATGTAACATACACATGCACAATGAGGAGAGAAAATATTTGGTTTCTAAAATTCTCTTTTTTTAAAGTAGTGACCTTACTTTATGGAAAAAATTATTTCAAGCCCTTTTGGCATGATTTTTAAAAATATGTTACAGAAATTTTTGAGTGTCTTACATTGCATTTTTTTTTATCATCACTTGACTATGATTGCTGATCTATCTATGCTGCTGTTCAGAAGCCAGGTGTCTCTGTAAACATCAAGTTCTACCCATTCTAGAGCTGGGGAGTTTCAAGCTGGTAGCATAGCTTTTTAACTGCAGTGGCCATAACTCAAGTGCTGGTAGATATCTTTCCCTGAATCTAGAACTGAAGCACTGGCTAACCGTAGAGTCAGGGCTTATATCTCATCTCTACAAAACACCTCTGATTAGAACCAGAGTGGACTTGGTTGCTCCTAAAAATATACTCTATCTTGAATGATTTCTTTAATGTTTTTATTTTTATTTTTAATAAGCAACAATCGACCAAAATTAGAGATCTGCCAGGGAAAATTCATAATGAGACAAGCTTACTAATATGTCCTAAACTCCTTACAAACTCCCCACCCTTAAACAAAAATTATTTATATAAATATGTATACATATATATTACACGTATATTACTAAGAGGACTAAAAGAGACCTGCCAGGGAAAAATCATGAGACAAGCTTACTAAGATGTCCTAAATTCCTTACACCCCACCCTTAAAGAAAAATTATTTATATAAATATGTGTACATATGTATTAAACGTATATTACTAAGAGGACCAAAAAGGTAAAAATAGCATACTACACATAAACAAATAATATCTACAATGTTACATATTTACAAGAGTCTATTGAATATTAAGCTAAGTATAAAATCCTAATTTTAATCAAAATAGAAGTCTACATTTTCTAACCATAATTTAATGAAAATAAATAATTCTGATTTTGTCCATTCAGGCTGCTACAGCAAAATGGATTAGATAACTTATAAATGAGAAGTTAATTTCTCACAGTTTTAGAACTTAGGAAGTCCAAGATCAAGGTGCCAGAAGATTTGCTCTCTGACGAGGCCCCTCTTCCTTCCTAGATGTCTTCTTCACCTTACATGGAAGAAGGGGCAAGCAAGCTCCTTCAGGTCTCTTTATAGGGCATTAATCCTGTTCAACAGGCCTCCACCCCTGATCTAATGACCTGCCACACTCCTCACTTCCTAATACTATTGCACTGGGGAGTCAGGATTTCAACTTACGAATTTTAGAGGAGAAAAACATTCAGACCATAGCATATTCCTAATATAGACAACGTTAGGACCTTTAAGTCTATTTAATAGATCACTTTAAGTCACTTTAAGTCTATTTAATAATCTTTGCCTTTTGTGCCTTCTTTGTCATTTAAAAAAATTGCATATATTTTAAACATCACAATATATTGTTTAATATGTCAATATTTTAAAAATTTACTCACATATTTACTATTTTTTCCTGCATTTCCATGCAATTGTGTCTAAATGGTTGTTAAATCACCCAATTGAGTTCCTAAGTTCAACTATTATATTTTTCATTCCTAGAATTTCCATTCGATTCTCTTTATAGTTCCTATTTTTCTGCCTAAATTCCTAATTTTATTATCTATTTCGTAAACATATTAATAATTATTATCTTAAACTACATGATCACTTTGATTTTTGAATTTCTCATGTGTTTGTTTCTATTATCTGTTTTTTTTTTCTTGGAGTTTGATCAGTTCTTGCAATTTTGTATGCTTATACATTTTTAATTCATTTTGAAAAATCACATTTGAAAAATTTTAGAGGTAATTAGAAACTATTTAGAGATAATATTTGAAATAATTCAATAAATGTTAACTTCTACCAATGAGGATTTTTATTTTGTCCTCACCCTCCCAAGATGTAACCATTTGGGGTCTCATGCTATAATGTTTACCAGAGATCCTCCTCCTTTTTAAGCCTGCCAAACTTATTATTAGTTTTTAAGCCTCTTTGCTGCTGCATTCACATGGGCAAATACCTTAAGAGAAACAGTGAGCTGACTGCGATACACATCTCAATTTCTCTTATGTCTAGAATCTTGATCTTAGAAGTTATTGGTAAGACTCACTCAGATAAATTGTCCAGATTTCTAGTTGTAATAAGCAGGAAACTCGGTCCAAAGATGATTCTCTACTATTGTAAGATCTAGAATCTTGTATGATTTATATAGGCATTATGTGGGCTATGGAAAAAGGTGGAAGGGGTAAATGTTTTGGCATGACATTTTAGAACTTCTTTTTAGAATTGTCCATTTCAGAAGAATATTTTGGAATCTTATCTTTAATAGATGTTACTTGTTACATTATAAGAACAATATAAACTTAGATGTAATTTGGTGTTCAAATTACCAGATGTCTATATATTTTTTATATCACATCAGATAACAGAATCATATTTGCCAGATACCCATTTGAAGTTTGTACTTGATTCTGGTCCACATCTCTTTGGTTTTATGTGAAATTAGATCAAGTGGTCATTTATTCAACTTACATGTGAATCCCTATTATATACCAGAAACTCTACTAGATAGTGGATGGTTAAAACCGCTGGGAGAAATGTTCAGGAGAGATGAGGTGGAGGCTAAAATTAATATTTAATATTTTAAATTTGCATTGTAAATAGCAGTTCTTATCTGTTATTTCTTTTTACCACATTCCTACTAAATATAGAGTGGACATAGTGGGGAGACGAGACTGGGTTCAAAGGGTTGAGTAATTATTTATTTATAAACCAGCTTCACCTTTTATGTTGCTTATCCCAATTTGTTAATTCTTTTCTAATAGTAAACAGAGAATCATGTATATCATTTACTAAACGAAAATTTTAGAACACAGTTTCCGGGTTTTTGTTTTGTTTTGTTTTGTTTTTGTAGTGGGGGGGAATGTGGAAGTTAGTGCTTTCAGACTATGCTCAATGGGAAAATACAAATATTAAATAATAGTGTATGCAATTTTGCATTTCCATGAACAGATACCAAATGGTATTTTTAAATTTTTATTTTATTTTAAAATGACCAACATTTCTTAGATTCTATAAATTGAACATCAAACTTCTTACAAATTAAATAAATAAATGTAACATAAATTGACATAAATCACAGAGAATCTGTTAATAAAAAGGGAATGTGTTCTGGAATCTATTGGTTTTTAGAAAAAATAATGCTGAGCATAACACTAGTTGGACAGCATTCCTGACACTTTCACTTCAGCCCCTTCCCAGCAGTCCTCACAAATGTAATTCATTTCAATGCACATAGGTTCACAAGAACACTTAGAGGTAAGCTGCTTTTCTCTCCCTGTTTTTGTTATACGATGAACCATTCTACTTGCATCATCTTGCCTCATGTTGCATTCCACATTATTATTATTCACCTAGTCGGCTTCCATTTATTTTCAGAGATTGCTACATTATCAATTCCATTCTCATCATGTTAAGTAGGCTTCGTGCCAATTTATAGTATTTTCCATTTTTTTTTACAAGTCTAAATGTCCATAGTTTGAAGCCTAAAGAAAAACTAAGGCATAGTTTTTTGTACATTTTTAATTGCAGTAAAATATTTACATAAAGTTTTTGTCAGAACCTACTCTGATATTTGTATTACAGTCTAAGCTACATAACATTGTGTGTCGTCTTTATATTTCTGAGAATATTATTTCAACTAAATCCACTAAAGAAAGAATTTTTAATAGAGGTTGTCTACCATAAAAGTTAGATAAACTTTTTGGGGACTTACTAAGGGCTCCTGCTTAATAAGTTACTCTTCCTTGACAGTATATTGCAAAAATAAAGTAACTGGCAGAAGTATGAACTAATAATACATATACATTTACTCTGGGTTATATATCATGACAGAATACACTTGACAGTCATTTATTCTTGATTTTATATTTTGGAATATGAAAATTCAAACATCAGCTAACTTATGTTTGCTCACTTATCTTCATATTCTCATCACCAAATTGTAAAACACGGGTGCTTCAGAGATTTCCGTTTTGATTTTCAAGCTTAAACCACTGAAAGGTTGTGTTATGGTGTGTTCTTCTCTGAAGCCTTCACTGCCAGTCGGTCTGCAATTTCTCTTTTAAATCTCTGGTTGTTTAGTTTCTAATTGAATGACAGTTAAACATTTTGAATCCAACTGAAATTTACATTTTAGGGGATTACTTTGCATGATCATCTGAATATTCAATATCCTTATATTAATAATAAATGAAAAAAATGACAGGTGGATTTTACTTTTCCCTACAAAAAATTCTTTATAGCTCTTGTTTGATCACCAGTGGATATTGTATTCACACAAGTTGTTACTCAAGAATCCTGTGATTATATGTATTAATCCTGTATTTTGGCATTTATAGATCTAAATCCTTCATGTATCACTATCATTTGATTAACATACTTTTGATGAGGTTATAATTAAAGAAATGGATTTCCCTTAGCTCTCATTTAGTCTCTGAATTTAAGTGCGTAGCTCTTTTTAAGATCAAGAGGTTTTTTACATCTCCATTTTCCTGTGGCAGCCACATATACTTTAAATCAAATTTGGAAATCTTTACAACTAAACCTAATTTTTCTCATTAAGTTAGGTAGATATGAGTATACATTGATTTTTATTGAATTTAATTTTCATATGATTTTTAAAGTAAGGTCATTAAACCTCCTAAATGAGATCAAATTGCTGAAATTATATGATGGCCTGACATATGTCTAATGGATAATTTAAATATTTTTGAGTTTTAACATCTGAATTTTTGGTTTCTCATTGCTTCTCATTTTCCCTTTGAGAAAAAAAGTACTGAGATTTGCTAAAGTGTTGCTTTGTCTTCTACAGAATTCTCTTATAGTCACCCAATCAGTCTGGCTTTCCCAATTATCTCAGTAGTGGAGCACAATGAACAGGAGTTGGGCCTCTAATATTTGTTCATTCTGCATGACATTACAGTGCTCTGTAGTGGCAACTTCCAGGGAGCAACTCTGGGCAATAAAGTTCTGATAATGACAATGACTATAGCTGTCATTTATTGAATACCTCCCATGTATCAGACACTGTGCTAAGAGATTTGCAAATATCATATTTAATCATACTTAGTCTTCCCAACAATATTTACTTAAAGGTAGATGGTATTCCTAATATAAAGTTGGGAAGGCTGAGTATCCAAGAAGTTAAATGATTTGCCCAGGGTCACACAGCTAGTAAGTGGTAGGAGTAAGATGCGAATCCGGTGTCTATCTGGTTCTAAAAGTATTAGTTTGGTGCAAAAGTAATTGAGATTTTTGCCATTACTTTTAATTGCAAAGCTGCAATTACTTTTAATTGCAAAGCTGCAATTACTTTTGTACCAACCTAATAGATTGTCTTTTCTTTATCTTAATGGTTTGTCAACTTGAATCATTGTGACAGGCTCCTGACTGTCAGAGATAATTTTCTAAAAATATAGACGATCATGGGATTCTTATTCTTATTGGCTAAAGAGGATTCAAATCCCAGGTCAACCACTCGCTAGCAATGTAAATCTGGGGGCAAATTACATTATCTCGCTAAAACTATCATTTCATCTGTAAAATGACTATAATGGAAATAATGGCTAATATTGAATAATTATCATTTAGTGGATATGTATATTAATTATTTAATCACAACAACAACTCAATGAGATTATGTCATTGTCCTCATTCTACAGTTGGAGAAACCAAGGTAAACAAAAGTTGATTGACCTTGGGTGGGGTGGGTGTCACTTAACTAAAGACTAATGGAACCAGGATTTTAACCTATGCCTGTCAAACTCAATCTCTGAGAGCCTATGCTCTTAACCACTTGGATATTCTATTTTCAGTATAATACACACTTTGCAGAGTTGAAGTGAAGATCAATTTAAAAAATAAAAGAAAGTATGAATGCATTCATCTTTTCATGTGAGCAAGTTGCATACAGAAATGAACATATCTAAGCTCTGTCACTTAATAATATTTTTCATAATTCAAAAAGGTAAGCAGGCTTGGTAAAAAAGTACACAAATGTTCATGTGTCCTTACTACTGTTACAAGATTATTCTACTGTTATGGTAAGCGATCAATGAAGATTTGGTTACCATCCTTTTTCTTTCTTATCCTACTCCTTTTCCAAGATACATGATGACATTTTATCATAGTCCTTAAGAAATATCTCAAATACACTAGCATTAACTTGTGGTTTTAAAGAAATCACTTAGCAACGCTAAAATTCGTTATAGAATCATCCATGCAGAGCAAAGTGTGACAGACAATGCTGCAGTAGCAGTGGTGATTATAAATGATTCGTCAACAAAATGTGACTCTGCAATCTTGAAATGGTGCCACCGGGGTATATTATGCATATGGCACTGATGCCCATGCAAAGATTTGTAATTACCAAGCACATGTTACAGGATATAATTTCTTGCTATGGGAGAAATCAAAACTCTTGTGTCTCTTAGCTCAAGCATGGCTCACATCACTTTAATGTGTGACAGAGGTACCATATACCCAATTTTACATGTTACCTCTGAATGTCAAACAATGCCCTGGAAATGTCCAGTAGAATCTGTGTGCAAACCCCAAACAGGAGATGTATCACTCAGGACAAATGTTTCTAGGTTTCCTTCCCAGGAAAAAGGCTGTTACATTTCCTTGGGGAATGAGCTAAACTTTTTAGTTGCAAGAAGCAAAGCTAAAAATAAAAATGCTCCTGGAGAATAAATCAGGAATAGGCAGCACTTAAGGACTTTGGATAAGCTTAAAGACAAGGCACTGCTTCAAAAGATAATGAGATTTCCTTATCATTGATAGTCTGAGAGCTAATGGAAAAGATAACCACAGTCTTCAAAAATCTGGGGCTCTAGAACCCCTATCGGCAGGGACTCACGTCATTGTGTTCAGACATCAACTGAATATGTGACTCTTATTCCTTAGTGCCTGCCTCATAAAGGTGCCCTGTAAGGATAAAGAGTTAAGCCTCTCAAGTGCTGGATTTAGTAAAATGGGTTCAATTTCTGTCCCAGCAATGCTCAGGCTTATTTTAGAGTAAGCATATGTTCCTAAACTATTACAATCTACACAATCAGAATAGCTCAACTTTACATAAATTTATATACACTTGTCAACATGAATATTGTCATTATATATCACAGGTTCACAGGTGATCTTCACAATCGTCCCATATGGATAAACTAGTTTTCTGCTCTTTTTTTTTTTTTTTTTTTTGAGATGGAGTCTCGCTCTGTCACCCAGGCTGGTGCGATCTCAGCTCACTGAAACCTCTGCCTCCCGGGTTCTAGGGTTCTAGCAATTTTCCTGCCTCAGCCTCCCAAGTAGCTGGGACTACAGGTGCATGCCGCCACGCCTGGCTAATTTTTTGTATTTTTAGTAGAGACAGGGTTGCCCAAGCTGGTCTCCTCTTTTCTGAGCTTTAACGCCAATCCAAGAGCATGACCCAATTATACATGCTAGAAGAATCCTTGTTTCCAAACATGAATGATGTTAGCATTTCTACAAGTGCATATTAATTACCTCCTTTTTCTCCTCTATTGACCAAGACTTTAGTTTTCTCTTTCTCCTCTTTGTGGAGATCTATGGTCTCTTTGTGAAGTCAATTTCAAGGCCACTGTTTTCTGCTTTATATGTGAGGGTGGAAATATATCAGCCTGGAGGGAAAAGATAAAGCACGAAAAAAGAGACCCCGAAGCTATAAACCAGAACTACAGAACTGTTACTACAGAGTCTTCACCAGAAAGCCAACTGAAGAGTCTTTTATGGTGAAGAAAGTCATTTTGGTTTGTGGTACATTGTTAGATATTTGGATAATGAACTCTTATTCTGCTTTTGTACTTGACACTCAAATGTTTATGCTTTAAAATTACTTTAACCTTTAAGACAGAAATAGCCTAATGCCCTTCAAAAGAAATTACATTACCACAAATATGCATTTACAACATCTGTTTTCTTCTTTCATTCTCTATCAGATTAAGTAAAGTCTTTAAAAGGTGACACTATCCAGAACCTTATAAAAATGTACACAGTGATGCTAAACCTTAGGCTGCCCTCTGTGATCAGAAGGACAAAGCAGCCATAGGCTGAGCAGAACAGCCTCCAAATGACGATGCCTCTAAATATGTCCCCTTTTCTAGGTGAGGACCCGAATCAGTGTAAGCCTTTTGATTTCTTATTTTGGAACATATGCAGTACTAGTCCATAAATGTACCTCATTTTCTTAACTGCATTACTTATAGAAACATCATAAACACTTTTGGAAATAATATTTTTCCCTAAATGTTTAGATTTAATGGAAATTTTAGAATAGAAGAAAATTGAAACTTCAAGTTGTATCCTTAGTGGACCTTTCTCACTTTAATGAAAATGTACTCTATAAAGCTAATGTTTTTCTATTGCCAATTACAGTTCGTTCCCTTATTCTATGTCTAAAACTTCTAGGTTACAGAGTTGCAATATAATAGAAATGGCACCCAACTGGGAGCTCTGCTCTCATGCTGGTAACACCACTACTGATTGGTAAGACACTGACCACATCCTATGAAACTGAGAGACTCTGAGAGACGCTTTGCTCCTCACAGGCTTGTTGCAGAAGCATGAATGAATAAATATTTTGTTTTTTAAGGTATCTCCCAGCAGTGTGTCTGATTGGATATGGTTTATACTCTCTGATATTCTGCACGTGGTTGTGCTGTTCTTTTTATGCTTGGCTGTTCATACTCATCCCACCAACCAAAACATAGCTTGTCCACAGCCAGTTCTTCAGGTTGGGTATCCTCAATGGCAACATTTTTCTTTAATTCTTCACAACAAACAACACATGGCCTATCATATGACAGTTGCTTAACAAATAAATTGAATTCAAATACAATAACGGTTTAATACTTCTGCTTTACAGCATAACATTTGCTAATTAGAAGAAAGATAATGTATTGTTATAGATATGTTAACTGACCTAGCCTAATCATCTCTCTCCATCCATCTATCCAGTGCTGAACAATAGAACTTTATGCTGTACGGAGATGTTCTATATCCTCACTGTTCAATACTGTAATCACTAACCTTGTGTGGTCACTGAGCACTTAAAATGTGGCTGGTGCAACTGAGGAACTAAATGTTTGATTTTCCTTAATTTTAATTAATTAAAATTTAAGTAGTAGTGGCTAGTGGTTCTTGGTACTAGGCAGCACAGACCAATGCTGACCAAAATATTTCCTAGGGACAAGAGAAAGTTTTCATGGCCACTAGGATGCTTAAAACAGTTTTGACAGACAATCTGTCAGCCTATATAAGTTGTAAAATTAACTTCAGGTTAAACTCTATCCACAGTCATTAATTTTTTTTAATAGTCTATGTGGAGCTGACTAACACACCTGGTAATAGGTTTCAACCACTTTCCCATGAAGGTTAGCAAAGGCGATGTATCGGGCGTGGATTGGTCCTCCTATGACTCAAGCTTCCATTTTCAGGGGAGACATTTTGAGCATCTTAATGATCACTGATTCTCAGATATGGCTTCAAAGAATACTTGGAGATGATTCTTAAACACAGCCATAAGGGAAGGGAAGTTAAATGATTTTAATTCCACAGAGGTCAATGCTCTTATACAAAATGAGGAAGAAATATTTCAGCCTAGAAGTTAGACTGTATTTTCAAGAGAATTCTATTTTTATCTTCATTGGGAGAAAGTCATACATGGAGAACATTCAGATACAAATCTTTGTGAGGTAATTTTCCCAAAAACAGAGTCAAAATTCAAAAGCTGTGGTCTTTTAGCAAAGGCTGCTTCAGAATATAAAACAAAAATCATGATTAAAAACAACAAAGATGAATCAAATACCCTGAGGCTCAGCAAGAAACTCTAAAACTGACAAAAAAAGAAGAGTCTGGTCTGACAAAAGCAAACACAATAAATTTAGGATCAATTATGCAAATCATGGCCATATAATAGATTCTCTAAATCAGGACATTTCATCATGAAAAGGGGCACTCTTTATAATTATGCTGGGAGTATAGGTGGAAATTTGCACCTCTTCTGAGTTAATACAGATGTATAATCACATTAACTTTTTGGAAAAATGTGTTGTGAGTTAGCATTAACTGTTCGACAGCAATGGTTAGGACATTTCTGCTCTGCACAACATACCCTGGCTCTTTTCAAAGGCTCACATTTTCAGAATTTTCAGGGACTGGGTTTTTAAAGGTTGGTAGCAGTTTCAAAAGTCTCCCTATGCAGCTGCCTTTCGAGGAGTGCCCTTCATTATGCCAAAGCTCTGTATCCAAATTAGTGGTGAAGTCTTCTGTTATTATAAATCATTCCTTAAATGCATCCTTTAGGGCAGGCCAGATCTATGTGGAATATTTAGATAGGGAGTTGGCAAACATTTTTTTTTTTTTGGTAGAGGGCTAGATAATAAATATTTTAAGTTTGGTGGCTGTACGATCTCTTTCACAGCTACTGAACTCTTGGAGCTCTGGTTATAGCATGAAAGCAGCCATATACAGTACATAACTGAATAGATGTGGCTGTGTTTGAATAAAGCCTTATTTACAAAAACAGGTGGTGGGCCAATTGATTTAGATGGACCAAAGCATGAAAGACACAGAAGTCAGACAAACATTAAAAGAAGTCAGACAAACATTAAAGTTACCTATATTCCCATAGGGCTCTTTGTCACACAGATACAGCCTCCTTCCTTCCTTTCTTCCCTCTATCCCTCTTTCTTTCCTTCCTTCCTTCCTTCCTTTATTCCTTTTTCATTTACTAAGCAAATGTATACTGGAAACCAACTCTGCACCATCAACTGGGGTTACAAAGATTAATAAGATAGATATCTTCATAATTTTTTCTCTGAATAATCTTCTATCATGCTGCCCAAAGGTGTGTGATATGGCTTAGTGTTAGAGAAACTGAGGCCCGAGGCCATAGGATGGCTGAAGCAGAGCCACACTCGACCTCACTGGCCTGACTCGGTGCACTGCTGCTTTCTTCGCCCCTGCAGCTTGGAAAGTGGAAGAACAAGAGAAGCAGTAAACCAACATCAATCCATTTTTGAAGATCCTTTTATAACTTGCATTCTATACATAGCTGCATTTCTCCAAGTTCCCAAGGAAAATTTTTATTTTTAATAACCCACTCATAAAATGAATAATAAATATGCTTTTCTTTATGGTATTATATTTTCATCAGAAACCACTGGAAATATGTAAAGCAATATAATGGCAAAGCAATTAGCACTTCCAGCATTTCTATTAGACTCAATTAAATATTCTGCTATATAATAAGTATATACTAATTAGCAGAAACAGTAATGTAAAAGTGCTTTGTCTTTCTGTCATTCTATAACTTTTTTTTTCTTAAAAGATATTTATCTTAGAGTTGCATGTTTTCCTTAGATCTAATTACCAAAAATAAAACAAACTCTATTTAGATGTAATGTTTAGATTGGTCTTAATAGAAATGACCCAATTTCTTACATTTGCAGTTGCATTAACCACATTCAGATCACCAAGAGCACCCTTGTGATTTAACCTCACGGAGCAAGTGAAATGCACTATGGCAGCTTCAACATGTTAAGTCAGAGATAGGGCACCTCTAGCCCAATGTGTCTCATTAACTTGTACATAATTTCTTAGAGAAATACAGTGTAACATCTAGGTCAGGGCACTATCTTTTTAAGTCTTCAAGATAGCCTCCAAGAATATTACATCATTGTCTTGACTTTCCTGGAATACCTGTTATACAAGACAGACAATATTTTTTCTACTTACCCTTACTACAAGATTAATTAGAATATCATATAGAATAAAATGCACCAGACTTTGCGTTAATATCTTCCATAATTCTCATTTAATGCTCACTACAACCATGTTAAGTGTGGGAAAAGAAAACTTCCCTGGGTCTCCTGGTGCTTTTGTAAAAAGCCCTAGCTTCCTGAGACGTCTTTCCCTTTATAAGCAGAGAAAAATCATTTGTCCTCATCCCTTACCTATGGAGCATCCAGCTACTCATGAAGGGCAATTGACCTGGCTCTCATTGCCTGGTTCCAGGGGTAAAGACTGGGGAAAAAGGCAGGCAATGCAGTTAGTATTTACTGTGAGGTAATAAGAAACCTGTCTCTGACCCAGAATAAATACCTCCTGTGTGCATTCGGAATAAAAGTAATAAAGATGACTATGAAAAACCTGACAGTGAGATAAATAGATTTTATAGACGCAAAGATAGATGTTTACTAGCATATAAGGGCGTCTAAGTTAACAGATCAAATAGGGATACTGAAATTTCTCCTGTCACTAAGATTACAGTTTTAAAATTGTCCCTTTTCTTTTTCCTGGTTGTGGAAGTGGTGGGAGAGTTTCTGGACCAGCTTCCTCTTGGCTCCAGTTGCCTGGCCTTGACGCAGGGCTTAAATTTCCCCACCGCCAACCGCCCCCACCCTCTCCTCCAGCACTCTGGGGCCCTAGGCCGCTCTTCAGTCTCCAGGGCCTCTGCATCCGTGTCCTTCCTGCCTGACATAATACCTGCCCGTGTGTGGATGAAACAGCCCCACTATGTGTGATGCCCTCCTTCTTGCCTTACTGCACTTTCCTCTTTCACGTGGATGATGATCATTCAGTCGTTCATTCTTCATGCAACCGGCAACTTTGCTAGCTTTGTTTCTGTTTGCTTCTCTTATTTTTTGTAAGAACCTTTTCCTGCCTCTCTGTATATTACCCTCTTTATGCTGCTGGTTCTCAATGTCTTATCCACAGTTCTGAAATCCAACATGTCCTGAAAATTGAGAGGTTTCTTATTTGTTTGCTTGGTTGGTTGGTTGATTGATTTTTTTACCTGCCTATTTGGCAGTAAAGCTCTCCCGGCCTGACCTGAACTCATTTGAGGGCAAAACCTGGCTTGAATTGATAGAAGACTATTTAGAGACTTTATTTCTTCAACTTAGTGTGAATCTTATATGTTTCGTGATAGCACCTTAGTGCACTTCTAGAATACTGCTTTTGATCCCCTGGAGGTGAGAGGGGGATTCTGTAATATGTACTATAAGCTTCATACTACTCTATTTTGAGATTTTAGATTCTAAAAAATATTTTTTACTTCCTAAACATACCCAGCCTGAGGGGTTCAGAGAAGGAATTAGGCTTTTCATTTTCTGAGCTGACACAACAAGGAGATGAGTTGTGTTCCAAGACTGTTTACTCCCTGTGCCATGCCTACTCAACTGAGCAGGCAACGCTACGAAGTCTTCTTACCCCTTATATTAAAATTAATAAAATCAATTTTCTGCTCATCTGAGGAGAGTTCTGGAGCTAAGACAATGATGGAAATACTTAACAGAGGAGTCTCTCCATTCAGAGGCAGGGAAACACAGTACTTTCCATAGGGGGAGGGCAGAGCTTGGGATTAAGTTCTAGATAGTGATGCTGATTTTGAGTGTAGACTCCAGACTTTATGAGCATGGAGTATGGGGCACTTGTGGGCCTTTGAGTAGGCTAGACTCAAGACAGGATGAGGAAAAGATCTAGAAGGGAGAATTTTGGCAGGTCACTCAAAATTGGAAAGGACATTAAGACTTTTGTTTTTAACCATTTGTTTATCTAGCAGTGGGGCTCCTAGGAGGCAGAGACTCTGCAGACAGGAGTTGAAAAGAAAGATAGGGATTGCTTCAGGAGAGCAAGATCCTTAGAAACTGAAATTTCCTAAAACAAGAATTTGAGGCAAGCTGCCTTGGCAAACTACAGGGAGGGTGGTGATTTGGGGATTGATTGACACAAGCAGAAGCCTGGAGAAGGAGTAACTAGGGCTGTGGTCTCTGCCCTGTAATATCAAGATTCGAACCTGAGACCTCTATTCTAGGAGAAATCCAATACCCTTTTTTAAATTCCTCCTAAAATTTTAGATGCTAAGATGTGCTTAGGCTAGTGGTAAACTGGGGAAGAAATGCAGAATCTAACAGTATTCAAATCCAGTTAAAAAATATAAACACCCTTATGATGCCAAATTGGTGAATGAGCTACCACTTTGTCAACCTGTCTGAAGGAATCACTCATAACAGCTGGTAATCATTTGTTTTTTATGTCATTATGGCCAGTAGAAGATGTTGATCTTCTTGTTCCCTCATGCTATTCTTTTTTTCATTGGCACAGCTGTCTTGCTTTTCTCAGAAATGTAGTTCTTCCTCTTTTTCAACCTCCTTCCTCACTCCTTTATTCTCTTTAACCCCAGAGCATGGCACTATCCTGTCCTGCACACCTCCCTGTCCTCCATGTGTCTCTCTCTTTGCCCCTGTGTGTTTACATATCCCTCCCTGCCCTTGTAATAATGAACATATACATGCATTTTTAAAGTTTATTAAGTAATAATAACAAACAATTCTGATGGTAATTTTTTAACATGAAACTGAAAGGAAAGATTTGTTTTCCTCAAAAAATCTTGTCCCTCTCTTGCCCCCTTACCTTCATTAAATATAACCTTTAAACTTGGGTCCAGCTCATGAGTATGTATTTTTTCTATTGGTCACTTATTCTTAATCAATTTATAGAAATAACTGTGTGCTATTATTTAAAAGTTCATATTAAAGCTTTTCTTTTAAAGAGAAGAAATTCTCCTGTTCTAAAGAGTTAATTATAATTTGTAGTGAATGATCATTACATTTTTACCAAAATGAAGAACGTAATTGAAATGTGTCTCTTTGGGAAAGTGCATATAGTATATGACTTCTTTCTGACCATGAATTTCCCTGAAACAAAAGTCTAGCATAGTCAAATTTACTTTTCTATACCTATTTAGCAATCAAGAGAATTTTGTTCTAAGGATAAGCAAATATTAACTGTCCACTATGGGAAATAATAGAAAGGGGAGGATTGGGGATTTGGGAGAAGAAAATGGGGATTGAGCACATGGAAAACTAGGAGTAGAGGTTTATTGCAGTGGTTTTCAGAGAGGAAAAGGAAGGCAGAAGGTGAGTAATTTGGGTCTCAGAATGGCCTTCCTGTATAGTGAGAGGAGCAGAAGTCAGGAAGGAGTCCTCAAAAACAGGCTGGGGAGCCAAGTCCAAGTATCCTGCCACATTCTAGAATCTCCTGGTGAATATCCTGTGTTTAGAGATTTGAAAACACTCATTTGCTGCTAGAGCAGATATGCTGAATAAGGCAACAGTAGCATGTTATTTGAAGTCTTCGTCATCCTGCAGCCATGCGGTAGAGTTGGACTTGGGAGTCCAAGCTCATAACTCTGATTCATAAAATCCAAAAGGCATTGACCTCTTGGAGGGAAGAAAAGATGGGAGAGGGTAAGGTGAGGGAAAATGCCTCTCACAATGCAATGCTTTCCTCAAACAGAGCACAATTGATTTTAAGCATGTCTTTGACAATGAATAAAAAGGGAGATCCTGAGGAATGGATGGTCTGAAAATTTCATCTCAGAACCCATTCTTACTATTTAAGTTATATAAAAATTAAAGATAACATCTTTATTTGCTTTGTTTGTGGGTTTTTATTGTCTCAGTTTTTGCTGATATTTAAAATATTTTAAGATTCCCTTTTATGCCCTTAGTTCTTCTAACATTATTTATCTTATAAAGGTTTTTAGTCCTTCTACTTAAAATTCTCTTGCTATGAGGGATTGCAGAAAGGTCGTCTTTGCAGTTATTGCAATTGAGGGGAAGAATACTGGACATTTGATTTAAGGAATTTAGAAGGTCTTTATCAATATATATCATCCCTGAGAAGTAATTATCTAAGCTTTGTTTAAATGCCCAAGTGATGGAAAATGTGTTGTCATATAGACAGCCCATTAAATTTAAGATAGGATTATTTGTTTGACAACTTTCCTTACATTGATCTAAAATTTTTCTCTCTGCAATTTCTTCTGCCTTCTGAAATAAAGAAATGTGATCTATTTTTTTTTCTAAGAGGTGTTGACAATTTTTTTTTTACGTGTAGTTCAAGTTCTTTCCTTTAGTAGCAAGTTTCCTGTATATTCCTATACATTGTGGGTTTTTTAAATTATCACATATGATACTTTTATGACTGTAATTCCTTATATCTGACTTAGGTTGGTGGCTTCATTTAATCTCATTTGGTCTCTCAAATCCTTCCCCCTTTTCCTTCCCTGCCTACTGCTCTTACCATCCACTGTCCCAGACCTTTCTACTCCTACAGCTCCCACCTTTTCTTGTCCCCAATTGCACCTTCTCTGCAAACAAACAAGAGCTTGGGCCTGACAGGTAGCTCCTCTGAGGCTGGTGGATATGTCATGGGGACAAGTGGGCATCGGGCCAAGTGTTAGCCACCTTCCATGTGAGGGCGAGACATCAAAACTGCTGTGTCTTAGGGCCGCCAGCCCCAGTGAGAGCAGAGGAGCTTCCCAGAGGCAGTGGCTCTAAAGGCTCCTTTGATGGAGCTATGCTTGGCAGGAAGGGGCTGGCGTCCCATGGGACCAGCTGCATTGGAGCCTGTAGCTTAGAAGCCCGTGGGAACTGGGTACCAAAGTCACAGGAGCCAGTGGAGGCCAGAGGGATGTCTGACAGAGTTCATACATTTCATATTTGAAATGCCTTAAGAACATGGATTCTCTGATTTTTACAAAAATAAATTCTGACACTTAAAAATCATAAAATGCTAGTGGTCATACTGGTAGATCAGTCTTACAAGAAATAACGTCAAAATGCAGTGATGCTATTTCCTCCTGCATTGCAGCCAGTCCACCCCCAGCGAACCTTCACTCCTCTACCAGTTCCCTCCTCTGTTCCTAAATGACAAGATTTCAGCCCCATTTCCTGAATACTTTCTTGTTTTAATGCATAGTAAGGTTATGTGACTGATTTTGGCATTCATCTAATAATAATGGCTATTAGGTATGCATTCAATGCACACTTAGTGAAGCCAACTCTTGGGCTCTGGGCTGAGCACTAGGGATTTAGCAGTGAATGAGACAGAGGATTGAGATGGAGCTCTGGGGCCGGGCTACTTTCATTCATCCCCAGCCCTGTCTCTTACTAGTTCCTCTAGCCATTATTTAATATTTCTGTTGCAGTTTCTCCATCTATCAAACAAGAATAATAATGGTAACAATTAATTGATAGTCTAATTTTCAATTAAAAATCTAATGGAGTTGTCAGGATTAAATGACTTTATACATGCAAATCACTTAGAACAACACTTTGCAGCCACTAAATATTAAATAACTGGCATATGTTATTACATTAGATGGGTCCTACCCTCAAATGCCTTATAGTTTAGTAGACAGAAAAATAAGTCAAGAGACTTATCAGGTGAACTGATCAGAAACTTTGGTTAAGGCTATTTGATTATCTAAGTCTCTACCAACAGCACAGTTTTTCAGCCCTTATTTTTAAACTTTTATTTCCTAATCTATAAAGATATCTCAAGATAGGCCAATGACCTTCGGATGCCATTGCCTAGTGCATTATGGTTAACCAATATGGTATGTGGAACATAAAGCAGTGTGGTACTTTTGAACTGGTGTATATTTTCTGTTAAAGAGCCTGGCTACTAATTAAGTTCTGGAAAAAGTTGAGCAATGTCTTGGCTCAGGATGCTATAATAAAATAACATAGACTGGGTGGCTTAAACAACAAGTAGTTCTGGAGGCTGGGAAGTCCAAGATCAAGTTGCTAGCACAGGCCCTGGTGAGGGCCTGCTTCCTGGCTTGCAGACAGCAGTGGACTTCTGCTGTGTGCTCTCTGTCTTCCCCTTAGAAGGGCACTAATCCCATCATAAGGGACCCACCCTCATATTAACCTCATCTAAACCTAATTACCTCCTAAAGGCTCACCTCTAAATACCATCACATTAGGGGTTAGAGGCCCATAACCAGTAAGTTACAAAACTTACCTACAACTCAGATTCTTCACTCTGCAGTAAAAACAACAATACCAACACCAACACTCCCTCAGGGCTATGAATTTGCAATGAGAAGTTTTATATAGAGCCCATTGCTCAGCATTTCAGAAGTCCTTCTGTCCAGCAGTTAATAATAATGAATTTCTAAAAATACATAATGGAGGTAGAAACATGTATCCTATATTATAGTAATTTGCAGTTGATAGATAATTAAAATTAACCCCCTTCCTGGTACTGTCTATCCACATGATTTTTGCAAGTGTGTCAAAATATTATTCCAGTCTTCTAAATGGAGGACCACGTACATATCTTTTGAGAGCACAATTCTAATTAAAAGATGGCAGCTGAGAAGTAGTAAAGTCTTTGTTATAATTCAAACCTTGTCAGACAGAATTTGAATTGAATTTGAACATTATCTTCCACTGGAATTTTGTTTTTCTACTCCCAGGAAATGTATCCTTTGCCTTTATTTTTTCAGACAAAATATATCCTTTTGTCTAAAAAATTGTTTAGACTTTTTTTTTTAAACTTCAGGCAGGGATCCTGTGACTGTTGGGAGCCAAGAAAATATGTATTCTCAAAAATATTGGCCTGGCTCAGTGGCTTCCGTGTGGGATCCAGGGGTTCTCAACAACAGTCATGATAATTCCTTGGAAGCTGCACACCAGTGGTAGCCTGAAGCTCAGGAAGAGAGTGTTTGTGAGTGGCAGGCAGCTGTGGGCACATAGGTAGGATGGTAGTTATGGGGCTGACTTATGAGAAGCAGTCCTGCTTTTATTGCAAACTTCTAGAAGACAAGAATGAGCTGGATACGGACTGCCAGGAGAGACTGAGCAACATTCAGGGGCTCTGCATGCCTCTGGCAGACACTTGTTTGGTCTTTGTTAAAATATTGGCCTGTGGAAAACAGGTTTGCAGTACTATTTTGGCCATTTTATACCCATCAAGAAAACTTTTGGTTTATTTGGAAGCAAATGGTTTACGAGAGAAGGTCAGGCTCTGAGTCAGGCAGCCTTGGGTTCCCAGTGCCTCCATTTCCAAGCTGTGTTGTTTTGAGCAAGTTACTCAATCACTTTGTTGCTCAGTTTTCTTGTACATTAAATACCTGGTGTCAGAGGGCTCTTGCGAAGATGGAAAGTGGGAGGGTAGCTGTATACCTGGAGCATCGTAGGTGCTCTAGAAATGTTCCTTTAAATCACATTCTAGAAGTACAGCCACAGTATTATTTCTGTTCGGTTTGAATTTAACTTGTATTTTTTAAAAGCAAATGCCTTCGTATTAATTAGAGAGATTTAAGCTGCAAGTAAAGGAAAGTCATACTGAAAGTGTTTTAAATAAAAAGCAATTTATTATCCTACATAATAAGAAATCTAGAGGTATTTCAGGGATCAGTTAATTCAGCAATGCAATGATGCCATCAAGGATTTGTTTTCTTTCCATTTTTCTACTCTGTGACCACTAGTGTGATGATTAATACTGTCAACTTGATTAGATTGAAGGATACAAAGTATTGACCCTGGGTGTGCCTGTGAGGGTGTTGCCAAAAGAGATTAACATTTGAGTCAGTGGGCTGGGAAAGGCAGATCCACCCTTAATCTGGGTGGGCACCATCTGATCAGCTGCCAGCATGGCTAGAAAAATGTGAAAAATGTGAAAAGAGAGATGGGCCTAGCCTTCCAGCCTGCATCTTTCTCCTGTGCTGGATGCTTCCTGCTCTCGAACATCGAACTCCAAGTTCTCTTCAATTTTGGAACTCACACTGGCTCTCCTTGCTCGTCAGCCTGCAGGTGGCCTATTGTGGGACCTTGTGATCATGTGAGTTAATACTTATTAAACTCCCCTTTATATATATATATATATATATATATATATATATATATATATATATATATATATATATATTCCATTATTGCTGTCCATCTAGAGAACCCTAATACAACTAGCATGTTAAATTTGGTGCGTGTCATCTCGAGATGACACCAGTATATAATTCCACCAAGGAGCAGAAGGGCACATTCAGTATATGAATCTCTCTCTCATTAAACCTTGGATGGAAATCTATCCCTGAGTCCCCACAGAACTCTTCCCCTTCTGTTTCATTGGTGAAAGACGTGTCACATACCCATGCTAGACCAGTCATTCATTGGCAGGGAGACTAGAAGAAGAGCTATGATAAAACCACAATGAGCATTCATCTACTGTGTCTGGGGACAGGCCTATAAAATGGGCCTCCAGGAATCTAAACAGTTGTGCAAATTGTGGTAGCAAAGAGGGAGTAAATTGCTTTGTAATAGAGAGTAAATGGCTGTTGAATAGGCAGCCAATACAAACTCTATAGTAGACTATTACTAGTTAACAAGTCAGAGGCAGACTATTGTGAGACAAACTCTTTCAGAAAGAAACTGAAAGAGGAAAACCTTAAACAATGGAGGTGGCTAAAGCCAACCTCAGCTGTCCAAGAAACGTGATGGATTTACATATTGGTAACAGCTACAGTGGCCAGAAGTTGGTGGTTGGAATAACTTTTGGAAAGCTGCTGTTTTCTCTCTTCCTTAGGACAAAGTGGACACTTCTTCTCTTCCGACTGGGAAAAATATAACTATGTGGAATGCATATTCACTTCCTTAAAAATGTTCTATATGCTTCTGTTTGAGATGTTTCAGCTCCTGCTCTGTGAAAGGAAACGCAGGGAAGTTAGGATAAGGAGACTACTGTCTTCAACCATTCTCAAATGCCCACATGAGGAGAGATACAAGAATAACCAGATTTATCAATGAGATGAGAGGAAGCTACAGGGATGCTGACTTTAATAAAAGCCAGGAGTAGGGGAGAAAGATCCAATGCCAAATGTCTGACAGATAAGAGCCTACAAAATATTCCAGTATTTTTAGAACTGTCCAGAAGATGAGGCAAAGTCGCCCCTTTAAAGAGGAACACTTATTATTTATAGGAGAAAAAGTCACTGGCCAATAGGGAATTTGTTAACAGTTTGAGCAGCGTCTGGTTGTTTTTATTCTACACTTAAGTCCCGAGTGGAACTTGAGTTGACATTAAGGTATGAAGGTTTGGAAAGAGTTACAGAGGAGAATTTCTTGAGCATTTGTGTTATCACAAATGAGAATGATTTGCTAGTGGAGGCTGTGCCCTATTTCTTTGCCAGTCTCTGTCAAAGAATAACTTCTTATCTGCTATGGTTTAAGCATGATTCAAGAAGGTTGGATCTGATTATATTTCAAGTTTCCTTCTAGTCCTTTAAAATGATTCTTAGCCATTTTAAAGCCACTGGGGGAAGTGTTGGTGTTCAAGTTTCTGCTGTGAAAAGCAATGGCATATGAATGGTGGCTGTTGGCAAAACAATGGCCAGAAGTGGGTGGGTTTTTTGCATTCAGACACCCTTGTGAAGGCAGATAGTTTCCACACAGTTTTATTTATCTTATCCATTCAACTGCTGTGTCTGCAGAAGAATCAGTGTTCATATGTGTGTATGTATATATGTGTGTGTATATACATATATATGTGTGTGTATATCTATATACATACACACATATGAATTCTTTTGAAAGAGAGATAAATAGGTGCTCAGTGTAAAGAGATGTCAGGGGAAAAAGCAATGAGATTCCATGTCTTGGGATACATGACAGATGCTGAACACACTGCTGACCACCCTGGCAGTTTCTTTTAGTTTCTAGGTATACATATTAGTTTTATTGAATAATCATATTCTAAAAAAGGAAAATGGAAACTGACAAATAAGAATGGAGTATAATTCAGTGAATCTAGTTCATGTCAGAATTTAGATTCAAAACATTTTTAAAGAGATGGAAGAAATAAACTTTCAGAGGGATATGCTTCTATCTCTTCATCTAATATTCCATTAAAAGAACCCAGAAAATAATGTCTTTACAGGAAGCCCTTACCCTGCGCTTACATAGGTTCAAACACATTTCTTTCTTTTTTAGTTTCGTGAACGAAAGGTGGCTATTTGAATAAAACTAATTAGCTACCAGGGGAAAACCATAGCCTTTCATTACAATCAAAGTTGATAGGAGTTCATCCAGAGGTTTAGTATATTTCAGGCCTTGTCAATGCTTAGGAAGGAATTGGATAATTCCCATAATTAATACAGAAACTAGATTTGATTTTCTGCTTTGAAATT